>NC_000014.9:39611713-40236713 GCF_000001405.40 Homo sapiens
TAGGACTCAAATGGAGACTCCAGATGGAAACTACACATAATTACATAGACAAGTATAGTTTCTGAGAGGTAGAAATTTATACCTTTCATCCCTTGCATCATTCCATTCTCAAAGCATTTATTACACTCTTATGTGTGAGTCATGGTTCTGAGCATTAATGATACAAAGACAAATAAACCATCACTCCTGGTCCCCACTCCAAGAGCAGTTACAGCAAAGTAATTAATGCTGTAACAGAGGAATAAACAAGATGCTGAGGAGCATGAGAGGAATCACATAACTTATCCTGAAAGGCTATAAGAGGCTTCTCAAAGATGGTAACTTTTTTTTTTTTTAACAGGGTTTCACTCTGTTGCCCAGGCTGGAGTGCAGTGGCACAGTCATGGCTTACTGCAGCCTTGACCTCCCTAGCTCAAGTGATTCTCCCATCTCAGCCTCCTGAGTAGCTGGGACCACAGGCATGCACCACCATACCCAGCTAGTTTTTGTATTTTTTGTAGGGACAGGGTTTCATCATGTTGCCCAGGCTGGACTTGAACTCCTGGACTCAAAAAATCTTCCAGCTTCTGCCTCTCAAAGTGCTGGGGATTATGATTAGATTCTTGAAGAATGAGTTAGTTTTTCAGGGTAATAAGAAGAAGCACTACAGGCTAGGAGACAGCAGTTAAGAAAAGACAGAAAAATGTGAAGCAACCAAGAGGCCAGGATGTTTGCACCTATAATTTTAAAGGTAGGCAGGAGCAGAAATTCTTAAAAGACTTGTATGTCTTACTTTGGATTTTGGACTTTAACCCATAGACATTGGGGGCCTTCAAAGGGCTTGACCTCAAAAGGTTGGAGAATGGAGGGTGGAGAAGGTGGGTGATACCAGGGTCAAGGCAACCAGTTGGAAATTTATTGTAGTCACTTTGATGAGAAATGACTGGAGCCTGGGACTGAGGAGAGGAACAAGGGGTTAGTCTCCGTTTTCTAACTTTGTGGATCATCGTTTCATTAATCCAAAGAGAAGAGGCCAGGTTTGGGGAAGGGAACAATGGGTTCAGTTTTCGGCATCTTGAATTAGAAGTTTGGTGGAACATTTGGGTGGAGATTACCATGAAGCAGTGGGCAAAGTAAGCTTAGGTTCAGGAAAGAGATTCAGTGTGGAGATGATAGGTTTTGGTATCATCAGTGTAAAGAAGTTTTCAGAAGCATGAATGTGACTAAGATTGCTCAGGATGAGTGTGTCCAATCAGAGGAGAAGAGCAAAGGCTGAGCCAGAGAATCCCAGCAATTAAGGTGGTAAGGAGAGGACTCATTAAACAGTATTGAAATTGGGAGAAATACAAGGAAAATCAGAAGTGGTTTCAGAGAAAAAAGGTGTAGATAATTTCAAGAAGGAGGTACTGGTTAACACTATCAAATACTAGAGTGACCATGTTTGAAAATGACACTGTAGGCCGGGCATGGGGTGGCTCACGCCTGTAATCCCAGCACTTTGGGAGGCCAAGACGGGCAGATCACAAGGTCAAGAGATCAAGACCATCCTGGCCAACATGGTGAAACCCCGTCTCTACTAAAAATACAAAAATTAGCTGGGTGTGGTGGTGCACACCTGTAGTCCCAGCTACTAGGGAGGCTGAGGGAGGAGAATCGCTTGAACCCAGGAGGCGGAGGTTGCAGTGAGCCGAGATCGTGCCACTGCACTCCAGCCTGGTGACAGAGCGAGACTCTTGTCTGAAAAAAAAAAAAAAAAGAAAAAAGAAAATGACACCGTATTAGGCCATTGCAGGTGAAGAGGAGAGCAAGAACAATTTTACTGGAATGGCAAAAGCCAAATAACAGTGGGTTAATGACAAAATTGGAGGAGAGGAGTCATCAAGTGCTCATTTTGATTTCAAGAACATTTACTTGAAGGCAAGATAAAAGAGAGAGATTTGTAACTTGAAGACGCAGAGGAGTCTAGGAATTATACTTTTGAAAGCAGTAGTAGAAACTTGATATTTAGGAGAGTTTAAGAGCCCAGTCTGGTGACCACTGAGCTAGGTTAAAAAAAGAAGAAAGGCTTTTACCTTCTTTTTTGGGTGTTAGTATAAGAGTATTTTAAAATGAGCTGTGACTTCAAAATATCTAAACCTGCCTGGAAGTGGCTTCAGAAACTGTTGAGACAAGGAGCGATTTAGGAAAGAATCCCCACCACTGCGGCATGCAGTGTGGCTAGATGTCTGAGATGATGAGGTTTAAATAATGGCAAAGAAAGTTGAAAAGCTTTCAGCATCTTTGCTGACTCCAAGAAGTAAAAACAACCTGCCTTCCAGCAAACGCATTTTCCCTTCTGAAATTCTGTCAAATAAATTCAGAAGGACATGAAAAAAAAAATGGAAATGTATTTTGTACCATGTGCTGATGTGGTCATACAGCCCCTATTTCACAGATTGTGCATGATGAATTTCAACACTATATCTGATTTCTCTGGCACGTACATTGTGTAAAAGAGCTTGCAGAGGTACAACTTTATAATAATTCCAGGGAACTTGAGAAGGCATTGCCCAAAAATGAGACTACAGATACCATAAGCAAGAAGAAATCTTTTCCTCAAAAATGCAGGTACTCCATAATAACATTCAAGGAAAATTGCGTATTTTGAGGCACTCTACACTTTCAGTCTTACCGATGACAAGAAATGCAGCCTAGGTTTAGCATTTCATCTGGAGTATCACAGTCCTAGCTTGCTTTGAATGGGCTTATTTTTCAAGAACTGAAGTGGTAGCTCATCACATATTTCTCAGCTTCTGAAATGACTGGTATTCCTCTCCTATCTAGCAGCTGTTGGAGGGTTTTTTATTTAACCAGTGAAGAGTTCCAAAATAGAAGTGTTGTCCTGGATGTATTTTAAAAACACACATTTCAGGCCTTTCCTCTTTAACTTGAAGTAGCAGATAAAAATCCCAAAGTGAAAGTGACAAGATAACATTGTGACATTGACTCACAAAGGCATAAGGAATCTATAGATGCCCCTGCATGTCAACAACCAAGGCAAACACTGCGACTGTCATACCAAACATCCAGAAGTGATGTAGATTTAGTCAAAACCTTGCTTCACTGCAATGCTTTTGGAATTGAGCATTCTGGGTAACTAAATTGTCTAGTTATTAGGTAGCTAAATAGAACACTCTTTTTATCTGAATTTTTGTTGCCACAGAGTTTTACAAAAATGTTACCATATTCTATTAATTTAGTGCTCTTCCTAATGGTGTAAAGCTAGGTTTGATTGTGAACTGTTTCTGTTGAAGGTGGATAGGCAGTTTTTTTATTTTATTTTATTTTTGGGGTCTGTGCAGAGGAGAAAGAATATGGCTGGTGGTTACTAGCTATTTCCTGTTCTTAATCTTAGTATTGGTCTGTTTAATCTGTTCTCAGGCACCCTCTGTCCATCGCCCTGTCAAGCGTATGTAATATTTAATTTTTTCTCAATCTATTATTTAATCCTCATAAATTTGATGTGGGTTGGGTACTGCTGCTGCTAAAATGATACAGAATTTGCAAGTAATTTGTAACCTAATGGGAGAAGAAACAGCTTCTGCTGAAAAGCAAAACTGCCTGGGATTGAATCCTGGCTCTGCTGCTTGCTAGCTGTATGATCTGGAGTAAGAACTAAATATATTTGTTTCTCAATTTTCTTCTGGTAAAATGGAGATAATATTAATACCTACCTCAAAGGGTTTCTTTTAGTATCCCTAAAGTGCTCAGATCAGGGTCTAGTACAAAGTACACTCCACTCAAGCATTAGCAGTGATCCTTATCACCCTATATCCTTACTCATGGTTAAACCACAAAGTGCCTCTGCAACCTGTGTGCCCTGAGAGAGGATGGAATTTTCCCCAGAGAGCACAGTCTTCAATTTCCAGGGCCTGGAAAGAGCCGTCTCCCCTGAGGTGGGTGCTGCCTGGCCTTTTATGTTTGAATCTTCCTACATTGGGTTTATATGTTCTAGTGTGGGAGACAATGTGCTAAAAAAATTAAAAGAAGAAGAAACATAAAAGAACCCGGATACAGATTGTTATGTTGTCATTTGCCTCTCTATAGCCTTAACATTTAGAAAACGATTTGTGGTTACCAAATTATGGTAAATTGAGGGTTTCAATGGTTTAACCAAGGTTTTCTCTAATATGTTACTCTAGAAGACAGTGAGCAATTACATGAATTACAAAACATAAAGTAAACCAAAATATAATGAGAAAAGGCAATTTATTAGTGCTTTCCCCATGCTTTGGAGTATAGTTTGATGTACGCAGAGAATAGCAATCAGTTTGGCTTTCCCTTCTCCAAGGGTAGACAGTAACTGGAGGATTCTTTTGATCATTTTATTCATTTTGTGTTAAAACTATAGTGCTTCTAATTTATAGACATATTGTGAATGTCAAGGAAATGTCACCCAAATCATTGAAATACAGTGAAATTCATCTGTTATATTTAAGTAACAGGTTGCCCTGGGCTCCAAGGGAAGCAAGCTTAAATGGAACGGGGATTTTGACTGTTCAGTTTTAGCACTTTAAAGACACAGAATAATCAAGGTGCATTTCTTAAAGGTAGAGACTCCAAGGATAGGTAACTGTGAAATATTTCTGGAAAAGCCATTAAGTGGCAGATGGGCATACAGCTACATTTCAGACCCTGATTTGTTTGGTTTAATGTGGACCTTTTTTTTTCCTTTAAATTAAATCCCAAATCCTATAATGGAGATACTTAAATGAGCCCTCTTGGTCACTAAGGCTTCTATTTCAGCATCCCTCTGAGAAATTCAGTGGTCTGTTATAAAAATTGTTTTATGTTTCTGTCAATACCTAAGGAAAAATTAGATTATTCTCCCGATTTTTCCCAATCCTTTAGCTAAATTGGATTATTTGCTGAATTAGCCATTACTTTCCAGTGCCATGACAGTGTCTCAGTTGCAAACCTTACATTATAAGCTGAAAAGAATACACAATGTTTATCTTCTCAGGGAAGCAGCATGGGAGCTTCGCCTTTGGGCTTGTATGGATCCACATTCCACTCCTGCTTTCGCTGCTTAGTAATCAGGTGACCTTCTGCTAGTTACAGGATTTCTGTAGTTTTCACCTCTTTGTGACTGCAGTGGGGACACTAATGGTGACTTTGCATGGGTTTAGGTAAGGATGAGATGAGACAGTGCATGTGGAAGCTCTGGCTCCTAAGTAGGTCAGTGGATATCCTTCACCTCGCAACCCCTCATCCCCCAAATCATTGTTTATTTACTGGGGAAACGTAGAACCAATGATATGTTTAGACTCAGGATCTTTTGTGGTGAGAATC
This sequence comes from Homo sapiens, assembly GCF_000001405.40. Taxonomy (NCBI): domain Eukaryota; kingdom Metazoa; phylum Chordata; class Mammalia; order Primates; family Hominidae; genus Homo; species Homo sapiens. The sequence goes on from NC_000014.9 coordinate 39,617,024, forward strand.
CAAAACAATGCACCATAAATATATTTGTATCAGTCAGGCTCAACCAGAGAGGCAGAGCCAGCAGGAAGTTGATCACAAGGAATTGGTTTACACAGTAGTGAAGGCTGGCTAGAAAAGTCTGAAATCCATAGGGCCAGTGACTAGAAGGGCAGTGGCTGAGGCTGCTGCCCGCAAGTGGAATTTCTTCTTCTTTGCGGAGTCCTCAGCTCTGCTTTTAAGGCCTTTTAACTGATTGAATCAGGACTAGTCAGATTATCCAGGATAACGTCCCTAAAACTCCTTCTGGACGTTAATCACATCTACAAAATGATTTCACACGAACACCTAGGTTAGTGTTTGATTGAATACCTGGGGACTGTAACCCAGTCAAGTTGACACACCAAGAAGACCATCAAGCCATCCATTTGGCCTCTCTGGATCCTTTTGTTCATAGAAACCAGTAACTTTTGAAAAGAAGTTACTGTTATTGTAGTAAAACAAGAGGCTCAGTTTTTTTCAAACTGCAGACAAATAATAAGGAAAATTTGTGATTTCATTAGCAGAGACCAGATGTGAAGAGTCACAATAAAATAAATGTTTCTTTTTCTGTTTACTCTCAGAAATTGTCTAATTTTTAATTTGTAATGGATTTATAGTCAGTCTCACCCACCTGGATAGAAGCTCTGTGAGCTGGGGCTTTGTTGTGCTCATTCCTGAATCATCAACCATGCTTGGAGTAAAATAAACATTAGTAGAATGAGACTATAAATAGCTACTTCCAAAGAAGAGTTGAATAGGTTGGGTGCAGTGGCTCATGCCTGTAACCTCAACACTTTAGGAGGCTGAGGTGGGCAGATCACTTGAGGCCAGGAGTTTAAGACCAGCCTGGCCAACATGGCAAAACTCCGTCTCTACTAAAAATACAAAAATTAGCCAGGTATGGTGACACACACCTGTAGTCCCAGCTACTCAGGAGGCTAAGGTGGGAGAATTGCTTGAACCTGGGAGGCGGAAGTTGCAGTGAGCTGAGATCGTGTCACTGCACTGCATCCTGGGCGACAGAGCAAGACTCTGTCTCAAAACAAAAAACAACAAAGAGTTGAACTGCATTTTTTTGTTTGAATAAAGAGTTTTCTATTATGTTTATTTGGCTCATTTTTGGCTTCAATTGTATGCTGCACCAAGACTCATGGCCAAGGATAGTAAATTCCTCTAGAAAAAAATTGTGATCCTGCCTTTTCTTCATGAAAAACAAGCCCTGTTATTAGAGCAGTTAAAGATGAGAGTAACAATTTATTGATGTCTTTAAGATTTTGTACTCACTCCTTTATCCTCAACATTTCCTAGAAAAATACACATAATATTTACATAAATTATGGATTATTTGATACATAAAAGGTTATATGTAACATATATGTAAGTTATGAAGTATAAAAACCATACAAATACTTATGAACTCATCAACTTACCAATACTGCTGAAAATGCTGCTGTGTTCCATCTGCTCTCCCCACCTCATACCTACCTTCAGAAATCACCAGTGTCCTGAATTTTGTATTTATCATTTGCTGGTGTTCTTTAGAGTTCTACCAGACATGCATGTATCCCTAAACAATATGCTATTTCATTTTTCCTCTTTTTTTTTTTTTTTTTTTCTGAGACAGAATTTCACTCTGTCACCCAGGCTGGAGTGCAATGGCACAATCTTGGCTCACTGCAACTTCCACCTCCTGGGTTCAAGCAATTCTCCTGCCTCAGCCTCTCGAGTAGGTGGGACTACAGGTGTCCACCACCACGCCTGACTAATTTTTGTATTTTCAGTAGAGATGGGGTTTCACCATGTTGGCCAGCCTGGGCTTGAACTCCTGACCTCAAGTGATCCACCCACCTCAGCCTCCCGAAGTGCTGGGATTACAGGTGTGAACCACCTTGCCCGACCTCATTTTGCTTCTTTTTAACTGTATATAAATGGCACCACAATATGTATTTTGTTCACTGACCTGCTTTTCTTACTTAGTATTGTGCTTCTGAGATCCATCTAGTGGACATGTATAACCATAATTCTTTACTTATTGCCATAGAATGTTTCCTTGCATCATTCAACAATTTATTATTCATTCTCCTATCAAGGGCCATTCCCCCCACCTTTTTCCTATTATAAACAAAATTTCTTTGAATAGGATTGTACATATATCCTGAAGAATATGTGTGGGAAATTGATTTTAAAGGTTATCTAATTTAAGCCTTCATTTATAGGTAAATGGAGGCTCAGTGCCTCCAGTCAGTAGTAAGATTAGAGATGAGGTCCCCTCTCATCCACAGTGCTTTTCATAATTCTGGTGCCATCTACGTATGTCTATGTTGAAGTTTATTTTTGGAAAATATTTAGTTTCATTTTATAATGGTTAGTAAGGATTTGGCTAAATATAGTCTCTTTTGAGTGTGTGTGGTTTTTGCTTACTTTAAGGGGAGAGGAAAGCCAGTTCATCTCCAGTGCCTGTGAGAGACAGAGGAAAGGGAGACTCAAGGAACTGGCCTGGCATAAGGAGCAAATCTGAGGCCCTTGGCAAGGCCACTGCTGATCAGGTTTCTTAACTTTGTATGTACAGTTGATCCTTGAACACACAGGTTTGAAATGGATAGGTCCCATATTTTTTCCAATAAGTACACTTGGTCCTCTTTCTCATCAGGGGGTTCTGCATCTACATCCAAAGGCATTGCAGATCGAAAGTACAGTATTTGAGGGATGCAAAACCCACAGATATGGAGGGTTGACTTTTCGTATGTGCAGTGCTACAGGGCTGGCTGTGTGACTTGAGTATGTGTGGATTTTGGTATCTGCAGGGTTCCTGGAACCAATTCGCTGCAGATATGGAGGGTTGGCTGTGGAAAAGTACATACGTCATGTATACAGAAAAGTGCATATATCATGTATACACAGCTTGTTGAATTTTTACAAAGTGATCAAACCCATGTAACAAGCACACATGTCTAGGCAGAAAACAGCCAGCACCCCAGGAACACCCCTCACCCCTTTCCAGTCACTACACTCCTTCTTTTCCTCAGCCTCTGAGCCTACTCCCTCACCCATTGCCCAGGCAAGGCCCTTTGTATTTCTTCACATTTTATAGTGATGGTGCTGCAATGGTGTGGTTAAATATTGGTCATGAAGGAAAAAGATGAGTTAAATCTTAGTGCTAATATTTTCTCCCTATGTGAATTGAATCTTTTTAACTCTCTGGCCTCAGTTGTCTTATCTGTAACATCGAGATAATAAAGAAGTGTTGAATTGGCAAAAGTGTAAGTGAGCTAAGACAAGCGGACCCTTCTGTTAAAGATCCTGGCACAGAGTAGGTGCTCAGTAAATGTTGGGCCCTGAAAACTGGTTGTCTCTTTATGAGTTGGGGACATCTATGTCATGGGACATCTAAACTGTACCCCATAATGTCAAGAGGCTTTTGACATTAACCTTCCCATGCACATGTTCTCCTGCCATTGTTGCCACAATCCCTTTTCTCAGGCATTTTTCTATTCTAGGAACAAGATTTCTCAAGCCATCTTTCATCCTGGATGAAGTACAACTGGAATTCCATTATGTAGTCTAGTCTCACCCTGCCAGTTCTGGTTTGCTGGCCTTATTGTTAGTTGGATATGAGCTTTGATAAAATTCTTATTGTGGACTTGAAGAAACCAGCAGTGTAGATCAATGGCTTCTCTCATATTTATGCTTCAGACTTGAAGCTTGTTTCAGGTTTCAACACTAGACACCGTTGGAATGCAGTGCCACTCTCTGAATAGTTTCCATTCTAAGCCCTGCTCTTCAGCACTGAATGAAGGTCAATATTTCTATCTTTATTAAGAGCTAATGGCAGGTGCTCGATGGGGAAAAATATAATGCCATTGTCGACTTCTGCAATTGGATATAGGTGGTAAAATATTCATGTTTTTAAAATCATTCCCATATTTAGAATAATGAACTTCATTTTGTATATTTTTATCATACAGTTTTAATCTTTTTCTTTACTTACTGGAATCATTAGAGTGGCTAGATGTGCACCAAATGTATATTTTATATGTCATTATTTTCCTGAGAAGAGGAAGAAACATTTTTTTCTCCTGCCATGGTTTTATTTTCTGCGCAGTATAAGCACATTTTAAATTGTGTCATGAATTTCAGTGCCCATTAATTTAAGGAAATAGGCCATGTTTGTGACTTTCATGAGGCTGTGGAAATTTCACCATTTGCTTAGATTCACCTGTAAATACAAATTAGTGCAGAGTAATAAAGTATGAAAAATGTGATTGGAGAGGGAAAGGTGAAGACATTTCCGTTTATTGTTTGTGTACTTTGTATGTGTGTGTGTTACTGTGCTTTTCCCTTTGTTACATTATTTAATGTTACCATGCCAAAGTAAAGGCACCAGGAACATCAAACACCCCTGTGGTGGCATCAAAGTGATGATGGTATCTCTCTGTTGGGTGTCTTTAGAGTTTCCAGGTACCAAATTTAGGTTTCTTTAGGGGAACAACAGATTGATCAGCCACATATTCTGAAAAACTCACGTTTCAGGTTGATCCTTTATTTTTCACTAAAGTCTTATAAGGCTTATATTTTATTACATTAAAAATGAGAAATAAAAGAGAGAGAATCAAATGATTTGTTTGAGTTTACTGAGGACAGAATATCCTTAGAGTGCTGTAGAAGGTTAACATGTTCTGGTTTTTGATTGTTTATAAATATGACTTCGAACAATGTTTATTAATTTAATAACAACTATTTATTGAGTTCTTACTTTGTGCCAGGCCCCTGCCATATGCTGAAGATGCAATAGTGAGCAAGATATGGTCTGCCCATGAGATCATAGCCTAGTGAGAAGGCCAGATATGAAAGCACAGTCATAATCCAAAGATAGTAGTGAAGTGGAGACACAGCTAAGTCCTGTAATATCTTAGCTGTGGGAGTGAACAACATCAGGATCCTAGTTTACTTGTGGGTTAAGGGGCATCAGGGGTCTTCCCAGTTGAAGATGAATACAAGTTTTCCAGATAAATGAGTGGAAGGGCATTATAAACCAGCAAGTACATACACATGGCGTAGTTCAGTGAAATGCAGGAGTCGATGCTTCAAGTGTTTTGCTCAGATCGTTTTAATGGCATTCAACCAGGCACTGGTGGTATATCATGATAATTCCTTCTCTAGTACCACATCTCATAGGAGTATAAAATCCTGAGAGTCCAATCTCTGTGACATTGCTCATGTCCATTCCCTCTGCTCTTCCTCCATTACCAGTGTTTATATCCTCATTTCCTACCTGGACCATTGCAGTTGTCTTCTAAATCATCTTGCTGCCTTTAGTCTTGACTGCCTTGAATCTATTTTCCATATTGCTGCCAAAGTGATCTTTCTATACTCAAATATGCTCTTTTCTCTGTGTTTAGAATCCTGCAATGCTTTCCAATGGCAATAACATTAATCTAGACACTTTTTGCATGGTATAGAAAACTCCCATGATTTGGCTCCTGTTTGACAAGTTTTTGATATCTCTATTTATCTTGAAAGTAAACATGAGGTTTCTGGGGCAGAGATGAAAGTTATTAACCCTGCATGCTGGGGGATGGGAGAGTCTGCACTGCAGAAAAAGGAATCCTGAAATTGCGAATCTGGGATCGTATATAGGTTACAGACTGCCCACTCTGACTTCTTCTTCTTCTTTTTTTTTTTTGTTAGCTCCCACTTATAAGTGAGAACACGTAGTGCTTGATTTTCTGTTCCTGTGAGGATAATGGCTTATGGCCCCATCCATGTCCTGCCAAGGACATGACCTTGTTCCTTTTTTATGGCTGCATAATATTCCATGGTGTATATGTGCCACATTTTCTTTATCCAATCTATCATTGATGGACATTTGGGTTGATTCCATGTCTTTTCTATTGTGAATAGTGCTGCAATAAACATACGCATGCATTTATTTTTATAATAGAATGATTCATATTCCTTTGGGTATATACCCAGTAATGGGATTGCTGGGTCAAATTGTATTTCTGGTTCTAGATCCCCGAGGAATCATCACACTGTCTTCCACAATGATTGAACTAATTTACATTCCCACCAACAGTGTAAAAGTGTTCCTATTTCTCCACAGCATCACCAGTACTGTTGTTTCTTGACTTTTTAATAATCAGCATTGTGACTTGCATGAGATGGTATCTCATTGTGGTTTTTCATTTCTCTAATGATTAGTGATATTGAGCTTTTGTTCATGTTTGTTGGCCGCATAAATGTCTTCTTTTGAGAAGTGTCTGTTCATGTCTTTTGCCCACTTTTTGGTGGGGTCATTTGTTTTTTTTCTTGTAAATTTGTTTAAGTTCCTTGTAGATTCTGGATATTAGACCCTTGTCAGATGGATAGATTGCAAAAATTTTCTCCCATTCTGTAGGTTGTCTGTTTACTCTGATGGTAGTTTCCTTTGCTCTGCAGAAGCTCTTTAATTAGATACCATTTGTCAATTTTGGCTTTGGTTGCAATTGCTTTTGATGTTTTTGTCATGAAATCATTGCCTGTTCCTATGTCCTGAATGGTATTGCCTAGATTTTCTTGTAGGGTTTTTATAATTTTGGGTTTTACATTTAAGTCTTTAATCCATCTTGAGTTAATTCTTGTATAAGGTGTAAAGAAGGGATCCAGTTTCAATTTTCTGTATATGGCTAGCCAGTTTTCCCAGCACCATTTGTTAAACAGGGAATCCTTTCTGTGTTGCTTGTTTTTCTCAGGTTTGTCGAAGATCAGATGGTTGTAGATGTGTGGTCTTATTTCTGAGATTTCTATTCTGTTCTGTTGGTCTATGTGTCTGTTTTGGTACCAGTACCATGCTGTTTTGGTTACTGTAGTCTTGTTGTGAAGTTTGAAGTTAGGTAGCATGATGCCTCCTTTGTCTTTTTGCTTAAGATTGTCTTGGCTATGTGGGCTCTTTTTTGGTTCCATATGAATTTTAAAGTAGTTTTTTCTTATTCTGTGAAGAAGGTCAATGGTAGTTTAAAGGGAATAGCTTTGAATCTATAAATTACTTTGGGTAGTATTTCACGATATTGATTCTTCCTGTCTATGAGCATGGAATATTTTCATTTGTTTGTGTCCTCTCTTATTTTCTTGAGCAGTGTTTTGTAGTTCTCCTTGAAGAGGTCCTTCACATCCCTTGTTAGCTGTATTCCTAGGTATTTTATTCTCTTTGCAGCAATTGTGGAGGTTCATTCATGATTTGGCTCTCTGCTTATCTATTGTTGGCTTATAGGAATGCTTGTGATTTTTGCACGTTGATTTTGTATCCTGAGACTTTACTGAAGTTGTTTATCAGCTTAAGGAGATTTTGGGCTGAAATGATTGCATTTTCTAGATATAGGATCACATTGTCTGTAAACAGATACAGTTTGACTTCCTCTTTTCCTATTTGAATACACTTTATTTCTTTCTCTTGCCTGATTGTCCTGGTCAGAACTTCTAATACTATGTTGAATAGGAGTGATGAGAGAGGGCATCCTTGTCTCCTTGTCTTGTGTCAGTTTTCAAGGGGAATGCTTTCAGCTTTTGCCCATTTAGTATGATGTTGGCTGCGGGTTTGTCATAAATGGCTCTTATTATTTTGAGATATGTTCCATTAATACCTAATTTATTGAGAGTTTTTAAGATGAAGGGATGTTGAATTTTATTGAAGGTCTTTTCTGCATCTATTGAGATAATCATGTTGTTTTTGTTTTTACTTCTGTTTATGTGATGAATTACATTTATTGATTTGTGTATGTTCAACCCGCCTTGCATCCCACGGATGAAGCCGACTTGATTGTGGTGGATAAACTTTTTGATGTGCTGCATTTGTTTTGCCAGTATTTTATTGAGGATTTTTGCATCGATGTTCATCAGGGATACTGGCTTGAAGTTTTCTTTTTTTGTTGTATCTCTGTCAGATTTTGGTATCAGGATGATGCTGGCCTCATAAAATGAGTTAGGGAGAGGTTCCACCTTTTCGATTGTTTGGATTAGTTTCAGAAAGAATAGTAGCAGCTCCTCATTCTACCTCTGGTATAATTCTGCTGTTAATTCCTTCTGGTCCTGGGCTTTTTTTTGGTTGGTAGGCTATTTATTACTGCCTCCATCCTCCATCTGACTTCTTGAGAGAGAGAGAGAGAGAGAAACCTTTCATTGCCTTGTCTTTTACAATCCTTTGGAATGTAAAGAACTGGCTCTAAGGAGTTTCATCCATATATACACTTAAGGAAATAAGTCCCTAAGTCTTTCTGGAGGTCTCTGGCTATTCAATCACCTTTTAACTTCTAAAACTTGCCCCTCAACCCAGGTTCCAGTTTTCTCTAGTCAGAAAATTGAAATATTTAGACTCTAGTTTCACACTGCTTGCCTTTCCAGGCTCAACTCCTGTGGCTTCCCTGCTGAAACACTATGCTCCACTCCTGCTGAACTACTTGCAGTTTTCCATTACAGGGGAGGAAACATACCTTCCTTCTATTTATCTTAGGTTCATTGGCTGAGATACCTGTTACAAAAGACTGATTTACAAGAGAAGAGCAAACAGAAGTTTATTAACATGTATACCCCATGTATACATGGGAGATGACCAGGAAAAAATGAGTAAATATCCAAGAAGTGGTTTAGAATTAGGGTTTAAATACTATCCCCAACTGAAACAAGAGAGAAGGACGTGGGGAAGGCGAGTTCTGGAGTGGGACCCCTGTAAAAGTACTGTTAAAAAAGTAAGGTTTTGTTAATGCTGATTTTTGTTAATGCCTTCTCCATTTATGAGTCTCTAATGATTTAGTCATTCTTCTCTTTATGGTACAGAGAGGGAGACTCCATTACAAATGGAGATTTCCTTTATTGATGTAAAATTGTCTTATGAAAAGGTAACTTCTACTCTTTTTCAGAGTTTCTCCTGTGTCTGCTGTTTCTCAAAATAATCCTTACACTAAAGAGGCATATTTTGGGGTAGCAGATTCTGGTTTCCTACACCATACTATACATTTCGGGCCCTCATACATTTGTTTGTTGTTTGTTTCAGTATTGCCTCATTAATTTTTTGGTTTACTATTTCTATTCAGGCAAAGTTTACATACAGTGAAGTGCACTAAGCTTAATTGCAATTTGGTGAGTTTTGATAAATGTGTACGCCTTTGATAAATGTGTATGCCTCTAAAGCTCTAAATCAAGCTTTAGAACATTTTTATCACACCAGAAAGTTCCCTTGTATCCTCTTCCAGTCAAAACTACTGTTCTGATTTCCATCACCACTGATTAGTTTTGCTTGTTCCTAAGCTTTGTATACGTGGGATCATACAGTACTTACTCTTTCATGTGTGGCTTCTTAAGCTCAGTATGTTTTTGAAATTCATCTGCGTTGACTGAATCGAGTTTATTCTTTTTTTACAGTGGTATACTTTCCATGGTATGAATATTGCTCAATCAATTTGCTTTATTCTTAGGTGATGATGAACATTGGGTTGTTTGCAGGTTTTGCCTATTATGAACAAAGCAGCCATAAGCATTTTTATTCAAGTCTTTTTTTTTGTGGGCTTATTTTTTTATTTCTATTAGGTAAATACCTAGGGGAGAATTTCTGGGTTGTAGATGCAGTGTGTGATTAACTATATATGAAACTGCCAAATAGTTTTCCAAAGTGGTTGTACCTTCAGGCTCCATGCTTTTTGCACGTGTTGTTTTCTCTGCTTGGAGTGTCCTTCTGACCCTTCTTGTGGTACCGACAGGAGGCAGGGGGGCCGAGTTCCTGGTGAGGGATCCACCCTCAAGCCTGGACCTGCGGCCCTAAATGAGAACAGACATTCCTGCTTTCCTGCCCAAATGTTGCTTTTTGGCCTGCCCCCCACACCCCCCAACACCCGCCGCCCATCCTATGTCCATATAAACCCCAGACCTCAGCTGGCAGAGAGACAAGTGGCTGAGTGTTGAGAGGAGAAGCAACTGAGCATTGGAGACTACGGATAGGCGCAGCTTAACTTCAGACAGCATGACTTCTGAGAGGAGCCTGGCCGGAGATGGCTGGGCTTCAGGGAAAGATCACCTTCTTCTCACACCATCTCCTTTCCAGCTCCCTTTCTGCTGAGAGCTGCCTCCATCACTCAATAAAACCTCCGCATTCACCATCCTTCAAGTCCATATGACCTGATTCTTCCTGGACACTGGACAGGAACCTGCGTACCAAGAGGACAGGGTGTATGACGCCCTAACTCTCTACTGAGCTGGTTAACACTTAGCCATCAGCGGATGGCAAATGCTAAAGGAGCATTGTTTGTAACACACACCCTCTGGGGCTCTAGAGGTGCGGGCAACTGCTAGACTGCGTGGACCAGTATGGAGTTTGCCCCTGCTGGTGCTTAAAGGCACTCACCTTGGCTCCTGCACCCATTCACCTGTGTGCTCCCCCTCATCCAAGGGGGGTTCGAGCTCCGCAGCTGAGCAAAACAAGCCCCCTATCCTTCACAAATTCCTGTGAGGGATCAGGGAACATCTCACTTGGTGAATTTTTCCTCACCTTTTAAGCTGTAGCCCAAGCTTCCCCACCCCTGTGAAAGCTTCAGCAGAGATGATTATAACACTTTAGGCCACCACTTTGTCTCATTCATTCCTATTTCTGCCACTCTCCTTAGTCTGTGGAAAACAGGGATTGTATCTTATGTACATTTCACCCTCATTGTGAAATAGTGTGTTAGGCGATGCTACCAGCATTATACATTATATGTCATTCATTCATTCCAGGAACTTCTACTGAGCAGTTATCATGCCAGGCAGAGTGTGTAACAAGTTTATAAGTAAGAAAAGTTATGACATCTAGATGCCAATTAATTATTTTATTGATTAATGGATGACTCTGATTGATGAAAAATGTTACCTTGAGGATCAGGAAGTTATGGGTGCCAAACTGGGTATATATTCATTTTTTGTTGTTGTTTATATAGTGAAAATCTAGGGAAAGCTTGTGTTAAGTTACCTTGGGTTAAACTAAAGCTGCTATTGCCTGAACAAGGCAGAAAGAAATAAACAAGAGGAATGTATATGGATTATTTGATACTTAAGTTTACAAAACATTATTATCCCGCAACTCAAAAGTAGGAAGGTGGTACAGCAAAGAAAGGTATCTTATTACTACAGCCGTCCATTTCTTTTATACTGTTTTTTGGGTTGTAAAATATTTTATCTTTAATTCATCAAAGGAGCATGACACTCTCTGTCTCCTGTGAAGCTGATCTAACCACAGAGCTTTCACTGACTAGACAGTGGACGTTGTGGGTTGTAGAACAAGATAAGAAACAACATCCAAATGACATATGTGCTGAGCAACAGAAAACAAAGAATGCATTAATTTTAACCTCTCCATGTACTCTTTGAAAAACAGGTTTTACAACAAGAGAATATTTTAATAATTTGTTGTTCAAAATCTATTGAGTTTCCTCTCCTCCTCCTTAATCCCTAGGAAGAGGAGAAGAGTTTATTATTTAGTAGTTAGTAAGGTTGATATTTAATGAGAAAGCAGTTCTAAAAAGTGGATGGATTTTAAAGATCTCAGCATGAAGAAGTTGAAATATTAAGGGCAACAGCTGTCTGTAAACGATTGCTGTTAGCTGAAATTTACGTAGTAAAGAGCAGAAAACTTCTAAGATTACTTCATTCTTAACATTTTAATGCTCAAACTATAAGACAATGCAACACTTTAAGTTGGTGACTTTTAAGTTTTATTTTTCAGGAATGCATCGAAGGCAATGAATAAGCTTATGTGTCTACCAAAAACACCATAGGAAAATTTTTATGCAACACCATTCTTAGCTAATGTCCAGTTTTTCTCAGAATACACAATCAGATGCTATTTTTATGAATTTCACTGTCTCTAACAGAGGTTGCTTAAAGGGCTCATGGAACAAAGTGTTGAGGAGTGGGTATGCTTTTAATAAACCAAGGGACATGATGACTTGGGGCCAAACTACCAACACAGCTTATGTGGTGTGTATTCATTGAGTGTTTGCTATGTTCAAAATGCTGTGGAGGAAACATTGAAGATATGCAACCTAGCCAATGGCTTTGAAAAATCTTAGATCTAGATTATGCTTTGGAACAATTGAATGGCACATTTACATATTAACATAAATAAATTCAATTTCAACAAAGCAGACAGAGTCCTGAAATAACTTTTTTTTTTTATTATTATTATTTTTTTATTATACTCTAAGTTTTAGGATACATGTGCACATTGTGCAGGTTAGTTACATATGTATACATGTGCCATGCTGGTGCGCTGCACCCACTAACGTGTCATCTAGCATTAGGTATATCTCCCAATGCTTTCCCTCCCCCCTCCCCCGACCCCACCACAGTCCCCAGAGTGTGATATTCCCCTTCCTGTGTCCATGTGATCTCATTGTTCAATTCCCACCTATGAGTGAGAATATGCGGTGTTTGGTTTTTTGTTCTTGCGATAGTTTACTGAGAATGATGGTTTCCAATTTCATCCATGTCCCTACAAAGGACATGAACTCATCATTTTTTATGGCTGTATAGTATTCCATGGTGTATATGTGCCACATTTTCTTAATCCAGTCTATCATTGTTGGACATTTGGGTTGGTTCCAAGTCTTTGCTATTGTGAATAGTGCCGCAATAAACATACGTGTGCATGTGTCTTTATAGCAGCATGATTTATAGTCCTTTGGGTATATACCCAGTAATGGGATGGCTGGGTCAAATGGTATTTCTAGTTCTAGATCCCTGAGGAATCGCCACACTGACTTCCACAATGGTTGAACTAGTTTACAGTCCCACCAACAGTGTAAAAGTGTTCCTATTTCTTCACATCCTCTCCAGCACCTGTTGTTTCCTGACTTTTTAATGATTGCCATTCTAACTGGTGTGAGATGATATCTCATAGTGGTTTTGATTTGCATTTCTCTGATGGCCAGTGATGATGAGCATTTCTTCATGTGTTTTTTGGCTGCATAAATGTCTTCTTTTGAGAAGTGTCTGTTCATGTCCTTCGCCCACTTTTTGATGGGGTTGTTTGTTTTTTTCTTGTAAATTTGTTTGAGTTCATTGTAGATTCTGGATATTAGCCCTTTGTCAGATGAGTAGGTTGCGAAAATTTTCTCCCATGTTGTAGGTTGCCTGTTCACTCTGATGGTAGTTTCTTTTGCTGTGCAGAAGCTCTCTAGTTTAATTAGATCCCATTTGAGCTGGTTTTTTGAAAGGATCAACAAAATTGATAGACCGCTAGCAAGACTAATAAAGAAAAAAAGAGAGAAGAATCAAATAGACACAATAAAAAATGATAAAGGGGATATCACCACCGATCCCACAGAAATACAAACTACCATCAGAGAATACTACAAACACCTCTACGCAAATAAACTAGAAAATCTAGAAGAAATGGATACATTCCTCGACACATACACTCTCCCAAGACTAAACCAGGAAGAAATTGAATCTCTGAATAGACCAATAACAGGCTCTGAAATTGTGGCAATAATCAATAGTTTACCAACCAAAAAGAGTCCAGGACCAGATGGATTCACAGCCGAATTCTACCAGAGGTACAAGGAGGAACTGGTACCATTCCTTCTGAAACTATTCCAATCAATAGAAAAAGAGGGAATCCTCCCTAACTCATTTTATGAGGCCAGCATCATTCTGATACCAAAGCCGGGCAGAGACACAACCAAAAAAGAGAATTTTAGACCAATATCCTTGATGAACATTGATGCAAAAATCCTCAATAAAATACTGGCAAACAGAATCCAGCAGCACATCAAAAAGCTTATCCACCATGATCAAGTGGGCTTCATCCCTGGGATGCAAGGCTGGTTCAATATACGCAAATCAATAAATGTAATCCAGCAGATAAACAGAGCCAAAGACAAAAACCACATGATTATCTCAATAGATGCAGAAAAAGCCTTTGACAAAATTCAACAACCCTTCATGCTAAAAACTCTCAATAAAAAAAGAGTCCTGAAATAACTTGAAAGGAGTCTTTGAGTGTGATTTTATTATGAGTTTAACCTACTTTAAAAATGAAATCTGGTAATGAAAACTGAAAACCTTTTCCAGCTCTCAGAATTTTATTTTAGGTCACTGTTAAGGTATAGATTTTTTTTTTAATAAATAAAAAATAACTATTTTTTATTGGATTTATTTTAGAGAATATTTAGAATAAAATCACTTATAATTCCAATAACCAGAGAGAATTGCTTTTTATTCCATCCTTTGTATATGTTTGTATGTACACATGTTCATGTATACATGTGTGTACTAACATATATAATTTATTAATTTGTAAAATTTGCACATGCTTTTGTACCCTAATTTTTAAAAATATAGTATTAACTTTTGCCTAAAACTGCCTCCGAATATATTTTAAGTTCAGCCTAAAGGTTTCCCTGTACATTAACTTGATGTATAAATGGACTGTAATTTATTCTTGTACCAATCACAGAGTTTTGGCCAATCACAGGCAGCCAGCTGTTCAAACAGTGTTCAAATAAGGCAAATCCCAAGTTGTAATGTATCCAGCTGTTTCTGTACATCACTTTTGTTTTCTGTATGTCACTTTCTTTTTTCTGTCCAGAAATGTTATCCAACCATGTGGCAACTCCGGAGTCACTCAGAACCTACTCTGGCTCTAGAGACTGCCCAACTTTTAAATCGTTTTTTGCTCAATTAAACTCTGTTACATTTAATTTGTCTAAAGCTTTTATTTTAACAGAGGCAATGTTCATAAATATTTTTCTATGTCACAAAATAAAAATTCCAGTATAATTTAAAATGACTAAATTAAAACAAACTTATTGTATAGTTGTCACATAATGTATATAACTAACTCATTGTTGGACTTCCGATTGTTTCCAATGCTATGGTGGACATTTTGTGTTTGTGCTACATCCTTAGGGCAGATTTTTTTTTTTTTTTTTGAAACAGAGTTTCGCTATTGTCACCCAGGCTGGAGTGCAATGGTGTGGTCTCCGCTCATTGCAACCTCTGCCTCCCAGGTTTAAGTGATTCTCCTGCCTCACCCTCCCGAGTAGCTGGGATTACAGGCACCCGCCACCACGCCCAACTAATGTTTTTGTATTTTAGTAGAGATGGGGTTTCACCATGTTGACCAGGCTGGTCTCGAATTCTTGACCTCGGGCGATCCGCCTGCCTCGACCTCCCAAAGTGCTGGGATTACAGGCGTGAGCCAACGAGCCCGACCGGGGAATATTCTGTATACATAGTCTTCTTGGATCAAAGGATATGTCCTTTAAGGTTTTTCACATATATTGCTAATACCATAAAGCTTGTGTATTTGTATCCCACAGTTTCCTGACCCACAAAACAAGGAATGTATGTCCATTTCCATGAAATCTTGACAACATAGGAAATTGTCATTAAAAAGTACCCAAAATAGTTTATAGAGTATTTGATGAAAAATGATTATTTTATTGTTGGAGTTTTTATTTCTTTGATTAGTAAGGAGGTTGAGATTTGTTACATGATTTTGGTTATATGTATTTCTTCTTTCATACATTCTTTGTGTAATTTGCTGAGTCTTCTTACTTGATATTTATTTTTCTTGCTGATTTATAAGAGCTCTTATTGTATTAATAACACTAACCCTTTGTCACACAAGCACTCATTAGACAAACAAGGGATGATGACACAATATTTCTGTTATTTTTCCTTAATGTTATTTCAAAAGTGCATTTCTGTGAATTGATACAAATCACAAACTTGTCCTTTAGAAAGCTGCTTAATATTATATCTCACATGTATATTTTCCAATTTAAACAATGTATAGATACTTTCCAAAATGTTCACGGACATCCTCAGTGTTGAAGTAGTATTTTATTAAGAATGTAATGCAGAAATATGCTAATACTAAACTAGGTTTCCACTCCTTTGTTGTAGGATCTAGGCAACTGTTAAACCATGATAAATTAACAATAAAAATACAAAAAATCTGTGACACTAATACCATTCACATTAACAATCAATGATGCTGCTTTGCTAAATGAAGCAATTTTTTAAAACATTAACATGGTGCTATTAGTGTGCATTTTTGAGTTCTGCATTATTATTCTACCTTGTAGGGTGTGAGTATTCAGTTATTCTGTGACTTTTCTCTATTTGAACTATGGTGAGTCTTTCATGAATACAGGAAATGAATTTGGTCCTCACTTGGGAATAATTTACCCAGTGATACTAAATTAAAAGATGGTAATGGATTATTGAAAATATGTTTATATTAATTCCTTTAGATTTTTATCTAAATATAAACAAAAAATATAAAATTTTTTATAGAGCACGCTTAAACAGTGGTTTGAGAACTTCTAATCCAGATCAAAGTTATCTTTGCTCTTCACCTATACTTAGGCATTTGGGTTGATAAAAAATTTGCAGGAAATAATATAGAAATGTAAGAGGGGTAAGTGAATCATGAAAGGTTTTATCTTGACAAAATTATCATTCAAAATCTTTTTTTAAATTTTAATTTAATTTTTTTTTATTATACTTTAAGTTTTAGGGTACATGTGCACAATGTGCAGGTTTGTTACATATGTATACATGTACCACGCTGGTGTGCTGCACCCATTAACTCGTCATTTAACATTAGGTATATCTCCTAATGCTATCCCTCCCCCCTCCCCTCACTCCACAACAGGCCCCTGTGTGTGATGTTCCCCTTCCTGTGTCCATGTGATCTCATTGTTCAATTCCCACCTATGAGTGAGAACATGCGGTGTTTGGTTTTCTGGCCTTGTGATAGTTTGCTGAGAATGATGGTTTCCAGCTTCATCCATGTCCCTACAAAGGACATGAACTCATCATTTTTTATGGCTGCATAGTATTCCATGGTGTATATGTGCCACATTTTCTTAATCCAGTCTATCATTGTTGGACATTTGGGTTGGTTCCAAATCTTTGCTATTGTGAATAGTGCCGCAATAAACATATGTGTGCGTGTGTCTTTATAGCAGCATGTTTTATAATCCTTTGGGTATATACCCAGTAATGGGATGGCTGGGTCAAATGGTATTTCTAGTTCTAGATCCCTGAGGAATCGACACACTGACTTCCACAATGGTTGAACTAGTTTACAGTCCCACCAGCAGTGTAAAAGTGTTCCTGTTTCTCCATATCCTCTCCAGCACCTGTTGTTTCCTGACTTTTTAATGATCACCATTCTAACTGGTGTGAGATGGTATCCCATTGTGGTTTTGATTTGCATTTCTCTGATGGCCAGTGATGGTGAGCATTTTTTCATGTGTCTGTTGGCTGCATAAATGTCTTCTTTTGAGAAGTGTCTGTTCGTATCCTTTGCCCACTTTTTGATGGGGTTGTTTGTTTTTTTCTTGTAAATTTGTTTGAGTTCATTGTAGATTCTGGATATTAGCCCTTTGTCAGATTAGTAGATTGCAAAAATTTTCTCCCATTTTGTGCGTTGCCTGTTCACTCTGATGGTAGTTTCTTTTGCTGTGCAGAAGCTCTTTTGTTTAATTAGATCCCATTTGTCAATTTTGGCTTTTGTTGCCATTGCTTTTGGTGTTATAGTCATGAAGTCGTTGCCCATGCCTGTGTCCTGAATGGTATTGCCCAGGTTTTCTTCTAGGGTTTTTATGGTTTTAGGTCTAACATTTAAGTCTTTAATCCATCTTGAATTAATTTTTGTATAAGGTATAAGGAAGGGATCCAGTTTCAGCTTTCTACATATGGCTAGCCAGTTTTGCCAGCACCATTTATTAAATAGGGAATCCTTTCCCCATTTCTTGTTTTTGTCAGGTGTGTCAAGGTCAGATAGTTGTAGATATGCATTATTTCTGAGTGCTCTGTTCTGTTCCATTGGTCTATATCTCTGTTTTGGTACCAGTACCATGCTGTTTTGGTTACTGTAGCCTTGTAGTATAGTTTGAAGTCAGGTAGCATGATGCCTCCAGCTTTATTCTTTTGGCTTAGGATTGACTTGGCAATGTGGGCTCTTTTTTGGTTCCATATGAACTTTAAAGTAGATTTTCCAATTCTGTGAAGAAAGTCATTGGTAGCTTGATGGGGATGGCATTGAATCTATAAATTACCTTGGGCAGTATGGCCATTTTCACGATATTGATTCTTCCTACCCATGAGCATGGAATGTTCTTTCATTTGTTTGTATCCTTTTTTATTTCATTGAGCAGTGGTTTGTAATTCTCCTTGAAGAGGTCCTTCTCGTCTCTTGTAAGTTGGATTCCTAAGTATTTTATTGTCTTTGAAGCAATTGTGAATGGAAGTTCACTCATGATTTGGCTCTCTGTTTGTCTGTTATTGGTGTATAAGAATGCTTGTGATTTTTGCACATCGATTTTGTATCCTGAGACTTTGCTGAAGTTGCTTATCAGCTTAAGGAGATTTTGGGCTGAGACAATGGGGATTTCTAGATATACAATCATGTCATCTGCAAACAGGGACAATTTGACTTCCTCTTTTCCTAATTGAATACCCTTTATTTCCTTCTCCTGCCTGATTGCCCTGGCCAGAACTTCCAACACTATGTTGAATAGGTGAGAGAGGGCATCCCTGTCTTGTGCCAGTTTTCAAAGGGAATGCTTCCAGTTTTTGCCCATTCAGTATGATACTGGCTGTGGGTTTGTCATAGATAGCTCTTATTATTTTGAGATACGTCCCATCAATACCTAATTTATTGAGAGTTTTTAGCATGAAGGTTGTTGAATTTTGTCAAAGGCCTTTTCTGCATCTATTGAGATAATCATGTGGTTTTTGTCTTTGGTTCTGTTTATATGCTGGATTATATTTATTGATTTGCATGTGTTGAACCAGCCTTGCATCCCAGGGATGAAGCCCACTTGGTTATGGTGGATAAGCTTTTTGCTGTGCTGCTGGATTTTGTTTGCCAGTATTTTATTGAGGATTTTTGCATCGATGTTCATCAGGGATATTGGTCTAAAATTATCTTTTTTTGTTGTGTCTCTGCCAGGCTTTGGTATCAGGATGATGCTGGCCTCATAGAATGAGTTAGGGAGGATTCCCTCTTTTTCTATGGATTGGAATAGTTTCAGAAGGAATGGTACCAGCTCCTCCTTGTAGCTCTGGTAGAATTTGGCTGTGAATCCATCTGGTCCTGGACTTTTTTTGATTGGTAAGCTGTTAATTATTGCCTCAAATTCAGAGCCTGTTATTGGTCTATTCAGAGATTCAGCTTCTTCCCAGTTTAGTCTTGGGAGGGTGTATGTGTCCAGGAATTTATTCATTTCTTCTAGATTTTCTTGTTTATTTGCATAGAGGTGTTTATAGTATTGTCTGATGGTAGTTTGTATTTCTGTGGGATCAGTGGTGATATCCCCTTTATCATTTTTTATTGTGTCTATTTGATTCTTCTCTCTTTTCTTCTTTATTAGTCTTGCTAGCGGTGTATCAATGTTGTTGATCTTTTCAAAAAACCAGCTCCTGGATTCACTGATTTTTTGAAGGGATTTTTGTGTCTCCCTTTCCTTCAGTTCTGCTCTGATCTTAGTTATTTCTTGCCTTCTGCTAGCTTTTGAATGTGTTTGCTCTTGCTTCTCTAGTTCTTTGAATTGTGATGTTAGGGTGTCAATTTTAGACCTTTCCTGCTTTCTCTTCTGGATATTTAGTGCTATAAATTTCCCTCTACACACTGCTTTGAATGTGTCCCAGAGATTCTGGTATGTTGTGTTTTGTTGTCATTGGTTTCAAAGAACATCTTTATTTCTGCCTTCATTTCATTCGTACCCAGTAGTCATTCAGGAGCAGGTTGTTCAGTTTCCATGTAGTTGAGCGGTTTTGAGTGAGTTCCTTAATCCTGAGTTCTAGTTTGATTGCACTGTGGTCTGAGAGACGGTTTGTTATAATTTCTGTTCTTTTACCTTTGCTGAGGAGTGCTTTACTTCCAACTGTGTGGTCAATTTTGGAATAGGTGTGGTGTGGTGCTGAAAAGAATGTATATTCTGTTGATTTGGTGTGGAGAATTCTGTAGATGTCTATTAGGTCCACTTGGTGCAGAGCTGAGTTCAATTCCTGGATATCCTTGTTAAGTCTCTGTCTTGTTGATCTGTCTAATGTTGACAGTCGGGTGTTAAAGTCTCCCATTATTATTGTGTGGGAGTCTAAGTCCCTTTGTAGGTCTCTAAGGACTTGCTTTATCAATCTGGATGCTCCTGTGTTGGGTGCATATATATTTAGGATAGTTAGCTGTCCTTGTTGAATTGATCCTTTTACCATTATGTAATGGCCTTGTTTGTCTCCTTTGATCTTTGTTGGTTTAAAATCTGTTTTATCCAAGACTAGGATTGCTGCCTCTGCCTTTTTTTGTTTTCCATTTGCTTGGTAGATCTTCCTCCATCCTTTTATTTTGAGCCTATGTGTGTCTCTGCACATGAGATGGGTTTCCTGAATACAGCACACTGATGGGTCTTGACTCTTTATCCAATTTGCCAGTCTGTGTCTTTTAATTGGAGCATTTACCCATTTACATTTAAGGTTAATATTGTTATGTGTGAATTTGATCCATGTCATTATGATGTTAGCTGGTTATTTTGCTCGTTAGTTGATGCAGTTTCTTCCTAGCCTCGATGGTCATTACAGTTAGGCATGTTTTTGCAGTGGCTGGTACCAGTTGCTCCTTTCCATGTGTAGTGCTTCCTTCAGGAGCTCTTTTAGGGCACGCCTGGTGGTGACAAAATCTCTCAGCATTTGCTTGTCTGTAAAGTATTTTATTTCTCCTTCACTTATGAAGCTCAGTTTGGCTGGATATGAAATTCTGGGTTGAAAATTCTTTTCTTTAAGAATGTTGAATATTGGCCCCCACTTGCTTGTAGAGTTTCTGCTGAGAGATCCGCTGTTAGTCTGATGGGCTTCCCTTTTTGGGTAACCCGACCTTTTTCTCTGGCTGCCCTTAACATTTTTTCCTTCATTTCAACTTTGGTGAATCTGACAATTATGTGTCTTGGAGTTGCTCTTCTCGAGGAGTATCTTTGTGGCATTCTCTGTATTTCCTGAATCTGAATATTGGCCTGCCTTGCTAGATTGGGGAAGTTCTCCTGGATAATATCCTGCAGAGTGTTTTCCACTTGGTTCCATTCTCCCTGTCACTTTCAGGTACACCGATCAGACGTAGATTTGGTCTTTTTACATAGTCCCATATTTCTTGGAGGCTTTGTTCATTTCTTTTTATTCTTTTTTCTCTAAACTTCTCTTCTCACTTCGTTTCATTCGTTTGATCTTCCATCCCTGATACCCTTTCTTCCAGTTGACTGAATTGGCTGCTGAGGCTTGTGCATTCGTCACGTAGTTCTCGTGCCATGGTTTTCAGCTCCATCAGGTCCTTTAAGGACTTCTCTGCACTGGTAATTCTAGTTAGCCATTTGTCTAATTTGTTTTTAAGGTTTTTAACTTCTTTGCCATGGGTTTGAACTTCCTCCTTTAGCTTGGAGTAGTTTGATCGTCTGAAGCCTTCTTTTCTCAACTTGTCAAAGTCATTCTCTGTCCAGCTTTGTTCCATTGCTGGTGAAGAGCTGTGTTCCTTTGGAAGAGGAGAGGCACTCTGATTTTTAGAGTTTCCAGTTTTTCTGCTCTGTTTTTTTCCCCATCTTTGTGGTTTTATCTACCTTTGGTCTTTGATGATGGTGATTTACAGATGGGTTTTTGGTGTGTATGTCCTTTCTGGTTGTTAGTTTTCCTTCTAACAGTCAGGACCCTCAGCTGCAGGTCTGTTGGAGTTTGCTGGAATTCCACTCCAGACCCTGTTTGCCTGGGTATCAGCAGCGGAGGCTGCAGAACAGTAGATGTTGGTGAACAGCAAATGTTGCTGCCTGATTGTTCCTCTGGAAGTTTTGTCTCAGAGGAGTACCCTCTGAGGGTACTGTGAGGTGTCAGTCTGCCCCTACTTGGGGGTGCCTCCCAGTTAGGCTCTTTGGGGTCAGGGACCCATTTGAGGAGGCAGTCTGTCCATTCTCAGATCTCCAGCTGTGTGCTGGGAGAACCACTACTGTCTTCCAAGCTGTCAGACAGGGACGTTTAAGTCTGCAGAGGTTTCTGCTGCCTTTTGTTTGGCTATGCCCTGCCCCCAGAGGTGGAGTCTGCGGAGGCAGGCAGGCCTCCTTGAGCTGCATTGGGCTCCACCCAGTTCGAGCTTCCTGGCTGCTTTGTTTACCTACTCAAGCCTCGGCAATGGCAGGCGCCCCTCCCCCAGCCTCACTGCCGACTTGCAGTTAGATCTCAGACTGCTGTTCTAGCAATGAGCGAGGCTCCGTGGGCCTAGGACCCTCCGAGCCAGGTGTGGGATATACTCTTCTGGTGTGCCGTTTGCTAAGACTGTTGGAAAAGTGCGGTATTAGGGTGGGAGTGACCCGATTTTCCAGGTGTCGTCTGTCACCCCTTTCTTTGACTAGGAAAGGGAATTCCCTGACCACTTGTGCTTCCCAGGTGAGGCGATGCCTCACCCTGCTTCAGCTCGCGCTCGGTGCACTGCACCCACTGTCCTGCACCCCCTGTCTGACACTCCCCAGTGAGATGAACCTGGTACCTCAGTTGGAAATGCAGAAATCACCCGTCTTCTGCGTCGCTCACACTGGGAGCTGTAGACTGGAGCTATTCCTATTCGGCCATCTTAGCTCCACCCCCCGAAAATCTTTGATTTAGACAAAGTCAACTCATCTCTTAATCCTATAACAATTTGAGCATACTTTTATTGCTATACTTTCCTTGTCACATTATAATGTATTACATGTGTTCAAGATAGATCATGAACTCCTATAGAAGCTAACTTTTTATCACTGTATCTCCAGCATCTGAGTCCACCTACCTTGTTTGAAGTGCTTAAAAATGTTTATTTTGTTGAACCACTATATACTTATTGTATTTAAAATTGTTAACTTATATGTTTTCTGTCCAGAAATGTAATCTGACCATGTGGCAACTCTGCAGTCACTCAGGACCTATTCTGGCTATTGTAACTCTGTTTATTTTTGCTTTCTACATTTTGAGGCTATTAGATGAATTACCTATAAACTTGGAATTCTTAAATCTTATAAGTAAATAAAAACTTTACCACTGTGTAATTATTCCATCTCTAATGATACTTTTTGTCCTAAAGTCTATCACTAACCTCACTTTCCTTTTGCTTATATGTGCCTGAGGCACAAAGGTGATTTTTTTTTTTTTAATATTGAATCCATCTCTTTTTTTTTTTACATGGCAAATCTAAACTACTTACCCCATTATGACCAATGAAATATCTGAACTTGTGGTATTTATCCACATTTTGCTCTGTTTTAAATATTTTAGTTGTTTTTCTCCTTTTTTATTGAATGCATTTTTTATTTGTTAATTTATTTTCTTCTTATTTTTTCCCTCAATCTGTGTGAAAACTCTTGAAATTTTACCATACATGCTTAACAAAATCTAAATATCTTAACCTTTTCTCCAAATGATAGAAAGGCTTTAGAACAATTTAATTCTGATCACCTACCTTCCAAATATTATGTCATTGATGTCCTGTCCTGTATTTTAGTTTGATCCTTTAATTATTATGGGAATTAAAGTAAATTAAATGAATTACTATAGTAATATTATAGTCATTTTTATAGTAATCCTAAGAACCTACTGAAACTGATGGTAGTATTGCCTCATTTTAAAGATGAAGAGATTGAGGTGCAGGGACCTAAGTGTTCTTGTCCCAGATCACATGGTACAAGACTTGGCAGAGCCAAGACCTGAGCCCAGACTTAGTGCCTCCAAAGGCTATGCTCCTTCTATTATTCCAAACTGCCCAAGGAATGAACATTAGCCAGTATGGGCCCTCTTCAGTCCCCATCCATGGGTCTCACATTTCTTTTTAGACTGGCTAATATAGGAAAAAAAATTTCATCCATTAGTATTTTATAATAAATGTCCTTTTAATTTGAATATAAGAATTTTTTCCTTCTGTGTTTAGGAAAGTGCTTTGAATCAGTGGATTTATAATGTTTTTGACATCTAATAATGGATGGAAAAAATGGGTGTGACATCATTTCTACCACAGCAACAAGAGCAAAGATTGTATATTTTGAAGATTCCATGCTACTTCAGTCTATTCAAAATTTCTGGGGAAATATTTTGATATACTTAAATATTTTTCATTTAAACATTTCATTATACTTTAAAATATTTCGTATTAAAAATAACTCAAATTATATTTAATTGTTTGCTGATAAAGCTGTTGAAGAAACTGAAATTATATTAAGTAGTTTTAATGTTTTTTGGCTTTGTGTTTTTCTTTTGATTTAAAGAGAGTTGTTACAGAAGAAACCTGACAATAATAGATGATATTGAGGCATATATAACCTCTTGGTTTTCTTTTCTGAAGATCTTTGAGGTGGTTTCTGGCACAGGAAGTTAATAGATAACTCTGTACCAGGAAGCAGTAGTGCACACTTGCTTTCTTTTAAGTTATTTTAAAGACAGTGCTTGTTGTTTACTTGACTTTTTGAAAATACAATATATAGAATGAGGAATCCTTGAGGGATGCCATATGAAGATATTCACTGATATTTTATAAAAGTTTTGAAAGTTCGGGGTTTGATTCTATTTCTTCTCAAGTCTAGAGTTTAAAAGTAATTTAAGAACGAAACAAATTAGAGACAGGGAACTTTTAGTTTGTGGGCTCACCGATAACATTTTGAAAAACTCTTTCTATTAGGCACTGCAGTTTTTCATTAGATTTCAATAGCCCCTTTTCTCTTTCCCTCTGACACGTTGCAAGTAACAAATCTGTACAATTGGAACATAACACTTTACTGTGGCTTAGCATTAATTGTCTTTCTTAGCACAGAAAAATAGAATTTAAAACAATGCTTTGAAGAATATTAACATGAAGTGCAGTCTTTTCACTTTTCAGTCATGCAGAGAAGTGATTTTGAAGTGACATTAACTTTCAAATAAAATTCTGTTGAGAAATCTTATAATGCCCACCCCACCCCACCCCCCCTTTTTTTTTTGGTCTTTGGAAGACTTCCTAGCTATAATTTTTGAAATTCTTTAGGTGCATTCATATTTTTAGATTGCTTCCCATAAGTCAAAATAACTTGGTACTATAGAGCTTTAAAGTTTAATACTAATGGTTTTAAATAATACTCTTTTTGAAAACCATGTTGGAGATTTCTATTAACTTTTATCATTATATGCCTTGGAGACGTCTCTTAAAGAGACTTTCATAAAGCCACAGCTTCTCTAATCGATTTAAATCTCTTGCATCTGTGAATTTCATATCTGATTGCAGTTTTAACTCAATTCCAAGTTATATCTAAAAACCCTTTTTCATTTTGAGAGAAGTTTGTTGTTTGTAATTAATTTTTAAAAGTAAGTTTGAGTAAATTTGAAGTAATTTTAGTAAAGTGAATAAAAGTAAATTTGAGTAATTTTAAATGAGCCAAATAGAGTGTTGGGAAAACTTTTGTATGCATATTTTCCCCTGCTTTTGCATGTAGGACTCCAGAAAGTCAAAACATCAAGGAATATTTGCCATTTCTTTAGGAATCTCATGACTTTCCCTTTTTAGAACTTCTGTCAACATGTAAGTGGATGGTGCATTAATTTAATCTAAGATCACTGGTAGATCTTACTAATATTTCATCTACACTACTCAAAATAACAACGGTTTTTTATTTCATGTGATTCTAGGAGGCTTCTGAGTGGTTCTTCTGCTGCATGTTGTGTTGGCTGGGGTTCCTTAGGTAGGTTTGTTCACTTGGCAGATGGTCTAGCATGCAAGATCATCTGCCCCTGTCTCATGTCTGGGACTGCAGTGTTGACTATTGGTTGGGGTAACTCAGTTATCCTCCATGTGGCCTTTCTCTTTTGGTAGTATTTTTTAAGAGCAAAGCTGCAAGCTAGTACAGCATCATTTTTTACCATATTTTATTGGTCAAAGCAAGTTACCCAGTTTCAAGGTGATGGAAATCGACCCTACCTCTTGATGAGAGAGACAGCAAGTGCAGTTCTAGCATATTCTAGAGACACATCCTTCATGAGATCTGTGATTTGTAATTCTGGGGGTGGGGGCAATGGTTTCTTAGATATGATAGCAGAAGCACAAGCCATGAAAAAAGGTATATTGGATTTCATCAAATTTAAAAACTTTTGTGCACTAAAGGATTCTATCAAGAGACTGAAAAGACAAACTACCAAATGGAAGAAAATATTTGCAAATCACATATATGATAAAAGACTTTCAATCTAATATATAAACATTTTTTACAACTTAACAAAAAGACAAATAACCAAATTAAAAAAAATGGGCAAAGGACTTGGTAGAGATTTTTCCAAAAAAGTTATACCAATGGCACATGAGCATGTGAAAAAATGCTCAACATCATAAGTCATTAGGAAAATGCACATCAAAAGCATAAGATACCACTTCACACCACACATTGCTAGTGTGAATGTAAGTGTGAATGTAAAACCATGTGGCTGCTTGGAAAACAGTTTCTCAGATGTTTAAAATGTTAAACATAGAATTACCATATGACTTCTAGGTATATATAACTGAAAGAACTGAAAACAGATGTAAAAAACTTGTACACAGATGTTCATAGAGGTACTATTCATAACAGTCAAAAGATGGAAACAGTCCAAATGTCCATCAACTGATGAATGGATAAATAAAATGGGTATCTTCTATGAGACAGAATATTATTCAGCCATGAAAAGGAATGAAGTACTGATACATGCTACAACATGGCTGAGCCTTGAAGACATTACGCCAAGTGAAAGAAGCCAGATACAAAAGGCCACGTATTGCATAGTTCCATTTACATGAGATATCCAGAATAGCCAAAATAGAGACAGAAAGCAGGTTAGTTAATTACCAGGGAGTGGCTGGGCACAGTGGCTCACACCTGTAATCCCAGAACTTTGGGAGGCCAAAGCAGGTGGATCGCTTGAGCCCAGAAGTTCAAGACCAGCCTGGGCCACGTGGCGAAACCCCGTCCCTATTAAAATACAAAAATTAGCTGGGCATGTTGGTGCATTCATGTAGTCCCAGCTGCTCGGGAGGTTGAGGCAGGAGAATTGCTTGAGCCCTGGAGATTGAGGCTGCAGTGAGCCAAGATTGTGCCACTGCACTCCAGCGTGGGTGACAGAGCAAGACCTTTTTTTTGTTAATGTGGAAAAAAAAAAGAAAAAAAATACCAGGGACTGAGGGAGAGGAGAAAATGAGGAATTACTGCTTAATGGGTATGAGATTTCTTTTTGCAGTGATGAAAATGTTCTGGAACTAGAGATAGTAGTAATGATTGTCTGACATTGTGGTATTACTAAATGCCAGTCAGTTGTACACTTTGGAATGGTTGAAATGGTGACTTTTATGTTCATGTTTTTACCACAATAAAATAAAGCAATTGGGAAATTGGACTTGCTTGGTCTTGTGCCTCAACCATGAGAACATACTCAGGCTAGTCAGTGGGATGTTAAAAAAAAAGTGGAGCTAAATTGAGTCTCCTCATCTGTACCAGCCAAAGCTATTCTAAGTTGCCAGACGGTCATCTAACACCAAAATATATGAAAGTGTTGGGCAAAGATCAGCAGAACCATTTGGTCTACTCCTAGGTGACTCTAAATGTGTTAGCATTATATGCTTATCATTTCATGCTGCTGAAATTGTGTAATTTGTTTTATTGCATTATTGTGACAATATGACTGATACAATGTCTAATACCATTACTCATTAAAATAAATCAGGGCTTCTCAGAGAAATAGATGATTTGAAGACTCGGGTAAAGAAGGTGAAAGGTAAGTGTTCAACATCTCATATGCAGGGAATCTTTCAAGGAATAATGAGGTTGACTTAAAAGGGCACAAAGTTCTGGAGTTGGATAGTAGTCATGGCAGCACATCAGCATGAATGTACTTAATGCCACTTAATTGTACACTTACAAATGGTTAAAATGGCATTATTTTTGTTTGTTTTGAGACAGTCTTGCTCTGTCGCCCAGACTAGGGTGCAGTGGCGCGATCTTGGCTCGCTGCAACCTCTGCCTCCCAGGTTCAAGCTTTTCTGCCTCAGCCTCAGCTGGGATTACAGGCGTGTGTCACCGTGCCCAGCTAATTTTTATAGTTTTAGTAGAGATGGGGTTTCACCATGTTGGCCAGGTTGGTCTTCAACTCCTGACTTCAAGTCATCCGACCACTTCTGCCTCCCAAAGTGCTGGGATTTACAGGCATGAGCCACCCCACCTGGCCAAAATGGCAAATTTTATGTTATGTTATTTTACCACAATTTTAACAAAGGACACAGGAACCAGGTGAAAGGGATTCCTGCTGGTCAGTTATTTTAATATGAGCATTAAATTTGAGCCTCAAAAAATAATGATTGTACTATATTAAAACATATCAAATATGTGAAAATCTTGAGTCCATAATTATATTAGAAATAAAAAAAAGCAAGCTAAAGTGATTGGTGGTTACTAGAGGCTGGGAAGGATAAGGAGGAGGAGTGGGGATAAAGAGAGATTGATTAATGAGTACAAACATACAGTTAGATGGAAGAAATAAGACCTAGTATTAGATTCGTGGGATAACTGTAGTTAACAATAAACTATTATGCATTTCAAAATAGCTGGAAGAGAATAATTTGAATGTTCTTCACACAAAGAAAAGATAAATATTTACGGTGTTGGGTATCCTAATTACCCTGATTTGATCTTTACACATACGAATGTATCAAAATATCACATGTACCCTGAAAATATGTACATCTGTTATGCATCAGTATAAAAACCAAAGTGAGAAAAACATTCATTCATCACCAATCGAGGTGACTATTATGCCAACATAAATATTCAACCTTAAGGGATCACAACAATGCAGGATCCTGCATTAGATCTTTATTTAGTTAAGACGGGTGTAAATGCCATTTTTTGGGACAAATGGAGAATTTTTGGGGAAAACATATAACCTCATGGTAGAGATTGTTAATTGTCTTCAAATAGTCATTTTTTTTTCTTTTCTTCATTTAGAAATAGAACTCCTTGAGTTTTAGCAGCCATCAGACCTCTCAACTAGAGACTACATTTTC
This sequence comes from Homo sapiens, assembly GCF_000001405.40. Classification (NCBI taxonomy): domain Eukaryota; kingdom Metazoa; phylum Chordata; class Mammalia; order Primates; family Hominidae; genus Homo; species Homo sapiens. Next base: position 39,646,107 of record NC_000014.9, read on the forward strand.
CAGTCGTCTTGTAGCTTGGGTTGGCTATGTCATTACTATAAATTTTGTAAAAATATGTTTTACATATAGCATTTCTTGTTATCCTTTGATTAATTTGGAAAGTAGAAAGCTAAATCTTAGTTATATATATGGTGTTCTACAGAACAATATGTTCCAAGTGTGTAGCTTTCTGATGAAGTGGCTTAATACAGGGTAACACCAACTAAGGTAACCACAGCGAGGAAGTTATGATATCTTTTAGATCAGCGTTTCAAACTGGGTTCTGTAGATGGCAGGACAAAAGAGGGTCTCTACAAATGTTTAATTTTAATTTGCTTTAAATTTGTTTTAATTCATTTATTCATTCTTTTTTTCAACTTTTAGATTCAGGGGTACATGTGCAGGTTTGTTACAAGAGTATAATGTGTGATGCTGAAGTTTGGAGTACAGTTGAACCCATCACCCAGCTAGTGAGCATGATACTGAGTAGGTAATTTTTAAGCCTTTGTCCCCCGCACCCTTCCCCCTCTTGTAGTCCTCACTGTCTATTGTTCCCATCTTTATGTCCATGTGTACCCAATGTTTAGCTCCCACTTATAAGAGAACAAGCAGTATTTGGCTTTCTGTTTCTACATTAGTTTGCTTAGGATAATGACCACCAGGTACATCCATGTGGCTGCAAAGGATCAGGTTTCATTCTTTTTCCGGCTGCATAGTACTCCATGGTGTATATGTACCACATGGTTTAAATATTTTTTAAACAATATTTTAAACCACTTTAAAAAAGCAACTGTTATAAAATATGTTACCGACATCTCTATTTTAGTGATGACAATTCTGAGGATGCAGTATGACAGCTGCTATTATTTGAGATTAATTTCTTGTGTGATTTAGGATTATTTTAATATTTGCCACAACAACAAAATACGAAGACAGATTGGATAGTAAGGCTGGTGTGGCCACAGCTGACAACTATAACCACTAATGTAAAGATTTGAGGAGTCCATCTGAACAACGTCATTTTCTTTAAATGTGAACTAAACTTATATTAATAAAACACTATTTTATGTATTAGAGTTGAGTGCAGAATTTTATTTGACAAGAGGGTTTATTACTAAACGAAATTTGAAATCTACTTAGATTTTCCCTGTAGAATAGCAGTTGTCTGCACTGGGTTTTGGACAGGAATCATCAGGCAGATAATTTCCCATTTAGATGGATAGCCAGTGTCTGATAAAAGGGCACTTTGCCGTTGACTGAAAGAAGATCAATATACTCTATACATGGAGCATGGACAGTGAAGTTGCTGGTCAGAGCCTAATTTATATTCAAAGGTTAGTGAAGGGCTACCCCACGTTGCTGCATTTGGGCACAGAAGTAAGGAAAACTTTTCTTATATTAACTCTGGATCTCCTCAGGTGCTAAACAGAGTCTTGTTTGAAGGCTGAGAGTTTTTTGTCTTAAAGATAGAAGAATATCCTTCCTTGAATATTTTTGAGGGCACAAATGGTTAAACACCTACATTTATCACTATAACCTTAACATTAATCAATAAATATCAGTTTCTTTGGATGAGATTGTGTCTTGATTATTCCTCTAAAACTATGTCTTTATAGAGAGCAGTTTTTACCATTATCTGGAAGCTTGTTAGGAATGTAGAATGTTAGGCACTACCCCAGACCTATTACATCTGAATCTGTGTTTTTAAAAGATCCCCAGGTGATTCATAAGCATATTACCTTTTGAGAAACACTTCATAGCAAAGGGAACTCTGAGGCAATTCATTTAATTAATTAGTTGAATAGAGATTTAAAAAATATTGTCGCCTTGGATGACCCAATTCACAGTTTGGGTTTAATTATCAATATTTAAATGTTTTCCGGTCAATATCTGCCTAATAATATGAGCTTTTCTATAGCTAGGAGCACAGTCTACTATAGAATTTGGTTATGGAAATTTCAGAATTTCAATGGGCTTTGTGTACCTTGCTCTGAATTGTACCTTGCTCTGAATTGTACCTTTCTCTGAATTGTGTGTGGTATTGAAACACCTGCAACTGGAATGTCAGGCAGTATTCTTGTCTGTTGTATTAACCATGACAACCCATCTTTTATGGTGTTCAGATTGTCAGTAATTTTGAACAATTAATAACTGATATCTTGTATCATTAAAACTGAAAGTTTTCAAAATATTTTAACATGCATTATCTTATTTAGACTTCACTGTAACTCTGTGTGGTAGTTTTTTAAAATCCCCATTATAGAAGTAAAGAATCTGTCCAAGGATGATGGATTATACTGATCACAGAGAGTAAATGGTAGAGGGCCTGGGCTTGAATTCAGGTTACCTGACTTCTAATTTAATACTTTCTTCACCACACAATTTTTCTTCTCTTCTTGTGGATTTTGTTTATCTCGGAATTTTCTTAAATACCATGTTATCCAGTATACAGGAGGCAATGGCATATAACTCAAAGAAATTGATCTTTTAATATAAACTGTATCTGTGTTCTGCCCTAACTCGAGCCAAGAAGAAAGCTTTACTAAGTTTAAAGTTGCCTGTGCTCAATTCAATTATAATCTGCCCTTAAACTTAATAATTCTAGGATCTTAAAGCAAAATATACAACCTTTTCTTTATGATTTTTGTTTATAGATTCCTACTTGAAGAAGAATGAGGTAGCACTCATTTCAGATTTATTATCATTTTAAACAAGAAGCTTCCTCCTAGTTACAGGGATATTCATGAAAATATTATAAATAATGGCTATTTGTAGCACTTGAAGGGCTTTATTAATAAGTTATGTCAAGCCATCTAATGCATTCTCCTCGGAGTTATTATTCACCAACACTTTATAGATTAGATATCTGTTTTTATATTGCTTTTGAAATGTGGTAGGATTTTTATATTCAGGAAAATATTCTTTTGTTTCTCTGTTCAGTTTATTTGACGGTATGATTTACTCAGTTTAGGTATCATTTCCATGTAAAATTTACACATTGGAATTCGTAGTTATTATAAAATAATTGTCTCTGTGGCTTCAAAACTGCCCTTTTGATTTCTTGGATTACTCATTTACTTTCTTCTTATTGTAAACAATCACATATATTATTTGTATCTGGCTAATTGTTTATCATAACTTGATTTTGGTTCTTCAACTACGGTATTTGTTTGCAGCTCCAGAAAATATATACACTATATTCTAAGTGTCTAAGACTATTTTTCTTGGGATAATTAACTTGTCTTGATTAGTTATAAAATAAGTGGACTTCAAATTTAGGATATTTCACTCTACCTTTGCATCCTCTCTTGATTTGCCTTCAGGATATCGCTAGTGGAATGTCCTGCTCCCAACTGAGGTTTTGTGGCTTGAAAATAAGGTTCAGTTTGTCTTCCTTACCAAATAGGCACCCTTTCTGACTACCCAGACTCACCATCTTTACAAGATCTCAGGGCTTCAGCTTTGCTGTGATTTGGTGCTCCTTTCCCCCTTTGCATCCTGCATTTAGTTTGTGGCCAGCTTTGGTTCTGGAGGCTGAATTCTGTCTATGCCCTTTGTCCCCAAATTATATGTTGAATTCGTAACTCCCTCTACCTCAGAATGTGACTGTATTTTGAGAACCCATCTTTAAAGAGGCAACTGAGTTTAAATGAGACCATCAGGGTGGGCACTAATCCAATATGACTGGTGTCCTAATGAGAAGAGGAAATGAGGACACAGACGTACACAGAGGGAAGACCATGTGAAGATGTTCTTCTAGACAGGAGAAGATGGCCATCGATAAGCCAAGGAGACAAGCCCTCAGGAAAAACTAATGTAGCTGATATCTTGATCTTGGACTTCTAGCCTCCAAAACTAGAGGAAATACATTTCTGCTGTTTAAGCTGCCCAGGCTGTGATGCTATGTCATGGGAGCTGTAGCAGACTAGTACACTTGGCAGTTCTCTGTAGGGTCTCTTGAATTTGGACCAGCTGAAGAGTATATTTTGATTATTTATTATCACTTTATTTATAGAGTATCTAAAACAGCACTATATTTTACCTACTTTGGCCTAATTGAGAGATCAGTTATTTTGGGAAAAAAAATTATTTGTTCTGTGATTCTCAATTTAGAGTAACCTCCTTGAGGAACTCATTCTTTAGGGTCCTTTGCACTAAATGCTTGTCCCAATTACAGCACTTTATCACACTTATCACACTAATTACAATTGTATATTTTATCACTTCTCTGTCCTACCCACTAGCTTGTAAATGCCTAAGGTCAGAGATTGATTTTTAAACATTATTCTATTCATACCACTTAGCATAGTGCCTGACACGAAGAATGTGCTCAATAAATATTTATGAATAAATTACTCTGTATTAGTATCAGTCAGGATGCTGAGATTTTTGCAGTAACAATCTCCAAGTATCAATGTCTTAAAACATCAAAAATTTCTTTCTTGCTTATGATACATATCATTGTGGTTGTGCTGGAGGCTCTCTCTGTGTTATCCTCACTGCTGGGTCTAGGTTCTGGGAGCAGCCCACCACTTAGGGTATTGCCTGTCACTGTGGCAGAGGAAAAAGGAGAGCATGGTGAGTCTTGTAGCAGCTCATAAGTCTTCGGCACATATCATTTCTGGTCATATATCCTTGATCAGAGCAATTCACATAGCCACATATGATGCCATTGAGGGGAGGGAATTGCCATCCTATCATTGCCAGGAGTAGAGAAAAGCCAGAGATATTTGTGAACAGCATTAGTGACTGTCAAAACTCCCATACATGGCAAATTGTTTCATTTATGATTTGCTCTTTTAATTTGCTTTTTTTTTTTTTTTTGATACAGAGTCTCACTCTGTCACCTAGGCTGGAGTGCAGTGGCACAGTCTTGGCTCACTGCAACCTCTGCCTCCCGTGTTTAAGGGATTCTTGTGCCTTAACCTCATAAATATATTAGTGTCTGTGGTATTCATGGATTTAATCTCTGGTTGGCATAGAAGTGCATGTGGGTTATTACTACGTAACTGCTTCATTATTTAATATAAAGTTCTTACAAGAGAGCCAACTATGTGTGATCTCAAATTACTGTTTTTTTTTCTGTCAAAACACAGCTTCTCCCAATATAGATGACCCTGATGCTGTTGAGAAACCTGAAAATATTATACCCTTTCTAAGCAAGCCAGGATAATATGAATCTATAGTGAATCATTCACCATTATCAAGTGGGATTTATTCCTGGGATGCACAAGGATGGTTCAACATAAGCAAATCAAGAACTGTGATATATCACATTAACAGAATGAAGGACAAAACTGTATGATCATCTCAATAGATGCAGAAAAAGCATTTGACAAAATTCAACATCCTTTTATGATTAAAGCTCTCAAAAAAATTAGGCACAGAAAGAATGCACCTCAACACATAATAAAGGCCATATATAAAAAGCCCATACTAAGATCATACTCAGTAGTGAAGAGTTGAAAGCTTTCTCTCTAATATCAGAAATAATATGAGGATGTTCACTCAAACAATTTCTATTCAATATAGTCCTTGTCCAGAGCAATTACGCAAGAAAAAGAAAAGGCATCCAAATAGGAAAGGGAGAAGTGAAATTGTTTGTTAGCTTATGACGTGATCTTATGCATAGAAAACCCTGAAGACTCCACCAAAAACTGTTGTAACTGATAAACAAATTCAGTAAAGTCTCAGGGTACAAAATCAATACACAAAATTCAATAGTATTTCTTTAGTAACAACGAGCTATCTGAAAAGGAAATTAAGAAATCAGTCCCATACACAGTAGCATAAAAAAAAAAACAATAAATTTAATCAAGCAGGTGAAAGATCTGTGTACTAAAAACTATAAAACATTAAGGAATTAAAAGTTATACAAATAAATAGAGAAATATTCTGTGTTTATGGGTGGGAAGAATTAATATTATTAAAATGCTCACACCACTGAAAGTGATCTACAGAGTTAATGTAATGCCTGTCAAAACTGCAATGTCATTTTTCACAGATCTAGAAAAATAATCTTAAAGTATATATGGAACCACAAAAAACCCTGAGTAGCCAAAGCAGTTTTGAGCAAAAAACCAAAACTAGATGCATCACACTACCTGACATCAAAACCTATTACAAAGCTATAGTTATCAAAGCAGCATGATATTGGAATAAAAAAAGACACATCCACCAATGAGCAGAATAGAAAGCCTAGAAATAAACTAATGCATTTACAGTCAATTGATTTTCAACAATGGTGCCAAGAATACACATGGAGAAAGGACAGTCTCTGCAATAAATTGTGGTGGAAACATTGGATATCCACATTCAGAAAAATGAAATAGATCTCATGCCATATAAAAAACCAACTCAAAATGAATTAAAGACTTAAACATAAGATGTAAACTGTAAAATTACTAGAAGAAAACATGGAGAAAAGTCGATGACATGGCCTGAGAGATTTCTTCAGTATGACCTCAAAAGCACAGACAACAACAGCAAAGATAAACAAGTGAGATTACATCAAACTAAAAAGCTTCTGCATAGCCAAGGAAACAGTTAATGGAGTGAAGAGATAATCCATAGATTGGGAGAAAACATTTGCAAATCAAATGTCTGATAAGGGGCTGATATCCAAAATATGTAAGGAACTCAACTCAATAGCAAGAAAACAACCCAATTGAAAAAAGCAGCGAAGGACCTAAATAGGCGTTTCACAAAAGAAGATACAAATGACCAACAGATATATGAAAAAACTCTTAGCATCATTGATTGTCAGGGAAATGAAAATCAAACCAAAGGGAGCTATCACCTCCCACCTGTTGGTATGGCTATTGCCAAAAAGATAAAAGGTAACAAGTGTTGGAGAGAATGTGGAGGAAAGGGTACCCTTCTACATTGTTGGTGGGAATGTAAATTAATACAGCCATTAGGGAAAAAAGGTATGTTGGTTCCTCAAAAAACTAAAAATAGGATTACCATATGATTCAGCAATCTTATTTCTGGGTGTATATCCAAAGGAATTGACATCAGTGTGTTGAAGAAATATCTGCACTCCCATGTTCATTGTAGCATTATTCATAATAGCTAAATATGAAAGCAACCTAAGTGTCCAACAACAGATGAATGGATAAAGAAAATGTTATACACACACACACACACACACACACACACACACACACAATCAAAATGGAGTATCATTCAGCCTTAAAAAAGAAGGGAATTCTGTCATTTGCAGCAACATGGATGAACCTGAAGGACATTATGCTAAGTGAAATAAGCCAGGCACAGAAAGACCAGTGCCACATGATCTCACTTATATATGGAATCTAAAAAAGTTGAATTCAAAGCAGTTGCGAATAGAATGGTGATTACCAAAGGTTGGAGGTGGTTGGGGAAATGGGAGCTGTTGATTCAAGGATACAAAATTTTAGTTAGAGAGTAGGAAAAAGATGTAGTAATCTGTTGCATGGAATGGTGACTATAATTAATTACAATGCATTGTATATTTTGAAATGGCTTAAAGATTATATTTTAAATCTTCTCACCACAAAAAAATCGGTAAGTATGTGAGGTGATGGAATTTGCTTGATTTAATCATTCACAATGGAAACATATCAAAATATCACATTGTACCACATAAATGCATACAATTATTGTCAACTAAAGCAAAATGTAATTTAAAAATCCACAATGAAAAAAGCATTTGAGTATGCATGTATTTAAAATATGTGCATGGGAAACTAACCTAAAATATTCAAACCAAATGACATTCTGAGAGGAATATTTGTATTATACAAGGTAGACAAAGAGTTATATAACTAGTATGCAGAGATATTTCATAAAATAATAAGAGGAACTACAGTCCATTAGGAAAATGGGTAAAGTATGAACAGATTATACATGTGCAGGCTCACACACATGTGCATGTACACACACAGCCAACGAACTAGGGAAAGATGCTAACTCTCAGTGCTGATGGCGATGGGGGAAATGGGCATTCCTAGACACTGTTAGTATAAGTGTAGAATGGTATAAGCCTTTGTGGGTAATGCCTTGGCATGTATTTTAAAATTTTTAATGTTTATATATTTTAACCTAGCCACCCAAGTTTTTGAAATCTATCACCTAGAAAGAAGAGGGAAACTCACTGCAGCACTGTTTATAAAAGCAAAAAATTAGAAGCAAGTTAAATACCTCTCAGTAAGTGAAAAGTGTATCCATAAAGTGGAACAGTATGCATATATTAGAAAAAGGAGGAAATAATAATGAAAATAATAAGTAAGATTTATTGAGTGCTTACTATGTTCTAGACACAATTGTAAGTGCTCTTTTGAGAATAGGTTTGAAAATAAGAACAAGATAATATATACATGATATATTATGTAAAAAATAAGGTTTCAGACCAATATGAAAATAAATGCAAGTAAATAAATGTAAGTATAAATGTATTATTGTAAAGATCCAAATATTTATATTTTATATATTTCTACATATAGATATGTAAATATAGACATAGTTGTACAAATATAGGAAAAGTTGGGAAGACTACACTGTGAGGTCTTAACAATGATGGGTATTGGATTAGATGGGGGGAGGCTTTTATTTCCTACTTAATTATAGAACCAAGGGATTGTGGGTAATTTTTACTTTTTTGTGTTTTTCAAATAAAAAAATAAATAAAAACATTTTGATGGTGATGGTGCAGGAATAGTAGTGATTTGCTCCACCATGGTAAACATAGCTTGATCTATGAATGTGGTTGTTGACAGAAAATCTTGGAAGAAGAACACTTCTTTGATGACGTTGTCAGAGAGAAATGGATGTTCTCCTAAATGGGAAGCCTTAATTCTGTGTGTAATTTATAAGTAAGAATGCATTTGAATTTTTTTTCCTTTTTTAAAAACTTTTATTTTAACTTCATAGGTACATGTGCAGGATGTGCAGATTTGTTACATAGGTAAATGCGTGTCATGGGGGTTTGTTACACAGATTATTTCATCACCCAAAAATACACTTTAACAACAGACAATAATTATTTCCCTTATTGAGATTGGCAGCCACTAGGGAAAGGGAAATTTTGGTAGTTACGATTGGGAAGATGAAGGATAGAGAGGTATATTTTGAGAAAGAAAGTATAGATGGGGTAGCAGTTTGGATTATTGTGGTGTCACATGAGGACTCTTATCCCGGGGGTTGGATAAAGCAGGTAGCGGTAAATGCTTTTTGATTACTTTTGCATACCTGTCTTTGGTTCTGTTGGTTGTTTTGCCATGAAAGTAATTTAAAATTCTAGTTTAACGATGCCTAAGTTTGAGTATTAGGTCTGATTTGAAGGGATCAAACTTTATTATCAGTGCTTACTTAGCAGTTTAGCTTTATCCAGCCCAGGACTTCCTTAATGTTTCTCTGCTTTCCTTTCTTCCTTCAGAGCCATGGAGAAGAGGAGACAGAGTGTGCAAGGGAATGAAGAAAAGGAACAAGACTATTTTCAAATCACCCATGGCACTACTAGAAATGTATTTCAGCAAAAGGACTGGCTGATTTTATGATTCCTGTGTCCACCACAGCCCTCTAATTTTTACATAGGTACCCCACATCTCTCTAGATTTCAGGAAGACTATTATCCTTCGACTTTAGCTTTCTGATGGGTTCACAAAAAGCCATTAGTGTGCTGTTGGTCCAGCTTTTTTCTGTTGCAAATATGAGAGCTACAGTTCTGAGATGAAACCACAGGTAAGTGTTATGATTTTAAGTAACTGAATACTAAAGTGATGTAGGCGAACTAAATTAAGTACTAAAGAAAACTAGACAGAAGTCTAAAAGATATACGATTAGAAATGATACAGCTCCCAGTATGAGCAACGCAGAAGACGGGTGATTTCTGCATTTCCATCTGAGGTACCAGGTTCATCTCAGTAGGCAGTGCCAGACAGTGGGCACAGGACAGTGGGTGCAGGGCACCGTGTGCGAGCCAAAGCAGGGCGAGGCATAGCCTCCCTCTGGAAGCGCAAGGGGTCAGGGAGTTCCCTTTCCTAGTCAAAGAAAGGAGTGACAGACGACACCTGGGAAATCGAGTCACTCCCACCCTAATACTGCGATTTTCCGAAGGGCTTAAAAAACGGCACACCAGGAGATTATATCCCGCACATGGCTTGGAGGGTCCTACGCCCACGGAGTCTCACTGATTGCTAGCACAGCAGTCTGAGATCAAACTGCAAGGCGGCAGTGAGGCTGGGGGAGGGGCGCCCGCCATTGCCCAGGCTTGCTTAGGTAAACAAAGCAGCCAGGAAGCTCCAACTGGGTGGAGCCCACCACAGCTCAAGGAGGCCTGCCTGCCTCTGTAGGCTCCACCTATAGGGGCAGGGCACAGACAAACAAAAAGACAGCAGTAACCTCTGCAGACTTAAGTGTCCCTGTCTGTCAGCTTTGAAGAGAACAGTGGTTCTCCCAGCACGCAGCTAGAGATCTGAGAATGGGCAGACTGCCTCCTCAAGTGGGTCCCTGACCCCTGACCCCCCAGCAGCCTAACTGGGAGGCATCCCCCCAGTAGGGGCAGACTGACACCTCACACGGCCAGGTACTCCTCTGAGACAAAACTTCCAGAGGAACGATCAGACAGCAGCATTTGCGGTTCACGAAAATCCGGTGTTCTGCAGCCACCGCTGCTAGTACCCAGGCAAACAGGGTCTGGAGTGGACCTCTAGCAAACTACAACAGACGTGCAGCTGATGGTCCTGTCTGTTAGAAGGCAAACTGACAAACAGAAAGGACATCCACACCAAAAACCCATTTGTACATCACCACCATCAAAGACCAAAAGTAGATAAAACGACAAAGATGGGGAAAAAACGGAGCAGAAAAACTGGAAACTCTAAAGAGCAGAGCGCCTCTCCTCCAAAGGAACCCAGCTCCTTACCAGCAATGGAACAAAGCTGGATGGAGAATGACTTTGACGAGTTGAGAGAAGAAGGCTTCAGACGATCAAACTACTCTGAGCTACAGGAGGAAATTCAAACCAAAGACGAAGAAGTTGAAAACTTTGAAAAAAATTTAGATGAATGTATAACTAGAAGAACCAATACGGAGAAGTGCTTAAAGGAGGTGATGGAGCTGAAAGCCAAGGCTCGAGAACTACCTGAAGAATGCAGAAGCCTAAGGAGCCGATGCGATCAACTGGAAGAAAGGGTATCAGTGATGGAAGATGAAATGAATGAAATGAAGTGAGAAGGGAAATTTAGAGAAAAAAGAATAAAAAGAAAAGAACAAAGCCTCCAAGAAATATGGGACTATGTAAAAAGACCAAATCTACATCTGATTGGTGCACCTGAAAGTGACAGGGAGAATGGAACCAAGTTGGAAAACACTCTGCAGGATATTATCCAGGAGAACTTCCCCAATCTAGCAAGGCAGGCCAACATTCAGATTCAGGAAATACAGAGAACGCCACAAAGATACTCCTTGAGAAGAGCAACTCCAAGGCACATAATTATCAGATTCACCAAAGTTGAAATGAAGGAAAAAATGTTAAGGCAGCTAGAGAGAAAGGTCGGGTTACCCACAAAGGGAAGCCTATCAGACTAACAGCGAATCTCTCGGCAGAAACTCTACAAGCCAGAAGAGAGTGCGGGCCAATATTCAACATTCTTAAAGAAAAGAATTTTCAAACCAGAATTTCATATCCAGCCAAACTAAGCTTCATAAGTGAAGGAGAAATAAAATACTTTACAAACAAGCAAATGCTGAGAGATTTTGTCACCACCAGGCTTGCCCTAAAAGAGCTCCTGAAGGAAGCACTAAACATGGAAAGGAACAACCGGTACCAGCCACGGCAAAATCATGCCAAATTGTAAAGACCATTGAGGCTAGGAAGAAACTGCATCAACTAATGAGCAAAATAACCAGCTAACATCATAATGACAGGATCAAATTAACACATAACACTATTAACTTTAAATGTAAATGGACTAAATGCTCCAATTAAAAGACACAGACTGGCAAAATGGATAAAGAGTCAAGACCCATCAGTGTGCTGTATTCAGGAAACCCATCTCATGTGCTGAGACACACATAGGCTCAAAATAAAAGGATGGAGGAAGATCTACCAAGCAAATGGAAAACAATAAAAGGCAGGTGTTGCAATCCTAGTCTTGGATAAAACAGACTTTAAACCAACAAAGATCAAAAGAGACAAACAAGGCCATTTCATAATGGTAAAGGGATCAATTCAACAAGAAGAACTAACTATCCTAAATATATATGCACCCAATACAGGAGCACCCAGTTTCATAAACCAAATCCTGAGTGACCTACAAAGAGACTTAGACTCCCACACAATAATAATGGGAGACTTTAACACCCCACTGTCAACATTAGACAGATCAACAAGACAAAAAGTCAACAAGGATACCCAGGAATTGAACTCAGCTCTGCACCAAGCAGACCTAATAGACATCTACAGAACTCTCCACCCCAAATAAACAGAATATACATTTTTTTTCAGCACCACACCACACCTATTCCAAAATTGACCACATACCTGGAAGTAAAGCTCTCCTCAGCAAATGTAAAAGAACAGAAACTATAACAAACTGTCTCTCAGACCACAGTGCAATCAAACTAGAACTCAGGATTAAGAAACTCACTCGAAACTGCTCAACTACATGGAAACTGAACAACCTGCTCCTGAATGACTACTGGGTACATAACGAAAAGAAGGCAGAAATAAACATCTTCTTTGAAACCAACGAGAACAAAGACACAACATACCAGAATCTCTGGGACGCATTCAAAGCAGTGTGTAGAGGGAAATTTATAGCACTAAATGCCCACAAGAGAAAGCAGGAAAGATCCAAAATTGACACCCTAACATCACAATTAAAAGAACTAGAAAAGCAAGAGCAAACATATTCAAAAGCTAGCAGAAGGCAAGAAATAACTAATATCAGAGCAGAACTGAAGGAAATAGAGACACAAAAAACCCTTCAAAAAATTAATGAATCCAGGAGCTGGTTTTTTGAAAGGATCAACAAAATTGATAGACCACTAGCAAGACTAATAAAGAAGAAAAGAGAGAAGAATCAAATAGACGCAATAAAAAATGATAAAGGGGATATCACCACCGATCCCACCGAAATACAAACTACCGTCAGAGAATACCACAAACACCTCTATGCAAATAAACTAGAAAATCTAGAAGAAATGGATAAATTCCTCGACACATACACCCTCCCAAGACTAAACCAGGAAGAAGTTGAATCTCTGAATAGACCAGTAACAGGCTCTGAAATTGTGGCAATAATCAATAGCTTACCAACCAAAAAGCGTCCAGGACCAGATGGATTCACAGCCGAATTCTACCAGAGGTACAAGGAGGAACTGGTACCATTCCTTCTGAAACTATTCCAATCAATAGAAAAAGAGGGAATCCTCCCTAACTCATTTTATGAGGCCAGCATCATCCTGATACCAAAGCCGGGCAGAGACACAACCAAAAAAGAGAATTTTAGATCAATATCCTTGATGAACATTGATGCAAAAATCCTCAATAAAATACTGGCAAACAGAATCCAGCAGCACATCAAAAAGCTTATCCACCATGATCAAGTGGGCTTCATCCCTGGGATGCAAGGCTCGTTCAATATACGCAAATCAATAAATGTAATCCAGCATATAAACAGAAACAAAGACAAAAACCACACGATTATCTCAATAGATGCAGAAAAGGCCTTTGACAAAATTCAACAACCCTTCATGCTAAAAACTCTCAATAAATTAGGTATTGATGGGATGTAACTCAAAATAATAAGAGCTATCTATGACAAACCCACAGCCAATATCATACTGAATGGGCAAAAACTGGAAGCATTCCCTTTGAAAACTGGCACAAGACAGGGATGCCCTCTCTCACCACTCCTATTCAACATAGTGTTGGAAGTTCTGGCCAGGGCAATCAGGCAGGAGAAGGAAGTAAAGGGTATTGAATTAGGAAAAGAGGAAGTCAAATTGTCCCAGTTTGCAGAAGACATGATTGTATATCTAGAAAACCCCATTGTCTCAGCCCAAAATCTCCTTAAGCTGATAAGCAACTTCAGCAAAGTCTCAGGATACAAAATTAATGTACAAAAATCACAAGCATTCTTATACACCAATAACAGACAAACAGAGAGCCAAATCATGAGTGAACTCCCATTCACAATTGCTTCAAAGAGAATAAAATACCTTGGAATCCAACTTACAAGGGACGTGAAGGACCTCTTCAAGGAGAACTACAAACCACTGCTCAATGAAATAAAAGAGGATACAAACAAATGGAAGAACATTCCATGCTCACGGGTAGAAAGAATCAATATCGTGAAAATGGCCATACTGCCCAAGGTAATTTATAGATTCAATGCCATCCCCATCAAGCTACCAATGCCTTTCTTCACAGAATTGGAAAAAACTACTTTAAAGTTCATATGGAACTAAAAAAGAGCCTGCATCACCAAGTCAATCCTAAGCCAAAAGAACAAAGCTGGAGGCATCACGCTACCTGACTTCAAACTATACTACAAGGCTACAGTAACCAAAACAGCATGGTACTGGTACCAAAACAGAGATATAGATCAATGGAACAGAACAGAGCCCTCAGAAATAACGCCGCATATCTACAACTATCTGATCTTTGACAATCCTGAGAAAAATAAGCAATGGGGAAAGGATTCCCTATTTAATAAATGGTGCTGGGAAACCTGGCTAGCCATATGTAGAAAGCTGAAACTGGATCCCTTCCTTACACCTTATACAAAAATTAATTCAAGATGGATTAAAGACTTACATGTTAGACCTAAAACCATAAAAACCCTAGAAGAAAACCTAGGCAATACCATTCAGGACATAGGCATGGGCAAGGACTTCATGTCTAAAACACAAAAAGCAATGGCAACAAAAGCCAAAATTGACAAATGGTATGTAATTAAACTAAAGAGCTTCTGCACAGCAAAAGAAACTACCATCAGAGTGAATAGGCAACCTACAAAACGGGAGAAAATTTTTGGAAACTACTAGTCTGACAAAGGGCTAATATCCAGAATCTACAATGAACTCAAACAAATTTACAAGAAAAAAACAAACAACCCCATCAAAAAGTGGGCGAAGGACATGAACAGACACTTCTCAAAAGAAGACATTTGTGCAGCCAAAAAAGAAATGAAAAAATGCTCACCATCAGTGGCCATCAGAGAAATGCAAATCAAAACCACAGTGAGATACCATCTCACACCAGTTAGAATGGCGATCATTAAAAAGTCAGGAAACAACAGGTGCTGGAGAGGATGTGGAGAAATAGGAACACTTTTACACTGTTGGTGGGACTGTACAATAGTTCAACTCTTGTGGAAGTCAGTGTGGCGATTCCTCAGGGATCTAGAACTAGAAATACCATTTGACCCAGCCATCCCATTACTGGGTATATACCCAAAGGACTATAAATCATGCTGCTATAAAGACACATGCACACATATGTTTATTGCGGCACTATTCCCAATTGCAAAGACTTGGAACCAACCCAAATGTCCAACAATGATAGACTGGATTAAGAAAATGTGGCACATATACACCATGGAATACTATGCAGCCATAAAAAATGATGAGTTCATGTCCTTTGTAGGGACATGGATGAAATTGCAAATCATCATTCTTAGTAAACTATCACAAGAACAAAAAACGAAACACTGCATATTCTCATTCATAGGTGGGAATTGAACAATGAGAACACATGGACACAGGAAGGGGAATATCACACTCTGGGGACTGTTGTGGTGTTGGGGGAGGGGGGAGGGATAGCTTTAGGAGATACACCTAATGCTAAATGACGAGTTAATGGGTGCAGCACACCAGCATGGCACATGTATACATATGTAACTAACCTGCACATTGTGCACATGTACCCTAAAACTTCAAGTATAATAATAATAATATAAAATAAAAAAAAAGAAAGGATACTTAAGCAATATAATTAAGAAAACAACATCAGCAAAAAAACTCCACTCAGTTTTAAAAAATGATTTTTGGTCGGGCGCCAAAATCCCAGTACTTTGGGAGCCCGAGGCAGGCAGATCACGAAAGAGATGGAGACCATCCTGGCCAACATGGTGAAACACCGTCTCTACTAAAAATGCAAAAATTAGCTGGGCATCGTGGTGCACGCCTGTAGTCCCAGCTACTCGGGAGGCTAAGGCAGGAGAACCATTTGAACCTGGAAGGTGGAGGTTGCAGTGAGCTGAAATCGTGTCACTGCACTCTAGCCTGGCAACAGAGTGAGACTCTGTCCCCCACCCCAAAAAAAGATTTTTAGTTATTTGTCAATATCTATGGAGCATTTACTAAGTACAACATACCTTATTAAATGATTTGCCTACCTTTTAAAATGGAATCTTTTCAGCAACCCTCTGATGTTCTCTTATTATTTCCATTATGAGGAAACTGAAGCACAAAGTATTTGAGTGACTTGCCCAAGGTCATACAACTAACAAATGTTGTAACTGAGACTCCAATACAGGAAATCTGATTTCATAGTGTGTCTTTATTATATTAATAAAGTGAGGCTATCACTTTTTCAGATATTAAAAGGAATCCAATTGAACCAAGAAAGAACATGCTGTAAGAAATAGTTCAATAGCAGAAGATCCTTTAATAGTATGTGAAAGGAGAAATATTCTCATAGTGATGAAAAGAAGAAAAGAAAAGGAAAACCTGTAGGATTTTAGAGCACCCTGACCATCTGACCCAGGCAGACACTTCTAAGAGCTGCATGGAACTGTATTTAAGATCGACAGGAATAAAACTGTCCATCTTATCTTACTTTTCTTTTACATACCCTTAGACTTCTCTCTATTATTCATTGGCAACTCCAGCTCTTGAACTCCGAAAATTCCACCGATGCCATTTGAGCATTGAGAAAATATACTTTTCATTTTAAGTTACATCTTCCTACTGTTTGTAGATGTTACGTGTATTCCATTGCTAAGGAATCATTGTCTTTGCCTGAGGAAAAAGACAGTTTAAAAATAACTTGTGTTGTGATTAGAAAAGTCTTTGTATAAAGATACCTGAAAGAGAGAGAATGCACAGGCACCTGTATAACACATGATGGGTGATAGTTTTCAACTGTGCTTGGCGGGGAAACATTTTGTTTTGTATAGAAATACAGTGTAGACAAGAAAAAAAGTGGTATGTTAATGTGAGGCATATTGGAATGTATTTAAGTATATCTGTTGTTAACAAACTGGATAAATCCACTAAATAGATAACATATGAAATTTACAGGCTGCAGGTGGCCATGGGTCCTCTTTTTCACCTGTTAGTGATGGTGGTGGAGGGGAAGGACGGCATAGGGGAGTAAGGGAAATAGTATTTCCACCAGGAGAATTTTGAAACTGACATGTAAGAAAATACTGTATTTTCTATTCATACCAGTTATGCTTCATACAGATATTGGGTGATTGTGAAGTTATTGTTTGTAAGTCCCTACTATGGTGTTGACTCTATACACTTTACCATATGCCCAGTGTGGGGTGTGTTTGGATGTCTTAGTGTGAGTCCAAGAATTCCAGGGAATTCAAGATATTTTGCAGCATCATTCTTTATTTCAAAGTCTAGTCTAGACTTTTAAATATTTGAATATATTGGACTGTAAACAAAACAATATCTTGTTGAAAAGAACAACCATCTCCATGCAACCTGAATGGATGGAAGCAGTATTATCTTTAGTCGAAATCTGAAACAAAATCTTTAGTCCAAATCTGAAACAAAATCTGCTTCACCAAACTTTCTTGCAGACAAGCAGACTGCTTTGTTTGAAAATGTGAGATTGGAAAATCTGGTTGGAAGTTTTACCTTAAAATTTTTTCTTCCTATGGGGAGGGCATGGGCTCTCCGGTAACTCTTTGTTCTGGCAGCAGGAGGAAGGACATGGCGCTGGTGTCCCGGCTGGAGGAGCCAAGGGTTACCCGGTACCTTTTATTTTCACATTAAAACACTATAGAGAAAAGGATCTGGCTCTCCACCTTTTAATATTGCTCAGTCATTTCTTTATACTTTGTGCTTCAGTGAGCACAGTATGTGGTTTGCTAGGGAAGCTATTAAAAAGAAAACCCTTCAGTTTTATGGATTTTGTCGAAATCTACAGTGAATGCATGTTTTTTAATTCCTTCACAACTACTGTAATTCTCTAAACCTTGGTGAGGACATGCTCAAAAATTGGCTCATAATTTGTAATTTAACAAGTGACAGAATATTTTGACATTAGTAAATGAAGGGAAATGTTTTATATAACAAACCATGATCGTGGCTTTCCATTTTGGTCATTTGTACTGAGCAGATTGTCACAATCAAAGCTCTGGCTGTTAGAAGCCTAGGCCAGTTTTGTTGAAACTTTCCGGGTAACTAAGATCATTCAGGCTTGGCCTTGTATTATATTTAGATTAAAGTGGTTATCCCCTCTTTGTGTTCAGAATGCCCACCCCTCTCCCATCTTTCTTTTTGCTCTAACTTACATAAACTTTTTTGCATGTTTATTTATAATTCGTAGCCTATATTCACCTCTGGGTTTTAACTTCTTGCATTTCATTTCTTAAGAGTCCTTCTCAGCATTTCACCATCTCCTAAGTGTTAGTGAGTAAAGGATGGCAAGAAACTTGACAGAGAAGGTGTTAGTGGGTCAGGGAAAAGTCCAGTGTGGAGGCTATAGTCTTATGGGATGGTAGAGGCCATACTTCTGGTGACTGTATTCATCATCCACTTGGATTCTCTCTCACACAGAGTCTGATTTAGCGTAGACAGTGTCATCTTTTAGTTGGCTTAGAAAAGCTTGACCCCAAATGTACTCTGAGAAGTCCTTAAAAATAAATTTGTATTAATCCAGTAATTCTCTAGATAAGAAACTTAAAATTCTGTAGGAAGTATGTGTGACATACAGAAATAAGTGAAATGGATGACAATGAAACTAACATTGCTTTTTAAATCACCATATGTGCATAAAATACACATGCATAAATAAGGCCCACTGGCTGGCTGAGTATGACTCATGTTTTATACTCATTTTGTTTTCTTGCAATAAGAAAGCTTAACTGGGTAATAAAGCTCCCTCTCTTCTGGTCCCTGAGAAACCAACCTCACAGCTGCAGGTCCCATTTTTAGCTAGGACAAATCTCATCTTATTTAACCAATCTTTCCATAAGTGGCTTCGTTGAGGAAGTTATTACTTTCTGTGGTCTAAATTGCCTAACAGAAAGTCATTTTACCTAAATCCTAGGACCCCTGTGGGAAAATCCCAATTGGTTACTGTGCCTGTAAACTAAATAAGGTACTGACTGGCTCCTCCTTTTAAGCAGAACTAGTTTTAAGATCTTCTCTTACATCACCTTAGTTAAACTTGAAAATTTCCTGTTTGTTATAGCGAGAAAAGCAACTCAATTCTCCTATTTCTAAATATTGTTAGAAAGGGTCTGCTGTTGAATACAATTCAATTCCTAGGACTGTTGTGGGGAAATCTGAATGAATATGTTGCATATTGACCTAGAAATATATTGTAAAATGTGATTTATTTGCAAAGAAGCTCTGAAATTCTGTGCTGTTCGTGAGATACTGCTCCTTTTGTAAACGTTAAAAGCCACAAATCTTTTTTTCTTGTCAATTCAATTGAATACTTAAGAGGATTGCATAATAATTATCCTTTAAAAAATAGGATTAATATTTAACTGTGTTCAGCAAAATTAATTGAAAGCTTCTGCAGTTCAGGCACAAAAATAGTTGTCCAAGTAAACTGCAAAGGCTCCATGTTGCAAAATTATTTAAGCATATAATAATTTTACCTTTCACTTGTGTATGACATTTTACAGATAACTCACTATTAATAAGTATGTATTAAGGTAATTATAAGTACATTCTGCTTTTATAGTTATAAATAAGCCTTCTGGTTCCCCACAATAGAGCTTATTATTATCCCCTTAATGTGGAAGAGTAAATGGAGGCAAAGATTGAGCATTAATTGTAGGACTGTCATCTATCTAAGCTGATTAGTATATGGTGAAGGGATTAATATCTCTGAATAGATTATAATTTTGATATCTATGACTTATCTCTAATAATGTTCAATTCTTTACCATATCAGCAAAATGGAATCATTTGCAGTTAAAAAAATACCCTTGTAATGGCTTTAAAACACGACCAATCGATTCTCTGATACTCCTTCATTAAGAGGTAGGATCTTTATCCCTTTTCCTTGAATTAGGGCCTTGTGACTGTTTGACTAATAGAACACAATGAAAGTCCCACTGTGCCCATTTCTGGCTTGGGCTTTAAGAAGCTAGCAGCTTCTATTTCCTATCTCTTAGGATCATTGCTCTTGGAACCCAGCTACCATGCCACAAGGAAACCTAAGCAGCCAGTGCAAAACCCCTCATGGGCACCTGCACATAGCTCTAGTTGAACTTCTAGTTGATAGCCAGCTCCCACTTGCCAGCCATATGAGTGAGTCATCCTGAAAGCAGGTCCTCCAGCCCTCCCTCAGCTGAGCTGCCCTTGATGACATTGTGTGGAGCACAGATTAATGATTCCTGTTGATCCCTGCCCAAATTTTAGATTTGTAAGGAAAATAAATGATTACTGTTTTTTAAGCCACTAAGTTTTGAGGTGTCTTTTTTTTTTTTTTCTTTTTGGAGACAGAGTCTCACTCTGTTGCCCAGGCTGGAGTGCAGTGGTGTGATCTCAGCCCACTGCAACCTCCGCCTCCTGGGTTCAAGTGATTCTCCTGCCTCAGCCTCCCAAGTAGCTGGGATTACAGGCACCTGCCACCACGCCTGGCTAATTTTTGTATTTCAGTAGAGATGGGGTTTCACCATGTTGGTCAGGCTGGTCCCGAATTCCTGACCTCAAACGATCTGCCCACCTCAGCCTCCCAAAGTGTTGGGATCACAGGCATGAGCCACTGCTCCTGACCCTGAGGTGATTTTTAATGCAACAATAGATAACTGGAGCATGCTCTAAGGAAATGGCAACGTTCCTAGCTCTCTTCTCTTCAGTGTCACCAAAGCTAGGTGCTGTTCTACAGTTTAACTCTTGATGCTAATGGCTTGGAAAGAAAGAGAGTGAACACAACAGGTTTCCAGGGGGAGGCTCGGAGTTCTTACTCAGTATTGGTGGGACTGTACTTGTTTTAGGATGATGCATCATAGCCTAATCTAATTTACTGAGCATCTACTAAGTGCCAAGCACAGTTGTAGCTCTAACAGGGCCAGCTTTGCTGTTTCTAGTTCTGCTTAGGCTACTAACCCACCATGTGGTCTCGACAGACTATGCTGAGCTAAAGTATCCCATTTCTTTTTCTGTGTAAAATAAGAGGGCTTGGATAAATGTTCTCTCAGGTTCTTCCAGCTCAAACACAATATTATTTATTCCTTATATATTCTGAATATGTATACTTTAAAACTTTAGCTGCTCCACTTGAAAATCTAAGTTTTTATTGTCCTCCTCAAAGGACTCCTTGCTTCATTATCTAATGTTTTTCCCTTTGAAGAGAGTATTTCATTCCTAAGAGGGGTTTAAAAGAAGATTCACCTGGTCTGAACCTGATATTCTCCAAATGACAATTCTCTAACCTAAATTTAAAAACACAAGCAAAAAAGGACTGAGAAGCTGAGATGAGGAAGCTCTGTTGGGCAAGTCAAAATGGGGCCAATAATATTTACTTCACAGGGTTATTAAAAGAGATAACATATGTAAAGCCCATAGTTCAGAGCCTGACGCTTAACAGACACTCAACAAGGGATGTTCTTATTCTTTTTTTCTTGAGAAACGAGCTAATCATTTGAAATGTAAAATTTTGTTCATGGAATTGCATAAGATACCATTCTATTTCTACAACTATTTCTGTAGTCTTAAATGCCCTGCATTAAAAGATTGTTGTTTAATATATTGTACCTCTTTTGCCATCTATTTGTTAAATATTGGCTGCCTGGTTTCTGATTTTGCTGAATTTGACTTTTTTAAAAAAAAACCTAATTGTTTTCTTCAAGAATACAAGCCAACATTGTAAAGGATGATTTACTCTAAGATAATGCTGAAAGAGATGTGGTATGAAATTTTGTTAAATTTATAAGATAAATTTGGGATATTCTTTTACTGGACAAACTTTTTATTAAGAATATATTGTTTCTTGAAACACTAAGTTTTGGGATAAGTTATTAAAACAAATTTGGGAGTGGCTTAGTTGGGTGTTTCTCACTTGGATCTCTCATGAGATTGTAAACAAGATGCTAGCCAGCGCTACAGTCACTTGATAGCTTGTCTCAGGGATTTGCTTCCATTGGTTCATTCATGTTCAGGCAAGTTGGTGCTGGCAATTGTCAGGAGACACCAGTTTCTGGTCATGTGGATCTCTTCATGGGAAGGCTTCAATGTTTTTATGTCATGGCATTTGACTTGCTCTAGGATGAGTGATCTAAGAGACAGGAAGAAGGAACCCACAATGTCTTTTGTGATCTAGGCTTGTAAGTCAAACTCTGCCACAACTGAAATATCTTACTAGTTACACAGATCAGCCTTATTCAGTTTGGGAGGAGACTACACACCAGCTTGAATACCAGGAAGTGAGAATCATTGTGGACGATCTTGGATGATAGTTACTCCCACATCAGGGTTCTTCTGGCTTAGGCTCATTTCTCTTATCTTTCTGTGCATTCTCTGTGAACAAGCCCATTCACATCTATAGATTCACATACCACCTTTATGCCTAATTATTTCCAAATATATAAGTAAGCCCAGATTTCTCTTCTGTTCTTCAGATCCCAATGCATAATACTTACATTTTATCCATTCCCCCAACTGGTATCTACTGAGTAGCCACTAGAAACCCAGCCTTAAACTAGTCTAGACAAATAGGACAGGCCTTCAGCCCTCATGGAACTTACAGTTTAGTGAAGCAGGAAGAAAGCAAACATGTAAATAAAGAAAATATTTACAGCTAGTGGTAAGTTTAGTCAAAGAAATATACTGTTGTAATAATGATGGGGGTGGGGCATGTGATAGAAGAGGAGAGAGTTGGCTACTTTAGATGAAGCGGACAAAGAAGGACTCTTTGAATAAGTGATATTTAAGATGAGACCTGAGAGACAAGATTTGAAAGATCGAAAAGAAACCATTCCAGGCACTGAGAACTAGACTTTAAGTGCAAGCCCTTACTATAAGTCCAAACATTCACTAATCATCAGATACCCGGTCTAGACATCTAAGCACAGTATTTCTTTTTCATTATGTATCCTTCAGAATACTAGCTCCCAAAAGTTTCTGTAAAAGACTGATTTAATGGGGCTACTGCATATTCTCCCCCTCTCTAGGAGACTAACAATTATGGTGAACAACTAAATCTGTACAGTGGTGTCAGGGAATCTGTTCCATGGTGTTTACTCAGTGTTTCTAAATAGATTTTACCATAGAACTCTTTTTGTCCCCCTCCGCCCATAAAACATGTATTCCCTCCATTTTGGGAAACTCCATTTCAGGCTGATTTCTCACTCTCCTGATTCTCAAATCCCTTGTGCCTTTATTCCTGGTGCCCTCAGCCATGGTCCAGTAGCATCCATTTCCCTATCCCAGCTTTTCCTTAATCCTACCTGGTTACCATATTCCAATGTATTCTGCTTACTTGCTTTTCCCTGCCACCATTCGTTGTGTCTCATCTTTGTTTATGTCTCTTCTGGCCTCCAGGTTTATTGGTAACATTAAATATTTTCATTTTTATGGTCATTCTCTAATATTTGTTATTTTCTGGGTTATATTAATGTCTCAAAACTCTCTTTCTTTATGCCCCAGGGGAGATATTGTCTATAGAAAATTAGAGATGCTTAGCATTAAATTTAGTTTTAGTTCCTTCTCCATCTCCCAATCAGGCACCCTCTCTACATTAGCCTTACCTGAAAATTTGAGTGCCAGGGAGTTCATCAGCTTAGAGAGAAGCCCCCTTCATTTTTTATAGCTCCAGTTTTTAGGAATTTTTTTTGTTTGTTTTTAAGAGACAGGGTCTTGCTATGTTGCCCAGGTTGGTCTTGAATTCCTGGGCTCAAGGGATTCTCCCACCTCAGCTTCCCAAAATACTGGGATTACAGGTGTGAGCCATAGTGCACAGGCTTCTTTGTTGTATTGAAACCAAACATGCCTATCATTGGTGAACTTACTTTAGTCCTTTTGCGTTAAGTTTTTGTCATGTCTTTCCTATACCTTTTCTTTTTCAGAACAACTCTGTATATGCTATTGTTTTATGACATTTCAATTTTTTTTACTCATTTTAAACTAGTGTATACAATGAGAAAGCTCTTTTATTAGTTAACAGATGTTAGCAAAACTCATCCTCACAACTTAAAACTTCTTTCTGCCAAAAGAGCATTAAATTTGGTTTGGATTGCAACTGGTGATACCACCATCTATATGGCTAGCAGAAATACTTTAGTGTCCTTGCAAGGCAGTGAGTTGAAGGAGCAGGAGGGAAAGATGGCAGAGGCTGGATCAGGAAATAGAAGTCAGCCACTCATTGTAACTCTTGGAAAATTCTGAATTGGGTAAAGCTTGTTTTGACACTCTTACTTGCTCTTTCTAGACTTCTTTTCCCAATGCATGGATTCCCTTCCTGTTTTTTTCCACTTAATGTGCACAGAATATCTTGCTTTTTTCCTCAGTTAAAACTTGCTTTCAGGAAAGATTTGGTTTCAGCTGCTTGTATCTTTGTTGAGAATATAACATACTGTCATTCTCAAGTGTATGTACACTTTAAGCACAGTATTGGTTAGTTACCCATGTCACTACCTATGGGTTGAAAGGCATTGCTCTCTTGTGTGGAAGGAATTTTAAGCTTCAAAAACTATGTGAGAGTGATTTTGGAGGGCTGGAAAAGGGATTTATATTGGTTTTCCTAAAAATATACAAATATTTCAGCTGCCTGTTTTCTTGCATTTAAGTCTTGCCTGCAAATTTCCCTAAATATTCTGTTCCCTAAATAAATTCTGTAATGCATCCTAAGTATTCTCCCAGGCAGTGTTTCTCAAACTTATCAATGAACTTCTGGTATCAAAGGAGAGTGAATGCATAGAGCCCTGGGAACTGAGGGTGTGGCTTTACAGAACAGTGCTCAGAATGAACCTGATTCCTTTGTGAAATTGTTTCCTCTTCTTGCAGACTAAAAATCAATTTAATCCAAAAGATAGATGAAAATGGAGAATTATTGTGAAAGTCTTAACCATATAGGGCAGTAATGAAGGCATAGCATTAATCTAGAGAATAACTAATCCCTTTTGATGAATGGCATGTAAATAAATGCATTCCAAACAGATGTTTTTAGGTATCACATGCCCACCTTTTATTGTTTCGGGGTCACTTCAATACTGAGACATTTTATAAATGAAGCTCTCCTATACAATATAGACTCTCACACAGAGAGAGAGAGTAACTCGAAATTCATCACCGAATTCAACCCAAGAGAATATCCTTCTTAACTTGGGATTCTGTGAATACACAACTTAATATTTCATTTTGATATACAGTCAAGGATCCTGAAAAGAGATGAATATAATTTATACAAAGTCACCTTCATGCAAATGGCAATTTTGGATGAAAGTGGGAACGCCCATTTCCTAATCATAGTTTCTTCATTTTTTCCTGGTAGTCCTTGGAGTTCTGACACAAGATGCTAATGGTAAAAATTAATATTGGGTGATAATAAATATATCCTTGTGATTTGTCACTTCCCTTTTCTGCTTTTTGAGATTTTTATGATTGTGACCACTACAAAACTGTCCCTAAGGTTATTTCAGTCTATATTATCTATGCATGTAGGTTGGTACAGTACTATATAATTTTACTGCACCTTTTCAACTGATGACAATTATTATTTAAGACTTTAACTTTATTAAAGTACATCTTAATATGATTAAGACACCATTGTTGAAGACCTGAGCACTTTCAAACTTTTCAATACGTATATATTAAGAGTCTACGCTGGACAGCATACAGTACCTAAAGACAAAATGCTTAAAATGAAAGTTTAAAAAAAATACAGTTTAAAATTCATGTGATAAAAATGTGTGACTCAAGTGTCCAAAAGAAAACTGCTTATATTTGCAGACTAAAACCTGTGTTATTGCTTCCACTATTTGAATGATGATAATTATTAGCCAACAGTTTAATGAATCAGCAATTAATTAGTGAACACCTGTAATCTGCAAACCTGGGAATCAAGGCTTGGAGAGGTAGTAGGGGTTGTAATCAACATTTAGGAAGCACTGATTATATTTATGTTTTACGTTTTCTGGCTATTTGTTTAAATGATTTGTTTATCTTGATAAGTGACATATTCTTCCCTATTGACTTTGGGGTTGGCCATAAAACTTGCTTTGATGATTGGAAAATGGGGAGGAATGGAAGTATGCCAGTGAGCTGAGGCATTAAGAGGCTTCGTTTGTGTCCATTTGCTCTCTTACTCCAATTCCTCAGCTCAGCACTGGCTATTACTTCAGCCTGGTTTTAAAATAATAAAGCACGTGGAGCCCCAGCTGAGTGCAGGAGCGCAAGAATTATTTGTTCTTGGAAAGTTTTGAGATATTGTGGTTGTTTGATGCAATCAGTATAACCTTAGAAAAATTTTATATGTGTACATTTAAGCTTTATGTCCATTATATAAGATACAGTATTCTCATTTCACAGATGAGGAAATTAAGGAGTCAAAGGGGTTCAGCATTTTTTTCCATAGTCTCATTACTGGGAAGTGGCAGATCTAACCAGAATGTCAAAATATTTACACTGCACCCTGCTTGGCTAGGGTAAGTATGGAACAATGGTAAGACTCCTGCCTGAAAGTCAGGAAACCCATGTTCTAGTCTTAAAGAAATCATCGAGTCTCTTCCTCTAGGAAAGGCATATAGATTGAAGTCTTTGTTGGGGTCATAATTCCCTCTCAAGCCTCCTGTTGTCTCTGATTAGTAGACTGTGCATATAATTGACATTTACTGAGGATTACTTTGAGTAAGATTGTCCATAGTAAATATTAGCTGTTGGACTCTAATTTCTTTCAGAGGTGGTGCTATTATTTTTCAATATAATGGGAATGAAAAGAAAGCATTAATGCTCAATTCTCAAAAGATTTATATAATTTGTGAGTCACAGACTATAAGTAATCAGATGTTCAGAAACACTTAAAGAAGCTCCAGGGATAACGCCAGCTTCTACTCTGGAGTGGGAGTTAATGCACTTCCCCCGCAGAATGAGCTGAGCAGTCAGAGTGCTTATCTGAGTAATTTAGGCAAAACTTGTGGGTTTTAAAAATATGCCTGAATTTTGTGGATAATTACACCAACTCTTATTTCACTGGAGACTTATAGAATGACCCTATAGTCATAGATTAACCATGACAAACTTAAACTTTTAGAAGAATGAATTCATGCATATAAATGAGGATATGGTATAAATGAAGTTTCCTTTGGGACATGATTCACCTTTTCTATCTTCTCCTTTCCACAAGTATTATTTTTCTTTTATGAATCATCATACTCTCACAGCAAGGAAGGCATTACAAAATCACCAGTGTCATCAAATCTTATTCTTGATACCCTACAATCAGGCTGTTTTGTGAGCTTCAATTTCACTTACCATTTTCCCCAAAGAAAAGGAACAGGTTTTCTCCTAAAATCTCTCTATTCTACATGAGAATAGGAAGGCCTATCTAGGTTATCAAGACACTCTTTGTGCCTAAGAATTGCCTCTGAAACAACTGTGGTAGGAATTTTAAGTAGATTATCTCCTTTGAACTTCACAGCGTGTTTAGATGCTATGGCTTGGCCAAATACATAATTTCCCTATGTGGCCAGGGTGCCAGGATTGATACCCACGTTGCCTGACTTCGAAGCCCATGCTCATCCTACTACTCCATGCTTCTAAGGGGTGTTCTAAAGCAAATTGCAATGTTTCCTAGTTAAGTCCATGGCTGAGAGGGATTGTACAATGAGCTGTTTGATGACCTGAGAGCTAAGAAATGGGGATTATTAGGGAAGAATCAAAGGAAGGATAAGAAGTGGACAGGAGGATAAGTGTGATGGGGGGAGACGAGAAAGCCATGTTTTTTTTTTTTTCTTCCTGCACTGTAGTTTTGCCAAGAAAAAGTCCTTACTATAAGATTACTTTTAACAGCAACTTTAAGCTTTATATGTTTATTCACATGGTGACAGTTCTTGTTTATGATTTCAGGTTTATTTTTAAGAGGATACTCATAAAACTTG
Organism: Homo sapiens; assembly: GCF_000001405.40. Lineage (NCBI taxonomy): Eukaryota > Metazoa > Chordata > Mammalia > Primates > Hominidae > Homo > Homo sapiens. Next base: position 39,674,372 of record NC_000014.9, read on the forward strand.
ATATCATGAGGTAGTCTTTAATGTCCCACAGATTTCTTTTTCGGAGTTTCCCCTTTCCTTATACTTGTGACCTCTAATCCTACCTTCCAAGAAAGTTTACCATTCCTGTTGAGCATCTACCATGAAGAAAGTACTCTGACCTTGACCCCCCAGCTTTCTCTCTACATGATTCTCTTCTCCCCACACAGGTCTCTGTAGTCCTGGCCTTTCCATTTTCTGACTTGCCTGCAAAATTTGCCAGTCACAAGTTCCATTTCTTTAGGAACCTAAAGAAATCCATACAAATAGTCTGTGTTAATGGTTAAGTGTTTATTCCGTGTGGATAACATAGTTGTACTTGGCCAGGGGGCCTTCTGAATAAAATGTTTTTAGGTTTCATGAAAATAACTTATGATCTATTAGACTCATAGTATTTTAAAGCTAAAAGCAAACTTAGAAGAAATTCTGGTATAATTTCATCAGTTTTTCAAATGGGAAAATGAGGCCAAAAGGCATTCCTAGAATTTAGTTCTTAAATCACACTTTCAAGATAGTGATATGGCAATTATTCCTTCAATTATTGCTTCAGAAATGGGCCAAAAAAAAAAAAGAAGTACAAAAAGAAATGATTTGATTGAAGTTACACAGAGGATCAAAAGCCCAACTGGAATGGATTCCTTTTACCTACCTTCCTTCTGATTTTGCAAGTGATGTTTAGAATATCCTCAAGATCCTTTTTTTATGAAGATGACACATTTTAGCTACAGACCTCCTTAATTTTGCTTATAAAACTTGTCTGTCTTTTCAAATTCTGTTAAACTGAAATTTTATGGATGTCTGAAACCTGGAAGTAGCAGTGGTTGAGTTGAAGGGTGAGCAGAGTTAGGGAAAACTTCCTCTTAGGGCTTAGTTGCTTTTATTTTAGAAGTCACCCTTCTCTGTTTTGGCATTATACTGGCAATGATGTGATTGAAAAGAAAATTAAGAACCAACTACTGTCAGTGTCAAATTAGTCGCTTTTGTAAATAAGAAAAGCTTTTCAATCAGGAACTTGAAAGGCCATCTGGATTTTATAGTTTGCTCAAACAAAAATAAATACTAAATACTGTAAACCAATCATTTCTAAATTAGCTGTAGTAATAAAATATGCTACTTATAAAAATTACTTTCCTCTGTAGGCCTGGGTTGGTAACAAAACAAAGCAAAACAAAACAAAAAAACAATTACTTTCCATTTTCTAGCCAAATGAGATTACTAAATATATTAGGTGTCTTTGCTTTTTCTATACTGAACAAGAATCTTGAAATCCAAAAGGGTTTATGAGCAATTCATAACTGATAGATAAAGGAATTTGTGTGAGTAGTGATATAAGTTTAGATTGGTTATTTACCATTTATTCTTAACGAAAGTACAGATTTTTATTATTATAAAAATAAATTACTGAGGTTAAATTAGTCCGATTGATTGACTTTTTTTCTTCTTGTCCAATCGCAAATGATAACTCTTACCAGTTTCTATAGGATGAGATTTTGTCTTTTGGCTTAATATGATATTTAATGCCTAATTTCTTACAAAATTCCAGACTAGACATCTGATTATATTTCATGATGTATGGTATAAAAGTTGCAGTTATGTCATATGAGTGTCTTAACAATTGTAGATCTCAAAGCTAAAGATTCACTACTTTAATTGTTTGCTTTTATAAAATAAAAGCAGCTAATATAGGACATTTACTATTTTCCAGGCACTGTGTCGAAAGCATTAAATGCTTTATCTATTTAATTTCCACACAAACCAATAAGGTAAACACAATCATCACTCCCATTTTAAAGATGAGGAAACTGGGATTTGGAGGGTTAAGTAACTTGCCCATGGTCCGCAGTTATCAAGGAGGAACTGGAACGTAAATCTAGGTTTGTCTAACCTTGAAGTCTATGTGCATAGCCATTGTGCCACACTACCTGATGAAGAAGAAAACTGCCGAAGAAACTAGGTGATGACCAATGCATGCAAGCTGGGCAGAGAGGAAATCTGAAGTAGCATCTGATTCTCGCTCTTATTACCAGTCCTAGCTCAAAACAACACCCTTTGCTCTGTTGCAAATATTCTCTTGCAAGGGTTGGATAAACTTAAATTTTAAGAGTGGATAAACTTGTGGTTGGCTGGAAGTAAAATGAAAGACTTTCTCTCATCATTGACATCCAAACATTGAAAAGTTCTGTTGATTCTTTCTTCTAAACTTTTCTGAAATCCTTCTCTCTCATCCTCACTCCCACCGACTTAGTTTAAAAATCCTGTAGGTCTCATCTAGTATCCTCTTAATTTGTCTCTCCATCTGTCCACTCTTCCTATTCATTCTACAATATCTTTCCAGTATTGAGTTAAATTAGCCACAGCTTGTGGATCCACAGGAGAGACAACATGTAAATAAGCTGTTACAAAACAATGCAGTACATCCCTGATCTATTTGGTTCTATGTGAGCATAGAGAGGTCAGAATTTCAAGGGAGGGGCAAGGCAAAAAGTAACATTTAATGGAGGCGCTGTTTACTAATGTTGTAAATAAAAATAGAACCTTCTAATGATAATTTCACTACTCCTAATAGTTATTGAGTTATTCCTGTGTGTCAGTGAAAAGGACTGTTTTGAGTCCTTTTCATACGTGATCTCATTCAGTTCTCACAACCACACTCTGTAGTAAGCACTACTGTTATCCCCTCTTTACATAGGAGGAAACCAAGGCTTAGAGAGTTTAAATGACTGGCCCAAGGTTACATAGCTGAGTAGGGGTGGAGTTAGGATTTTAACTAAGGCAGTCTGAGTTCATTTATTTAGAGGCAAAGAGGAGTTGAGTTTTCGTATGCATTGCATTTGAGGAGTAGACTTGTTCCAAAGGCAGTGGGTATGTGGATCTTAAGTTCAGGAGATGCAGAGTTGGGAGTCAGCAGTCTATAGAAGTTACTTGAAGCTAAGAATGTTCATGCAAATGCCTCCAGGAGAGTGAGAGTTTGAATAGAGGAGATTCAAGGAGAGAAACTTAGATAAAGCTACCACGATCACAATGTAAGGGGAAACCTTAAACATGTCCAGGCACTACCAGGGAGGATCGTTATTTGAAGTATGTGTCACATCTATATTATAGTCAACAGTATTCAAATCCAATGACAACAGGCAGGTGCACTGTGCTTTTCTTCAAAGCTCTTTCCATAAGGTAGCAAATGAGCCATCTTGTAACCTCATCAGAAGAGAGGAGTGGCCTTCCAACCATCAGCTGAGCCTTGGCCCTCCTCTGGCCTATGCTATTCAGCCACCTAAGTATCCAAACAGCATGGCCGGGTTTGCACATAGGAGTTAGAACAGATCACTGGTTGTCCTGAAACCCTGCCTTAGCTCTGTCTTTTCCCAAAGTAGCTTACTTCTTCATTTAAATCTATATCACAGCTACTAGCCTGGTGCCCTCTGTGACTCAGCTTCTGTAACTATCTAGAGTAGAGATCAACAAATGTTTCAGCAAATATTTTGGAGATCAGCAAACATTTTTAGCTTTGTGGACCATACAGTCTCTGTTGCAACTGCTCAATTCTGCTATCTGTTGTAGCATGAAAGAAGTCATAAACAATATGTAAACATAGCTGGGTGCTCCAATAAAACTTTATTTACCAAAACAGGTGATGGGTTGGATTTGGCTCATGGGCTGTGGTTTGATGACCCTTGATGTAGAGTCATGCCACTCTGTTTGGTGTCCTTTCAACAACACTTTCTCAGCTCTGATCCTTTCTTCATTAAACGCTTAGCTCCATACAGTTGAATACGCTTGTACTCATTCCTTATTCCGTTCTTATTCTCCTCTTTCTTGCATATTTTCTAGTATATTCCCTAGTAAAATTTTCTGCTTTGAGAAATATTTTAATAGTTACTGTAAGAGCAACTCCATAGGTAGGCTAAAATGGAAGTGGCAGTTAACTGAACTATGGCATTGTGAAACCTATAGTGTTTTGGTGATCTGATCTATTTCTGTTCTAGTTTCTTAAACACCTCTCCACCAAATTCAAAATCATTTATTACAAGTGATCTTGTTCAGTAGTGGAGTTGCGCTTAATAACGTAACACATTAGGTTTTATTTGTAAAGTCAGGGATGATTTTGATTCCCATGCAGCAAACCCTTTTTGTGTGTTTTGCTTCTTTGGGAATTTGGTAATTTTGTGAAATATAGAAGGGTGCCTAGCGTTTCTTAGATGGAATCCCTATGGAAGGACACACATGGTGATTGTGAGATTACCCTGAGAATTGGGGAAATTCAGCTTACCACTGAACATTTAAATAGAAAATGAAAGCATCCATTGCATTTCAGGAGAATTGAAAATTGGAAAATAAGTACTAAAACAGTTTGCTTCTTAGTAAAGCAAGATTTAGAAAATATTGGAAATCTGCTAAAACATCATTTTCTTCCACAGTCCTTATCTTTAGGGGTTCTTGCTATTGATTATGAAGTATATTTGAATATTTTTTTAAATTGCAAAATCCTTATTTATATACATTGATCTTTATACCAAGAGGGCTGATAGAGTAAGCTTGATTTTCTAATCTTCCTGATCTTAATTGAGTTGTTTATATAGCATTTCAAGTCTGCTATCAATTAAGTAGCCATTCTGTGATGTGTGAGTTGAGGAGTGAAATACAGTGATTTTTGTGTCAACTCCGTTTGTGACAAGAAATCAATGCATGAACAGCAGAGCCAGGAAAACACTGAAATCCTTTTATGGTTTTACATTAATTTCTATGGCAGGTAGGGTAGACATGTGCTGCTTGATCCCTCTTCAGAACAGGTCTTGCTGCCCAGCTGTGGGGAGTGCAGTTAGTGCACAGCCTGAAGCTGTCAGCTCCTTTAGGGTCGGTCTCAGCTGAGGTCATGCCATTCCAGACAGCTCACAACTGATATTGGTGTGAGATGAGGGGCTATAAAGACCAGGCCATTTCACCCTGAAGTAGGATATTCTGTTAGACAACACTTGTGCCAAAGTGCTCTGTCAGCTTTATGGGGCTAGAATTGCAATTTAACTTCCCCTTCTGCCCAATTTTGCTTCAGCTCCTTCATTTACAGGAGTTTATCCACTCACAAACATATTGCATTCAAAACTCCATCTCAGCATCTGCTTCCAGAGAATGTGGGTTGCAGTAGCAGGTGAGTGGTCAGCAACCCTCTGGCGTCCTCATGCAAGGGATAGATCTATCAAGAAGACTTACACTTTGTAGTGTTTGGCCCTTAGTGGTGATGGGTTATCCCAAGTTATTCACATTGTCTCAATGGGTCCTCCAAGAGAAATGACTTGAAGCATAAAACAGAGCTGGATAATCTAGAGGCATATTCTGCTAAGCAGGTAGGAGAAACTGCTAGAAACCTTAATGGTTTGCCACCTTGCTAAAAAAAATTATTTAGTCTTTTTGGCATCTGAGGTCTTAGTGGAAAACTTGTTTCTTCCATTTTTCCTGAATGCTTTTTTATGTGTACGCTCTTTTTCATTCCTCCAATTCTTCCTTGTTTATTCAGTGTCCCAGTTGCCACAACTTCTGTGGGCTCAGTTATCAGGCCTGGCTGAGGCTTCTGTGGATCAAAATGGGCATAAGAGTGTGCTACAGAAAAGAAGAGGAGAGGAAGCCAGCATTGGGCCAGGGGCCAGGAGAGCTCAGCCAGTGTGGCCCTGAGGAAGGGAACAATGGTCCCAATTATAGGCTCCAAGGAGTTTGGGTGGATTGGAGTCATTCTGGTTTCTGTTGAGATGTGGAAGGAGGCTGTTGTTTACCAAGAACCTGCATGCCTTCGGCCCTCTACATGTCAGCTCATTTAAGTTTCAAACAAACGCACAAGGTAGATATTTTAGAGTTGAGGAAATTTTTAAATTTTTTATTTTATTTAAATTGATAAAATTCTATGTGCTTATTGTGTACAAATGATATTTTGGAATATATGTACACATTGTGGAATGGCTAATCAAGCTAATTAACAGGTGTGTTACCTCATGAGTTGAGGAAATTGAAGCATAGAGAGATTTAAGTGACTTGTCCAAGTTCATTTAATGGCTCTGAATGTGCAGAGATGGTGGTGAGGAGTTAGTGCTGTAGTAGGTATTACTAGTTTTCTAACAAATACCCATTTTCCCTTCTGCTTTAGTAAGAGAACCCCAAATTTTAGCCACATTTGTTGTGGCCTTGAATAATAACTTTCCAGTGCAACTAGGTATAGCCATATGACCAGATTCTTACCTATGAGACGTAAATGGAAGTGTTGTGTGAGATTGCTCTGAAGTCTCTTAAAGAAAAAACGGAGGTGATGAGATTTTTCTTGTTTCTTTCATCTTGCTGTCTGGAGTGCAGATATAATAGCTGGAGCTCTAGCAGCCACCGGGACTATGTTACATTAAATTAAATTTGATCTACAGTAGCCTCTGTACCTAGTATTCTGCAACTTAACTTATTTTGTACACAAACTGCAACCTCACTTTATTATAGTCTTGCAACAAATAGCTGAGTCTCAACTAATCCCAGTAGTTGAGCTTCAGCCAATCAGGGCTGCCAACTGATCAGATCATGCCCATATAAGACAAATACCTCAACCAGCATGCTTAAATAAGGCAGCTGCAACCAATCAAGTGGTTTCTGTATCACTTCCTTTTTCTGTTTATAAATACTACCTGTCCCCATTGCTGGGTGGAGCTCTCTGAACCTCTCCTGGTTCTCACTGCTACCCAGTTCTAACCAGTAGTTCAGAGATCTTCATCCAATATGGGCAGGCAATATTTATGGACAGAAAAAGGAAATGACATATAGAAATACTTTGATTATAGCTCAGTATTTGTCTTATATGAACAAATATAAGGCTGATCAGTTGGCAGCCTGTGACCGGCTGAGACTCAGCTATCTGTTGCAGAATATACTCTTAAGTGAGGTTGCATTTTGTTTACATAGTAAGTTAGGTTGCAGTTCACTACATAGACAGCTTTAGGCCAAATTTCATTTAATAAACTAAAAATGGATCTCCATTATACATAAATATGGATATAATGTAGTTATTTTTGAATAACACCATTAAACTCCCCATGCCCCTTCTAACAGCAGTACCTAGGAAGTAGTTCAGGACCTTTCTGTTTAATCACTTTACTCCCAATATTGTGTGACACATACAAGCATGCTTTTAAGTGTCACCCCTTTGATAGACAAGTATTAATAACATTCAGAGTTGCTGTCTGGAATCAAATTTTCAGTCACAAATTTTCCTGTATCCTCATCACAAATGGTAGCTTCTGCCCAGTTGCATTTTAAAAGGAAACTCACCCTTTCGCACATCTTTCAGGAAAAATGAGAGGCTTAGTCTCTGACTGAGAAGATTTTAACTCAATTAAGGTGAGTGATTTGATCTTTAACCCATGGCAGTTTTGTTCTGAGGATACCTCACAACCAAAATGAGCACTGCAGTAGAGCAAATAGAGATCAGAACTAGGGTATCATTGGAATGAATGTTTGCATCTGACTCTGATTACAATAAGCAACGTGGCCTAGCTGGGGAATGCTGTATTTTCACAATTGACAGACCAAGCAGCCTGCAGCAATCAGCAAAGGGCGGCTTATTTTGAGCAAAAACATCCATCACACTGTGATGAGAAAAGCAGAGCTGCAATCAGTGGCAGGTTCTTCCAAGAGCTGTTGATGAAAAATGGACTTTACATGTATCAAGCTGAGAAAGAACTGCCGCTCATTTTTTAGCCTCATTTGCATGCATGAACAACAACATTGGAAACATTTTTGAACATGAAAGAGAGTGAGACAATAGTTCCATCATGAGTAGAACTTTTCTGTCCTCAATCATAAAATAGCACACCCAATCTGTGACAGGAATATATTAGGTTTCAAAAGGCAAGATAATAAGCAATTTCAAAGAAGGTTCTAACATTCACTCCGAAAGTCTTAGGCAGATGTATTATTTTCATTGGTATTATGATAAAAAAATTCCATTGATGTAACCAATAGAATGGAAATCTTTGATAATATGTTCAGTCTTATCTATATTAACTCTATTTCACATGACTAAAAAATTAGAACTCTTTAGCTCTTGAATCCTTCCAACTGCATGATGTATCATGAAAGCTCTGTAGGTTCAAAGTTTGTGATTTGAAGTGAAAGAAAAGTTGTTCGAGTAGGAATCTTTAGCTTTCTTCTTTTGACAGCATGTCCTGCTGTCGTTATGAGATTTTTGGTTTTGATATGTGCTAGGATATTTGGAAGTTTTGCCTAACGTGTCAGAAAGAAGCTAAAGATACAGAATGATCTTCATTTTTAAGCATTAAATTTCTCTCTCCTTAAGGCCCACTAACTATGCATAGAGGCATTTAGAACTGGGGCCTGATCTTGCCTTACAGGCTGCTCTGTTTGATTTTGTCCTGCCTCCTGCAGGGAAGCTGTGGGAGGAAAGTGAGATAATATATTGGTTTAAGTTTATGGCATCCAAAGTCTATTCAAAAGCATGGGCTTTCTCTCCTGTTTCTCATTTCCCATTGGGTAGTTTCTGAATTAGTTCTCGCCTTTTGTATTTGATTAATTTGCTCTATTTAAGTCCATGAGGATTGATTGTTTCTCTATATGAGTTTGCTGAAATGTAAAATAAGCAATCTGCCTGTTTCTTCAAACAAGAGGAAAATTAATACTGTGACCTAAAAGGATATTAATTAAAAAAAGAATAATACGCATATCAATCAAAGATAAGGTCTCAGATGCCTCAGGCCTGATAGACTATCACTTTCTCCTTTTCTTTCTTGTGTAGTTGTTAAGGATTTCACATATGGACTCTGGAGCTCATGTTCTAAAGGTGAGGTTACTTTCCTGTCCTTGCTGTTTATATCTTACATAGAATTAGAAAGATGCCATGCAAAAAGCTATTGGCCACTCACTCATGGCTATGCATGCATTGTATCCAACTGCTCCTTCAATTTGTAGCAACCAAGTCAGGAGTGCTGTGGTCAGCTATTGGCTAAACTGTAAGCCGTGTCAGAGCAAATTTCAGAGGAAGTCTGTGAATGGTTGCTGATATGCTATCCACAGAGTAGGACTGTCTAGAAAAAATCCTGCTATTTATTATTTTCATATTGAATTAGCTCCCCAATATCTCCTTAGGCTGACCACCAGCACTGTTGCCCTGATTACAAAAACCAACAGTTTTTGGAGCAGGGGGCATGGTAGGCATGCCAACCCGAGCAGTTAAAATGTTAAATGCCTGACTTCATAATGTGTGGGTGGATGTTTGTGCTAAGTGTTAAAAAATATATCTTGCCACAGGGAGAAAATGGTGATTTGAATACTCTTTTCAGAGCTCCCTGAGTTTCCTTGCTGTGGTTGAATAGGAAGTTGTGGAGCATTTTCCCATCAGTGAAATGCCTCTGTATCCTTTTGGGGTGGTAGTAGAAAGCCTATAGGACTCATGATCCCTGATGTCTTCTTTCAGTTCTCTACATGGCATATTACATGATAGCATGAGAAAAATATGCCAGCAATTCAAGCAGAAAGAATTCTAGAAGGCTCACTTCTCAGTCTTTATTCTCTGATGTGTATTGAATGACAATAGCAGTAAAACCTCAAGCTGTTCATTTGGATCGGGCAGCCGTTGTGCACTTGGATATGACTATTCTTTTTATCAAATCTCCTGTTATTTGCATTTATATGATGCCTTTCTTCTAAAGCTCTTAAAGCAATTTCAGCTTCACAATACTTGTGTGAATTGAATAAGAAGAAACATACTTCATTTTGAGGTTGAGATAAAAGATAAATTGTCAATGACTCTCCTCAACAGAACAGAACAGAGCGCAGTGGGTACTCAAACAATTTTTCCACACTGATTTCCCTGGAAACCTCAAAGAAAAGGTTATTTTAAAAAGGAGTTCTGATCCTGGGTCTAGACATCCTGGGGGCAAGGGTCCATTGACAGGCTTCAGGGCTTCTGTGAACTCCCTGAGAGATGTACAAAATGAAGTTCTCCTGCACATTTTCCTGGGCTGAGGGTTTGCATTGCTGTATTTACCAGATTCTAACATGGCTTAAGGACCATTGTCTGGAACCATGCTCCTTAAATATCTAGTATATTCAAATCAATTGAGATGTTTGTCAAAAATTCCAGGGCACATATCCAGAAATTCCAAGTTAATAAGTTTGGGGTGGGGTCTTGGGACCTGAATTTTGACACCAAGTGATTCCAATTCTGGTGAACCAAGAGACTCATTTAGAGAAACATTGGTCTAGCCCCTTGAAGGTGGCTTAGTAAGAAAGTCACTTACTGGCATCTTTGGAAATTATTGTTTCAGACTGGGGAAGAGAAGCTAAAGTGCAAGACCAGAGAGAGGGTGCAGAAGCTGTAGTGGCAGAGAACGCCATATATTTCGTCATGTGTCCTAAAACCAGAATTGTATTTCAAGAGAAGTTAGGCTATCGGTCTGTGAAAGTGAAAGATTGAAAGTGGAAAATAAAACAGCTTAGATGAGAATGATTTAAAATGTACAGGGGAAAGTGTTAGTAGACACAATACTATTTTTAGGTCTTTCTTATCTGTTTTATATTGCCCTTATATCAGAAAAACAGCTGCTGGCAGGAAACAAATGCTCAATCAATTCATCAAATATCAGGGAGCTGGAAATTCAGATCCTGCCATTAACCAGAACATAAGAAATAACATTAGGTGAAGAGGAGCATTTTACTGTATTGCTGGGAGAACTGAGTTAGCTGGACCAAGGTCTGTTCTAAAGCAGCAAAGTATTTTAGGATTTTCTGTCTTTACAAGCCCATGGAAGAATAGCATAAGTAGAGGGATTTTATTCCATTGAAGGGGGCACTTGTGTTTTTTTCCCAAAAAGGTAGTATGTTTGACAAGAAGTTCTGTGAAACTGTTATTTTAAATACAGTCATTCCTGAACTAGGAGACCATCCGGATTCAGTATAAGTGGATGGGTTGACCAATGCAGGAATACATTTGATCCCATCCCCCATCAGTTCTCCATGCTTTCCTTCAGGAAATATTCTCGACAAGGCCTGACAAAATCCTCTTGTTACTCTGTCATCATTCATGTTGCCAAATATACTTTGATGTGTGTGGCACCAGACCACACTTAAGGAAAATTGCTTCATGAACTTTTATTTAAAACTATAATAATGTTAGCTCGGTGCCTTCTTTGCTTGTTACTTTGTCATTTAGTTTGGTTGTAAGAATATGATGCGGGTGGTAAGTCAATTGCTCTAAAACCTCACAGCAGTGTGTAAAGTACTATATTCATAAAGTACCTTTTGGGAAGTACATAGTGTCTTTTTGAAGAGATTTGTTTTAAATTTAACAGAGCCTTTTTCTGTAAATGTATTGACACACATTTAGAGCACACAATGCTGGAGCCTTGCAAGATCTTTAGAGAATATGTGTGCATGGCTGATGAAATGCCACGATTTGTTTGGAAAAAGCTTTTAGGAAACTAAATTGTATTAAAAGAGAAGTGAGCTTTTTAAATGTGGGTATAATGTACCCTAATGTAAAGTTGTAGCACTTGATCCTGAAGAAAGATTTCGAGGAAAGCAAAGGGGGGTCGTGGCCGAAGGGATCTCTGTCCTTCAGGTTGGCCTGAGCCAACTGAAAGCGGTCTTCCTGCTGTCCTTCCTTGGCCAGGTTCTTTTGTGATCCCACTCTCCCTTCTCACCACCTTCACTTCCCTCCTCCAAAACACACTCGGAGTCCCATTCATTGTTGAACGCCCAGCACTGTAAAACTGGCACACACTCATGCTAAATAGATATTTGTTAAGTGAATTGATGAGTGCTTAAAAATCTCCATGGATTTTCTATCAGTCTTTGGATAAAAGTTACAATCTTTACAATGACCTACAAAGCCGAGGCTGATCGTGTCCCTGTGACTGCACTGACTTCATCTCCTAATGTTCTCCACGTCCCTCACACTGTTCCAGCTACACTGGCTTCCTTGCAGTTCCTCACATAAGCCAGGGCTAATGCCACCTGAGGGCCTTGTCATTTGCTATTCCCTCTGCCTGGAATGCGTTCTCCAGATACCTACATGGCTTCTTTCTCAACCTCCTGAAGTCTTCTCAATGAAGTCTTCCTACGCCTCATTCCTTATGTCAGGTATCTATTTATTGTTGTGTAATAAACCACCCCAAAATTTAGTGGCTTAAACAGGAATGATTTGTTATTTGCGACAATTTTGCAGGTGAGTGGGTGTTCCTTCCCTATCTGGGGGAGTCTACATTCAGCGGAGAGCTCCACTGATACATCTTGATTTTCCTCCACATGGTCTCTCTCCGTGGTGGCTCATCCTCCAGGGCCTCTCTACGTGGCTCTCCTTCCAGTAGAATAGCCAGGCCTTGCTTAAGTCATACAGGCTGACTTCCAAGTGACAGCCTTCCAAGAAGAAGACAGGCCCCCAGGGGAAGGGCTTACCCAGCCTCTGCTTGTATCACACTTGCTAATGTCCTGTTGTTTAACTCCAGTCACATAGCCATGGCCAGAGCCAATGTGGCAGGAGATTACACAAGTATATGAACACCGGGAGGTGTGGTTAATTGGAGACTACCAACCCAATAGTCTACTCCCGTCTGCCCTTTAGCCCCAAGTGATTCACTTCTCTCCCACCTGCAAATTACACTCACAACCTTCAAAGTCACATCCCATTAAGTCCTGTGGTTTACACTTGAGTTCCAGGATCTTCCAGGTTAGATCAGGGCCAGATTTGGCTGAAGCAAGTGGGTGCCATTCCCCAGGTGCTGCTCCTTAGTTGTCATTCTTCAGGTTTAAAGACCTATAAACTGGGTCAGCAAGATCGTTCTTTGCCTCTCAACTTCTACTGTAGAAATGCAGCATATTCCTTTCCAGTGGCCAATAGGATTTATTCTGCTTAGCTATTTCTCTCCTTATGCAATTTAAATATTTTCTTTTTTGCTGTACCCTCAGAAAAGACATAGAAAATCTCATTGTTATGCTATAAGTTCATCATTTTTATAATTACCAATTTTATCTTAAGTTGATCACTTTTATGATTACCAATTTAATCTGTTTCCTCCCAATGTTTTAGTTATCTATTACTATATTTTAAAAAGCACCCCAAAATTGAATGGCTTGAAACAACAGTGCCTTATTATTTCTCTCAATTTTCTGGGTTTACTGGGTTTCTATTCTTTTTATGTGGTGTGGTGCCAGTGGGGTCTCTGCTGTATTTGCATGCAGGTGGGAGCTCAGTGGTGCACCTTCGTTCTTCTTCCTATTGTCATCCTCCCCACCTTGGTCTTGTGATCCAGGGCCTGTCCATGTGAACTTGTATCTCCAGAAGGATAGTCTGGACTTTCTTACAATGCGGCAGCTAGGTTCTCAGACAGTAATAAAGAAGCGGCCAGGTCTCGTAAGGGCCAGGCCTGGAGCTGATACCTCCACCTGTTCTATTAGTCAGAGCAGGTCAGAAGGCCAGCCTGGATTCAAGGAGAGAGAAAATAGACCCTATCTCTTAAGCGGAGAGATGGAATATTGGTGGCCATCTTTAGGGACTATCTACCACATTCCTTCTTTCCTGTTCATTTTCTCCTAACTTCTAATCACTCTGTATTTATCTTATTATTTATTTTCAACACTGAATGTATGCTCAGTAAAGTCAGGGATTTTTTCTTTCTTTTTTCTTTTTTTTTTGAGATGGAGTCTCACTCAGCCACCCAGGCTGGAGTGCAGTGGTGCCATCTCGGCTCACTGCAACCACCGTCACCCGGATTCAAGCACCCAGGTTCAAGCGATTCTCCTGTCTCAGCCTCCTGTGTAGCTGGGATTAGAGGCACCCGCCATCATGCCTGGCTAATTTTTGTATTTTAGTAGAGACGGGGTTTCACCATGTTGGCCAGGCTGGTCTTGAACTCCTGACCTCAGGTGATCCACTTTTTTATTCATTTTATTTAATGCTGTATATTCTACAGAATACTGCTTGCCACATAATGGATGCTCACAGAGTTTTTGAATGAATATTTAGCATGCTACCTGCTGGGATACATCTCCTGGTTTCTTTACCTGGGCATTTATCATCTACATGTTCTCTCATGGCTGATTTGAATGCAGAATGTTAATATATATTTACATATTTGACTTTTGCCATGTCTTAGCCCACTTTCTCTGTTTGTATCTTTGAACGTTAACTCTGACATTGTTGGATTCTTCACCTAGTGTGAGTCTTCTGATAGAGAATGACAGTGCAGAACTTGATGCCAACTTGGCTGGCTGGCCCCATGCCCACTTAAGACTACTTCCTCGATATCCACTGATCTTCCCATAGCGTCAGTATACCGAGAAAGTGATGCTTTCTCTTTTGTTTTGGGGAAATACATATATGAGACATGGAGAGAAAAATAGGCATAAAAGACAGAATATATTAGAGTTAACCTCATGATAAAGTATAGAATATCCCACAATGTGGGGTTCTGAAGAACTCTAAGGGCAGACACCCATTTCATTTTGAGTATATTTGTCAGATGAAAAAGACAAATTTCATTTGACCATATTTGTCATATGAAAGAAATTTAAAATTTTCAAATAATTTTAGGATATTCACAAATTAATGGCTGATGTAAAACTGTTTTATTATTTTTTTCACTAATCCATTCCAGTGTAATTTCGTCTTACTCCTTTTCTTTTTGTGTCTTTCCTCCAAGTTACTAAAATTTTTTTATTGAAAATGAACAGTTGTTACCTTTAAATCTCATCTCTCCAGTGATGCTTGATTTGGGAGTATATGATTGTTTTAACTGATTTCATTTGGCCTAAAGCTTCCCAGTAAAATCTTTGGAGGAGGGAATTGCTTGTTGCTTTTACAGGATATTGTTAGAGGTAGAATTAGCCATATGATATGCTGATATCATAAAACCACGGATTCTAGAAAACACACATACAGATCAGTCTAATTTTTTAAACAGTCACATCTCATGTTGTAAATGAAAGACAGTAGGGTGACATACGAAAATCATATTAATGGATGGTTTCATCTAATGTCTGTAGCCAGAAATTGCAAAGGAATTCAGTGACTGCTACATGATTAGCTGTGTAGAATGAAAATAACTATTATTTGCTCATATGATTTCTGTTTAAGCAAGTGAAATACCACAGCTGGGGGATAATTGCTGGCAGGCTTTGCTGGGTGAACTTTAAATAAATAGAAAGAGAAAGGTAAAAACATTTAAAGGGAAATATTTAAATAATGCTTTCAAAGCAAATGCTGAGAAAGAAGGTATAAGCGTCCTGAAACATATCATGAGACCTTTATGAATTATTAAAGACCAAACCATAATGTTATCTTTTCTGTTAAAGATAATGCTAGTATAAATTGGGAGCATTTATAAACTTCTGTAGGATGGCAGACACAGAATATATATCATAAAGTTGATTGCTTTTCTGAAATAAAATTAGTGGATACAGACAATTCCATAAATAATAGTATTTAATGACAATTTCTTTTTTAAATAAGTTTATATCTCTGCAAATTTATTCCTAGAAAGATAATTTAAAATCTTGCTTACAAGCTGAAGTAGGAAGAATCACTAGGTACCCTCCATCAGGGCAATTTCAAATATTGTTCTTTTCCACCCACCAAGCCTGATTTAAGGCATTTAATCATGGGCTAAGAAGGCTGGATTTTTTTATTGTATTTTTAACTCTCCAATTTTGGATGTTGAAAACTAACATCCCAAAGAGGGGTTTGATCAAAATGAGAATTATAAAACAAGGAAGGATATTTGATTCATGTTATCTAATAATGCAAGTTTACACAATTTTAAGGCCCTTTCTGTATGTGAAACGAGAACCTCCTCTCTTATTTTCCTAGTGGTGAGAATGGCCCTCTGAAATGCCACCATTCTTTTAGCCTAGACACACTTCATCCCTAGTGACAAAAACCTACTGATGTTTGAGACTCAGATATGTGTCCTTCCTGGGCACAGTTATAATTCTAACTTTTTTTTTGTTATGAGAAAGAATGATCCCAGATTTGGGAAAATGAGAAGAGGGAACGTTGCTTAGAAAGCACATGCTGTGAGGACATGGTTATACCAGGCACAGGGAATTCGGGGGGAAATGGAGTCATCATCCACAATCACTTGTTAATGTTCAACTATATACATATGGCACTCTTGAGGCACCGAGAGAGAGGGGGAAATACCTGCCTCTCTCCTACCCCCAATTGAAACAGTGAAATAACCAGAGATGGGTTATAACATTTTTCAGAGAAAGGTAGACTTAAATGGATTTGTAAAAATAAAATTCTTTGTTGGCAACAATAAAGGAAGCTGTATTTATTTTAGGGCTGATTCATTTTTGTCACAGAACTATTAACTTATTGTAAAGATTTATTTTCTAACTATCAGTAGATTGAATTCTTGTCATCAGCAATTTGTAAAATATAGAAAACATAAAGAAGGAAATAAAAATCATCTTTGTCTTTTTTAACTTTTAAGTTCAAGGGTACATATGCAGGATGTGCAGGCTTGTTACGTAGGTAAATGTGTGTCATGGGGGTTAGCTGTACAGATTATTTCATCACCCAGGTACGAAGCCTAGTATCCGTTAGTTATTTTTCCTGATCCTCTCCCTCCTCCAAACCTCTGTCCTCAGGTAGGCCCCAGTGTGCGTTGTTCCCCTCTATGTGTCCATCTGTTCTCATCATAAAAATCAACTTTAAACCCTAAATTTAGAGATAATAGCCATTAAAATTTTAGCCCATTTACTGCCAATATTTTTGAATATATATATACACAAATATATATACTTTGCACAGTTAAGATTATACTGTTTATGTATTTCTACATCGTGAAATGTTTTTATCTGCTTTATATTATTGATTTTTTTACATCTTTACTTACTTTCTATAAATACCATTTATAAAGGCTGAATAAATATTTCATCGTAAGTGTTAACTTAGCACTCCCTTATTATTGGATATTATATTCATTTAAAAATGTTATAATAAAATTTGTTGTGCATAAATATTTAGAAGTAGAAATACTAGTCAAAAAGATTACCTATTTTCAAAATTGTTTTTGAAATATCTATTGTCAAATTGCTTTCTGTGAGGATTATGCCAATGTATGTTAACCAATACTAATGAGATTAATCTCATCACATCATTGCCAAAGATGAAGAGCATCATTAAGTGCTGAAAAGTCTTGTGTTTTTTATTGAACATTGTTGTCTATCAGTCACTTACATTTCTGTTTTGTGAATTGTTTATTCCTATTCCCTTTTTGTCTATTTGTTTATGAAGACTTTAATGTTTTTCATATCAGGGATAGTAATTTTTAAAGGTAAAGTATTAGCTTATGTATTAAATTTAGTTTTAGAGAGCAGCTTCTAGGAATACATCTAGTCTGTTAGCCAAATAGTTCAGCCTTTATCATCTTTACAAATATTAGGATGAAAAAATGCAGGTTGCAATGATCTTGTCATTCTGCTTATCAAAGGGCTTTAATGGTGGTGGCTATGATCCCAGCACTTTGGGAGGCTGAGGTGGGTGGATCACTTGTGGCCAGGAGTTCCAGACCAGCCTGGCCAACATGGAGAAACACCATCTCTACTAAAAATACTAAAAATTAACTGGGCATGGGGGCATGTGTTTGTAATCCCAGCCACTGGAGAGGCTGACCACATCTGGGAAAATCTTGCAGCTGGCTGGTGTGGTATGGTTACTCCCTGACCTCAGTGGGCCCTCAAATTTTCCTACTTTCTGCAATGATTATTTCACATTTTCACCAACTTTTCTCAACTCTTTCCACCCACCACCTCCCTACTTTCTCTTAGAATATCACATTGTCTTCTGCCCTGCAGACAAAATAGAAGCCAGGGTAGTAGCTGCCTCAAATTTCCACCCCTAAATCTTAAACTCACCCTTATCTAGCAACCCATTTCTTCTCTTCTTTGCTTCTTTTGTAGTGCAAAATGTATCTCCTCCTGTATAAGGCAAGCCCTCCACCTGTTCTCTCTTAAACCCTCCTGCCTGCAGGCACCTTGCTCTAGAGCAGTGGTGCTAAAGCATAAGTTTGCATCAGAATCACTTTCAGGTAGTTTTTTAAAACCCTGGGGCCCACCCCCAGAGTTTCTGATTTGGTTGGCCTGGGTGAGGCCAGAGAGTCTGCATTTCTAACAAGTTCTCAGGTGATGCTGACACTGCTTGTTCAATGACCACACTTTGTGAATCAATGCCTGTATTAGGGTTTTCCAGAAAAACAGAAGCAATAGGATATACATATATAGAAAGAGATTTATTACAAGGAATTGGCTTATGGCATTATGGAGGCTGCCATGTCCCAAGATCTGCAGGGTGAGTCAGCAAGCTGGAGACTCAGGAGAGACAATAGTGTAATTCTAGTCAGAAGGCTGCCAGGCTTGAGACCTGGAAAGAGCCAATGTTTCAGTTTGAGTCTAATGGCAGGAAAAAAACTGATATCACAGTTTGAAGGCAGGCAGGCAGGCTGGAGGAATTCTCTCTCACTTAGAGGAGGGTCAGCCTCTTTTATTCCGTTCAGAACAAAATACTGATTGGATGGAGCCTACCCACATTAGGGAGGGCAATCTGCTTTTACCAGGTTAGATATTAATCTCATCCAGTAACACCTTCATGGAAATGCTCAGATTAAAGTTTGACCAAATATCTGGGCACTTGTGGCCCAGTCAAGTTGACACTTAAAACTAACCGCCACATTCATAGGCATGGGCAAAGACTTCATGACTAAAACACTAAAAGCAATGGCAACAAAAGCCAGAATTGACAAATGGGATCTAATTAAACTAAAGAGCTTCTGCACAGCAAAAGAAACTATCACCAGAATGAACAGGCAACCTACAGAATGGGAGAAAATTTTTGCAATCTATCCATCTGACAAAGGGCTAATATCCAGAATCTACCAGGAACTTAAATAAATTTACAAGAAAAAAACAAACAACTCCATCAAAAAGTGGGCGAAGGATATGAACAGACACTTCTCAAAGGAAGACATTTATGCAGCCAACAAACATACATATGACAAACATACAACAAACATGGTCATTAGAGAAATGCAAATCAAAACAACAGTGAGATACTATCTCATGCCAGTTAGAATGGCAATCATTAAAAAGTCAGGAAACAACAGATGCTGGAGAGGATGTGGGTAAATAGGAACGCTTTTACATTGTTGGTGGGAGTGTAAATTAGTTCAATCGTTGTGGAAGACAGTGTGGTGATTCCTCAAGGATCTAGAACCAGAAATACCATTTGACCCAGCAATTCCATTACTGGGTATATACCCAAAGGATTATAAATCACTCTACTATAAAGACACATGCACATGTATGTTTATTGCAGCACTGTTCACACAGCAAAGACTTGGTTCCAACCCAAATCGCCATCAATGATAGACTGGATAAAGAAAATGTGGCACATATATACCATGGAATACTACACAGCCATAAAAAAGGATGAGTTCATGTCCTTTGCAGGGACATGGATGAACCTGGAAAGCATCATTTTCAGCAAACTAACACAAGAACGGAAAACCAAACACCACATGTTCTCACTCCTAGGTGGGAGTTGAACAATGAGAACACATGGGCACAGGGAGGGGAACATCACACACCAGGGCCTGTTGTGGTGCGGGTGTCTAGGGGAGGGATAACATAGGAGAAATACCTAATGTAGATGACAGGTTGATGTGTGCAGCAAACCACCATGGCACATGTATACCCATGCAACAAACCTGCACGTTCTGCACATGTATCCCAGAACTTAAAGTATAATAAAAAAAAAGACAAAAAAAGAAAGCTAACAATCACATTACCCTGTAGATAATCCCCTTTCTACTGTGTTCTTTGTCCTTGATTGTCTATCACATTTTCGCATTCACTAAAGATGCCCAAGCTTTTCCACCTGTATAAAATACTACTGCCAAGCCAAAATCTTCTTACTTTAAACTCATATTATCTTTTAGCTCTCTTCATACATCTCTCCTTCCCTTCACACCCCAAATTTAGTGTTCTTTTGGGCTGTCTCCTAGGCTCTATGATGTTCTATAAACTACGTAGGATTTCAGGCAATCTCGTTTACTTTCACTGCCTCAATAACTATTTATATGCTGATTTACCCTCATGTGTATCTTGGCTGAGCTTCATACCCATATATTCCAGTCTCTCTTGATATCTTATTTGCATACTTTTTGTCAGGAGCCTCAACATCAGCTTGCTTATGACTGAACTCATCATCATTTCCCTTCTCCTCCCTCTTCCTATGAATTTGCCCCCATGGCACATTTCCCTGTGTCATTAGGAACATTTAGTTTCCCCAGTTAAAGCCTTGGCAGTTATTCATCACACTTCTCTTTCCCTAATTTTTTATATCCGATTTATAACAAAAATCTCATACATGATGACTTCTAAATATCTCTCAAACGTATTTATGTCTCTTCATTGCCACTGCCACCATCCTAATTTAGACCATCATTATCTTTTTACTGGCCTGCTAAAAATCACCTCCTAAAATCACCTCCCTGCCTTTATTTCTTATTCCTCTCCCGTTCATTCTGTCTCCAAAGCCAGAATGATCTTTGATGTCACATATGATCATCTTTCTCTCATGCTTAAAAACCTCAGTGACTTCCATTTGCCTTTAGGTTAATGGCCTCACAACTTAAGAGCTTGAGATAACCTTAAAGCTTTTTAAGATCTGCCTAGCACTCTGGCAAAGAAAGATGCTGTCTGTGTCTCTTAGCTTTCTGTCCCATCAATATTAGGCTTCTTTTAGGTCCCAATTCTCAAAATACTCACCCTCTACTCTAGGCCTTTGAACACGTTGCTCTCTGCGGAAACAAGCTGTATCTCTCACCTCCAAGACTCCTGTATTTCCTCCCTTGGCCCTGCCCATATTATGATTAGGTGGGGTTGTTACTGTTTATGAAACTCATCTGTCAAATAGGGTGCCTCATTTAATCCTGAGAGGGAGATTGGCTGGTCTGAAATGAATAAAAAATGCGTGTAAAATATCCCACATAATGCCTACCATATAAGATGCTCAATAGATAGAAATTATTTTCTCTAACATCTATCTATCTATCTATCTATCTATCTATCTATCTATCTATCTATCTATTTATATATATATCTCACTTCTGTTGACATCAATCTCATCCACTAGTTTGGAAATCTCCAAATGCTTTTATTCCTTTCCAAGTCCTGGTGTCATGCTTTTAAAGATAGTAATTATAATGCTGACTTTTTAATTAGAATATTGATATAAAGAGGTATTGCCAATTCAGAAATGATTTTTACAACTTTTGTGGCCAAATATTTCCTTTAGAGTATTGAATCAGATTTCTGAAATGCATGGAAATTCATTCTTATTGACTAAGGCCTTTTCTTGGGCCATTAAAATGTCATATTTTCTCAGTTAAAAGGTACATTGGAGAGATTCAACATATGTGCCACATACAAAGTGGTTCTGTTTCACATCATCTAAAAACAGGCAAATTCATGACTTTAAGGCAGAAGACACAATTGTGTGATATAAATAGCTATAATTTAAGATTTCTATGTAGGTATGAATCATAATTAGTAATCTACATTTTGAGACAGATGTATAAAACATTACTGATCTCACATGGGTACAGGCAAGATTTTACTCTTAAAATTTACTATTGTGCTCAGCTTTAGATAAAAAGTGCTCAGTTTTAGATAAAAAGATGCAGAATGCCATTCATATACACGATTAAAATCTCCTAAGTGCCTAAACAGAATTCTCAGAACAAAAGAAACCCTGAGATTTTCTCTAGGCTGTGATAAATTAGCAAGTTGAAAAGTAAAAATCTCAGTAATACCTAGTATTAGCTCATAGGACACACAAATGGGTTGAGAAAATTCACCTCTAAACAACTGGATTTTATTAACTGACTTGTACAGATGGATATAGGCATGGTGGATGATCATGTTAGCATCTCGGAAAATTCATATGCCACTTTAAAACCTTCTGGGAAGGACAAACCTAGAATTCTTGCAAAACTGCAATGACAGTGACATAGAAAACACGTATAAGATAAAGAAGCAACTCAAATTGTAAAGGGGAAAAATCTCAAGTCACACCATATAGACCAGGTCACGTGGCTCTACTATTGAATGATAATTTGACACTTGAATCTCCAGGGCACATTTCATACTCTCCTTTTAGATGAGTATGGTACTTTTTGCTCTACGCAGATATGTGAGCAGGCATAGTTCTCATTTCCTAATGAGCAACAGATTCTCCCAGTGCGTAAATTAAGCTCTTTTGGAATCCACTACCATGCCTCAAGGGTATTATTCAGTGCACTGAAGTAGTAATTTACTAAATGGGACCCTCATGGCCCAAAAGAGTTCACGCAGCTTCTCAAATGCCTACCTTAACCAGGCAATGGTTTATGGTCTGGAGAACCAAATGAGTGTTCAATTATACTATTACATTTAGAAAAGGAGACTTTTTTTTCCCCCAGAAATTTTAGCTCCACTTTATGCTTTAGTTGAAAGTCAGGTTATTTTTAACTTCCTTATTCCTACAAGAATTTTTTTCTCCCTTATATTTTGTATTTTGTTTCATAGCATTGCCTAAGTAGCACTCTTCTCCCTCCAGTGAATGATTCTATTGAATTTTAGTTACTATGACTGTTCTCCTCATTGGCCTCATTTGAAAGAATGTTGGGAAAGGTAACAAAAATTGAAAAGCTTGCCACTTGGTCACATTCATTATTCTTCCAATTCATTTTCAATGACAAATTTTCTTCTTGGACATTAAAAAACACTTTAAAATTTTGACCACGGGTGTATTGCAATATTAATAGTGCAGTACTTTCTTTTACTTTTTTATTTCAATAGCTTTTGGGGTACAAGGGGTTTTTGGTTATATGGGTGAATTGCATAGTGTTGAAGTGTGAGATTTGAGTGCATCCTTTACCTGAGTAGTAGTGTGCATAGTACCCAATATATAGTTTTTTATCCCTCATCCCTCTCATGCCCTCCCCCCTTCTGAGTCTCCAATGTCCATTGTGCCCTTCTACATGCCTTTGTGTACCCATACCTTAGCTCCTACCTATAAGTGAGTGAGAACACACAGTATTTGTTTTTCCATTCCTGAGTTATTTCACTTAGAATAATGGCCTCCAACTCCATCCATTATGTTCTTTTTTTAAAATTTGTTTTATTTTATTATTATTATACTTTAAGTTTTAGGGTACATGTGCACAATGTGCAGGTTAGTTACATATGTATACATGTGCCATGCTGGTGTGCTGCACCCATTAACTCGTCATTTAGCATTAGGTATATCTCCTAATGCTATCCCTCCCTCCTCCCCCCACGCCACAACAGTCCCCAGAGTGTGATGTTCCCCTTCCTGTGTCCATGTGTTCTCATTGTTCAGTTCCCACCTATGAGTGAGAATATACCATGTTTGGTTTTTTGTTCTTGCTATAGTTTACTGAGAATGATGATTTGCAATTTCATCCATGTCCCTACAAAGGACATGAACTCATCATTTTTTATGGCTGCATAGTATTCCATGGTGTATATGTGCCACATTTTCTTAATCCAGTCTATCATTGTTGGACATTTGGGGTGGTTCCAAGTCTTTGCTATTGAGAATAGTGCCACAATAAACTTACGTGTGCATGTGTCTTTATAGCAGCATGATTTATAATCCTTTGGGTATATACTCAGTAATGGGATGGCTGGGTCAAATGGTATTTCTAGTTCTAGATCCCTGAGGAATCGCCACACTGACTTCCACAAGGGTTGAACTAGTTTACAATCCCACCAACAGTGTAAAAGTGTTCCTATTTCTCCACATCCTCTCCAGCACCTGTTGTTTCCTGACTTTTTAATGATCGCCATTCTAACTGGTGTGAGATGGTATCTCACTGTGGTTTTGATTTGCATTTCTCTGATGGCCAGTGATGATGAGCACTTTTTGTTGTGTTTTTTGGCTGCATAAATGTCTTCTTTGGAGAAGTGTGTGTTCATGTCCTTCGCCCACTTTTTGATGGGGTTGTTTGTTTTTTTCTTGTAAATTTGTTTGAGTTCATTGTAGATTCTGGATATTAGCCCTTCGTCAGATTAGTAGTTTGTGAAATTTTTCTCCTGTTTTGTAGGTTGCCTGTTCACTCTGATGGTAGTTTCTTTTGCTGTGCAGAAGCTCTTGAGTTTAATTAGATCCCATTTGTCAATTTTGGCTTTTGTTGCCATTGCTTTTGGTGTTTTAGACATGAAGTCCTTGCCCATGCCTATGTCCTGAATGGTAATGCCTAGGTTTTCTTCTAGGGTTTTTATGGTTTTAGGTCTAACGTTTAAGTCTTTAATCCATCTTGAATTAATTTTTGTATAAGGTGTAAGGAAGGGATCCAGTTTCAGCTTTCTACATATGGCTAGCCAGTTTTCCCAGCACCATTTATTAAATAGGGAATCCTTTCCCCATTTCTTATTTTTGTCAGGTTTGTCAAAGATCAGATAGTTGTAGATATGCGGTGTTATTTCTGAGGGCTCTGTTCTGTTCCATTGATCTATATCTCTCTTTTGGTACCAGTACCATGCTGTTTTGGTTACTGTAGCCTTGTAGTATAGTTTGAAGTCAGGTAGTGTGATGCCTCCAGCTTTGTTCTTTTGGCTTAGGATTGACTTGGTGATGCAGGCTCTTTTTTAGTTCCATATGAACTTTAAAGTAGTTTTTTCCAATTCTGTGAAGAAAGTCATTGGTAGCTTGATGGGGATGGCATTGAATCTATAAATTACCTTGGGCAGTATGGCCATTTTCATGATATTGATTCTTCCTACCCATGAGCATGGAATGTTCTTCCATTTGTTTGTATCCTCTTTTATTTCATTGAGCAGTGGTTTGTAGTTCTCCTTGAAGAGGTCCTTCACGTCCCTTGTAAGCTGGATTCCTAAGTATTTTATTCTCTTTGAAGCAATTGTGAATGGGAGTTCAGTCATGATTTGGCTCTCTGTCTGTTATTGGTGTATAAGAATGCTTGTGATTTTTGTACATTGATTTTGTATCCTGAGACTTTGCTGAAGTTGCTTATCATCTTAAGGAGATTTTGGGCTGAGACAATGGGGTTTTCTAGATATACAATCATGTTGTCTGCAAACAGGGACAATTTGACTTCCTCTTTTCCTAATTGAATACACTTTATTTCGTTCTCCTGCCTAATTGCCCTGGCCAGAACTTCCAACACTATGTTGAATAGGAGTGGTGAGAGAGGGCATCCCTGTCTTGTGCCAGTTTTCGAAGGGAATGCTTCCAGTTTTTCCCATTCAGTATGATATTGGCTGTGGGTTTGTCATAGATAGCTCTTCTTGTTTTGAGATACGTCCCATCAATACCTAATTTATTGAGAGTTTTTAGCATGAAGGGTTGTTGAATTTTGTCAAAGGCCTTTTCTGCATCTATTGAGATAATCATGTGGTTTTTGTCTTTGGTTCTGTTTATATGCTGGATTACATTTATTGATTTGCATATATTGAACCAGCCTTGCATCCCGGGGATGAAGCCCACTTGATCATGGTGGATAAGCTTTTTGATGTGCTGCTGGATTCGGTTTGCCAGTATTTTATTGAGGTTTTTTGCATCAATGTTCATCAAGGATATTGGTCTAAAATTCTCTTTTTTGGTTGTGTCTCTGCCTGGCTTTGGTGTCAGGATGATGCTGGCCTCATAAAATGAGTTAGTGAGGATTCCCTCTTTTTCTATTGATTGGAATAGTTTCAGAAGGAATGGTACGAATTCCTCCTTGTACCTCTGGTAGAATTCGGCTGTGAATCCATCTGGTCCTGGACTCTTTTTGGTTGGTAAGCTATTGATTATTGCCAGAATTTCAGAGCCTGTTATTGGTCTATTCAGAGATTCAACTTCTTCCTGGTTTAGTCTTGGGAGGGTGTATGTGTCGAGGAATTTATCCATTTCTTCTAGATTTTCTAGTTTATTTGTGTAGAGGTGTTTGTAGTATTCTCTGATGGTAGTTTGTATTTCTGCGGGATCGGTGGTGATATCCCCTTCATAATTTTTTATTGCGTCTATTTGATTCTTCTCTCTTTTCTTCTTTATTAGTCTTGCTAACGGTCTATCAATTTTGTTGATCCTTTCAAAAAACCAGCTCCTGGATTCATTAATTTTTTGAAGGGTTTTTTGTGTCTCTATTTCCTTCAGTTCTGCTCTGATTTTAGTTATTTCTTGCCTTCTGCTAGCTTTTGAATGTGTTTGCTCTTGCTTTTCTAGTTCTTTTAATTGTGATGTTAGGATGTCAATTTTGGATCTTTCCTGCTTTCTCTTGTGGGCATTTAGTGCTATAAATTTCCCTCTACACACTGCTTTGAATGCGTCCCAGAGATTCTGGTATGTTGTGTCTTTGTTCTCGTTGGTTTCAAAGAACATGTTTATTTCTGCCTTCTTTTCGTTATGTACCCAGTAGTCATTCAGGAGCAGGTTGTTCAGTTTCCATGTAGTTGAGTGGTTTTGAGTGAGTTTCATAATCCTGAGTTCTAGTTTGATTGCACTGTGGTCTGAGAGACAGTTTGTTATAATTTCTGTTCTTTTACATTTGCTGAGGAGTGCTTTACTTCCAACTATGTGGTCAATTTTGGAATAGGTGTGGTGTGGTGCTGAAAAAAATGTATATTCTGTTGATTTGGGGTGGAAAGTTCTGTAGATGTCTATTAGGTCCACTTAGTGCAGAGCTGAGTTCATTTCCTGGGTATCCTTGTTAACTTTCTGTCTCGTTGATCTGTCTAATGTTGACAGTGGGGTGTTAAAGTCTCCCATTATTATTGTGTGGGAGTCTAAGTCTCTTTGTAGGTCACTCAGGGCTTGGTTTATGTAACTGGGTGCTCCTGTATTGGGTGCATATATATTTAGGATAGTTAGTTCTTCTTGTTGAATTGATCCCTTTACCATTATGTAATGGCCTTCTTTGTCTCTTTTGATCTTTGTTGGTTTAAAGTTTGTTTTATCAGAGACTAGGATTGCAACCCCTGCCTTTTTTTGTTTTCCATTTGCTTGGTAGATCTTCCTCCATCCTTTTATTTTGAGCCTATGTGTGTCTCTGCACGTGAGATGGTTTCCAGAATACAGCACACTGATGGATCTTGACTCTTTATCCAATTTGCCAGTCTGTGTCTTTTAATTGGAGCATTTAGTCCATTTACATTTATAATATTGTTATGTGTGAATTTGATCCTGTCATTTTGATATTAGCTGGTTTTTTTGCTCGTTAGTCAATGCAGTTTCTTCCTAGCCTCAATATTCTTTTCAATTTGGCATGATTTTGCCGTGGCTGGTACTGGTTGTTCCTTTCCATGTTTAGTGCTTCCTTCAGGAGCTCTTTTAGGGCAGGCCTGGTGGTGACAAAATCTCTCAGCATTTGCTTGTCTGTAAAGTATTTTATTTCTCCTTCACTTATGAAGCTTAGTTTGGCTGGATATGAAATTCTGAGTTGAAAATTCTTTTCTTTAAGAATGTTGAATATTGGCCCGCACTCTCTTCTGGCTTGTAGAGTTTCTGCCGAGAGATTCGCTGTTAGTCTGATGGGCTTCCCTTTGTGGGTAACCCGATCTTTCTCTCTGGCTGCCCTTAACATTTTTTCCTTCTTTTCAACTTTGGTGAATCTGACAATTATGTGTCTTGGAGTTGCTCTTCTCGAGGAGTATCTTTGTGGCGTTCTCTGTATTTCCTGAATCTGAATGTTGGCCTGCCTTGCTAGATTGGGGAAGTTCTCCTGGATAATATCCTGCAGAGTGTTTTCCAACTTGGTTCCATTCTTCCCATCACTTTCAGGTACACCAATCAGACGTAGATTTGGTCTTTTTACTTAGTCCCATATTTCTTGGAGGCTTTGTTCATTTCTTTTTATTCCTGTTTCTCTAAACTTCCCTTCTCA
This sequence comes from Homo sapiens, assembly GCF_000001405.40. Taxonomy (NCBI): domain Eukaryota; kingdom Metazoa; phylum Chordata; class Mammalia; order Primates; family Hominidae; genus Homo; species Homo sapiens. The sequence goes on from NC_000014.9 coordinate 39,702,319, forward strand.
TTTCATTTCTTTCGTTTCATCTTCCATCACTGATACCGTTTCTTCCAGTTGATTGCATCGGCTCCTGAGGCTTCTGCATTCTTCAGGTAGTTCTCGAGCCTTGGCTTTCAGCTCCATCAGCTCCTTTAAGCACTTCTCTGTATTGGTTCTTCTAGTTATACATTTGTCTAAATTTTTTTCAAAGTTTTCAACTTCTTCACCTTTGGTTTGAATTTCCTCCTGTAGCTCCGAGTAGTTTGGTCGTCTGAAGCCTTCTTCTCTCAACTCGTCAAAGTCATTCTCCATCCAGCTTTGTTCCATTGCTGGTGAGGAGCTGCATTCCTTTGGAGGAGGAGAGGCACTCTGCTTTTTAGAGTTTCCAGTTTTTCTGCTGTGTTTTTTCCCCATCCTTGTGGTTTTATCTACTTTTGGTCTTTGATGATGGTGATGTACAGATGGGTTTTTGGTGTTGATGACCTTTCTGTTTGTTAATTTTCCGTCTAACACACAGGACCCTCAGCTGCAGGTCTGTTGGAGTTTGCTAGAGGTCCACTCCAGACCCTGTTTACCTGGGTACCAGCAGTGGTGGCGGCAGAACAGCAGATTTTTGTGAACCGCGAATGCTGCCGTCTGATCGTTCCTCTGGAAGTTTTGTCTCAGAGGAGTACCTGGCCGTGTGAGGTGTCAGTCTGCCCCTAGTGGGTGGTGCCTCCCTGTTAGGCTGCTTGGGGGTCAGGGGTCAGGGACCCACTTGAGGAGGCAGTCTGCCCATTCTCACATCTCCACCTGCATGCTGGGAGAACCACTGTTCTCTTCAAAGCTGTCAGACAGGGACATTTAAGTCTGCAGAGGTTACTGCTGTCTTTTTGTTTTTCTGTGCCCTGACCCCAGAGGTGGAGCCTACAGAGGCAGGCAGGCCTCCTTGAGCTGTGGTGGGCTCCACCCAGTTGGAGCTTCCTGGCTGCTTTGTTTACCTAAGCAAGCCTGGGCAATGGTGGGCGCCCCTCCCCCAGCCTGGCTGCCGCCTTGCAGTTTGATCTCAGAGTGCTGTGCTAGCAATCAGTGAGATTCTGTGAGCATAGGACTCTCGGAGCCAGGTGCGGGATATAATCTCCTGGTGCGCTGTATTTTAAGCCTGTCAGAAAAGCGCAGTATTAGGGTGGGAGTGACCCGATTTTCCAGGTGCCGTCTGTCACCCCTTTCTTTGACTAGGAAAGGGAACTCCCTGACCCCTTGCGCTTCCCGAGTGAGGCAATGCCTCGCCCTGCTTCAGCTCATGCATGGTGCGCTCTACCCACTGTCCTGTGTCCACTGTCTGGCACTCCCTAGTGAGATGAACCCCGTACCTTAGATGGAAATGCAGAAATCACCTATCTTCTGCGTCGCTCACGTAGGGAGCTGTAGACCGGAGCTGTTCCTATTCGGCCATCTTGGCTGTTTCCCTCCATTTTGTTCTTTTTTATGGCTGAGTAGCATTCCAAAGTGGGGAGATATATATATATATATGTGTGTGTGTGTGTATATATATAATATCACATTTATATATCATATATCACATTTTCTTTTTGATATAATGACTTCTTTTTTCCATTGTGTAGATATCCAGTAGTGAGATTGCTGGCTTGAATGGTACATCTACTTTTAATTTTTTGAGAAATCTCTGTTCTGTTTTCCATACAAGTTGTACTAATTTACATTCCAACCAGCAGTGTACAGGCATTCCCTTTTCACCACAGCCATGCCAACATCTATTGCTTATTTGACTTTTTTATAATGGCCATTCTGGCTGGAGTAAGGTGGTATCTTATTGTGGTTTTAATTTGTATTTCTCTGATGATTGGTGATGTTGAACATTTTGTTCATGTGTCTGTTGCCCGTTTATATATCTTCTTTTGAGAAATGTCTATTCATGTCATTAGCCCACTTTTTGATGAGATTATTTATTTTTTTTCTTGCTGCTTTGTATTAGTTCCTTTAAATTATTGATGTTAGTCCTTTGTCGGATGCATAATATGCAAATATTTTCTCCCATTCTGTTTACTCTGATGATTATTTCTTTTTCTGTGCAGAAGCTTTTTAGTTTAGGTAGGTCCCATTTATTTATTTTTGTTTTGGTTGCATTTGCTTTTGGGGTCTGAGTCATAAATTCTTTGCCTAGGCCATTGAAGTGCACTACTTTCTATACAGGCATTCTGCTATTGTCCAGCAATGACCACTTCAGAATTATTTTGAACTTTTAAAGGTTTGCCTCTGTTAGCCAACTCTCTCCAAAATCTTTAAAAGCACAACTGAGAAAGTAAATTTAAAATTTTATGAATAATTGGCTAATCTTAAAAAGCATAACATTAGAATTTATTTTACTTTGCGTTTGAGATTTTGAATTTGATCTATTTTTGGTTAATAGGACAATATTGTTCATGTAGCAAATTTAGGTGGCTAACATGCTGTCATTTCTATATTCTCTAGGTGGCAGCTTAGCTCTACCTTTTAAGCATCTCCCTTTAGTGTTTTTCTCACTGGCATTTCATTTAAAAACTGCTAACATAATGCACAACAACATGTAAAATGAATACAGCCAAACGTTATCTGCCTGCCTTTAATGTCTTGACAAGGTTTTTCATGTAGCTTTGCCACACTGCTGATTTTAATGGAGGGATTCAGAGATAGCAGCACTGAAAAAGTACTCTTATTTACCATTTTTCTCATATGAAGGTCAATAACTGGGTCTTTTATGATTAAGCTTCAGTTATAAAGCATCCACATTGTTCTAGAGTTTGTACTTTTTCTGCACGTAGTGTTGAGCCAATTGTCTTGCTATTTAGTCACATTTGAGATGTGTTTATTTCCTTCTCTCCATTACAGTTTCATGAACAGCTGGGTTTGAATGTCACGATATCCTCATTCTGTTCAGTTAGAGTGCAAATACCTTCCTGAAAATTATGAAAATATAGCTTAACTCTAGAATAAGAAATTACACTGTCTCGTAGAGGAAAATCTCAACTGGGAGTGATGTTTGCTCCTCAGGGAATATTTGGCAATGTCTAAAGATGTTTTTGATTGTTGAACTAGTGGGAGGGAAGTGCTGCTACTAGTATCTCAGTGAATAGCAGCCAGGGATGCTGATAAACATCCTAAAATGCAGAGGATGGTCCCCTACAACAAAGACTTAATCTAGCCCAAAACATTAATAGTGCAGAGGTTGAGAAATCCTGTTGTAGAGAACAGAGCCATAGTGGTAGTAATATTAAAATCAGTACAAGTTTTAATAATCAACACAATAACTCCATATAAGTAGTTTACTGAAGTTCATAAACATTATAAACATCCTTTAGAAAAATATCTTTTTTGATTAATTTGATAATAAGCTTTTCATGAAACTATTCTTGTTCCCTGTCGTCCTACCCATTTTCCTCAAATGGTTAAAAATAAACTGTGCCCTTGTATTTCATTTTCTTAATTAAAAATATTGCTCAGCTATTATTTTGCATATCTAAAACTCAGGAAATCTCTTTATGAGAAAACTGTGTTTACTGAGTACAGAGAGTTAGTTTGCACATCTGTCAAGATCTATATGCAATTTTCTTTCCTTTCTATTTTGTAAGTCAATTTTATTAAAATGGGTTTGAGATGTCTCAAGTTTATCAAACCTATTGACTGTGGAATATATTAATTAAAACTATTGAAAATCGAGGTCTGAGTATACTGAAGTTCCCAAAGAATTTAGTGTAAAGGAAGCTACTTAATTTGTCATTGCCAAGATGCTGCGAAATAATGACAAACTTGTTTAGCATCCTGAAACTGCTACTGGTACAATTTATCATGTTTTGCCTGAAGATCCATTGTGTGACATAATTAAGAATACATACTATATATGGATTCATCAGGTATTCTGTCATCTAATACTCTGATATGGTAAGATGTTTTGGCTACTTTATGTTCTCCTTAGACTAGTGATTTTTCAAATTACATCTTATTATAAATCCCCATATATAAAATGGATTAAATCTGAGCTACTTTTCCTGTGAGGAAGGAACCTGTCTTGCCTCGTGGAGCAGCCCCAAGGCACCATTGCAGAAGCTCAGCTTTCTATTGAAAATAGTTCCAAAACCACTGTCCTAAAGCATTAATATGCTAAGCTTGCTTTAATCACTAGTTTTATGATATCTGAGTGTCTATCTTAGGGAAAAAAAAGACAAAACTCTCTCTTGAGTCCAATTCTCCTCTAACCACTATCCCCTTTCATTGTTCCTTTTCCAAGCATAATATTTCAACATGTTTTCTATATACCTTTCTTCTACTTTCTCATTTTTGATCCACTTCTAAAACTAATTAATTTTCTTCTAGTTCTATTATTTCATGGAGGCTGCTTTTGTCAAGATTACCAGCCATGTCCTTGGTGCTATAACTGATGGTTGCTTTACTCTCTTCTTGCTCCACTTCTTAAAAAGTACTGATGAAGCTGACCCATCTTTCCTTCTTGAAACATTCTCCTATTTCTACCTTTTCCCAATTAGCTTCTTCTTGGTCTTTCCCACCTTTAACTGTTGGACTTCTTCAGGACTAGGTCTTGAGCTCAGCTGTCTCTCTCTCAACTCTCTTCTAGGTTGTCTTATTCATTTCTGTGACTTTAAATATCATCCATATGTTGATAACTACCATATTTTACATTTTCAGGCCAGTTCTTTCTTTTGAGTCCCAGATCTGCACACCCAAGTGCCTACTTGAAACCTCCTCCTGGATGTTTCCTGGTTCTCATCTGGCCTCTCCCATCTCAGTGAATAGTACTGCCATCAGAGAGTTGCTTCGATGAGTAACCCAGCAGCCATTCTTTATTCCCCATCTTCTTTCATCATCCACATCCACATCTGCCATCAGAAATTCCTATCTGTACTTTCTTCTTTTTTTTTTTTAGCATGCTACTTTATTTTTTATTTATTTATTTAATTTTATTTTTTATATATGCCGTGGAATACTATGCAGCCATAAAAAAGATGAGTTCATGTCCTTTGTAGGGACATGGATGAAGCTGGAAACCATCATTCTCAGCAAACTATTGCAAGGACAAAAAACCAAACACCGCATGTTCTCACTCATAGGTAGGAATTGAACAATGAGAACACTTGGACACAGGAGGGGGAACATCACACACCAGGGCCTGTTGTGGGGTGCGGGGAGCGGGGAGGGATAGCATTAGGAGATATTCCTGTCTGTACTTTCTTCAGTCATATGCTTCAAATATTTCCACACATCTCTATTTCTACTGTGGCTATGTTTAGCTACGTCTCCATCATCTCTCAATTAAGAGCCTACTAACTCATCCTTCTGTTTTCACCCTTGTCCTTCTTTCATTCATTCTCCACGAGGCCACTGGTGTGGTTTTTAAATAGTAAATTGATTATATATCTTCCCTGCCTACAATTCTCACATGAATTCCTATTGCATTTAGAATAAAATTCAAATTCCGTACTGTGGTTTGGACCCTGTCTGATTCTTTAGTTTCAGTTTCTGCCACTGTAACTTCCCTCCCGTGAATCTTTTACATGTATTGATTTGGAGAATCTAAGAGAGGCCAAGTTCTTTTCACATCAGGATCTTTCTACCCTTGATTTTCCCTCCCCAGCTCTTTGCATGCCTACTTCCTTTTAACCCTTTAGGTCTTAGCTTAAAAATCCTGACCCTAGTCTATAAGGATTCACTTCTGGACTATTTTGTATCTCATCTACTTACTTGTTCATTTGTTCATTGCCTGACTCACTAGAATTTCGGCTTTATGAGGACAGGGATCTGGTCTCTCTTCCTGGCCTAGAAGCTGGTAGCCACTCAGCACACATTTGATGGATGCATCAACAAATTAGTGTAGTAAATAATCAGAATGTGTAGGATGGGCCAAGATAATAGACAGGCATAGGTATGCTTACCCTGTGCTTCTTGGTCTTATAAAGGAGGAAATTACTAAGTAGGAAGAGATGATATTTGGTGTCTAGAATTTCAGGATTAATATGAAAAATAGAATCAAACATGGATTTGGCATCTATAAAACAGAATGAGAGTATAGGTGGAAGTTAAATTTGGAATAAACAATGGAATTGTAGGTGCATGAGCTTTGACTCACTGAAGATGTTTAACTGGAGTATGGAAGCCAACCTGTACAGAATGTGGTGGTGAGATGTCCTATTTTAGATTGGAACTTGGTCCAGAGACATCTAAGGGCCCTTCCCTCTTTGAGATGCTGGGATTTTTATGATTATGGAAGATTTCTTATCTGTATTTCCCAGTATTAATATGTTATTATGATTCTGTGGGTTGTTCCTCTTTCAAGTCAGACCTTATTGGGTATCCTCTTAAGATCTTTCAACAAACTGTGTGTGTGTGTGTGTGTGTGTGTGTATCTGTTTGTGTATTCAAATCAATGTGTGCTTTAGACATTATGTTCAGAGCCTTTACATAAACTTATATAAGATGGAATTGATAGGGACACATCTTCGCTTATTGCATATCTTTAAAAGTTACCATGATGCATGACTGGAGCTAGAAAAGGAGGTCAATTCCAAAGCAACTCCATATATTACATTTTAAACTTTATTTTAACAGCATCATATATGTGCCATAATAGCCTTTAATATTTACTCTGGAATTATTATCTTCAGTCATCAGCTAATGTGTTTGATGGGAGAAATACAGAGAAATGATGCCTAGAACTCCCCAAAGATGAATTGACTGACTTCTGGAGATCATAAAAATCTTAGGCAAGGTCTTTTCATTGACTACAGCATTAATACAGGTTCAAAGTCCATATTCAGCTGAAGAAAATCCACATTTCCAAAATAGTTTACATTTTCTCATCAGTAACAATTCACAAAAGATTTTCATTATGTTCTGTGACAGAATGTGACTCTACAAAGTACAAGAAAACCTACATTTAATGATTCAGCATTAGAAGTCTGTGTGGTTTCTTTGTTGAAGTCATTTTCAGAAGGCATAGATTATATAACACGTCTTCTTTTAAATCATATAAACTTACATGCTAATTTGGATGTTATTGATGTCATTTGCCCACACTTTCAGTGTTATTCTGGCCATTTAAAAATTCTGGACTTTTTTTTTAAACGCAATGCCTCAGATATTTTCCTTTATTTTGATTTCTGATTTTCTTTGTAACATACTTCCAGTTTTACTTCCTAAGTACCCTTTGCTTTCTTAGTTGTCCAAGAATAATATATCAACAAACATTTGCTGAAGCCTGCCATGTGAAGGATATTGTATCTACCATATCTTTCACTTTACTTCTTTACCCTGTAGAATTTGGCCTTAGTATTATAGTCTGCGCTCCCTTTAATTGTTATTATTTTTATTATGGATGGAAATTTGTTTGATGCTCATAAGTTCTTTTGTTTTTGCCCTCTTCCAACTATTTCCTAAACTTCTTGTCTTTATCATCTTTACTTTATTCTATGGCATTTGAATTTATCCCTCATTGCTTCTTAAAGACCCTTCTCATTCATAGTTTCTAATGTGAAGTGCCATATTCTATGTTTCCTATTGCTAGTATAACACATTACCATAGCTTAGTGTCAAAAACAGCACAAATTTACCAAATTGCAGTTCTGGAGGTCAGGAGTCCAGATGAATTTTAGTGAACTAAAATTAAGGTGTTGGCAGGGCTGTGTTCCTTTCTGGAAGCACTAAGAATTTGTTTCTTTACTTTTTGTAGCTTCTATAAGCCATCTGCATCCCTTGGCTCCTGGCCCCCTTTCTCCATTTTTAACTCCAGCAACTGTGAGAAGTATCTATTCATGTCCTTTGCCCATACATGTCGCCAATAAATACATGAAATAAAGCACAACATCATAAAACATCAGAAAAATGCAAATCAAAACTATAGTGAGATTCCATCTCACATCAGTCAGAATGGCTACTATTGAAAAGTCAAAAAACAAGAGATGCTGGTAAAGCTTTGGAGAAAAGAGATGCTTATACACTGTTGGTAGGAATGTGGATTAGTTCAGCCATTATGGAAAGCAGTTTGTGGATTTCAAAGAACTTAAAACAGAATTACTATTCAACCAAAAAATTCTATTACTGGGTATATACCAAAGGAAAATAGATTATTCTACCAAAAGAAACGTGCACTTGTATGTTTGTCACAGCACTATTCACAGTAGCAGAGACATGACATCAACCTAGATGCCCATCAATGGTAGACAGGATAAAGAAAATGTGGTACATATACACCATGGAACACTATACAGCCATAAAAAAGAATAAAATTATACCCTTGCAGTGACATGGAAACAGCTGGGGCCATTATCCCAAGTGAATTAACGCAAAAACAGAAAACCACATACTGCATGTTCTCTCTTATAAGTGGAAACTAAACATTGGGTACACATGCTTATAAAGATGGGAACAATAGAGACAGGGGATTACTATTGGGGTTGGGGCAAGGGTTGAAACACTACCTATTGGTAACTATGCTCACTACCTGGGTGACAGGATCATTCATACACAAAGTCTCAATCACATGTAATTTGCCGTGTAACAAATCTGCACATTTATCTCTTGAGCCTAAAATAAAAGTTGAGGAAAAAACAAAAACAAAAATAAAACTACCAACTGTGGGCCACGTCTTTATCATATTAAGTCACTCCATAGTGATTCCTCTTCTGCCTCCCTCTTGTACATTTAAGAACTCTTGTGGTTACATTGACCCTAGGCAATCCAAGATAATCTCCCTAAAGTCAGCTGATTAGCAACCTTAATTGCATCTTCCATTTTAATTACCCTTTGCCAAATAACAGGCAACGTAGTCACAGCTTCTGGCGATTACCACAGGACATCTTTGGGGGATCATTATTCTGCCTCGCATCTTTGGGGGAATCATCTCTTCTATAACCAAGCCACTCCCCACTCAACTGGAGGAGGCTTTTCCACTTGGGCTGCTTCTGTGGCCTCCACATTCTTCTTCATCTGCCTAATCTCTGCTGACTGAATAATTATATAAAATATAACTGTGCCTTTGCTTTTTGTATATAAAGCATATTTAAAACAATTAAATATCTTCAATATCTGAGTAACAAATATTAGGAACAAAACAGGTAAAGATTGCTGACTACCTTTTCTCCCTGTATTTAAATTATTTATATTAGATTTGTTTTCTTTCTTTTTGCTTTGTTATGTATAACTATTTTTATTCCACTAGAGACACAGAGCAATATAAAAAACCAGAGTCACTATAAGAAAACCTTTTAGTTATTAATGGTTTTATTTTTGTTCACCACACATTTTATACCATTTTTGTGATTTACTATGAATTGTACATGTGATTTAGATTTGCTGCTTTCTCATTTAGTTTTGATATAAACCTGTATAGTTATATTTCTGCCAGAGTCTTTCTGTGTTTTAAAGTATGTGTCTTGTTTTATTTTCTGGTTATATATAAACTAGACATTTAATCCTTTTTGAGAAAGAAGGTTTTGGTCTGAAAGCATACAGGTGGTCTTAAATTAAAGGAAATTAAAACTGTGTAGTTGCTGTAGTCTCGGTCCAATTTCTAGCATTTAAGGTGTTTCTGTAGGTAATAAGCTGGTTACTCATATGCTATTTGTTTATGTTTACCTGACTTCTCTTAAACACCAAGGAGATAAATGTCGTAGACCTAACCATATCCATATTTTGATATTTAGGATGTTCTTTCTCTATGTAAGGAGAACAGTACCTTTTCTGACTACTCTGAAATGAATCAAGAACAAATCTGTGTGGAATTTTGGACCATAATCAGGAACAAGAATCTCGGGAATCCTTGGAAATAAAGTAATTTTCTTACAATTTAAACTTACTTTCTGTCAGAGGACAGCTATTCATGTATTTCTGGACTATTTCAATTCATTGAGCTTTACCTGCTCAGGATAAAGAGGTCCTTTGATAAAATCAATGAAGCCAAGCAGAACACTGCAGTTTCTGAGTTCAGTACCAGTTAAGTATTTCCCTATTATAAGGGATCCCTATTGTTGGAAAATAGCTTTTCTATTCACAGAAATGATGAGAAAATGACATCTTGCTTTTTGCAGTAATATGAATACTTACTTTTGAGATCTAGTAAATTAACATTGCTGACTCTTCAGACTGGCCCCTTGAATTAGGGTCAAATCAAGGAAATGAAATGCATATATGCACATTCTGAGAGTAAACAGACAAGTAGTCATGCCATTGCTCTCTTCTCTGTGCACAGCACAGGCTTAGGGCTTTGCATAAATCAAATCAAAATATTTGTGTTTTTGCATGGATTTTAACATTTGTGTTTTAAATCTATTTTCTGAGTAGATTTTATGAACCTAATGAAAAAATTGAAAGCAATTCCTCCAGCATAACTTCTGAGTGATACTACTGTACAGGTAACCCTGTATGAAAGGGAAAGAGTTTGATACAATGGACACTGGGAGGCTTTACCTGGAAGTGCCCAAAAGATACCATTAGTTGGTAATTTGTAACTGGCTCATATGTTAAACATTGTAGGGTTGAGAGTCTAGATGACATGTGAACAACAAAATCTCCATTTTTAGTGCTGATACTTTTATGTCATTCAGACAAGAGCTGGTAGGTTTAGACATTTATCCTGAAATAATGAGAAGTTTTTCATTTCTGAATTAGTTAGAAAGTTGGCACTAAAACTGCCCCAAGGCACGGTCTGTGAATCTAAGTGTATCCACACCAAGCCATCTTTCATTTAAGTCTGTTTAATAAATCATCTTCTTAACTGGTGCTGGGGGCATAAAGTTCATGCCTCTGGCACAACAGAAAAGAAGAAAAAGATCAGGAGCATAGAAGTTTTAAGAAATGTAATATTTTCAGCTTGGGTTTTCTGACATACAAGGAAAAATGCTATTTAAAAATTATTCCTACTTGGATAAAAGCAGCTGCTCCTAGTTCTATATAATAAAATTTGGAAAGCTGAAGAGATGGGCCAGCTTTTCTCCAGGGTTCAGTGGGCTTCATGGGGCAAGCATTAGACTAGACTAGAGCAACACTGCTTCATGAAGGCAGAGCTAAGTGACCATTGATCATTGAATGAATTAATAAAATAATGAAAATTTCAGTTCCTTTTGACTCAGTTCTCAGCTAAGTTATTTTGCTATGTATAAGGAAGTAGTTTTTGATATCATTGTTAGAGAGATGGGGCATGGAATTTTTTCCCCATCAAGCTTATGGATTATTTTTTGCCAACAATTTCATATGAACTTGATGAAAACTTTATATTTGGTCACTAAACAGGTTTATAAGCCACTCATAGAAGGAATGTGATTTATTTTGGGGGCAAAATTTTGGTAGCTTCACGTATTTATTCGGTAAGTACGTGTTTATTGGATACCTACTCTGCACCAGGCAGTGGCTAGTACCCTAGACACTGACAATACAAAAGTGAATAGACACACACATATGTCCCTCTGCTCTTGGGTATTCAGACATGTAAACAGTTAAAACTCAATGTAGAGTAAATGCTATAATGGACTACAAACAATGCGTCACAGAAGTATGTAAGATAAGGATCAAACCCAAACTTGAGGGATTAGGAAAAGCTTTCTAGAGGAAATTACATCTCAGCTGAAACCTTAATGCTAAATAGGAGGGAGCTAGAAGAAGGAGGCAGAAAGAGTGTTTGAGGCAGGAGAGCCTGGTGAGACTTGGGATGAAAACACTTCATAAGCAGAGTATGGAGTGGGGAGAGCGGAAGCTGCCATGATGAGCAGAGGCCAAGTTCAGAAGGGCCTTGAAAGCCATGCCAATGAGTTTAGGATTTGTCCTTAGAGCTTGATTGAAATAGTAATCTAGTAAGTGAATAATAAGGCCTAGGGTTATAGGAAGTCATTGATAACTTTTTAAAAATGGAGCTATTTAGTCAGACATGTTTTAGAATACTTTCTCTGGTTGTAGTATGGAGAGCAGGTGGAGAGGACTCAAGACTAGAGACAGGCAGATTTTGGCAGCTGAGTGAGAGGCAACCATACCCTGCAGCAGAGAGATAGCCATGGGGATAGAGGGATGTGGGCTGACTCAGGAGATCATTATGAGAAAAAATGTCCAGATCTTGGTGTTTAGTTGGATATGAAGGGCATGAGAGAACAAGAAGTTCAGGGTGACTGCCAGGTTTCTGTCTTGTCTTAATGAATAGAAATGGTGCCACTCACTGAGGAAGGAGGACTAGGATGAGGTAGATATGTAAGTTCAATTTTAGGCATGTTAAGTTTTAGGTACCTGTGGGATAATCAAAAAAGCTTAGAAAGCTGTAGTGTAGAAATTTCTAAATCTCAACTTCCTCATATTCATTCTTCAAGCTGACCTGCATACAAACTCTGATGTCTACCAATTAGTCTTTCCTTTTTCACCTTTCACATTGCCCTTCTCCACTTTACAAAAGAAAAGTGTACTTCCCCCATCCTAAGTTGTATTTTGATGCATTGCTCCAGGGTGTAAAAACACTTGGGGCATCAAAAAGAGGGACAAATCTAGAATACCACTTTCTTGAGGGAAAGTCTCTTGAAAGTAAAATAAAAAAAAACTTCAGAGAGAAATATTTGAGGGGATCTTGTTTTATCCAGGAGACAAACTCAAGATAAGAATTTGTCTATCCATCCATGTCTTGTTTTATTCATCTATCCACCAGCTATCTACCCAACAATCAACCATCCATTTAAAAATCAATTAACCTATCTTAGAATACAGAAGTATTCCACAGATGCATGACTGTATGAATTTTAAAATAAAATTGTACTGGTTCTGATGAAAAGTAACCCTGATTTGGCTGATTAGTTTCACAATGTGGCCTGATTATCTGAAAGACGTGTTCTATAAATAGAATGAGCTAAATCTACAACTCCAAGACTTGGATAAAAATATATTTAATGTACATATATAATATAAGCCATAAATACATCCTTTGAAACTATTTCACTTTATGTGTTAAAAATTTTTAGATTTTGATTTCAAAATATGTGAGAAATAGTTTTCCAAAATCTTTTGAGAGCATGAGAACAAAAATGTTTGGACAAGTGCTTAGTCCATTGCTTCAGTTACCTCCCTATAAGTGTCCTATTTACCTTCTCTCATTATATTCCACTCATAACCAGCCAGAAAATACCTACCGTGCCTGCTATTTCCTTGGCTAAGCTGAAGTCTTGAGCATGGCTGGAGAAAAAAAAACCTCATATAATCATATTGGTGCCACTATGATGTCATTGCATTCAACTTGTACTGGGGTCCTCAATGCTATTTTGCAATTCATGTGTGTTTTTTAGCTTTCTTCTATTTCCCACAGCTTCCATCTGAAACATTTCACAAGCTCCTCAGACTTACAACTCCCACCACCTCCCACCGTAACTTCAGCCAGCCAACATGCTGTCTGTTGCCAGCCCCGCCCCCACCCTGAAATATCTGTTCTTGGGATTCTATCCCCTCTTGCCTCCTCAGGAATCTTTTTTCTTTTAATTATTCACCCCCACCTCCATCCCTCTTACTTGATCTTCAAACTGTTCTTCCCATCTGCATTTAAATATACTCTGGTCTCACCCATTAAAACAAACAACATCAAAAAACCCAGAAAACACACAAAATATATACCTCTCCTTGGATCTCTTATCTATCTGGCACCATCTCATTGCACTGCTCTCCCCACATTCCAACTTCCCTAAAGTGGTGTGTACGTTCTGGCCCTCTTCCCCTTGCTCTTAATGATGCGGTTTCTGCCTTCACCACCCCATGAATGCTGCTCTCTCCAAGGTTACTGACCTATTCCTTACTGCTAAGTCCCTTCAACTTATGGCAGTGCAGCCTCTTCTGAGCATTCCCTTCTCAAACATTTTCTTCCCTCAGCTTCCTTGGCACCACCCACTTTCCTATTTTTAAAATTTCTTCAAAGCACTTTATTATGTTTACAGATAATGTATACATATATACATATATGTGTATATATGTATACATATACATACATACCAATATGAGGATGAAACTGGTTCCAAGAGCATTTAAGGAACAATGATATATATAGTACAGCAGGAAAGACATTAAAAGGATATTAGAATAGGATAGCTGGGTTGGATACAACATTGGTTAGTGGCCCACGGGACAACAGAACAGCCATCTTTAAGGTTATCTTTTTTACTTAACAAAAATCTACAATTTAACATATAATTCCATAGTGTCTAGTCTCTAATCAAATAGGAAATAGCAAAGTCAAACATGAGTAATCAGATAAATTGTCATGAAGTGGACTATTGAAATAATATACCAGTAGACATCAAAAGGGCTTGCTCTACCCTTTTATCCTTATTTTCAAGTTTTATACTTTTTTTTTTAACACTGGCATTACCTAGTTACTGTACTTAGCATAGGATAAATTATGTTTCATGCTTTTTGCAGATTCTAAGGCTTTCTAAAATTTGTTGATTTACATGTGTGTTATTATATACTCAATTAGCGCTCCTAAAGTTAGACAGGGTTTCAGTAATGCCAATATTCTAAAAGCCAATAACCTAAAAATGCATAGGTTAAGAAAGACAAAGGAACATTTTTTGCTAAGGAAAGAAATCAGGAATGGGGAAAAAACAGGAGCATATTGTGATACTTTTGCGGCAGTCTTATTAATCTCAGAAACGACTTCCCTATAACCAATTACCTGTACTGTGAATTCTGTAATGCACCACATGAAATAATAGTAAACACTTATATTGTCAATTTTGTAAGATATTTTCTCAGAAATAGCCATGCTTATTATCTCAACAACCTTGTAGTTGGAGCAGACATATTATGCCTCTCATTTTAAGAATAGAGAGTGTGAATTAGGAAGTGCTTCAGCAACAGGGCCAAGACTGTAAATCAAAGGTGCTGTCTTGACTCTAATCTATTGGATCTGACAGGCTGGAGATGGTTATAAAAGCAGCCCCCAGTTTCCAGACAAATTATGTTCCTAAGGATCATTTGTAGGTCAGTTGTTTTGAACTCGACACATTTTTCTATAGAAATTGTGTGATGAATGAAGGTTATGTCTCCAGTTCAGTCTGCCAAAGCCTTTAACCCACAATGTGTCCATACTTCAGTGATACAGAGCCTCCTCATCATTTGTTTCTATTAGTTCAGGGCTTTCATTTGGGATGTAGGGAGCACATTTTCCTGTGCTCTACCCGTGTCCACTTCAGCACCAGAGCTAAGGGGTGTGAACTTTTCCAGCTTCATACAGCGAATGGTAGCTCTGGGTGTGGTTGAGTAGACAGAGGCTCTTACCAGGGGTGCCCAAGGGCACTCAATTCAGAATCACTGGAGAGAGCCCTGACACAGGTGTCTGAGCAGGACAGAGACTGGAACTTTAGGGGGATGAGTTTGAGGAGGGGATGCCGAAGACTGGGTCGCAGGTAGTGTTGACAATAGTAGACAGTTCTAAAAGTGGTAGACCTCAGGAGTGGGAGGGTAGTGCCTATCTCTTAGGTTGTAGAATAGCTTGTTAAATGAAACCCAAAGAACAGGTATGCAGGTACAGGGTGAGAAAGAACAAAGTTGCTTTTTGCTATCTTCCTGAGTTCAGCTCATTCAATAAACTCATTGCATTTGTTTAAATCTTCTCGATGATTTTATAAAATGTATTGTCACTGCAATGGAAAATTAAACAATATTGAAAAGTACAAAGAAAAATGTAAAAGTCACCCAAATCTCTTCATTCATAGGTAAGCATTATTAGCTTAAAGGTTTCAATCAGAATTGGAAAACTATTTCAGACATAACTCTAGAAACTATTCCAGAAACTTCCCAGTAAGGGAGCCTAGGGCCCAAGCCTCAATGGTTAATAATTTTAACATTCCTTCCCAATCATTTTCTCAGATTAGGTAGTGCTGCAGACTTTCTCTAGCCTTTACTTTCTGTCTAATATGTAATTGTGTGATTATTTGAACTATGTAATAGTTTTTCTTGGAATTTGCTATTATCTTGTCACCTTTGTCCAAATTGATATGTAAGAACTGTGGAGAAATGGAGGAAGATTCAATATCAAAAAGTTTGAGCTAAATGTCACAAAATGCTGAACAGTAAATGAGGCCATGTGCCTGTTCGTGTTCTCCCCAGCACCAGGCTATGCCATTTTTTTTTTTAAAATATTGACCTGTCTAATAAGGGGGAAATGTTTCCCAATCTTAGGTAAGTTTATTCATCTGTGAAATGGAGATGATGACAGTATTTATTTTCTTGGGCTATTGAGAAGATCAGTTGAGTTAATACATGAGAAAACAGTAGGCCAGTGCCCAGAACATGGTACACTCTCAACAAATGTTAACTGTTCTTAAATTTTTTGTATGTAAAACAAAGGGGCAAACTAGGTGATCTCTGTGGCCCCTCTAGAGCTATAACTCTAGATCCATGACACTGAAAATGTATAGCTGTCCTTTTTTGGCCCATAATTTAAAAAAAATGAGTACACAGCAGGTTTAAAATGGCAAAAATGAAGGGAGTAATTGCTCTCAATTTAAGACGTATCTGCAGTAAAATTAAACAGGAGACTGTAATATAAAATAACATAACCTGTAAGCATTGGCTATTACGTATTCAAAGGCATTATTAAGCCACTAGAATACAGCTGACATTTAAGTCCACCTGTTTAGCTACACTACAGTCTTACCAAGGAAGATAGAAAAATAGCTGGAAACCTTACACATAAATTCTATAGAACATGAGGAACAGTTATCAACTGTCGTTCATCTCAGCCTCTACTGAAAATCAGCAACTTTTATGTAAAAGTCAAATGTAAATATTTGAAGCAATGTTTGAAAAAAATGGACCATAACAAGCTTACAGAGTTAGGGCTGTTGACCTGCCAATATTTAGCTCTTCCAAGCCAAGTCTTTGTAAGCTCAGCTCAGTAAATTCAAATATTGAGCATAGTCCTTTGTATATGGGAAGTTTCAGTGCTCCAGAGTTATTCATTTTACCCTAGGAAGCAAAATCCCTGATATTAAAGGAACTATCTGACATAAGTTTGGAATTATAGAATCCTAGAGTTTAAAGAGGCTTAGCAATCTAACTTTTTCTATGATATTCCTAATGAGAATTTGAATTCTGCTTAAATCCTACTGAAAGTTATGGTAGATGTTCCAAGTGCTAACTGAAGCTTCTGACATCCTTCCTTTTACAGCTGTCTCATCTCCTTGAAATTATACATGGCCATGGACTGCTTTGGCCAATGAAATTTAAGTGAAGTGATGTGAATCACTTCCAGGCAGAAGCATTTAAGAGCTGATTTATGATTCAAGCTCTGTTTCCTTGCCACAGTGGCCGCTGGAGACTTGTGTTTAGATGGCAGTGTCATAGGATGGTGGATCTTCTGTCATCTTGAGTCTTTGAAGGCTACAATGCGTAGGATCTTTTGTGACCTGTGCTGGACAAATAAAGTAGTATAAATAAGAAACAAACTTTTTTTGATATACCATTGAGATTTGGGGGTTCTTTGTTGCTACAGCACAAACTAGACTAACTTGATTGATACTTTATAAAACTCTGCTTTTATGTAAGCCCCTTTTATAGCTGGATACCTGGATAGAAACATTATTTTAATGTTACATTTCATATTGAGCTAAGATATAACTCCATATAAGATTAAATTTAATCTTTTTCTGATGTCTGGAGCAGAAGAGAATTGCAACTTTTGTTCTTCCACTTGACAGTCCTTCAAATATCAGAACATAAATGTTATGGTCCCCACACCCTCTCTCTGCAAAGAAACCCTGTTTTCCCCTTGACACATGGTTTCTGGGCTTTTCACCATCCTGGTTACTCTTTGGATAACTTTTATTTTGCCAGTGTTCCATTAAAGCATAATGTCTAGAATGGAATTCTTACAAAATTAGATACTGCAGGAGAGATCATTGCATGGCTTTTCTGAGGTTTGTGATGATGGAGAGTTATATTTATTTATTAAAAGTACATTATTTTAGACCATATTTGAAGTTGACATTTTAAGGTGGCTTCCAGCACTGAATTTGGTTCAGGAAGGGTTTGTCCATCCTCAATCTCAATTGGAAGATGATAACCTTTAGAAAGCAACAACATCAGGAACATAGTGTGGACCACATCTGAGGTCCAGCTATGGACAAAATGAGTGTTATTGAAGATTTCCAGTGGGACAGTAATAAGGATATATTGTGTTACAGAAAAATAATTATGGAAAAAATTTAAAAGAATAATCACTAGGTGAAGCATACTTGGGAAGGGGTGAGAGAGAAAGGCAAAGAGAACAATCAATTAACCAATGAATCAACACAATTTATTAATTGCCTACTAAATGTAAGACACTGAGCTACATGGGTTGGCCCACTGGTGAACAAAACTTATATATGAAAATAGGAAGGAGTAGGTGGATAGTAAAAATGGTCAACAGATATGACATTCTAATTAGTACTGTAGTATGTGTAAGTGAACAAACTGAAAGGACAGGAGGCTGATGTCTGAGGATAGGATTTTTAAAGTAGGAATTTGAAAAGGAACAGTTTCTAGTGATGACAAAGTCAATGAAAGTACAGAAAACCCATCTCAAGTGACTTAAAGACAAACAGAAAAGTCCACAAGTAAAGTTGTTTCAGGAACTATTCAATCAGGTCTTGGTTCTACATTTTCTTTTTTCCTGTTTCTTTGGTTCTTCTTTCCTTTATATGTTAGTTTTTTCTTTAGGCTGATTTTCCTCCTGGTTGCAAGACAGGTATCAGCAGCAATGGTGAATCCATTCTTCCTAGTTTGCCTCTCGTGGAAGAAAAAGTGTCCATTTCCTGCAACCACTGAACAAAAGTTTTGAGCTTCACTCTGATAAGATTATGCCTAAGGCCATCAATGTGGCCAGGTAAATGCATACACTAATTCTAGAGGTAGAACTAAAGTCAGTTTATCAAAAAGTTGACTTTAGGGCATAAGTAGGGGGATGGGTCACTGTTGAAAAAAATTGAAGTATAGTTAACAAGGGCACATGATAGAATGAATGCTGTGTTGGTAACTCACAGATGTCCACAATAAGTTGTACAGAAAAATGGGACCAGATTCAGAGAGGTATAGATTTTTACAAACACATTGGGGTGGGAATGATTGAGAAGGTACTATGGGGAATGAAGAAGACACTGATATGAACTCCTTACCCTTAAATATATGAGGATGAAAAGAATGAGCAACCTTGATACAAGGGGCACAGGGAAAGCAGTTCAGGGGAGAACACATTTTTAGCTAAGGGAAAATAAGTGGAGATACAGTCATGGACAGTGGGTTTTGAGAGGCCCTGGGCAAGCCTTGTGGTTTAGAAATGGCAGCAGAGAAGTGGTGATATCATTAGTTCATATATGGAATGTTGCAGGAGGAGAAGGCCTTGCTAGATCTTTCAACATTGTCACCTGCAGATGGAGGATTTCCAGACATTTGATCTGCAACTCAGAAAAGAGGGCTGTTTAGGAGGACATTTGTATTTTGGAAGAAAGTGAGAAAGGGGTTGGAGCAGTTTAGCAGGAGGGAGAAAATGGGAGAGAACTTTCCTTTATGAAGTCTTCTCTGGTTTTCTTCAGTTCGATGTTCTCTATTACATAGGTAGCTATTTTCCAACTGATAAAAAATATAGTTAATGCTAACTAAAAGCAGGAGTGCATTATTTTGAAATCTTTGAGTGAAGAGCCAATTTCTGAGACTCCAAATTCCAATAAACAGCACTTTGTTAGCATTCATAACCATTTATGTATTTATCACTCACATACTTGCATACAAGTAGAACTAGTTTCTCCTCAAGTGGGACATGACAGGTACGTGTTGCTTTTGATGCTCTGGCCACAAGAACACCTGTTCTTGCTTAGCATCTCTTTGTACTTTGGGGATTTGTAGCTGTTTCTTTCAATTCAGCTGAGAAGTAACATGAGGCTTAGATCCACAAATCCACCTCCTGGGAGCTGGACGCCCATCTCCATTTGGCTCTGTAGGGTCAAGATGTCATTGATGGTGCAAGTGCCTGTGCCTGCGCTGCCCTCTCACAGCACACCTCCTCCTTTTAGCCATCTTCACAAATCACTAGTTAGGCACCACTCTGCTGCAGGCTGGGGGAGCTTCCCTTCCTGATTCTCCTTGCCCATGCAGTGCTTATTGCTTTCTTTGGCTTGGGCTTCCCTCCATGCTCTTGTTCACATTATTGATACATGTTATCTCCTCAAGCTTTAAGTAGTTTCCCACATTGCATCCTCTCACATTCTTATTCTTATGTTAGATTTATTTTAATTATTATATTTGAATATATGATTCAATAATATTCCACATTTCTGCCTAATATTTGTTTTTTTTTCTTTTAGTATTTATCAGTTTCTGCCTTATGTGGTTGATTGTATGTCTGTCCTATCTGAGTTCATGCATCTAACAGTCATACTACTGTAACCATCATATCTTCACAAAAAAAAAAAGTGTTCTGCTTTCTATACTTGAGTACAAGATCATTTCCTCGGCCCTGTATTCTCTGCAGTACCAGCACAGTGCCTTGGGTATCATGGTCACTCAAATATTTGATCAAGTAAGTTTATAGATAAATGCCTATCTAATATATTAAATCAGAAGATGGGGATAATGAAGTATAGCTTGCTTTTAAATAGAATTTTTTAATGTTATTATTAAGCCAACTATTTTATGTCTCATTGCTTTTAGGAGCAAGGTAACATATTTCATACTTTGGCATTGGTTTCAGTAGCAGGGGGAACAAACTTACAGCTTGCTATGAGTTGTTCTGTGGTCAGAACAAAAGTTGCTAATGATCAAGCACTTATCTAGTAAGGCTAGTTTTTTTTCTCAAGATATTTCTCAATACTGTATTATTGACAACTACTCCAAGTAATTAGAATAGGCATATAATATTGAACATTTCAATGGTTTACTACACTTAGGGAGAATATTATAGAGAAGATGTGAGTCCTGACTTACGATTTTAAAAGCTCTTCTCTATTCAAGGGGCAGAGTTCTTGTGGAAGGAATGAGTCCAGTGTGGTCTGTGGTGTGCATGAGAAAATAAGCAGCAAAGGGTAAGATTTTTTTTAAAAAATATAATAAGTTGGCTGAATCCTGAAATATTATAAATCTCATGTGAATAGTCCTTAACTGCAGACATGGAATATACCCAGATTTTGAGAAAATGCTATAATTCTTATACCTCATGAATACTCCGGGGAAGACAATCCTTCAGGTTATTTCCCCAGTAGGTTCTTCAAGAAATATGTTATAAACAGTAATGTTGAAAGTTTTACTGACTGATGCAATTAAATTTATTCCTTTTTTTTTAAAACTTTTCTCTCTGCTATAATGTAATATTCTTTAGTCTATGTTTTATTATCCTTCACATTAAAAAAAGGATAATGCTACTATGAACACAATGGCTGTTCATCTAATGGAACATTTGTTAGTTTTACAAGACTGTCTATGTAAACAATCATTAATCTTTGGAATACTGAGATAAAAACCTTAGCAATACTCAGTTATTAATTTTTAAAGATACTGTAAAACTGAGTTATAGTGGCAGAAAACCCATAAAACAAAGTATTAAAATCTTTTTTTAATGTTACGTATACGGAAAAATAGGAATTTGGTTCAAATATCTTTGCTGTCTTCAACTTTTTTTTTTATATTCTCATTGGTGATCTAAATTTATATATGTAAGAATAGTCAATCTCCTAAACTAGGGAAACTTTACTATGGCAACAAAGAGTAAACATTTTATTGGAGGAAAATTTTGCTCTAACTTTTACCACTCAAGAAGTATAGTATTATTAAGAAGATGTTTAAACAGATCTATTAAAAGTTTAGATTTTTCAAAGATTTCCTAACAGAATAATTTTAAGATTAAGATGATTGCAATATAGATTTTTTTCCCCTGGGGCAAATACTAAGAAAGTGCCTAACATTAAGATGTTAAAGACATTTAATCCCAGAAATAGAGAAGCATAAAATTGAAGGTATGACAATAGGAACTGATTTGTTAAAATGGCCAAATCAATAAAGGTTAATGTCAAAGAACTATGCATTCTGATGAATTCTCATGGCCAAGCAGATTGATCGGTGTTTCATTTCCTTATCATTTCATTTATTTTCAAAGTTTTGAAATTGAACCATGTGCTTCAACTGATGAAAATTATATTAACTTTGTGAGATATGAAATTCACAGCTTCTTTACATGGAGTAATGAGAAATAAATTCTATGACTTTAAAGATGTAAAACCTATTTTAAAAGCCTTTTAAAAAGATGTAAAACCTATTAATAGCTAAACAAAGTAAAAACATTTTAAAGAAATTATATGATTTGTTTTTTAATTTTTAGCATATGTTATGTTGACTCTTAGAACAACGGAAAAACTATCGACATTTGTTCATCTAAAAATTTACTTCTAAACATATTCTCAATTATTAAAGAAATGCACCAATATATTAATCTTTATCAGACTATTTTACTGAAATAGAATTGATATAATGTTGTTTAATATAATCAGAAAGCATAGTAGAAATACATAGTACCCTATTATATCTTATTGCCCAAGGAAGAAACTTAATGAGGAAAATTTAAAGTGGCATTCAAAGAGCAAAATTCTTCATGAAACTTACTTAATTTTCTAGTAGAATGATGTTTACCTATATTTAATACAAAAGGAAATTACAAATTATTAATGGAAGGTTAAAATTGGGTATCACTATTATGATACACAAAATGATGGCTTCCTGAAGTTGTTCATGTCCTAGTCCCCAAAATACATGAATATGTTACATTATATAACAGAGGGTAATTAAGATTGCAGATGAATTTAAGTTTGCTAATCAGGTGACCTTAAATTCAAGAGATTATCCTGGATTATCCATGCTGGTCCAATGTGACCACAAGAGTTTTTAAATGTGCAAGAAGGGAAAGAGTCATTGGCAGAATAAATGCAATGTGAGAAAGACTACAATGGCCATTTCTGCTTTGATGATGGAAAGGGGCCAGAATCTAGGAAAGGCAAATAGCTTGTAGAAGCTGGAAAAAGCAAGTAAACAATTCTTTCCTAGAGCCTCCACAACAAATCCAGCCTTGCCAATATCTTGATTTTAGGCCAGTGAGACCCATTCAGACTTTTCACCTCCAGAACAGCAAGATTATAGATTTGTATTATTTAGGTCACCTAAATTTGTGGTAATTTGTTACAAATTTGTAACATGTTGGGTGATGGGTGCATCAAAATCTCAGAAATCACCAATGTCATAACAATAATTACAACAATAATAACAAAATTATTATGATGTTGTATCAATTTCCTATCATTGTTGTAACTACAATTTTTCTGGAAATTTTAGGATTAAAATTTTGAGACCAATTAAAGGAGAGGGACCTAGCAATAGTGGTAGCCACAGTTACTATTAGCCACGTTAGCTACTTTGTTAGAGTTTATGAAGTTCTTTTATGTATTTCATGGGCGCTTTATTATAATTCAGCCAAGTAGAAGTGGCCACGTTGATGTTCCTTAACAGCTAAGGAAACAGAGCCTCAGACAGATGATGTGGCACATAAAGATATGACACTCAGTCCCTGGACTTTCCTCTATAGATTCTGGGCTCTTTGGCCTGTGTGTTGGTACCCAGCACAGGTAGGCACAGAGAAGACTTTTAACAGAATTGAAACTTGTTTCTATTCCCAAGGTCTCAATGACAATTTGGAGAGTTGGCAGCTACTTGGGTTTCAAACCAGCCTTAAAAGTTCTGAACGTCTTTGAATCTGCTCTTCATAAATCTTCCAGGGTTTTGTTTGTGGGTAGGTGACTACAAGGAAATTACAGTTTCTTGTGAGTTTCTATTATGACCTTGAGAAAATAGTAAACAACTTCATTTATTTCCTGAGCTAAGAGAATCTCATACTTCAGTTGCTAGGAAAATTGAGAGAACAAATGACTTTCCTTCCTAGGGAGAGTTTCCTTTTTTCAAGTTTCATGTTTCAATTTATTTGGATAATTCATTTTATTTTAAATTTAATATTACTGAACTAATTCCATTTTTAACTTATGATTTATATCAGTCATGGAGTAAGAAGTTCGAAGCCATTATTAAAGAATGGCCGTGGGTAAAATGATTGGATTCTGCCATGGAACATGGTAAGCTAGTGGGCCAGTATTGTGTAGTAATTTTAAGTGCAGAATGCTTGAGTTTTAATTCTGGGATCCCCCTTCCTAGCTGTGTGACTTTGGGCAAGCTGTTTATCTCTTTGTGCTACAAATTGTTTATCTGTAAAATAGGAGTTTTAAAAGTTATTAACTTGCTGGATTTACATGATAATTAATTGAGGTAATATACGGAAAGTTCTTAGAACAGTGCTAAGTGTTAGTTACATGATTCCTGTTTAAATAATTCATTACTATTAAAAGGGAAGAGAAACTACCTTCAAAAATAGTACTGTCTAGCCTTAATATAATTAATCTGTCTGACCCTAGCTACCACTATAACCAAGGTAAATTTTTTGCAAGTCATAAGAAAACTAATGATTATCTGATACTCCAAAAATTTGTTTCCTAAAAAATCAAAGATTTTGTCTTCAAATTGGAGCTGTTTAACCATCCGTTAATGGAGACAACCACATGGAATTTAAAAAATGTGATAGGTAGAGCAAATTATCATTGAGTTCTTAGTAGAACATTTTCTCCACATTTCTCTGTTGTATACACCATCAGGAGGAATAAACAATTTCACAAAGTTGCCAAAATGTTAGCATTTTTACTGAAAACGCCTAGTCATAGTTTTGTTTTCTGCAAGTTATTTTAAAAATTGGTGACATTATTCATAAGCAAAAAGAATCATTTTATGTAGTATGTGGCATTCTATACCTGAAACAAAAACAACAACAACAGTGGAACAAATCTGCAATGTAAAAAATAGGTAAAAATAAATATCTTATTAGAAACAAAATAGGCAGTGCTTTTAAGGCACATGTTCAAATAATAAGCAAAAAATAAAAATGTTATTTGATTAAAGAGATGTTTAGCTCTCAGGAAGGCAGTAGTGATTCTAAATCAATGGGATAAATATCAGCAATAACAAAGGTGATTAATAAACTACTTTTTGTTAAATATATAATTGTTTATTGGAGAAACTGGAATTCTTAATTTTAGCATTATTAATTTCTTCGTGGAAAATAGAGCCTCATTTTATCTCAACATTTAAATAGAGTCATATTTTTAAAGATATTTATTGTTATTATTTTTTATTTCAATAGTTTTTGGGGAACAGGTGGTGTTTGCTTACATGGATAAGTTCTTTAGTGGTGATTTCTGAGATTTTGATGTACCCATGACCCTAGCAGAGTACACTGTACCCAATATGTAGTCTTTTATCTCTCACTTGGCTTCCTTTCCACCCTTCCCCCCAAGTCCCCAAAGTCCATTGTATCATTCTTATGCCTTTGCATCCTCATAGCTTAGCTCCCACTTATAAGTGAGAACATATGATGTTTGGTTTTCCATTCCTGAGTTACTTCACTTAGAGTAATGGTCTCCAGTTCCATCCAGGTTGCTGCAAATGCCATTATACTTTCCTTTATATGGCTGAGTAGTATTCCATGATATATATATATCACATATATATCATATGTGTTACGTTAACACATAGATATACATAAATATCTATATATATCAGATTTTCTTTATCCACTCATTCATTGATGAGCATCTGTGCTGGTTCCATATTTTCGCAATTGTGAATTGTGCTGCTATAAACATGTGTGTGCAAGTGTCTTTTTCATATAACTTCTTTTCCTTTACGTAGATACCCAGGAGTGGGATTGCTGGATCAAATGGTAGATCTACTTTTAGTTCTTTAAGGAATCTCCATACTGTTTTCCGGTGTGCTTGTGCTAGTTTACATTCCTACCAGCAGCGTAAAAGTGTTCCTCTTTTACCACATCCATGCTAATATCTATGATTTTTTGATTTTTAAATTATGGCCATTGTTGCAGGAGTAAGGTGGTATTGCATTGTGGTTTTGATTTGCATTTACCTGATTATTAGTGATGTTGAGCATTTTTTCATATGTTTGTTGACCATCTGTGCATCTTTTGAGAATTGTCTATTCAAGTCCTTAGCCCACTTTTTGATGGGATTATTTGTTTTTTTTCTTGCTGATTTATTTCAGTTCCTTGTAGATTCTGGATGTAAGTCCTTTGATGGATGTATGGTTTGTGAAAATTTTCTCCCACTCTATGGGTTGTCTGTTTACTCTGCTGATTACTTCTTTTGCTGTGCAGAAGCTTTTCAGTTTAATTAGGTGCCATTTATTTATTATTGTTTTTGTTGCACTTGATTTGGATTCTTAGTCATGAACTCTTTGCCTAAGCCAATGTTCAGAAGAGTTTTTCCAATGTTATCTGCTAGAATTTCTACGGTTTCAGGTCTTAGATTTAAGTCTTTGGTCCATCTTGAGTTGATTTTTGTATAAGGTGAGAGATGAGGATCCAGTTTCATTCTTCCACATGTGGTTTGCCAATTATCCCAGCACCTTTTGTTTAAGAGGGTCTGCTTTTCCCACTTTATGCTTTTGTTTTCTTTGTTGAAGATCAGTTGGCTGTAAGTATTTGGCTTAATTTTTGGGTTCTTTATTCTGTTACATTGGTTTATGTGCCATTTTTATACCAGTACCATGCTATTTTGGTGACTACACCTTTGTAGTATAGTTTGAAGTCAGGTAATGTGATGCCTCCAGATTTGTTCTTTTCACTTGGTCTTGCTTTGGCTATGTAGGCTCTTTTTTGGTTTCATATGAATTTTAGGATTGGTTTTTCTAGTTCTGTGAAGAATGATGTGGTATTTTTATGGGAATTGCATTGAATCTGTAGATTGCTTTTGGCAGTATGGTCATTTTTTCAATATTGATTATACCTATCCATGAGCATGGGACGTGTTTACATTTGTTTGTGTAGTTTGTGATTTCTTTCAGCAGTGTTTTGTAGTTTTCCTGGTGAAAGTCTTTCACCTTCTTGGTTAGGTATATTCCTAAGTATTTTATTTTTTGTTGCAGCTATTGTAAAAGGGGTTGAGTTCTTGACTTGATTCTCAGCTTGGTTGCTGTTGGTGTGTAGCAGTGTTACTAATTTGTGTACATTGATTTTGTAGCCTGAAACTTTACTGAATTCATTTATCAGAGCCATGAGCTTTTTGGATGAGTCTTTAGGGTTTTCTGGGTATATGATCATATCATCAGTGAACAGTGACAGTTTGACTTCCTCTTTACCAATTTGGATGACCTTTATTTTTTTCTTTTGTCTAATTGCTTTGGCCAGGACTTCTAGTACTATGTAAAATAGAAGTGGTGAAAGTGGGCATCCTTGTCTTGTTCTGGTTGTCAGGGAAAATATTTTCAACTTTTCCTCATTCAGTATAATGTTGGCTTTTATTACCTTAAGGGCTATTTCTTCTATGCCAGTTTTGCTGAGGGTTTTAATCATAAAGGGATGCTGGATTTTGTCAAATGCTTTTTCTGTGTCTATTGAGATAATTATATGATTTTTTAAAATTCTGTTTATGTAGTGTATCACATTTATTGACTTGCATATGTTAAACCATCCCTGTATCTGTGGTATGAAACCCACTTGATCATGGTGGATTATCTTTTAGATATGCTGTTGGATTTGGTTAGCTAGTATTTTGTTGAGAAGTTTTGCATCAATGTTCATCAGGGATACAGGTCTGTAGGTTTTGTTTGTTTGTTTTTGTTATGTCCTTTCCTGTTTTGGTATTAGGGTTATACTTGCTTCATAGAATGATTTAGGGAGGATTCACTCTTTCTCTATCTTTTGGAATAGTTTCAGTAGGTTTGGTACCAATTCTTTTTTAAATATCTGATAGAATTAAGCTAGAATCCATCTGGTCCTGGATGGACTTTTTTTTGTTGGCAATTTTTAAAATTACCATTTAATCTTGCTGCTTGTCCTTGGTCTGTTCAGAGTTTCTATTTCTTCCTGCTTTCATCTAGAAAAATTGTATATTTCCAGGAGCTTATTCATTTCCTCTAGGTTTTCTAGTTTGTGTGCATAAAGGTATTCACAGTGGCTTTGAATGATTTTCTATATTTCTGTGGTATTGGTTGTAGTAGCTCCCATTTCATTTCTAGTTGAGCTTATTTGGATCTTCTCTCTTCTTTTCTTTGTTAATCTTTCTAATGGTCTATTGATTTTGTTTATGTTTTCAGAGAACCAGCTTTTTAAAAATTTATATGTCGTGTTTTTTTTGGTTTTAGCTCTGCTCTGATATTTATTATTTATTTTCCTCTGCTGGGTTTGGGTTTGGTTTGTTCTTTGGTTTGAAGTCCTTTTAGCAGTACTTGTGGTGCTGGCTTGGTAGTAGCAAATTTTCTCAGCATTTATTTGTCAGAAAAGGCTATCTTTCCTTCATTTATGAACTTAGTTTCACTGGATATAAAATTCTTCACTCATAGTTGTTTTGTTTAAGAAGGCTAAAGATAGGATCCCAATCCCTTCTAGCTTGTAGGATTTCTACTGAGAAATCTGCTGTTAATCTTATAGGTTTTCCTTTATAGGTTACCTGATGCTTTTGCCTCATAGCTCTTAAGATTCTTTCCTTCATCTTGACTTTAGATAACCTGACGACTATGTGCCTAGGTGATGATCTTTTTGCAACAAATGTCCCTGGTACTTTTTGAGCTTCTTGTATTTGGATGTCTAGATCTCTAGCAAGGCCAGAGTTTTCCTCGATTATTTCCTCAAATAAGTTTTCCAAACTTTTAGATTTGTCTTCTTCCTCAGCGACACCAATTATTCTTAGGTTTGATCATTTAACATAATCTCAAACTTCTTGGAGGCTTTTTTCGTTAAAAAAAATTTTTTTTCTTTGTTGGATTGGGTTAATTCAAAAGCCTTGTCTCCATGCTCTGAAGTTCTTTCTTCTACTTGTTCAATTATATGGTTAAATCTTTCCAGGGTATTTTGCATTTCTTTAGGTGTGTCTTTGATGTGCAGAAGTTGTGATTATTTTTTATTTATAATATCTCTTTATCTGGAGATTTTTTGGTCCATATCCTGTATTATTTTAAAAATTTCTTTAAATTGTTTTTCACCTTTCTGATGCCATCTTAAGTAGCTTAATAATCAATTTTCTGAATTCTTTTCCTGGCAATTCAGAGATTTCTTCTTGGTTTGGATCCATTGCTGGTGAGCTAGTGTAATCTTTCAGGAGAGTTGTAGAAACTTGTTTTGTCATATTACCAGAATTGTTTTTCTGGTTTCTTCTCATTTGGGTAGACTATGTCAGAGAAAAGATTTGGGACTCAAGGGCCACTGTTCAGATTCTTTTGTCCCATAGGGTCATCCCTTGATGTAGTCGTCTCCCCCTTCCCCTAGGGATGGGCTTCCTGAGAGCCAAGCCAGACTGCAGTGATTGTTATTGCTCTTCTGGGTCTAGCCACTCAGCAGAGCTACCAGCTTCTGGGCTGATACTAAGGAGTTTCTGCAAAGAGTTCTATGATATGATCTGTCTTCAGGTCTGTCAGCAATGGGTGCCAGCAACCTGCACTGGTGGAGGTAGCAGGGGAGTGAAGTGGACTCTCTGAGAGTCCTTGGTTGTAGTTTAATGCACTGGTTTTCTTGAATGCTGCTTATGCTAGCAGTGAGGTTGTCATGTGGACAGACTCAGGACCTCTGGTTAAGGATCTCCGAGTAGCCAGGATGCTGTAGGTGGTGGGATTAGCTGTTGTTTTCTCCTTCCTTGGAGCAGGGTTGTTCTGAGTTATTGTAATAGCTTGAGTTGGTTAGCCTCCAGCCAGTAGGTGGCGCTTTCAAGTGAGCATCAGCTGTGGTAGCATAGGGAGAATACAAGCTTGGCCTTAGGTCATCTGGATAAGTATTTGGTTTTCTCAGGGTTAGAGCATGGGGAGAGATGAGAAAGAAGACAAAACAAGAAAATGGCTTATCAGTTGAGACAGGTTTATTGAGAGTAAACCTCAGAAGGGCTTCTGGCTGGCAGGGTCAGGAGAAAACTTTTTTTTACAGCCTGAGGCTTTTTAAAAACGTACTAGTGGGGGAAGTGTTTTCTGAGAGAGGTTCCTATTGGGGCTCTGAGAGAGGTTCCTTATTGGGGAGGGGTTAGAGGAATGCTGGCTGGTTGGGACTGCTGGGGACTTTGATAAGCTTGGTTAGGGTGGTTATGTGCTGTTAAAGATATAGATGGGGCTGACTTTTGCAGTTTGGTCAGGTGGCAATGGCCAGTTCTGAGAAACTTGATACTTTAAGGTGGTGGAGTCTCGTTAAGATGGCAGTACTCTTGTCCTATCAATCTGGACTCTATGGTTAGATAAGGAGATGGGCCAGTGTACTTTTTCTGGCTACTTCCTGCTGAAAGGGGGCCATGAGATTGTTGGTTCTGGATTGACTGGAGGAGTAGCACCGTCTTCAGGTGTTCTGGGGTGGCAGCTTGTGAGATGGCTGTAATTCTGTTGGTAAGGAACATTTAACTAGGAACTGATTTGGTTTTCTTGTTGCTCCCTAATTCTTTTAACTCTTTTCTTAAGTTTTGAGCTGGCATCCCTTACCAAGCCTGACTGGTTGAGATAGAAGCAGCATTCTTCCTGTATGGAGAGGCAGAGACCTCCTCTGCTGTAAGGAGGTTGAGTCCTCTCCAGTTTTAGAGGACTACTCCAGCTAGGGAGTCTAGCAGGTCTTGAATTCTTACAAGGTCCTTGGCTATATCTACCAAGGATTCTTATAGGTCTGTGGAGAGAGCCTTAAAATATGAGAGTGAAGTGGCTAGTCCCCTAGCTTCTAAACCAATGCCTGAGCTGATGCACAAATTGAGTGGCTTCCTCCACCTTTCAGCTCTTGGCCAAAGCCATCCCTACCTACTTTTGTGCTAGGAACTGAAACCACCCCCCATCCAAAGTTACAGGGCCAACACCTGGCTTTAGCACTATAACTCAAACCCATCCCATTGTTTGGGATAAAATTCTCCATTCTTGGTGGCCCACCACTCCCCAATCAAAATTTCATTAAAGTATCCTTCTCGTACATCACTGTCCAACAGTATTTCCTCAGCCCTGATGGTTTCAAGGACTCAAGCCCATCATCTCCCGACTGTTAACTGCCAGTGTCCTCATTCCAACCCACTCCCTTCATAACACCCCTGTTCTTCTGGTCCAAAAACCAGATGGGTCCTACTGGCTCCTCCAGGACCTTCATCAAATCAGTTCTTCTGTCATTCCCGCACACCGAGTCGTCTTAATCCCTATACACTTCTCTCCAGAATCCCCCCTCATACCAGCCATTTTTCAGTACTAGACCTCAAAGATGCCTTTTTTTTACTATACCTCTACACCCTTCTCTTAAAATTTGTTTCACCTGAACGGATCCAGACACCAACCTCTCCCAACAGCTCACATGGACTGTCCTCCCCCAGGGTTTCAGGGACAGCCCTCACTTTTTTGGACAGGCCCTTCAAGCAAACCTCTCTAAGTGTTGGCTAACCCTAGCACCCTCCTCCAATATGTTAATGATCTACTACTCTGTTCCTCTTTGGAGGAACTCTCCATTCAGCATACTGTTACCCTTTTAAACTCCCTTGCCCTGGTAGAGGTTCCTATCAGGGAGGGGTTAGGGGAGTGCTGGCTGGTTGTGACTGCTAGGGACTTTAATAAGCTTAGTTAGGGTTGTTCTGCTCTATTAAAGATATAGGTGGGGCTGACTTTGCGGTTTGGTCAGGTGGCAACAGACAGTTCTGAGAAAGGGAAACTTGATACTTTAAGGTGATGGAGTCTTGTTAAGATGGCCATACTCTTGTCCTATCACTCAGGTGATGAATGGGGCCACAGAGCTCCCACAAATTTCTATGTTTTGTTTTTGCCTACCAGAGTGGGTAGAGAAAGACCATCAGGTGGTGGCATATTAGGCATGTCTGAGTTAAGACTCTCCTTGGGTGGGGCTTGTTGTGGCCACTGTGGGGGATGCGGGCTGGTTCTCAGGCCAATGGAGTTATGTTCCAGGGGAGATTATGGCTGCCTCTGCTGCTTTGTACAGGTTTCCAGGGAAGTAGGTGAAAGCTGGCACTGAGAGGCCTCACTTAGCTTCCATGCAGCCAGTAAGGCTAGTCTCACTTCTGCCATGCTTCCCCAATAGCCAACAGAGCTGAATTTATATCCAGGCTTCTGATATGCAGGGCTGTGATCTTGCCCCAGGCTACCAGCCTCCCTGCTGAGAAAGCAAGCAGGGCTTTCAGGCCATGCCCCTCCCTGCCTGCCATGGCTTCTGTGCTTGACTCTGCACTTCCCATTCACTGCCCCCCTGGATTCTGCCTGGGAAAATTTGTGCTTGGTCAAAATTATTACAAAGTTCAGCTGGAAGTCTCCTTCTCCCTGTGGTCATTCCCTAGTTACCCTGGCTGCCCTCCCCAAGGACCCCTGTGAGAAAAAGTCAGAAATGGCTTCGCTGGGTTTTTCTGGGGACTGGGAGTGCCTGTAGGGCTCTTCCTGCTGCTTCTTGTACTTTTATATTTCACTCAACTCTCTAACTTTGTTTCAGCTCTAGGTAAGGTTAAATCCTTCTTCTGTGATCTAGATTTTCAGGTTCCCCAGTGAGGATGTGTGTTGGGAGGTGGACTTTCATACTTTCACACTTTGGGCACTCACAGTTTTTTGGCTGTCTCACAGAGTTTGCAGTGGCAAGCTACTTCTTTCAAAGGGTCTGTGAATCTTTCAGTTTTCCTGGTATGTTCCTGTGGTGGTTCTTGGAGCAAATGTTTATTATGTGAATCTCCATATGCTGTTCTGTCCATCTGAGTGGAAGCTGCAAGTTAGTCCTGCGTCCTATCTGCCGTTTTTTGCTTTTTTCCTTAAATATATTTTCCTCTATAACATGACTCATGCAGTTTATGTCATATAAACTGCAAAATGCCAATGGAATCTGAGTTGTAAAGAATTTGTAGCATAATAATTGCTGGTTTATTAAAATAGATAAGTACCAAAAATAGGAAAATAACCACCATAACTCACATCTTTATTATGACTTCACTTTTGAAGGATAATTTTTAGCAGGGTATATATTTATAGACTGGCAGTTATTTTCCCTAAGAACTTGAACTAGTGATTTTATGTTGCTGCTACCTAAATCCTGGCACCTATAGTCTACATAACAAGGTCTTATATTGGCATTTTGGAATTTCTGCTGAGGGATTATATTGAGACTAGGACAGATCTAGTAATCAAATCAGGCTAGATCTGATCATATTTGAGACTAGTAACCTTTAAGGATTAGTATTCAGGAAAAATAAAGAACTACAAATCAATAAAGGAAAGAAACAACATGTAAAATGGGCATAGCATATAAATAGGGATTTCATAGAGGAGAAAAATTGAACCTCTAATGAACATTTGAAAAGATAATAAACTCATTGATAATCAGTGATATTCAAATGAGATACTATTGCGCACATATAAAATTGGCAAAAATTAAAAAGATTGAGCTTATGATGTATTGATAATCATGTCAAGAAATAGGAACTCTTGAATACTGCTAATGAATTTTATAAATTGATAGTAATAACTATTGCAGTATTTTAGCCTATGAAAAATTTTAGTGGATAAATTGAACAAAGACTTTATTCAAAACTGTTATGATAGGGAAGAGAGATTGAAGTCAATTCCACTTTAACAAAAAGTGAGAGGGATTTTAAGCTTTGAGCTGAGCTCATGGAAAAAGTTCTGGAAGGCTTTAGAGGAGAGGTTGGTCAATGTGATTAGGCCATCTCTGTTTGCTAATTGTTGCTTATTGAAGTTAGGCTCTTACCCTCCCACAGAAACCAGAATATTGGGGTGTTGCCATTCTTGATAATTACTTTTCAAAGGGGATGTTGCTAGGTCCTTGAGGAAGACTTTCCTGAGATGCAAAACTGGCATTCTGGGGTTATAAAACAAGAGGATTTTAAGAAGATTTACTTCTCTAAGGGGCAGAGAAATAATTTGCAATTACAAATTTTCTGAAGTAAATGCTCTAAGAAAAGGGAAGTCAGGGGCCTACAGTCAGGAAGAAACCTATCTAAAGTTGAGTCAAACTAAAGAGAATGTTAAGGCCATCTTGGTTTCTTTGAAGAACAATTTGGTAATATCTGGTAAGGTTAAAGATGCATACAATCAAGGACCCAGACATTCTATTTCTAAATATATACTCTAGGGAAATTATTGCACCTGTGCACCAGGAGATATGTGCAACAAAATTCATTGTAACATTACTAGTAGCAAAAGGTTGGGGAAAGGAGAAACATTCATCAAAAGGAGAATGAATGAAAGTATATTATGGAGTATTTATACAATAAAATACCAATGTCAAGGAAAAAATACAAGTTCCAGAATAAAATAGGTAATGTAATACATTTACACAATGCTATATCTTCATGAATAAAATTATGCATAGGAATTATACCAACTTTTATTTTAAGATAGCAGCGTTAGTGTAGGGGGAAGAAAAGAGAATGAGATTGAATTGGGTTATGTTGAGAGCTTCAGTTCTCTCTATAGCATTTTATTTCTTAAAGAAAAAAATTATCAGAAGCAATTATGGCCACAATTTTAGACATTTTACATAAAATACTTTAAACTTTCAAAATAGAAAGTAACCTTACAACTTCCTAACTTGCTGAAGTTTAAGCTCACTGAAAGTTTAAATTGCAGTAGCTCTGTAGGAAATATAAATATACGGTATTGGTCTTTGTGTATATTTTAATATAAATGGTATCATATGTACCTGTATCAGTTTCCTATGGCCACTATAACAAATTACCACAAACTTGGTAGCTTAAAACAAGAAATAATTATTTCCTCCCAGTTTTGGGGGCCAGAAGTTCAAAATGGGTATCACTGGGCTGAAACCAAGGTGTCAGCAGCACATTGTTCTCTGAAGGCTCTATAGAAGAATCCATTCCTTGTCTCTTCTGGCTTTTGGTGGCTGCTAATATTCCTTGGGTTATGGCCACATCACTTCAGTCTGCAAGAATAGCACCTTCAAATCTCTCTGTCTTCACATTGCTTTCTCTTCTGCGTGTCTGTGTCAAAATCTCCCTCTCCTCTCTCATATAATGATACTTATGACTTTATTTAATACCTCCCAGACGATCCAGGATAATCTCTCCATCTCTTGACACTTAAGTAAGCACATATGCCAAAAGCTTTTTTTCAAACAAGGTAATATTTAGAGGCTTCAGGGATTAGGAATATTTATATTTAGAACCATTATTCAGCCTATTATAGTACCTACCGTCCAACTGATGTTTAAAATTTTACAATGGAAATTATGGGTGTTTTCCATCATATTAGCATAAACCTTTCTCAATCAATGCCTTTGCTATAGAGCATGCCCAGGATGAGTATTATGTATTTTGATTTTCAGTTCTTAAGTTTAGAAGCAATGTTTTCATTTTTTCACTATTACAGAAATGTCGTAATGATTAGTGAAGGTGCTGCAGTGACCTGTACTATAACTTTTGTTAAATCTCATAGGTATGGGATGAGTACTAGGTTTTAGTGGTGGTAAGAGGAAACATAGTTCCATCTGTATGGTTTCATTTTTCTTAGTAAAGAAATGCAATTGTGTATTATTTATTTACTTTAAATAATTAAATAATAAATAAAATAAATGTTTAAATATAGCTTGGTTTTTGACACTATTACTCATTTGAACTTTTATTATCAATGTTTATGATGTATCTCAATCTTAATTTCTAAACTTTGAATGATTGTTTTTTGTTGAAAGATCAAAGCAACAAAACAAAACAAAAATTATAATGATAGCTTACCTGAGTTTCCGAAATTATTAAAAAGCACAGTGGTTCCAGTTCTGGCAAAGCACTACTTACATTGAACTCACTGAATTGCAACCATAATAATAGGGCATTATAGAAATCATTTGCTAAACTAGTATGATTTTGATGCTACTGAGACTAATTTCTTAAATTAGACTATAGTAATAACAATAAAAATTTGAAGAGTAATTTGATGCTTTGAGAAGAATTAGTTAAATACAGCATAATCTAATCAAAAGTTGGTTATCGTTGCTGAAAGTGTTAAATTTATAATTACCACTTTACACTTTATGTTAATATCTACTTAGATCTACTTTTCATCAAACTAGTTTATAAATAGCCCAAGTGCAAAATCTAAGATTAAGTCATGTTTGTTTACTTAAACTAAATATATTTAAATGAATGAGTGAACAAATTGAGAAAATTAACTTCTAAGGATCTCTAAGATATGAGCACTATCTGAAGCTGTGATTATAGTGATTGTTTATTAACCAGAGGAGAGCTTTCCTAGCAAGAAATGCTCATAGTTCAAACTTTCTTAGCAGTTGTATTTGACAATAAGCAGGCATGAGAAGTTTAGAACTTGAGAGCAGGCTTACAAGTAATCAATACAAATAAGTTGTGATAAGTATATTGTATTTTCTGGCCTCAGAAGATGTTTACTCTTTCTGGGTAAATTGACTTAGTATCTCAAATCAATACCAGAATTCAGATCAGGTGTCTGGAATACTATTATATTTCTACCAGAGTAAGGAATATCTCCTACACAATTGCATTTGACTATGTTTTAGCATTTCAGTAGTCGATCAAGGCAGTCATCTTTTGATGTGTGGGTCTGAGTTCTCTCATTTACATCCTAATTATATTTATATTAATTTTCTATAAGGATATAGCAGAATTAAATTAAGAATATAGTTTTGAAATATAATTTATGATATGAAAATCTTTTTAAAGTGGAATGTTACTTTTAAATTAAATGAGGTATGATTACCTGATCCAAAGGTAGAACAGATGGCTGAATAAAAGCCTCCACAGATCATTCTCCCTGAAAGAACACCAATTAAACAACTATCTGCACCAAAAAGCACCTTCATCAGAACAAAAATCAGGTGAATGATTACAGTACCTGTTTTTCTCTTTTCTTTTCTTTTTTTTTTTTTTTTGAGACGGAGTCTCCTGTTGCCTAGGCTGAAGTGCAGTAGCGCGATCTCGGCTCACTGCAGGCTCCGCCTCCCGGGTTCATGCCATTCTCCTGCCTCAGCCTCCCGAGTAGCTGGGACTACAGGCGCCCGCCAACATGCCTGGCTAATTTTTTTGTATTTTTAATGGAGATGGGGTTTCGCTGTGTTAGCCAGGATGGTCTCGATATCCTGACCTCATGATCTTCCTGCCTCGGCCTCTCAAAGTGCTGGGATTACAGGCGTGAGCCACTGTGCCCGGCCACCTGGTTTTAACTTCATATTATAGAAGGAGGCACTGAAGGGGATAGGAAAGACAGTCTTGAATTGCTGATGCCATCCTTTCCCCATCCTCTGGTAATGGCCACGTAGTGCACAGAAAGAATCTGTGTGCTTTGGGGAGAAAGAGCAAAGTGATGATGGGACTTTGCATTGGAACTCAGTGCTGCCCTGTCATAGTGGAACCAACCCTAGACAGAGCTCAGCTGGTGCCCATGGAAGGAGATTTAGACCAGCCCTAGATACAGGGGACTCGCCTATCCCAACTGTAAGAACCTGAGTTCTGTCAAGCCTTGCCACTGCGGGCTAAAGTGCTCTGGAGTTCTAAATAAACTTGAAAAACAGTCTAGGCCACAAGTACTGCAATTCCTGGGCAAGTCCTGGGGCTGTGCTGGGCTTGCAGCCAGTGGACTTGGAGGGCACAGGACCTAGTGAGATGCCAGCTGGAGTGGCCAAGTGAGTGCTTGCACCACCCTTCCTCCAACTTCAGGCAGCACAGCTCTCAGCTCCAGGAGATACTCCTTCTCTCTGTTTGAGGAGGGGAAAGGACAGAATAAAGAGGACTTTGTCTTGCAGCTGGGGTACCAGCTCAGCTACAGTAGGATAGGGTAACAGGCAGAGTCCTGAGGCCCCCATTCTAGGCCCTAGCTCCCAAATGACATTCTAGACACACCCTGGGACAGAAGGAAACCCACTGCCTTGAAGGGAAGGACCCAGTCCTAGCAGGATTCATCAACTGCTTACTAAAGAGCCCTTGGGCCCTGAATAATCAGTGATGGTATCCAGGCAATACTTGCCTTGGCCCTGGGTGAGACTCAGATATGTGTTGGTTTCCGGTGTGACACTGCATGTTCCCAGCTGTGGTGCCTAGAGGGAGGGACTTCTTTTTGAGAAAAGGATAAGGAAGAATAAAGGGGATTTTGTCTTGCAGCCTAGGTACCAGGTACCAGCTTGGCTACAGTGGGGTAGAGCACCAATGGGGATTTTGGGATCTCTGATTTCAGGCCTTGGCTCTTGAGAAGCATTACTGGACCTGCCCTGATCCAGAGGGGAGCCCATTACCTTGCAGGGAGAGTCCCAGGCCTGGAAGCATTTACCTGTAGCTGACTGAAGAGCCCTTGTGGCTTGAATGAACATTGGCAGTAGTTAGGCAAGTACTTGCTGAGGGCCTGAAGTGGTAGGGGCCATGGGGATTCACCTCTTGTGGAAAGAGGAGGGAAGAGTGGGAAGGACTTTGTCTTATGGCTTAGGTGCTAGCACAGCTGCAGTAAAATAGAGCACCAGGTAGTTTCTTAAGGTTTCTGACTCCAGGCCCTGGCTCCCAGATGGTGTCTCTGGATCCACCCAGGACTGGGGAACTTGCTGTTCGAAAGGGAAGGACACTAGCCTGGCTGACCTTACCACCTGATGATGGTAGAGCCCCAGGAATGTGAGTGAACATAGAAGTTGTGATGGATACCCCATTTACACTGATGTGATTATTATGCATCTATGCCTGTATCAAAATATCTTATTTACCCTATAAATACATATACCTACTATGTAACAACAAAAAGTACAAATTAAAACAAATAATTAAATGAAGTATAATTTGAAAATAAAATAGATAAGTTCCAGTAACATGAAAGAAAACATCTTTGAAGAGATTGTAGTTTTTCCCACTGGAACTCCTTAATCTAGATCTTCTGCCAAAAGCAGATCTTTTTCTTTTTATTTAGAAATGCACAGAGCTATTTTAATTTGATTTATTTTGGATTAGAAAAGACTTTATTATTCTTCATGTTATTTTATTTTATTTTTTTTTTTAATTTTTATCTTTAATTTTCATGGGTACATAGTAGTAAATATTTATGGGGTACATGAGATATTTTGATGCAGGCATACAATGCATAATAATCATTTCAGGATAAATGAGGTATCCATCACCTCAAGCATTTATCATTTCTTTGTGTTACAAACATTCCAATTATACTCTTTTAGTTATTTTAAAATATACAATTATTTTTGACTATAGTCATCCATTGTACTATGAAACACTAGATTCCATTCATTCTGTGTAACTGTATTTTGCACCCATTAACCATCCCCACTTTCACCTCCTCCCCTGCTGGCCTTCCCAGCCTCTGGTAAACATCATTCCACTTTCTATCTCCATAAGTTCAATTGTTTTAATTAGTCCCCACAAGTGAGTGAAAACATGTGAAAGTTGTCTTTCTGTACCTCACTTCACTTAACACCATGACCTCCACTTGCATCCATGTTGCAAATAACAGGATCCCATTCTTTTTATGGTTCAATAGTACTCCATTGTGTATATGCATGATATGGTTTGGTTGTGTCCCCACCCAAATCTCATCTTGAATTGTAGCTCCCATAATTCCTATATGTTGTAGGAGGGACCCACTGGGAGATAATTGAATCATGGGAGGCAGTTTTCACCTTACTGTTCTCATGGTAGTGAATAAGTCTCACAAGATCTGATAGTTTTTATAAGGAGTTTCCCCTTTCACTTGGCTTTCCTTCTGTCTTTCCTGCCATCATGTAAGACATGCCTTTCATCTTCTGCCATGATTGTGAGGCCTCCCCAGCCACGTGGAACTATGAGTCCATTAAATCTTTTTCTTTATAAATTACCCAGTCTCAAGTATATCTTTATCAGCAGCATTAGAATGGACTAATACAATGTACCACATTTTCTTTATCCACTCATCTGTTGATGGACACTTAGGTTGCTTCCAAATCTTGGCTATTGTGAAGTGCTGCAATAAGCATGGGAGTATAGATAACTAGTTGGTATACTGATTTCCTTTCTTATGGGTATATACCCAGCACTGGGATCGCTGGATCATATGATAGCTTTAGTTTTAGTTTTTAAAAGAACCTTCATACTTCTCTCCATAGTGGCTTACTAATTTATATTCCCACCAACAATGTATGAGGTTTCCCTTTACTCCATATTCTCACCAGCACTTGTTATTACCTGTCTTTTGGATAAAAGCCATTTTAACTGGGGTAAGATGATATCTCATCATGGTTTTGATTTGCATATCTCTGATGATCAATTATTTTGAGCATCTTTTCATATACTTGTTTGCTTTTCATATGTCTTCTTTTGAGAAATATCTATCATATCTTTTGCCCATTTAAAAATTGTGTTATTAGATTTTTCCCTATTAAGTTTTTTGAACTCATTATATATTATAGTTATTAATTCCTTGTTATATCCTCTTGCTGAATTGACCCCTTTATCATTGTGTTATAACCTTCTTTGTCTTTTTTTATAGTTTTTGTCTTGAAATCTGTTTTGTCTTATATAAGTATAGTTACTCCTCTCTTTTTTGGTTTCCTTTGGCATGGAATATTTTTTTCCATCCCTTTATTTTCAGTATATGTGTGTCTTTATAGGTGATGTGTGTTTCTTATAGGCAACATATTGTTGGGTCTTGTTTTGTAATCCATTCAGCCACTCTACATCTTTTGATTGGAGAGGTTAGTCCATTTACATTCAACATGATTATTTATAAGTAAGGACTTACTATTGCCATTTTGTTATTTGTTTTCTGGTTGTTTTGCGGTCTTTTCTTCCTTTCTTCTTTCCTGTAGTTTGACTTTATTGTTATTTTATGGTATTATATCCCTTTAACTTCAGATAAAAAATATACCACCAAATTATTTTCATTTCTTCTTTTAAAGTGAGATTAAGCTTCAATTCCTTAGCAAGATTCTTCAAATGATTAACTGCACTCAAGAGAATTTATTGAGTACTCGCTTTGCTTAAGGGGAAAGGATTGGGTGACAGAAGAGAGGACAAAGTAGAAGACATTGGAACTATCTATAAGAGTTTATAGCCTAGTTGTGGAGATAATACAGATGCCCATTGAGCATATGGCTGCCTGTGGTCCAGAGTCTCCAGAAGAGGCTGAAGGGGAGTCTGATGAAGGAAGAGCAGCTACAGACCCTCTCATCTTGCAAGGAAACCTTTCAAGATGAGTAAGTTGTTGAATATGTTGGGAAGAACATGACTATTTTTAGGGAAATAACTGCCTATTGGCAGGTGGGTGGGAGTTCATGGGAACTCTATGCATCAAGGTCCTTGTTTGCATACTCCAAGTTCAATAGAATTACTAAAGCCAAGAGAAGCAAGAGGGTTAGGACAAGAGCACCAGCCCCAAAAGCTGTTTGCTGATTCTGGGGCAATAGTTGCATCTCTCTGTACTAGATTTATATTTTTTCTTCTGGGTGGGTGGAAAATGATTCAGTTTATATCCATACTCAGAGAGAGGAGGATTTGTGCAGATCCTGATTACCACAGTATTAGGAAATTTACAACAGCACCCCAAGCATTATATAACTATTCTGCAAATGTTGGATTAGAAAATTTGCTTCTTTGGAGAGCTATTATCTTTAGGGAGAATTTTTTAAGAATGCACTTTAACTTAATTTAGTGCTTATTTTTCAGGCATAACTAGAAAATATTTCATTAATATACTTCAATTCAAGCTGTCCCTAACCTTGCCAGTCACAGATAAGATTAGAAAACAATATTTCAAAAATTTCTGGCTCTATTTTTACCACTCTCACTTGCTAATTTAGGGCATCAAGCTTTCTGAAAATTCTTCTCTGAGTAGGATGACTATCATGACTGATGAAAAATGTAGCCAAAATTTATGCTTGTTATATCAGTGTCTTGTCTTGTTTTGCATTTGTCCCAGATTTCTGTGTTTTTTTTTTTAACAATTTATTATTATTTATCTTTGCATTAGAATACACCTGTGTGGATTTGCTAGACACCCTCTTGGTATGCCCACTTTCTGCCTTGTTCTTTTCTGGTAATGTGTGAGAGTCACATGCAATAACAGAGTTCTCACTTTAATACACATTTATATCTGAAAGCATGACTAATGATAATTCTCTCTTCACAGCCCTTTCCAGACTCAATGTAATACCTCTCTTTCAAGGACAGTGTGAAGAGTGATAACATCATGTTTTGTGGA
This sequence comes from Homo sapiens, assembly GCF_000001405.40. NCBI lineage: Eukaryota > Metazoa > Chordata > Mammalia > Primates > Hominidae > Homo > Homo sapiens. The sequence continues at coordinate 39,744,571 of NC_000014.9, forward strand.
CAGGATGGCTATTTTGCCTTTGAGATGGTGGTCAGAAAAATATTTGGCACTTGATATATTAACCAGTTATCTCCTGGCCTGTAGAGTTTTTTTTTTTCCCAACAGGAAGATTAAATTTATCCTACATAAGCAAGGAAAAAACTAATCCAAACTAAACAAGTGCTTAAATAAGGTACATAATTTAATTCTGAAATTTTATAATTGTGTCTTGACTTCTGGGAAGAACATTTTGATGGAGCTATAATGTTTAATTAGATCAATTTATATTCTTTATGGGAATGAGATAAAAGGGAGAAAGCCTATGATTTTGCAGCATGCACAACTAATGAGATTTAGTAAGACTTTTAAATAGAGAAAAGCTTTTCTTAACAAATATTTTAGAAGAAAATTCTCAATGGCGACAAAAGAAAATTATCAATGGAGACAAAACGACAGTAGCAATACTTGGCCTAAACTATTTAAATGGGATATTTATGGGAATAATATTTTATGGGAAAAATATTTTATGGGAAAATAATATTTATGGGAAGAAAATTATGGGAATGAGATAAAAGGGAGAAAGCCTATGATTTTGCAGCATGCATAACTAATGAAATTTCATAAGACTCATAAATAGAGAAAAGCTTTTCTCAACAAACATTTTAGAAGAAAATTCTCAATGGAGACAAAAGAAAATTCTCAATGGAGACAAAAAGACAGTAGCAATAGTTGGGGTAAAATATTTAAACACTGAAACAACAAAATTGGAATTGAGAATATTCCATATCTGGAATATTTTTTTTCTGTGGGTTTTCTAGGTGCCTCAGTGTCTATTGAGAGTATATTTCTGCTCAGTTAAAATATTGTCTATAGAAAAGAGTTAATTTTAGGTTTCTGTACATCTATTATATATCAATAAATAAAAATAAAATATACAGAAAAAATTTTAGGCCTCAACAGTTTCAAATTTACTAATCACAAAATGCAATTTTGAGATGATTGCAAATAATTTTATATATAAGGCTCTTTTTAAATATATACATTGTTCTGTAAAATACCATTGACATGGTATTACAAACAGATATAGTTGAAAAGCTGATTAGAAGATTGTGACTATATTCAAAGGCTGATCTGCTTACATTATTTTTTCATGTTCAGATAATAAAAATAAAGTAGTACTTTTTCTTTAGTTCAATATACCTTGAGGAATGTATATTTTTTAAGAAAACTTTTCCTTTTGGAAATATTTTTTAATTGATCTGTTTTATAAGAACAACTCTATGACAAAATCAACTTATTTGTCCATAAAAAAGTTTAAAATTATTTAAATTTGCTTATTTATAACAACCCCCTACACTCTCAGTTCTGTCTCTGTTTGGATGATAAGTACCTTTCCTTCAGGCACATGTAGGAATTCCTAGGACATTTCTTATAAATGGTGCAATAAGTTGACATATCCAGGGCCCTGCTGAAACTCTGCCTTTTCAGCCAGAGTCCCCACTATTCTGTCAGGTTCATGCCTCTGCCAGGTGTTACTACTGCTTGGTAGGAACTGTGGTAGGTGTCATGGGGTTGGCAGGCAACAGTGTCCTGTAGCGCAGACTGGAGTGCTGCTTGGTGGTACAATGGTTCCTCTGCCTTGAGAAGGCCGATGGTGACCCTTAGATCAGAGGAGAAGTTGGGGAGGCATAGTGTCTCCCATTTGTCTTAGCTCTCTTACAGGGTCCTGAAAAGTATGGCTGTGCTTCTGTGATTTACAGTGTTTTTAGTGAACTTGCTTAAGTTTTTGCTTAGTGTCCATCTGATTCTAGGATGTGTCTAAAGACTTCCCTTTCAAATAGATACTTGTCAGTCTATCCTCAAGTTTATGAGACATTTCCAGATATATATCAGACTTAGCAGTGGCATAACTTGAGTTGTTTCACAGGAGACACCTGACCTCTTTCTTGCAAATAGGCTTCTCTCAACCTGTCTTGCCAGCTAAAGTCTGAATTCCCACAGTGGGCACAGCCTAGACTCAAATTTAGAATTCCACTGAACTTAACAAGTAACAAAGTGTTTAGAACAACTCTATCTTGAAGGCATTCAACAAGTATCTATCAGGTGTCTACAATAGGATAGACACAGTGTTGCCAGTTACATAAAGATATCTAAGTTATGGTTCTTCAAGAATTTTGGTCTAATAGACACATAGTAATGCATAATTATAATACATTGTGATGACTTATGTATTATTAGTTTATCGAAGTATAATGATAACATTATAACACAAGGGGGATATGCATATGCAAAGAGATGGAGATACAAAAGAGGAAACTATGACTTCAGAGTCCTGGAGTGTAGAGGTTTGCTTACGGTTGGGGAGAGTGGAGAGGAGGGGTTGAAGCTAGTGGTGTGGAATGTAGATTGAAGGGTAGACACAGATCAAGTATAAATATAATATTCACTGTTAAAGAACATGGATGATTTAAAATCACTGGAAGATTTTAAATATGGAAGAGAATTGTACTTATACACGTTTTAAAGAGATGACTCTGGTTGGAGAAGATGAGTATGGATTAGGTTGCACTGGTTACCCGATGAAAACGAGACAGAAAGATGAATGAGAGTATTGCAATTGTCTAAACAATGCACAGTGGCAATAGAGAGGGTATTTCAGATTTGTATATTATTTAGGATGCAGAATAAATATGGCTCAGTGACTGGATCTAAGCGTTGTGTGAGAGAGCAGTAGAAGTCTCTGAAGACACCTGGATTTCTGATCTGGATATCTCTGTGATGTACTTCAAACAGGAAATACAGGATAGGAAAACATTTAGGGAGGAGAAATAATGAGTTCTGTATTAGAAATGACTAGTTAAAGGAGGAAGCAGGAACGGAAAAAGGAGATAAAATGCAGAGAGAAAAGAGGCAGGAAAAACAAATATGGGAAGAGATAAAGGCAGAAAAACAACATAAGAGAAAATTATAAAAGATGCAGAGTGACATGTAAGTTTATATTTGAGGAATAATTCTATTTCATTTCTTGGTAGTATGTACCTAGAAGCAATGTCTGTTTTGATTTTGCAGTTATAGGCATTGCTGTTGTTTTTTATTCATGATTACAAATCGAGTAAGACAAAGATCTGGTTTTTAAGTTGGAGGAAAGTGAAGAATGGCATGGAAAAGGGAGAGAAAATAAGATAGGTCCATCCTGGTTATCCTGCAGTAAAACCTGTTTTTTTCTATGATTTCAGCTCTTGGAAAGGAATTTGCATCTTTAAGATTAGAATTCCAGGGAAACCAACTTAAGTTTTTAACTGGATTCATATTCAGTTAACATATTGAAAACTGAGGAGCAAGAAAGATGGGGTACATAAAGAAAAGAAAATGGTTGACTTTAGTTTCTTTCTTGACTAGATAGCCATAACTACCTGTAAAGGCACAAGTAAGGCATAGAATCATGGAGTTGGAAAGAATTCTTATAGACTAGTTTCTAATCGTTGCTTCCATAATTGTTTTCACATAAAAATAACCACACAAGCTTGCCTGACCAAGTAGTTTTACATTTACAGAACTATTTGGTGGGATGGTATGGTTGGTTTACGAGTGAATATAACACATCTAAATAAACATGCCAAGAAGTACTCATAAAGAATTGATTTTTTAAAGGGAATATAAGCCTTGTCAAAACTGTGAACCTTACAACAATCAACATTTTATTAATAAAGCTGTTAAGAAAGATAAATTGTTTGAATTTTTCTTCATGATATCACTATGTACCAAAAATATTCTCTATAAATTTTGTCCTGAAATCACTAAGGGCAGATATGTTTTGAAATATGATTTATATTAGAATATCCAGTCAACATCCAATTGATTTTCAGTTCCTGAAACTGTGGCTTTAAATTTAATCAATGCAGAGTACGGGATCAGTAATTAAACAGTAATTTTTTTCAAGTGGAGGAAGTTAATATTGTAAATTTCTTAACCATGAATAGGTTCAGGCTCTTAATGTTTTGGTAAATAATTCTGGGAACAAAACAAAGCTTTCAATTACATTATTATTTGGGGCCTTAGTAAGTGGAATTTAAACAAAAGCATTATATATAAAACTATCACAGCAAAGGTGTGTGACAACCCGAGAATGACTTTACTAACTTAAGAGACAGCCTCTTCAGATATATAAGGACTATCTGATTCTTTTGATCACTCACCTGCCAACTCATAAGAGATGTGCATGGAAAGCAAACAGTTGTGCTGGGCAGAAGAACAAAATTAGGCAAGAAATGATCAAGCTTCTAACAGATGGCTTTTCAGAAATGGCAACAGTAATCTCTCTAACATCTCTGTGGCGAATACAGAAATTACAATTACTTTCAAACTCCAATAGTGTAGAAACTCAGTACTTATTTAGCCAATACTATGAATTCTTTTTCTAGCAGCTCAGAAATACTAGGGAAATAGACCTGGAGTTGCAGTCACCACAGGGTAGGGATTGCTTTCTTCATTCTGTGGCTATCTTGAGATCTTGGCCTGAAACATGCAGGCTGTGGTGCTATGAGAAAGGACTTGATGGCTCAATGGTGGTCAAATTGGTTGAGAGGGAAGACTGAATTATCTCTTAGTGACACACTGATCCATATGCTATCTCAAACTTGTGTAAGGAAAATTCAACAAAGTCTTGGCAATTCAGCATGCTGAACTCTGTTGACCACAAGGTGATAAGGTCTATAATGGGAAAATCAACCAGAGACTTTGCTATAATAAACTTAAACAAGAGTATCCCTAGTGGTCTACACCATCTTTTTCAGCCTAAAAGGAAAAGATGGGGTGCAGTGGTGATATTTCAGATAGTTTTTGTAACAAAAACTATCTGAACTTAGCAGTTCAGAACTAATATGTCTCATAGGCCATGTATTATGCACAACATGTACAGAATCAGCTGCAGCCAGTTGAAATTTGATGTGAATCGGAACACCATGAGGTACTTATTTACTTCAAACAGCTCTCTTTTTTTTTTTTAAGACGGAGCTTCATTCTTGTTGCCCAGGCTGGAGTAAAATGATGCAAACTTGGCTCACTGCAACCTCTGGCTCACTGCACGTCCGCCTCCCCGGATCAAGTGATTCTCCTGCCTCAGCCTCCGTGGTAGCTGGGATTACAGGTGCCTGCCACCAGGCCTGGCTAATTTTGTATTTTTAGTAGAGGTGGGGTTTCACCATGTTGATCAGGGTGGTCTCAACCTCCTGACCTCAGGTGATCCACCCAGGCCTCCCAAAGTGCTAAGATTACAGGTGTGAGTCACCACGCCTGGCCCAAACAGCTCTTCTTTTTGAGAGTTGCTACAAAATCAATATGGAATTTCAAATTTTACTTTTTAATGGATTTTAATGCATAAGTAATGCCAGAATACATCTGGAGGATTTTATAGCAAATTCCAGACCTCAGATAATCTCACACATTAAAAACTATGTTTCTCTAACACATTTTTTTAAAAAGCATAATTACAATAATGTTAACATACCCAACATATTTAACATTTATTCCTCAGTATCATCTAACACCCAGTCTATGTTCTATTGTCCTTCATTATCTCAAAAATATCTTTTTATACTTTGCTGGAATCAGGATGTTAGCAAGACCCACACATTGCATTTGTTTGCTGTATCTCTTAAATTTCCTCTCCTTTTTATTTTCTTTTTAATCTATAATTGTTCCCCGTCTTTTTTTCCTTTCATTTATTCATTGAAAATACTGGCTCATTTGTTCTGTAGAATTTCCCACTTTCTTGCTTCGGCTAATTGTTCCTCCTGGTATCATTTAACATGTTTCTCTTCCTATATTCCCTGAATTTTCTGTAAATGAAGTTAAATAGAGATGCTTGATTAAATTGTTTATTTTTACCTCCTTGTTTAAAAATGTACTTCATAAATAGTGCTGTATACTTCTTACTGCACAACATAAGAAGGCACATATATCTTATTTTCTCTCTATGATGCTAAGTTTGATGAGTAGGGTCAGATGGTATCAGCCTAATCCCTCTGTTATAATTCCCCAAATGTTTTTCACCTAATGGTTTTAGCAGCCATTGATGATTTTTTCTTAAATCCATTATCTCATTAGGGATTGAATTCTAACACTGCCATTTCTCTTGCATTTATTAGTCGTGAGTCTTCCATAAAGAAGCTCTTTCAGTAATTATCTGTATGATTCATGTGGGAAGTCAGGAATAATGCCAGATTTTTTCCATTTGTTGATTAATTATCAGTATAATGAGTTGATGCCTTAGCAACATCTAAGATAACCAATTCATTTTTATTTTTTATTTTATATTATATTAAATGTATTTATTGTGCATATCATGAACTCATGATTACATATAAATATATGAATGCAATATATATTTATCTTGTAAATAATTAAATATTATATACCTATGAATGAAATTTTTATGCTTCAATCTATTGGAGTTCTTTTTCTTTTTCTTTCTTTTTTTTTTTTTTGCTGCTCAAATTGTTCCATCTTTGGCTAGTGGGAACCACTCCAAGTTGGCACCTATGTTCTTTTAACATGACCCCGGTAGTTTTTCATGGTTTTCTTACTTTCAGTCATAAGCAAGATATTATAGGCTTATTTTGTACATTTCTTGCTCCAGACCTGAAATCAGCTATTTCTCCAAGTTCCCTGATTTCTTTTAGTGGGTAATGGCATTAGGAGACCACATCTGGGCATTGAGGGTCTTCATTGCCTTTGGGTTGTCATTGCTTTTAGGCCTTTTTAGTGGACAGAGCTAGGAAATAGGTATATTTTGTAAAGATAAAAATAAATTATGAGTTTATACTAATATTTTAGACTCAAATTTATTTATTTAACTTATTTTAGTATCTTTTAATATATCTATTATGATTTTGACTACCAACATCCATGTTAATAACATGGATGTTGGTGAATATTATATTTTTCCATGTGACTAGAAATTGTGTGGGTCTTCACATGCTAAGTAATGTTTGATTGTATCCTAAATACTCTGAATTATTACATTTTGAGGCTCTGTGGCTTGTTTAAATTCTATGAAGAATGTCATTTTTCTTTTTAGCAGTCATCGACCCACTAAAGTCAGGCTGCAAGTTCCAATCTGACTTTTGTGAGCTATTTCGATGTCAGTTCAGTTTTCAAAGCCTTTATAGTGCTCTTTGGATCTGCCTTGGGAGTGTGTCATCCAGTGATCAATTTGTAACCTGGGCATGGTCTATCTGTGAGTGCAGTTCCCAGCATCTTTTGTATGCTAATTCAGGTGAGATCCATGCGTGTGTGTGGCTCGAGGGTAAGTCCTGGCATTCATAAAAATAATTTTACGGGTTTATTTTTTTGATCTCTTCACTTTCTCTAATCTCCCCCAAGTACTTTCCTGGTTTCTGGAACTCTCTTTTTTGTCCTTTGGCCAAAAACTCGTGGCTCTTTAATGACCTTACTTATTGTGTTCTGTCACTCACTTCTGCAGTTTAGTCTGTCTTGGCCCAAGCAGAGGGAAGACAGAGGAAAAAGAGCGCAATCGGATTTTACTAACACTTTAAGAACTGTGGTTTCACCTATGAGAGGAGGAGTCACCTCCCTGAGTTCTGGCTCCTGTGGATTCTGGGAGCTGCTGCTCCATAGAATTGCCTGAAGAGCCGGGCGCGGTGGCTCACGCCTGTAATCCCAGCACTTTGAGAGGCCTAGGCGGGCGGATCACGAGGTCAGGAGATGGAGACCATCCTGGCTAACACGGTGAAACCCCGTCTCTACTAAAAATACAAAAAATTAGCTGGCGTGGTGGCCGACGCCTGTAGTCCCAGGTACTCGGGAGGCTGAGGCAAGGGAATGGTGTGAACCCGGGAGGCGGAGCTTGCAGTGAGCCGAGATCACGCCACTGCACTCCAGCCTGGGCGACAGAGCGAGAGTCCGTCTCAAAAAAAAAGAATTGCCTGAAGACTGGGGTACTAGAGGAGGAGCAGTGTGGGCTGACAGTCAGGGGAGTGGGGACTCTAGGGGATTTCTGCATTTCTTTGGAGCATCAGGAGTACCTTTTTAGGACCCTCAAACTAAAGCTAGCAGGCTTCTCCTGGCTTTCTGTCTGTATCACAGTGCTCACTTCCAGGTTTCTGGCTTTGGTGAGTTCAAGTAGGGGGATACTACAGGAAAAAAACATTAAAACTCACCTTCCAGGATTCGATGGGACTTAGAATTCTGGTAACACCTGCTGTTATTTACAAAGTCTTAAAAAAGGTGCTCATGCATTCTGTCTTGATTTTATAGCTGCATTCAGTAGAAGAAAAAGGTTGAAACATATATATATTTTTTTGAAATCTCAACTGGAAACTTAATCCTTTAAGTCTGATTCTGTTTTTAATTATGTGAAACATTGCATAGTTCAAAAGTCAAAACTATGAACAAGATACACTTAGAGAAGTCACGTCTTTATTTCTGTTTTTCCCCTCCCCAAGAGGTGTCTATGCTTTCTGAGTTTTGGGATTATCTTTTCCTTTTTAAATATTAAAAAGTAAATATTAATATTTGTATTCTGCCCTCCCCCTCATTATTATGGAAAAGGTAACATGCCATGCACTCTTTTGTATTTTGCTTTTTTTCTCTTAATTATATATTCTGGCAATCATTCCACAGCAGTACATAAAGAATTTCCTCATTTCTTTTTAAGACTACAGTTTTCCATTGTATGAATTTAAAGTGGCTTTTTAACTAGTCTTTCATCAGTAGAAATCTGCATTATTTCTGGGCATTACCTATTGTTAATCAATATGGTTTTAAATCCAACTTTCCTATTCATTTTATTTGGGAAAATGGAATAGAGTAAGAAGGCATCATAGTTTTCTTTATAGTCAAAATCATGTTATCCTCCAGATGTAGTTTATAGCTAATGCTGTAAATCTCTTTTAAATAATTCTTAGATTTATTATACATGCAATAAGACTAAGATATTTGAATGCTGGGATTTACTCATTAAAGACACTGTCTTTAATGGCAGTCCACTCTTGGTGATGGTGATTTGTGAATAGCATGAATTTTTTACGCAATTTCCCTTCTGGTATTGTTGGGAGGAAAAACCTGCCAGTTTGTCAGCACTGAATTGTTAATTGAAAAATAGGAAACAGGGCACTAAGAGAGAAAATAGCAGAGGTAATAGTAACGATTGGTAGCAATGAGGTTGCTCCACAAATTGGAGTACGGTGCTATGAATACTGGATGGGAAACAAACTGAGACCCCATGAAGGAGTCACTACATCCAACAGGAAAGTACAGCAGAGTGTAGGAAACTAGAAAGCAGAAAGCCTGTGGGAAGTTGATGGCAGCCCTCTGCTGCTATAGTCCTTTTTCAGAAGTCTATGATCTCACCCCCATGGACATATTTCAGTTGGTCTTAAATGGGGAAACCAACATTTGGTATTTTCCTTCTCTCCATCTCTAGTTTAAAAGCACACTTCTGAGAAATACATAAGGTTAATTTTTCTATATCATTAGCCTGAAGATTTGGATCAGAAGATTTCTCCCCCAACCCCTTTCTTTCCCAATATCAATGTTTCCTAGTACAGGAAACAACACAATCTGGGATTTTCAGGGGCATGTAGTTACAGGGCTTTTACGTTTAGTATTGCTCTCAGGGCATTAGACTAACATGTAAGAATAATCTTTGAGCAAAACACTCCAGCATAGAATAGATAATGTCATAATTAAGAATGATGTAAGATATCATAAGAAAGAGAACCCCAGTGAGGCTAATGACCAGCATAAATTTCAAGTACTTAGCAACAGAGTCAGCTGTGTGATGTTGTGACTCTTGCAGTAACATAAGGGGCTCCATTGTCAATTTCTGCTGGATTTTGACCCCTAGGTGACATTATTCTTGAACAATGTTCATCCCTTTACATTCTGGACTTTTACAGCTAAGAACACTTCCAATATTAAACTTGAAATATTTCTGTTAAGATTCTGAATTGTATTCATAATGTTGTACCCTGAGAACTGGTACCTGCGACTGTGTTCCATTTTGGAAGTACTTTATAATTCTATTTTTTAGCCTGAAGTAATTCAGCTATACCTGCCTTAGGCTGAAGAAAATATTAAAACCTTGAATAGTCAAAGGAAAGCTTGAAGTTCCTGCTTTGCTGTTAGAATAGAACATGTGATGCCATGTGTGGTATCTCACTTGGATAAATAATGGTAGCAGTAGGATGGTGGCACTGAAATTTCAATTTTGTGTTTTGCTTTTATCACTTGGATACCTGAATGTTGTTCTTCTGGAAGTCATTCCAGGTTCATCCTCTGTTGATAGTATATGCCACATTTGCAGTCTTAGAGATCCAGGTTATTGTGAAGTATTGAGAAGTCAAGAGGTGCACAGAATTTCCAACCTGAAGGTGGTCAACTTGACGTAACCATTGAGATGTATGACTCTTTGATAACATCCTCAAGCATCTGGTATTGGTGGAAGTGTTAAAGAAGGGGAATGAGTATTTACTGAGTGTATTAGTCTGTTCTCACATTGTTATAAAGAACTACCTGAGATTGGGTAATTTATGAAGAAAAGAGACTTAGTTTACTCACAGTTCCACAGGCTGTGCAGGAGGCATTGCTGAGGAGGCCTCAGGAAACTTACAATCATAGCAAAAGGTGAAGGTGAAGCAGGCACAGTCTTCACACGGCTGGAGAAGGAGAGAGACAACAAAGGGAGAAGTGCTACCCACTTTCAAACAGCCAGATCTCTTGAGAACTCTGTCATGAGACAGCAATAGGGAGATAGTGCTAAACCATTAGAAACCACCCCCATGATCCAATCACCCCCCAGCAAGCCCCACCTCCAACAATGGGGATCACAGTTCAACATGAGATTCTGGTGGGGACACAGAGCCAAACCATATCACTGAGCATTTCCTATATGACAAGTAATCTGTCAAGTGCTTTACATAAATGCCTTACATAATCCTCATGACAAAACCTAAGTGGTATTACTGCATTAATTTTTAAATCAGGAAAATGAAGTTCTAAAAGTCTAAGTAATTTGCCTAGTGATACACAGACCACAAGTAGTGGGACACATGTTTGAATTCAGATTTATTGGCTTGGTTCCCTTCTACCATGCCTCACTGAATCTCTCACTAGCATAAGATTAATCTTTAAAAGACTGCAACCACCAGTAGGAGCAGTAAAATGCTGTTTAACAGGGCTGGATGTGGGTGTTGTGGAAGGGCCTTATTAATATATTTACAGGTATATTTGTAATTGCCACAAATCTCACTTTAACCAGCACATTTGATGTGGTTTATTTAGGATATGTGGCTGATTGAAAGACACTACTAAAATACTAAAAATATTTTTTCTTTCTTAGACTAAAATACTTACACTTATTCTAGTGAGTTGCTGTAATGTTAAATATAGATACAATAACACTGGTTTCTTTTCATAAATTGAAATCATAAGATGTTTTGAATGTGAGCAAATATTGGGAAATTTTAAAACTCTATTTATGGCATCTTTATGGCTTTGAATATCCTATGACATAAAATGTGTCCAAGACTCCCTTTCTAATCAGACATAATCATGATGGGGGTGGGGAGAAGACAGGCCTTACATTAGGTGATGAAAGCACTCAAAGCCTTGACTATGGTTTAAATAAGACAAACTTTAAGTAGAGGGTCACATGACTTTTTAGTATGAACTCTTTTCATCTCTGGAACTCTTTGCCATCTTTAATAATAAGAAGTAGAGCTTCAAAGCTTACAACTTGTGAGAATCCAGGTGACTGTAATGGGTTCTTCTGTGCTTACTTTACCTGAACTGAGTGAATAACTATGGACATCTCAGAAGGTCAAGTGGCTAAAACTTGTCTTTAAATAACTAATTCTGTCAGATCTTCTCATTCTGAATCAAGGATGAGGCACCAAAAATGTTTAAGATCTAGGAGTGCTAAGAAAGATATAAAAGAGGATTTTAAATTTTGTAATTGCATTCCAACAAATAGATGATCTGTCTGCCTTTAAGCACCTGGATGTTGAGAGCTTAATGTAATTGACCTCATACAGGTTGTGAAGAAAATTAGAAATGCAGTCTCATGCTGAGAGCTATCAACAACTTGGATCTAGCCTGAGGCTCAGCTTTTACTACCTAAAAACATACATGTATTTATTTCCCAAAGTGCATTACTTAGAACACTAGTCCTATAAGACACTCCGTGGAAAAAAATGTTCCATAGTTAAATTTAATTTTGGGAAATAGCATATATCTATCTCTTAGATAATTATAATACACTTTAACGTATAAAATAAGGTTTCTGATAATTCAGATAGTAAATGAAAACCAAAAACAACAAAAAATTATTTAACTTTGTTTTCTATTTATCCTAATGATGTCTCTCTCTCTCTCAACACAGACACATACTCATCACTCCTTTTAGGACCTTATAGAACTAGTAATTATGGCAGTATCTTCTTGGCATAAAAATAGGCCAATGGAATAGAATAGAGAGTCCAGTAACAGACCCTTATTGTAATTTGACCGAGAGGACACTGAACTGCAGTGGATAATGTATGCTCTTTTTGATAAAAGGTACTGGGATCGATTGGATACCATTGGAGAAAAAAAAAACAATCCTTACCATGTATCTAAATATAACAGGTAAAACAACATGGCTTTAGAAGAAAATATATTAGAATATCTTTATGACATGGAGAACAAACTTATATTAACACATAAAGTAAAAAGAATGGTAAATTGGCCCACATTTAAATTAAGAATTTCTCTTCATCAAAAGACACCATTAAGAAAATAAAGAGCCAAGCCACAGATTAGGAAAAAAATATTTGTACTATATATGAAAAAAGACTTATTCTTAAAATATACAACAAAACTGCTACAAGTAAGTATTAAAGAGACGCAATCCAATAGAAAAAATAGACAAAAGATTTGAACAGTCATGTCACAAAAGAGGATATTCAAATAGCCAAAAGAGATATAAAAAAGTTGGCCAAGTACAGTGGCTCATGCCTGTCATCTCAGCAGTTTGGGAGGCCAAGGTGGGAGGATCACTTGAGGCCAGGAGTTTGAGACCAGCCTGGCTGACATGGTGAAACCCCGTCTCTACTAAAACACAAAAATTAGCTGGGCGTGGTAGAGCGTGCCTGTAATCCCAGCTACTCGGGAGACTGAGGCAGGAGAATCACTCGAACCCTGGAGGCCGAGGTTGTGTTGAGGCAAGATTGCACCACTGCACTCTGGCCTGGGTAATAGAGTGAGTGAGACTCCGTCTCAAAAAAAAAAAAAAGATACAAAAAGTACTCAAACTCATTAGTTATAAGACAAATGAAAATTAAAACTACAGTGTGATTATAAACTAATGACCTAAAATAAAAGAAAATTCCAAGTGTTGTAAAGGATGTGTACCAATGGCAACTCTTATCAACTGTTGGTGACAGTGTAAATGAGTATAACCACTTGGGAAAGCTGGTTGGCAATAATGACTAAAGCTGCATATATGCTTCTCTTATGACAACATGGATCATAGGATGCTTAGATTACATACACAGCAAAAATGCATATATGTGTTCACCAAAAGACATGTACTAGAATGTTCATGGCAGCATTATTTTTGAGGAATAATGGAGTCTCCCTGAAATGAAGACAACCCAAATGTTTATCAGCAGTAGAATAGATACAGTGTGATGAATTCACACAATGGAATAACATACATCAGTGAGAATGAACTTCAACTATGCATAACATGGATAAATCTCACTAATATAATTTTGAGTTATAACAGATGAAAAAGAGTGCATGGATGATTTGTTTACATAAAGTTTATAAACAGGCAAAACTAATCTCTGGTATTAGATATCAATGCAGTGGTTACTCTGGAAGGGGACTCATAGGAGATCCTGGGATGCTAGTAATCTTTCTTCATCTGTGTGTTGGTTTCAATTTGTGAAATTTATTGAGTAATGTACTTATGATTTGTGCATTTTCCTAAACATTTGATATAAACTTATGTGCCACATATGACATTTTGATCAATGACAGATTGCATATACGGTAGTCACATAAGATTATGATACTATATTTTTACAATACCTTTTTATGTTTAAATACGCAAATACTTACCATTGCGTGGCAGTTGCCTGTGTTATTCAGTACAGTAACGTGCTGTATAGCCTTGTAGCCTAGAAACAATAGTCTATACCATATATCCTAGGGGTGCAGTAGGTGTATACCATCTAGGGGTATACATTCTGTGATACTTGCACAACAACAACATTGCCTAAGGACTCATTTCTCAGAAGGTATCCTCATCATTTAAGGGATGCATGACCATACTAAAATAAAAAGTATGCTAAAAAGAGCAGATACATCAAAATACAACTTTCCTTAAAGAAAGATTCTTAGATCTGGGCTTCCAAGGAACACACGGGAAAATGCTGACCTCCTCACACATTGATATGTATTGTTCAAGACATATATATTTTTATTGAAGTAAGATCAGATGAAATGATATTCTAGCAAAAACATTAATGGATACTTTTTCAATTAATGTCCAAATTTATCATTATTTATACATTAAAGATGATGCAGCACTGAATGATAAATTATGAAGGAAACATTTAATGCACATTTGAAAAGTAAAGAAATTAGATGCATCTTAATTATATAAGTACTAAAGATCAAACAGATTTTTTTTTTAGTTTTGAGCAACAAAAATAGAAACTTTCAGTAACCTTATAAGAAATGTATAAGTAGCATCTTCAGCAAACAGCAATGTTGTGGATTTACTCATGGTAATTAAATCATTTTTTATATTTCAGGTTTCCATTTATCATTGAAATGTAAGAGTTAATTTGCACAGATACAAATTTATAAAATATAATCCCCTTTCCCAGTTCTCTGATATGTGTTTTACCGTGTCAGAGACATTTTTGATGACAGTGTATGCCTGGATCTTGGTGTAGATACTTTTCTCTTACACTAATTAAATAATTAAATCACTTGTTCCAGAAAGTTAAAATGCCAAATGTCTAGGTTCTCTGCTTCCACAGACTTCTGACTCTGACAGCCAACAATTACTCTAAGTGTTTGACATTCAGAAATTGGAGAGAATAGGTCAGGACTGTGGTAAGTGGGTTTGCATTTTAAATAGCCGTGATTGAAAAGAGAGGAAAGAGATGTGTCCAGTGGCAATTTCTGTTAGTAATTTTTTGTGGTTCTCTTAAGACTTTGTTTTTTCAAGAGAAGATGAAAACTAGACTGGTTGTTCTTACCCCAACTTTATTTTTTAATAGTAATCTCTCTGGAAAATTATAGGAATCTGAAAGTATAACAATTCCAAAGTTAGATATCATATTTATAATATAGTCAAATGAGATCATTGTAGTTATTACCATGATGCACACTTTCAAGGGAGTTAGAATCATTGAATATAGCACTACATTTTTTTGGTGACAACAGCTTTTGAATGTCCCTGCTTAAATTACTTTTTATATAGCAAACTTATACTTCGAAGATTCTTTTCAATAAAAATGTAATATTTTTATTAATCCTTTTCACTTGGGTTTACACAGGAAGGATTGCTTAGAAAATTTAAATTATTAATTCAATCACAATTAGCCAATGCTCTTAATTTTTTCCTTCAGTAGAAATGTTTGCCTTATATTTTGAAGAATGTATTTGCTTGCGTTTCATTACTTTTATTTTCTCTTCCATACCTGCTGTGGAAAATGCAAATAATGCCAATAAAATTAGCAAAGAGGAGAGAAGAAAGGAGGAGTAGCAGCAGTGACAGCAGCAAGAGATTAGGTGTAATTAGCAAATTTAATAATTCGTATCTAAATAACCAAGTCACAGGTCAAATCTCATACCAGCTCCTCCATGGGAAATTACATTTTTGTTGTTGTACTGAAATTTTATGGTAATAAATATTATAAAAGATAGGGGAGTGTCAATCCTTTGTCATTGACTTCCTGAGCCAGCAGCAGGTAACTGATGGAGTCTGAGCCTGTGTGTTGACAACCTCATGGAGCCCACATGAAAATGGTTGTGTAGTGATTAACAAGTAAAATCCATGATTTTATGCCATTAGGGGATGCGTAATAGTTGCTACCATTATGGGGTATTACGACAACGTGCAGTGGAGTAGAGGTTCTAGGGCCTGTAGGATGAATACCATTTGGGTCTCACCAAGAATCTGGTGGAGATTCTTACTGATTTCTTAGTGCATTTGAAACTTGGTATCCGAACTCTAGTGTCATTTATGTTTACATATGTGTTTGTAACTCAGTTAAAATCATTGTTATATGAATTAAGAATGTATAACTCTTTTAAAGAGTATGTTCAGTTGTTTGCAAGCAAGCATGTTTGTCATTTTCATAAAGTCCCTTGGTAAAGAAACCCCATAAACATTGTTATTTATTTATGAATAACTTATGTCGACCCTATTGCAATATTACAATCAAAATTCTGGTGTGAGGAGTGGGAAAAATCAGTGAAGTAAATTTCCTTTAAAACTCTCTTTCTGAGATTTCCCTTCTATCTGAATGGTTTGTTGCATCACTTTAGTTTATTTAGTAATCTCAAAGACACTTACAGTCTCATGCCTGTAATCCCAGCACTTTGAGAGGCCAAGGCTGGCAGATCACGAGGTCTGGAGTTCGAGACCAGCCTGGCCAACATAGCAAAACCCTGCCTGTAATCCAAGCTGCTTGGGAGGCTGAGACAGGAGGGTCACTTGAACTTGGGAGGTGGAGGTTACATTGAGCCGAGATCGTACCACTGCACTCCAGCCTGGGCAACACAGGGAGACTCCATCTCAAACAAATGAACAAACAAACAAACAAACAAAACACAGGGCTTCAAGATTCTGAATCTGTATAAACAACCTTTAGGATAAATCCTTTGTGATTAATTCTTTAAAGCTGTATTATAAGTTTTTACATGTTAAACTTTTTTCTTAGTCATTTGATTTACATTATATGTTGACAATCTGTCAGGCTAATATATAGCATTAACTGACTCATTATTTCATTGATAGAAATGTGTTAATAGGATGTTACAGTCACACTTATCTACATTGGAATTAGCCTTTCAATATGTTTTTGCAGAAATTGTTGCAATGTGTTTAAAAATGAGATAGACGCCGGACACGGTTGCTCGGGCAGATCACGACGTCAAGAGATCAAGACCATCCTGGCCAACATGGTGAAACCCCGTCTCTACTAAAAACACAAAAATTAGCTGGGAGTGGTGGCGCACGCCTGTAGTCCCAGCTACTCAGAAGGCTGAGGCAGGAGAATCACTTGAACCTGGGAGGCGGAGGTTGCAGTGAGCCGAGATTGCGCCACTGCACTCCAACCTGGCAACAGGGTAAGACTGTCTCAAAAAAAAAAAAAAAAAAAAAGAGATAGTCATTAAACTCTTTAATGCAAAACGAACAATTGTGAGAACTATAGAGACTGTTTACAGACTCAAAGCTGTAACAGTTAAATTATTTGTTGTTAAATCACCTGTAGTTAATTACAATATGTTGATGTGTACCTGATCTAAAAGGAAGATTATTTTGGGTTGTCAGGTTAAACACAGACATTGTCGAGCAAAGATAAGACAGTCAAATTACCTTTTATTCCTCAGAAGTGTCATTGAATTCAGTTAACACCTTATCAAGTGCTAATAAGACCTTTCTTTGAAGATGTGAATGATTAAGCCCTAATCCTTGTTCAGTGATTTTTGAATCTTAGAAGTTCCGAATCAAGTTAATTTCTAAATTATACAATTTGAATATACTAACATTTTAATTTAACATTTTGTATGTTATTTAATTTGTGCTCTTAAATTTAGTTTGAATCCAACTTCCCCTTTTTTCTTTACTCAGAAAAATAATTTTGTCTTTGATTTATGCAATAATAATGAATGGATTCAGCTTACTCATTTCAAATTATTTCTGCAGAATATTGAAAGTTAGGGAAATGCCTCCCCCCACTCTTTTAAGTAGCTTTAGAAATTGCAGTTCTGTTCGACACTAAATACAGTGAATAGTTTGTGTTCCACAGCTTCAGGATAGAGAACACAGATTTCCCAAACATTCAGCAAATTACGAAACAATTGAGAAGTGGGGAAATCCAGGGTTACAGCAGATAGTCTTTCAAATGGGAGATGTTGGAGTGTTGATTTCTGTTCTGATGGGCTGTGAGTAGTGGTAGTGGTGGCAGTGGCAACAGTGACTGTTCTACATCTAACGGGAGGGAAGGTGGTACTTCACCACTGATGTGCCACAGAAGCTTACTCATTTTCCTCTTTTGTGGGCATGCTCTTGGTTCCACATCATACACTGGGGATACATCAGCAAAATGTGGTTAATTGCAGTGTAGCAGGACGAGCCGTAGACAAAACCCCTCAGACACCGAGATAGTGAAGGGAGTGGCTTTAATGAGCTGGAAGCATCGGCAGACTAGCGTCTTAAAATCCAAGCTTGTCAGGTGCACAGTTTCTGTCCCTTTTAAGGGCTCACAACGCTAAGGGTTTCACGTGAAAGGGTCGTGATTGATTGAGCAAGCCAGGGGGTACGTGACAGGGGCTGCATGCACCGGTGGTCAGAGTGAAACAGAACAGACCAGGAAGTTTCACAATGTCTTTCCATACAATGTCTGGAATCTATAGATAACATCGGTTGCTAGGTCAGGGGTCGAATTTTAACCACCAGGCTTAGGTCAGGCAGGCCCAGGCCTGGTTTCAGGTCTGGTTCCTAGGCGCCGGGCTACCTGCCTTTAGTTTCACTTCTCTTTCCTTTTCTGGGTATAAAACAATATAAAGCAATATGAGAGGGTCTGTCTCTCTTCTCTCAGCAGCAGATAAAGGACAACTGTGAAGATTGGGAACCTGAAATTAGACCTTCCCACAATGTTTGAAAATGTTCCTGGGAAACAGACCTTTGAGTCTTGGAAGGAAGGATCTATACACTCTGCGGTGATAGACAGGTGGTACATGGATAGCAGTGGGCAAACCCTGAGCAGATGACACTCAGAAATTTAGGTAGATCATGTGGTTTTTATCATCTATGTATAGGTAGTCAGAGCTCTATACTGGTGTCCAGACCCTGGCTAAGAATCTAGCAAAGGCAAAGCAAGGTTCCAGGCTCATGTGGGTGCCAGGATAGCCTCTTAGGGAGTAGAGCACAGGGATTAGTAAGAATATCCAGTTACATACCTGGGGTCAAGAAGAGCCCAGAGAATTTGGAAATTTGGCATGGTTAATAAAACTAAGGAGAAGAATCAGAGAAGGAGTAAGTGTGATGGTTGAAACTAGAGAACTAGGTATTAATATGGAGTGTAATTCGTGTGTTAGAACAAGCTTGCCATGACTGGGGAGAGCTGATAACATTTTAAAGACATTTGTGAGCTCATTGATGGAGAACTTGAAATTGATCATGGTGGGATTATTTACACCATGGGATCACAAATGTCACATATCAGGCCTTCCCCTTCTCTCTCACCTCCAGAACTGGCTGTTAAACATTTATCAGCACCCCACAGGTGTAGCGTAGAGAACATAGCTTTGAGGTTGGCTAGAACTAGGATAGAATTCTGCTTCTCGGAGTCGTGACAACTTATAAAACCTCCTTAAATTTTCTAGTTTCTTATGTAAAAAATTTGGAGTATAATGAAAATTAAATTACCTATAATGATATACAATGCACCCAGCCCATTACAAGTTCTTATAGTATTTTTGAATCCTTCTTTTTCCACTCTCCTTATACAACTGGTCCTAGAGTCTGAGGGAGAAGGAGTTGTAATGGAGGTGAAGATTCTACAAGAGAAGAGCCAGAATTCAGGCACCAGGAAGGAATTTTTGTTTTAGGGAAGGTACATCCCAAATAGTTACACCAAAGTTCTTTCTGGGGGAAATTAAGAAAAAAATGTTGAGAGTGGAAGCCCCTATATGGCATCACAGTACCTCTGAAGGGGCAAGAATTGCCCTTCAGAGGGGCAATTTTAGACAGCTGTGCTGAGTAGGGATAACAAGCCCAAGCCTGGGGAGTGAGCAACCCATGGGTACTAGATATCAGGGCGATCAAGAGCCTGGAGTCTCCTAGCCAGAAGTGCACTTGGTCTTGGTCAAGACAACCCCTCTACTAGTCCCATGATCTTAGGCAGTATAAAAGTGGTTAGAGCTTATAAGACCCACTGTCCCAGATTTGGTAGAAGGGAAATCAGAACAATTCTCACACACATAATGTCAGGGCAAACACATGGTCTGGATAGAGCGTCTCACATTAGGCAAAATCAAAATATAACTGTAGGAAACAACTGAAACCAAACACACAAAAACCTATGCACACATACCAAGGGGAAAAGAGGGAAGAAGCCCGATATACAAAGTGAGAGTGAACCCAGTATAAAAGAAAACATTATCCAGAAAGCATATATTTTTAAAATTTACTCTGTAGAGAAACTTACTGAAAACATAAATTTGTTAAAACAAGACTCAAAGATGAGATGATTTAAGAGAAGAGTGGGATAAAAATGGGGATGACTGGAATAAGAAAACAAATTGAGAACCAAAACAACACCCTTACTATCTAATAAACAGCTTAGAAGCTGCAAGGAATGAGAAAAAACTTAAAATTGAACTTAAGAGGTAGAGTAAAGGTTTGAAATAATCGCAGTGAGTGCAGAAGATGACTAAAGGAAAAAAGGAGTTACAAACATTTCTCAAAAATGAGTTCCTATATTTGATTTCATGTTTGTCCTTTCAAAGAGGAGGCCAATTCTACAGTCACAAAATTATTTCTGTTGGCTTTCACAGCCTTGAATAAAATGGAAAAGATTAAAGTGTGGCTCTTAACAGAAGCGACTCCTAACTGCCAATGGCTTCTAGAAATGTCTTTTTCAACGCACTGATGAAATTGTTTTATAAATCTCTCTGGCCTTATAAAGGAAAGTAGTAATTGTGGGATAAGTACAGCCTGAAAAATTTATTATACTCCTCAAATTTTGGTTAACAGTGGGTAACAGGATGGGGAATGAGACTTCTCCTGTTTTGGAATTTTTGCTAAAACTTCAAAACAAAACTAATGAATGCTTTCATATTCTGCAGAGAGCCATCACTGAGCTGTGGGATCCCTCTGATATGGTTTGGCTATGCCTTCACCCAAATCTCATCTTGAATTGTAGTACTTATAATCCCCATGTGTCATGGGAGGGATCTGGTGGGAGGTAATTGAACCATGGGGGCAGGTTTTTCCTGTGCTGTTCTCATGATAGTACATAAGTCTCATGAGACCTGATGGTTTTATAAGGGCAGTTCCCCTGCACATGGTCTCTTGCCTGCTGCCATGTAAGACGTGCCCCAGCCATGTGGAACTGTGAGTACATTAAATCTCCTTTTCTTTATAAATTACCCAGTCTTGGGTATTTATTCATTGTAGTATGAAAATGGACGAATACACCTTCCCTTTGTATTCTATCTGTATGATAGCATAAACAAAAATCAATTTTAAAGGTATAAAAAATTAAAAACAAAACAAATTAAATGAAAAGAGATAGTCAAATTAAACCTGCTAGTCTGATCGTTACTCCCAGTGGGTATAAGAAAAAGTTAAGGAATTCGAGGATGTTCACTGTGGCTTTGAGTTATGGTTTTACCCCCTCATAGTCCTCCCCTCATAAAGCAAGGAAATGGGGTCTAAGAGAATCCCTCATAGGAACTGGCATGCTTGGAAGAGGATGATATTGGTATCTCAAGCCTGTATTAGATGTCTGTTCCCATAGCAGCCTTGCCAACCTGCTCCACAATGATGTAAGCAAACTTTGTGGGGCAAACTGAGAGTAACCACAAGGCAGAGAGACGAGAAGTGAGGAGCTTGTGCATCATCCATTGTTTAGGGAACAGGGAGGTGGAATTTTACACTGGGCTACCGGTGCAAGGGAGCCAGGTGTGCTTGATCATTGGTGATAGCATTTGAAGCAGGGACTGAAGTCCTGAGCCAGAGCAGGTGTACCACATCAGAAGGTACACCTGTAGCACGGAGAGGCTGCCTCAAGGGGGCATCCAATGGACCTCACCTGTGGTGTCTTAAAAAAAAACACACACACAACACGAGCCTTTCTACGCACACCATACAGAGATTGTCTTTGGCTAAGGGAAGACTGTAACTGCACAAGGAAGGTAAACGATGTTTTTGGCACTTTTCTCTAAGCTCTACTTTCTGCTTCAACAAAGGAAAAGCTAGAACAAGAAAAGGGAAGTGGGAAGGAGAAGCACAGGGAGCCTAAGTTAGGTTAGAGGAGTGTTTCTTGGGTATGAAATTGAAGTTTTAAGTTTGGGCAAGATTGGGAACTTCAGTAGCTCGAAATATCCAGAAAGCATCTTAGATTCTGGCTCAGATTTTTTTAAGAGATGGAAATGGAGATTCAAAGGTTTTGTTATTGAAGACAATAAAGCCATTCCATGTTTGGACTCCACTAAATTCAGATTGTTCGATTAATCTGTCAACACTTGTATGCCAAAAAATGATACTATAGGCATTGTATGAACTGCTAACTTTATTTATCCTTTGGTATGACTGATACCTTTATAATTAGAAACCATATGAAATGTTTAATAGTCTAAATTGAGTTAAACCTCAGGACACAGATGATTGACTATATAATTTTTATGACAAGGAAGCATTTAACAACTTCTTTAGTATTGATGATTATCTTTGAAATGAGGTCTATAAAGTTTACTCATAATTCATTAAGAATTATCACAGCATTCAAGGTTTCTAAATCAAATTAATTCAGAAGTTAAATTCCCACTTTTGAAGGATATAAGAAAGTAAATATCAATTATATTTTGGGACTTCTGTCCACATATCCAGAATTTCCAAAAATCGAATACAGTGCAGAACATCTGAGAGGAATCTCTAAGCTTGGTTCATACTGGTTGCCTTTGATATATTAAGGTCTGAGGGAGGCTTCATGTCCTTCAAAGAGGGACAATTTTCATGCTTCCGTATGGAACTTAAGGGATATATGCAAAGTCGGAATGTCCTAGATTCTGCTATAAAATAATTTCAATATAATTGAAAAACACAAACGTTCAGGAAAAGAGATGTGAAATACGCATTTCTTCAAGAATGCTGTATATCTTTTAAGTAGTGTAGTATAAGGTGAAGATTTCAAAAAAGTTTTAAAAGATTTATTTTTTATACTTTTATGCTACAATCACTGTTTATGCAGCTCCTGATATGCATAGAAAGGTAAGAATTCTTAAAGTACAAATAAATTTGCTTATATATGTATATACACACACACACTATTGTTAAAGACATCTCTTACCTTCTAGTTGTTTCAAGAGTCTTTGAAACATTGTTAGACAATAAGTCACAAATCAATGGCCAGCATGAAATTATATTAAAATTATATCAGTGTAACTAAATAATTTAGAAGTAACTCTACTAAGCTTTCTTAAAGATGCATTGAATCTAAAACTGTACTATGATATAAGGCTCCGTTTGTTGAAAACGTTTAAAAGATGCAGTGATTCTGAACGTTTTCCTGAATTTTAAATACCATGTGAACGTTTTGCTTGGTGAGCTGACGCTGACACCAGGAACACTGTGCTACTCTTCTGTCTTTAGCAGAGGGAGCCAGAGCCACGCAGGGGATTTTGGGGCCCAGAGTGTGTGATTTTGCCTGTTTGAAGCAGGGGGACACTGCTAATAAAATACTTAGACCATATTTATTTTGATATGCAGCAGGCTGGGGCTCTTTATGGATCAGTGACCTGGAAATTCTTCCTGGTTTCCCCCAGTCCGGTCGGCACTGCTGGTAGAAGTGGAGAGCAGGTCCCACCCATGCACCCAGTTTCTTCTTCTGCCCCTCTGAGTGTCTTTTTCCATATCCTCCCTTTTTGGAAGGGTTTCACAGGCCCTCTTTTAGACCATCATTTTTTCCCTATTATAGTGAAGGAGATGTTGACACTGTTAGTTTTTTCCTCTTACAGAAGTCGATGCCTCCGGAATCCTTGACAGATATAGAGAATGGGTAAGAGGGAGAAGAAAACAAAGTGGAGGGAAAAGAATGGCAATGAAAGTATGATAAGGAAAAAAAAAAGGTTAAAAAAAAACAGAAAATAAGGGTGATAGAGTGACATCAGAAGTTGCTTTGAATTTCTCTTAGAGGAACTGGCATTTCTGGGTCACCCTGCTCTGTGGTTTTCTGGTTTTCATAATTGCATAGATGTATGAATGACATTACTTATGATCATATAAGAGAGCCTTAGCAGTTCATTGTTGTGTGAAAGTGAATGAGCTTCATGGTTTACTCAACCGTGAGCCTGCTTTGGCAGCTGGTACTATGTTAAATGATTGGAGAATTAATTAACTGAAGAACTTGTTAAACTGTTGAAATGTGTTTCCACTGAGCAGTAATAATGGCAATTCACTGTTAGTCAATGAGTGCCCACCATTCACGAATAGGAAATTTCTAGTATTATGTGTATCGTTTTTGGAGCACATCTGTATTAGACCGCATGCTAGAGAATTTTTATCTGAAGAGGTGCCAAATTTTTCTCTCTCCGTTGAAGGACTATATTGTCCTGAAAGGGTTAAGATCTCCCCATTTCAAACTTGCCTCTTTTCCCCTGAGTACTCCCACATTGTCTTATTTCCCCCCAGAAAGTTGTCTACCAATTCAGTTAGTGCTGAGTTGAATCTACCAATTCATTGAGGTTAAGTTTCTTCATGTATGTAGAACAATTCATTATAAAAATTCAGAAATGAATTTTTATTGATAAGAAAGCATTATCTTGTCACTTTCCAAAAGACTTGGAAACGTTGTGAGATAATGACATAAGTCAGAAATCGATGACTAGCATGAAATTATAATAAAAATTATTTTGGTGCAACTAAATAATTTAGTAGTCACCTTACTAAGTTTTTCTTAAAGATCCATTGAATTCAGAACTGTACTATGATATAAGGCTCAATTCGTCAAAATGTTTTAAAAAAAGAGTAGGTATTCCTATTAATTGCTATTCCATCAAGTGTCTTTTAAACATTTGCATAACTCACTTCTATTTCAGAATATCTGAAATTTATAATAGGAAAAATTTATAACTTTCTCTCTTTTACATACTTCTTAATAAGGGAATTTGTGACAAGTGGAATTCTTAAACAGTGGCCCTGTGACCTGACTTTGGGTGGTTTGGACAGTGAGCCAGTATAGTAACATACTGTACAGGTTTATAGTCTAGGAGCAATAGGCTATACCTTACAGCCTAGGTGTGTAGTAGGTTATACTGTCTAGGCTTGTGTGAATACACTCTGATGTTTGCACAACAATGAAATCACCTAATGACACATTCCTCAGGAGGTATACCTGTTGTTAATCAATGACATGACTGTATCTATTTTTAATATCAAGTTACCTTAATTAGAATTCACTCTATCTTTCAGGGAACTATAAAGATTGTTCTACCTGAACCCCATGGCCAACAAAACAACTTAGCAATTAAACCATTAATAGTGTTATAGAATTTTGACTTAGACTTTGAAATGAAATGCTAGAATTTGCATGCTTGATTACTTCTTAAAATATACTGTATCTCCATAGAGATTTCTAAAGCCATTTAAGCACTCCACAACAGCCAGAATAGAGTTTAGCTAATGGACCATGAAATACCTATGACTATGTACTTCACAGATAATATTCTTCCATCTCTAGCTAGATACCATTGACACAGTGAGGATGGCACTGAGGAAAGCATTTGGGTTACAAAATATCTGTTAGCTTGTTTATTGAGCTTGGAAGGAAAGTATCTTCAGTGGGATGATTTCAAAATTTACCAGATCCAAATGCTCAATTTTAAACATTTGCCATTTTAAACATCTCTCTTCCCCTACAGCACCACCCTTGGTGGTGCTTTCCATCAGTGGAAAGAGTATCTGTGCAATAGAGCATCTCTAGATGCAATGTTTAATCTTGAAGTAGCTCTCTGCTGTATTTATCAGTGACAAGGATGACATTTTGGACTTGAGCTTGCCTCATACACTTTTCTTATTTTTTAATTGCTTCAGAACTCATCAGAAAGAGATGGCACTGATTGGGGATCCTTGGATCCCAACATCTCCTACATCTTCTGCAGTTGTAACAAAAATGGTTATTTGTGTAGCTAAACATAGAAAAGGTACAGTAAAAATACAATATAAGAGATAAAAATGGCACACCTGTATAGAGTGCTTACCATGAATGGAGCTTGCAGGACTGGGAATTGCTCTAGGTATGTCAGTGAGTGAGTGGGGAGTTGATGTGAAGGCCTAGGGCATAACTACTTGACTGTACACTTTATAAACACTGTACAATTAGGCTACACTAAATTTATTAAAAGTATTTTTCTTTGGTAAAAAAATTAACCTTAGCTTACTGTAACTTTTTTTAAATTTTTTGACTCTTTTGTCATAATAAGCTTAAAACACACACATTGTACAGCTGTACAAAAATATTTTCTTTATATTTTATAACCTTTTCTCTATTTTTAAATTTTTTACTTTTTAAACTTTTTTGTTGAAAACTAAGATACAAAGATACACATTAGCTGGAGCTTACATAGGGGTTAGGATCATCAATATTACTGTTTTCTGCCTCCATCTCTTGTTCCCCTGGAAGCTCGTCAGGGATAATAACATGCATGGAGCTGTCATCTCCTATGATAACAATGCCTTCTTCTGGAATACTTCCTAAGGAACTTGCCTGAGGCTGTTTTTTGATTAACTTTTTTTTATAGGTAGAAGGAATACACTCTAAAATAATGATAAAAGTATAGTAAATATATAAATAAGATAGATTTTTATTATTATCAAGTAGTTTGTACCGTACCTAATTGTATGTGCTATATTTGTAGTGACTGGCAGTGCAGTCTACTTGTTTACACTAGCATCACCACAAAGGTAAATAATGTGTTACATCTATGACATTACAATGGCTACAGTGTCACTAAGTGATAGGGATTTTTCAGCTCTGCAATAATCTTATGGGACCACTGTCCCATGCAATGTGACAGTGTTAGGTTTCCATGGGTCTGTTTTCTGACAATATTCAGAATTTTGGAAAATGTACTTTGCTGTTATAAGTAGAATAAACAAGAAAACCTCTTTTTAAATATTAGAGCAAAAATGTGCAACTTATGGATTTAAGCTGGAGTGAATCAGTCTATTCTCTTGGTGGCCATGCGTTCTCATTGAATTCATTTTACTGTAATGCTTTACAGATAAAAGTAAAATCTCTTTATGATAAATTGATTGTTGTCTTTGTTGGTGAATATTTTATTATATTTGACGGTACTGCTAGAAATCATATTGCCTGTCCAAAGGAAATGTAGATGGATAAAATTTGTCCAGGTTCTCTGTGGAGGATTAACAAATACGAGAAAGCGATATGAGAATAGTAAATGGAAAGAGTAATTCCCTTTCTCTCTTCCTCTCTGCCTGTCATTTTAGTTCTAAGTCTTGAGACTTCTCAAGTTTGCATGAAATAATATGCATACTCTTTATACCCTTTTACTTTCATTCTTTTTTTCCTCCGATACTCTCATTTCCATTTCTTCCTGATGGCAAAAAATTTTAACTGTAGCTCTACTGTGCCACACTACATTTTTCTAGACTATCACTCCTTGAAAGAAGGAATTACAGTGTAATTGTTGTGTGCATTGAAGAATGCTTGTGCAGGATAATAACCAATAAGTATTTATTAACTAAATAAATGAGCTGTTAGTATGTGAATACATAGTATTTTTGTTATGCAGAAACCTTCTTTGTAATGTATTATCTGTTTTGTGATTTTATTACGGAAGACTATTTTGCATGTATTCTAAAGCACAGCAACTTAATCCTGATGTTCTTTTCTGCTTAACAGAATTGGTTTAATTGCAAAATATGTTTCTATGCAAAGTTCTAGTGATGATTCATTGTTTTTCATTATTGCGCTGGCATCTAACTGTGCCTGCTCCATTGCCCCTGCCATCACCACTAATGAAGAAGTACTTTCAAGTGGTGGGATGGACTGTGCACTCCATCTTGTCTGTCGAACCAGAGACTGCTGGTGGAAAAAGTGACTGGTGATTTCCTGAAAGTTTACTGTTGTTTTTTTGCTTGACCTCGGTATAATATGGATATTGCTACTTATGTATGGTCTTTTTTTAAGGTTCTGGATAAGTGTATTTTACAAGGAATACAATTTGCCTGTCTTAGCAATGACTCAGACTAGTATTTATTGAAAGCACTCAGATACATTTGTTGAACAAATGAAACAGCAAGCATAGAAGTGTTTTATCACTTATGAGAGCTGTGGAACTCCACCTCTCATGTGAAAAGAATGCCATAGCCATACAAATTGAGCATAGACAGATGTCCAGTCTGGAGAAAGATGGACATATCCACCCCCAAACAGCCACATATACTTCTTATTAAGCATCCTCTAGGAGCTGGTCTGCGCCACACTACTTTCTTTGAAAATTCTGTCTTCTGTAATTACATTTCCATAATTTTGCAAATGAGAAGCCTCAATGATATGAGAAAGGCAAACAATGTGTTTTTAAGTTAAGGGCAAGTTAGTTTACTAAGTCTTTTCATATATTTAATTCTCAGAAGAAATAATGGACTTTTGTGCTTTGCATCCTTCTCTGGGTCTCTTTATGCAAACAAACATCTGGGAGTACTACTTCCTAGTTTAGGGAAGGTATAATTCAGATGTGGGAAGTATTTTGACATTTTAGTATCTCCTGTTATTAGTAAAATGACATGTTGGTTTATAAATTTGGGGTTTGTAAATGTCTGATTTTTAACTAAAAATTACTGTGTTTGAGTTTTCTGTCAGGAAAACAGGTTTAGAAGATGCCAGATGTGTGTTTGGTATTTTTCCATTAAGTATGTTTTTTTATTGCCATGTTATGCTATGACTTGCCTGTAAATATTCCTGCTCATTCCCAAGATCTGGAAAACATGCCACAGAGAGGCTATCACTGGGCTAAGAGCCTTTGAGTCTTAAAATGCCTCTGTGGAGCAATGCATACCAAGCGGGCAGGCCGTGCATAGTCATGCAGAAATACTGAGTGGTTTCCATCCACTTATGCACAATTTGGGGCATTGTGGTAGTGGTTGCTTGGCCTAAGTTTTATATTTTGGCTTTATCAAAATGGTCTTTTAGGTAAGGGATATTTAGAAACTATGCCAAAAAAGCTTTGCTACTTTAATCAATAAAGAATTAATTTAGTACTAAAATTCCTCAGGGAAAAAAATGTGTGATAAATTTTTCAGCATAAAATTTACATTCCCTTTGTGAAAGGGCTGTCTTCCAGTAAATGCAGTCAATAAATTTATCTCCAAAGGCACAAATGTGTACACAAAAAACCTCAAACATCTGGTGAAGTGGTTTCTTTGAGAAAAGCCAAAATACAGTGCTTTTGAGGTTGGTAAGCCATGAAAAATCTCTTTTGAAATAGAATTAAGATGCTTTTGCTGTTATTACAGAAAAAAAAAGTCTCTAATTTTCTTTGAATATCCAGTATCTCTTAAAAATTTTTGTTTTGCAAATTTGTTAAAAACTGGTTAACGTAATTTGCACGTGAGATAGTGCAACTTCAAACAGGTTTTTTGTTGTTGTTTTTTAAACACAGGTGGGAGATATGGGAGATTGGCCTGGATAGCTAGGCATGGGATAGATTTTAAAAGGCTTTCTTTTGTTTGGTAAGGGAGTTAGACCTTGTTCTATAGCATATGGGTTGGCACGCTTTTTCTACAATAAGCCCAGTAGTAAATTTTTTATTTTTATTTTTATTTTTTTCTATGTAGTAAACATTTTGGGCTTTGTGGGCCACACACTTTAATATCTCCCATTACTAGTAAACTGACATTTTGGTTTACAAATAAACCAAATTTGAGTCTGTCACAATGACTCAACTCTGTCGTTGTAGCATGAAAGCAGACATGAACCATGTGAATGGAGCATGGGTATATTCCACTACAACTTTATTTTATGGACACTGTAATTCAAATTTTATATAATGTCTACATGTCATGAAATAGTAGTGTTCTTCTTTTGATTTTTTACAACATTAAAACATATAAAAACAATTCATAGTCTGAAGACTAAACTAAGACAAACTGCAGGTATGATTTGGTCCATCATGGGCCATTGTTTTCTGATCCCTGCTACTGTTACCGACGAACTATCATTATTGAACTATCATTAACAATTGAAGATTTTTAATCAGGAAGGAGATATGATTGTATTTGCATTCAACACGTTCTTTTTGGTGCGGCATTTTTAAATTTTTTTTCCATAAGTTACTGGGGTACAGGTGGTGTTTGGTTACATGAGTAAGTTCTTTAGTGGTGATTTGTGAGATTTTGGTGTGCCCATCACTGGAGCAGATGCAGATGAAGACCTTCATGATGATCTAACTTCCACCTAATAAATAATAAATATATTGTCTTTTCCTTATGATTTCTTAATAGCTTTTTTTGACAGAGCAGATGAAGTCCTGCTCTGTCACCCAGGCTAGAGTGCAGTGGCGTGATCTCAGCTCACTTGCAACTTCCTGCCTCCCAGGTTCAAGCAATTTTCCTGCCTCAGCCTCCTGAGTAGGTGGGATTATAGACGTGTACCACAATACCCAGCTAATTTTTGTATATTTAGTAGAGATGGGGCTTCTCCATTTGGCCAGGCTGGTCTTGAACTCCTGACCTCAAGTGATCTGCCCACCTCAGCCTCCCAATGTGCTGGGATTACAGGCGTGAGCCACCACACCCAGCCTCTTTTGTGTTTCTGTATGAATTTTAAAATAGTTGTTTCTAGTTCTTTAAGTATGTCATTGTTAGTTTGATAGGAATAGCATTGAATCTATAAGTTGCTTTGGGCTGTATGACCATTTTAACGATGTTAATTCTTCCTATGCATAAGCATGGAATGTTTTTCTATTTGTTTGTATCACCTCTGATTCCTTTGAGCATTCTTCTGTAGTTTTCATTGTAGACATCTTTCACCTCCCTGGTTAGCTGTATTTCTAAATATTTTATTCTTTTTGTGGCAGTTGTGAACGGGATTACGTTCCTGAGTTGGCTCTAAGCTTGACTGTTGTTGGTATGTCACAATGCTAGTGATTTTTATATGTTGATTTTGTATCCTGAGATTGTGCTGAAGTCGTTATCAGCTGAAGGAGCTTTTGGGCCAAGACTGTGGAGTTTTCTAGATACAGGATTATGTTGTTTAAATTTTCTAGATACAGGATCATGTTGTTTGTAAATAGGGATAGTTTGACTTCCTCTCTTCTTATCTGGGTGCCCTTTATTTTTTTCTCAGGACTTCCAATACTGTGTTGACTAGAAGCAGTGAGAGAGGTCAGACTTGTCTTGTGCCAGTTTTCAAAAGGAATGCTTCCAGCTTTTGGCCATTCAATATGATATTGGCTGTGGGTTTGTCATAGATGAATCTTATTATTTGGAAGCATGTTCCTTTAATACCTAGTATATTGAGAGTTTTTAACATGAAGGGGTATTGAATTTTATTGAAAGAATTTTCTGCATCTATTGAGATAATCAAGTGTTTTTTGTCTTTAGGTCTGTTTATGTGATGAATCACAAACATTTTTCTATTTTGTTTCCTCTCTCAGAAATTCATAGAGAAGATTGGCATATTAAAGGCTCTGAGAAGGGCTGCAGAGAACATAACTTTTTTGCTGTTTTGTTAACTTGATGTTTATCACACTTATTTATGGAAACTTCTGTGGAAAATGACTTAGGAAATGCTATTTTAATGGCAATTATCTTAAATGAAGAAGTGTGGTAAAGATCATTAAGATCAATTAAGAAGAAATCCACTGCAATATTCATGAAAAAAATATTGAGGGAACAAACCAGGGAGCAACAGTGGAATGTAGAAACATTATTATTAAGGAAACACAATTTCTGGAATATAGAAGTGGACAGTCTTAAAGATGTTTTTCTATTAAAGTGTGAAAAATTAAAATACATAAAAAACAAACACATATATGCTTCTTTTATTTTTTCATAAGTTATTGGGGTACAGGTAGTATTTGGTTACATGAGTAAGTTCTTCAGTGGTGATTTGTGACATTTTGGTGCACCCATCACCCAAGCAGTATATACTGCACCCTATTTGGAGTCTTTTATCTCATGCCCTCCCCACCCCAACCCTTCTCCTCAAGTCCCAAAGTTCATTGTAAATATTTGGTTATATTTCTGGGTTCTCTATTCTGTTTCATTGGTCTATGTGTGTGTTTTTATACCAGTACCATGCTGTTTTGGTGACTATGGCCTTATAGTATAGTTTGAAATCAGGTAGTGTGATGCCTCTAGATTTGTTCTTTTTGCTAAGTCTTGCTTTGACTTTGTGGGGTCTTTTTTGGTTTCATATGAATTTTAGAATTGTTTTTTTCTGATTCTGTGAAGAATGATGGTGCTATTTTGATGGAGATTGCATTGAATTTTTAGGTTGCTTTTGGCAGTATGGTCATTTTCACAATATTGATTCTATCCATCCATGAGCATGGGGATGTGTTTCCATTTGTTTGTGTCGTCTGTGATTTATTTCAGCAGTGTTTTGTAGTTTTCCTTGTAGAGGTCTTTTGACTCCTTTGTTCAGTGTATTCCTAAGTATTTTATTTTTTTTTTGCAGCTATTGTAAAAGGGGCTGAGTACTTGATTTGATTTTCTGCTTGGTTGCTGTTAGTGTATAGAAGAGCTACTGATTTGTGTACATTAATCTTGTATCTGGAAACTTTGCTGAATTCTTTTATCAGTTCTAGGAACTTTATGGAGGAAGCTTTAGGGTTTTCAAGGTAAACAATCATATCATCCACAAACAGTGACCGTTTGACTTCCTCTTTACCGATTTGGATGCCCTTTATTTCTTTCTCTTGTCCTAGCTCTGGCTAGGACTTCCAGTACTATGTTGCAGAGGAGTGGTGAGAGTGGGCATCCTTGTCTTGATCCCTTTCTCAGCGGGAATGCCTTCAACTTTTCCCCATTCAGTATTATGTTGGCTGTGGGTTTGTCATAGATGGCTTTGAGTACATTGAGGTATGTCCCTTGTATGCCAGTTTTGCTGAGAGTTTTAATCATAACGCGATGCTGGATTTTGTCAAATGCTTTTTCTGCATCTATTGAGATGATCATGTAATTTTTGTTTTAATTTCTGTTTATTTGGTGTATCACATTTATTGTCTTGCATATTTTAAACCATCCCTGCATTCCTGGTATGAAATCCACTTGATCATGGTGGATTATCTTTTTGATATGTTGTTGGATTTGGTTAGCTAGTATTTTGTTAAGGATTTTAGCATCTATGTTCATCATGGATATTGGTCTGTAGTTTTCTCTTTTGGTTGTATCCTTTCCTGGATTTGGTATTAGGGTGATGCTGGCTTCATAGCATGAATTAGGGAGGATTCCTTCTGTCTCTACCTGTCGAATAGTGTCAAAAGGATTGGTACCAATTCTTTGAATGTCTGGTAGAATTCCGCTGTGAATTTGCCTGGTCCTGGACATTTTTTTTTGTTGAAATTGTTTAATTACCATTTTAGTCTTGCTGCTTTTTACTGGTCTGTTCAGGGTATGTAATTCTTCCTGATTTAAGCTAGTAGGGTTGTTATTTTTCCAGGAATTTATCCATTTCTTCTAGGTGTTCTAGTTTATGTGCATAAAGG
Organism: Homo sapiens; assembly: GCF_000001405.40. Taxonomy (NCBI): domain Eukaryota; kingdom Metazoa; phylum Chordata; class Mammalia; order Primates; family Hominidae; genus Homo; species Homo sapiens. The sequence goes on from NC_000014.9 coordinate 39,778,261, forward strand.
TGTTCATAGTAGCCTTGAATGATCTTTTGTATTTCAGTGGTGTTTGTTGTAATACCTCTTGTTTCATTTCTTAATGAGATTATTTGCATTTTCTCTCTTCTTTTCTTGGTTAATCTTGCTAATGTTCTATCAATTTTATTTATCTTTTCAATCAACTAGCTGTTTATCTTTTGTATTTTTTTTGTTTCAATTTCATTTAGTTCTGCTCTGATCTTGGTTATTTCCATTCTTCTGCTGGAAGAAGGAAATAAATAGCCAAGCTCTCTTGTTTGTTCTTGTTTCTCTAGTTCCTTGAGGTGTGACCTTGGAATGTCAATTCATGCTCTTTCAGTCTTTTTGATGTAGGTGTTTAGGTCTGTGAACTTTCCTCTTAGTACTGCCTTTGCTGTATCCCACAGGTTTTGATAGGTTGTGTCGTTATTGTCATCCAGTTTGAAGAATGTTTTAATTTCCATCTTGATATCATTTTTGACGCAATACTCATTCAGGAGCAAGTTATTTAATTTCCGTGTATTTGCATGGTTTTGAAGGTTCCTTTTGGAGTTGATTTCCAGTTTTATTCCACTGTGGTCTGACAGGGTTCTTGATATAATTTCAATTTTCTTAAATTTATTGAGACTCATGACCTATCATATGGTCTATCTTGGAGAAAGTTCCATGTGTTGTTGAAAGAATGTGTATTCTGCAGTTGTTGGATGGAATGTTCTGTATATATCTGTTAAGTCCATTTGTTCCAAGTTATAGTTTAAATCCATTGTTTCTTTGTTGACTTTCTGTGTTGCTAACCTGTCCAGTGCTGTCAGTGGAGTATTGAAGTCCCCCACTATTATTGTGTTGCTGTCTATCTAATTTCTTAGGCCTATTAGTAATTGTTTTATAAATCTGGGAGCTCCAGTGTTAGGTGCATATATGTTTACGATTGTGATATTTTCTGGTTGGACATGGCCTTTTACCATTATATAATGTCCCTCTTTGTCTCTTAACTGCTGTTGCTTTAAAGTTTGTTTTGTCTGATATAAGAATAGCTATCTCTGCTTGCTTTAGGTGTTGATTTGCATGAAATGCCTTTTTCCCACCCCTTTACTTTAAGTTTATGTGAGTCCTTATGTGTTAGGTGAGTCTCCTGAATGCAGCAGATAGTTGGTTGGTGAGTTCTTATCCATTCTGCAGTTCTGTGTCTTTTAAGTGGAGTACTTAGACCATCTACATTTAATGTGGGTATTGAGGTTTGAGGTACCCTTGCATTTATCATGTTATTTGTTGCCTGTGTACTTTGTTTTTGTTTTGTTTTGTTTTTGTTTTGCTTTTTAACTTGTATTTTTGTTTTATAGGTACTGTGTGATTTAGGTTTTAAAGAGCTTCTGTTTTGATGTGTTTCCAAGATTTGTTTCAAGATTTAGAGCTCCTTTTAGCAGTTCTTGTAGTGGTGGGTTAATAGTGGTGAATTCTCTCAGCATTTGTTTGTCTGAAAAAGACTGTATCTTTCCTTCATCTATGAATGATACTTAGTTTCACCAGATACAAAATTCTTTACTGATAATTCTTTTGTTTGAGGAGGCTGAAGATAGGTCCCCAACCCCTTCTAACTTGAAGGGTTTCTGCTGAGAAATCTGCTGTGAAGCTGATAGGTTTTCCTTTATAGATTACCTTGTGCTTTTGTCTCACAGCTCTTAAGATTCTTTCCTTCATCTTCACTTTAGATAACCTGATGACAATGTGCCTAGGTGATGATCTTTTTGTGATAAATTTCCCAGATATTCTTTGCGATTCTTGTATTGGGATGTCTAGGTCTCTAGCAAGGCCAAGGAAGTTTTCCTTGATTATTTCCCCAAGTATGTTTTTTAAGCTTTTAGATTTTTCTTCTTCCCCAGAACACTGATTATTCTTAGGTTTGGTCATTTAACATAATTCCAGACTCCTTGGAGGCTTTGTTCATATTTTCTTATTCTTTTTCCTTTGTCTATGCTGGATTGGATTAATTCAAAGACCTTGTCTTCAAGCTCTGAATTTTTTCTTCTACTTGTTCAATTCTGTTGCTGAGACTTTCCAGAGCATTTTGTATTTCTGTAAATGTGTCCGATGTTTTCTGAAGATTTGAATGTTTTTTCTTTATGCTATCTATTTCCTTGAATATTTCTCCCTTTACTTCTTGTATCATTCTTTGCATTGGGCATGCCTTATTCTGGTGCCTTCCTGATGGGCTTAATAACTAACCTCCTGAATTCTTTTTCAGGTAAAGCAGGGATTTCTTTTTGGCTTGGATCCATTGCTGGTGAACTAGTGTGATTTTTTTTTTTTTTGAGGGGGTACGGGGTTGTTAAAGAACCTTGTTTTGTCATATTACCAGAGTTGGTTTTCTGGCTTTTTCTAATTTGGGTCGGCTTCATCAACCCTAGAGCAGCTTCAGTTCTAGGACTGGAGGCAATTGTTCACACTCTTTTGTCCCACGAGGTGTTCCCTTGATGTAGTACTCTTCCCTTTTCCCTATGGATGTGGCTTCCTGTGAGTGAAACTGCAGTGATTGTTGTCTCTCTTCTGGGTCTAGCCACCCAGCAAGTCTATCCAGCTCCGGGCTTGTACTGAGATTGTCTGCACAGAATCCTGTGATGTGGACCATCTATAGGTCTCTTAGCTATAAATGCCATTGCCTGTTGCAGTGGAGGTGGCAGGGGTGTGAAATGGACTCCATGAGGGTTCTTAACTTTGGTGGTTTAATGCTGTGTTTTTGTGCTGGTTGGCCTCCTGCTGGGAGGTGGCATTTTCCAGAGAGCATCAGCTGTGGTAGTATGTAGAGGAACCGGCAGTGGGTGGGGCCCTAGAACTCTCAAGATTATATGCCCTTTGTCTTCAGCTACCAGGGTTGATAGAGAAGGCCCATCAGATGGGGGCAGGGCTAGTGTCTGAGCTCAGACTCTCCTTGGGTGGGTCTTGCTATGGCTGCTGCGGGGGATGGGGGTGAGTTTTGCAGGTCAATGGAGTTGTGCATCTAGGAGGATTATGGCTGCCTGTGCTGAGTCGTGCAAGTTGTCAGGGAAGTGGGGGAAAGTTGGCAGTCACAGGCCTCGCTCAGCTCCCATGCAAACTGAAGGGCCTGTCTCACTCCCACCGTGCCCCTCAAAAGCCCTGAGTCTGTTTCCAGGTGCTGGGGCGAGCTGGGCTTGAGAACTTGTGCCAGGCTGCTCACCTCCCAGCTGTGAAAGAAAAGGGCTTGGTTCTTCCCCAGCCTGTGGTCTGCACACTGGATTTGTTCCCTCCCTTGAGTTCTGGCCAGGAGGCTTCTTGCTCCATTTAAATTGTTACAAAGTCTAGCTGGAGATTTCCTTCTCCCTGTGTTTTCCCCCTGCTCCTCTGACTGCCCTCCCAGTGGATCCCCGTGGTGCCAGGCAGGAATGGCCTGCTTGGGAACGCAGCGAGCTCCCAGGGCCTTTCCCACTGCTTGCTGTACCCTGTATTTTGCTCTGCTCTCTAACTTGACTCAGCTCCAGGTAGGGTTGGAAACTTCTCCTGCAAACAGACCTTCAGTCTCTCCAGTGGGGGGTGTGTGTTCGGGAGAGAAGATTCTCCCTTTCCCACTTCCGCAGTTGGGGCACTCAACAATATTTGGGGTGTCTCCTGGGTCCTGCAGGAGCAGTCCTCTTCCTTCAGAGGGTCTGTACACATATGCTTCTCATATACAGTATATGTAACTACCACATTTTATAAAATAAAAGTAAGAATGAAGAGATATTTGGGTACTTAAAATAGAAAACCCAGAGTTCAAAGCATATGTTACCAATGCCAGTGGGGTAGAGACTTAAGCAAACCAAGATGCAAAATATTTCAACATGCAAAAAAAAAAAAGCACACTAAAGATGACTTAGAGAAAGAAGTCTTATTTTCTACGACCATGTTTATCAGGGTTCTTGATTGCTAGTAATAGAAACTGACTGGGTAACTTAAAGCTGAAAATAATTTTGTTAGAAATATATGAGATAGCTCACAGAATCACTCAGACAGCAAAAAACAGGTAGTGGCCAAAGACACCAGCAACCACTGCCTGAGTCGACTTATGCTGCTGGAATAGTCTTGTTAGGATGCTGCAGCTGGGACCACATCTACTTCTGATGGCCTCTTCCTACTGCCCGCTTCACAGTGACTGATTTCTAAACTTGTCCTGTGTCTTTGCATTCCTCCCTCAAGATTCAAAGTCTTGGGGGAAAATATAAGATGTCTGATTGGCTAAAGCTACTTCTCCTGCCTGCGTCCCAGATCTCAGGGATGGAGTGGGGAAAAGTACCACCTCCTCTCTTTAGCTTCCATGGTTGGAGGTGAGATACCTTATTCCACTGGTGTTGTAACCAATTGAGAATTCCCCAGAAATAGGAAAGGAGTTTGTGTTGCCTCTCCCCAGATGATAACTATCCATCTCAAAGACCAAGAGAGGGATTATCTATGAACAATATATCTGAAATTTGAAGTACAGTATTCTCATCATTGAATAGACAAATTGCATTACTGAATTGCAGCATTTACTTAGGGGATAAATAAGCTAACATAACAAAATACACATCCAAACGTGAATGTGATTTGGTAAACTTGAGCCTTGGGGATGCAGTAGAATTAGAATAGTTTTAATAAATAGGATTTAAACCCCAGAGAATTTAAACAGTGACTAAAATCTTTAAAGTATTTCCGATAATTTCTACAAAATTTTCTGGAAAGAACCTAAGAGTTAAGATTTACTTAAGTGCCACTTATTTTTCTGTGGATTGAAAAATCTAATGATATAAGAAAAAAACATGTTTCTTATGTTCTAGGGATTAAAGGAATTTGACAAAATACTGATGTTTATTGAGATAATTGAAAACCACTTGTGTACCTCTTTCATTTGGTCCTGATATTGTGGAAGAATAAAGTATTAAGGAACTTTTCACCCTATTCATTGGAAATTGTGTTAATATTTTTATTGTTTACTGAGGTTTCTTTTCCCCTCTGGAGTCTTGGAAGTCAGATTTAAACATAAACTATTAAAATTAGTAAAATAGAGGGAAATGATAAAGAAATTGATATGGGTGATATTGGAGACTTATTTCAAAATGTAATAAATATAATGGCTCAAATTTTCATAATTGTATTTTTGCCCTAAATTGTGGTTGGAAATAGCCATCTGTCAGTTTGTTTCTTAACAAAATTACAGAAGGGGAGACAACTGAGATGTTATAATAAAAAGAAAAACAGAATTGTTTCAGAAAAGAGGTATATTGTGTCTTTTTGCCTACTTGCCTTGACATAGCAGGTTAAAAGTATGTGAAGTAGGTAATTTAGCATCTGCAACATTTAGTTGCACTTCAATACAGGGACCATTATCCTGGATCGTCAAACCTCTGGTGAACATGTACATCTGTTCCAAACCTCATCTCTGATGCACAACTCTGTTTAATACGTAGAAACTCTATGGAACAGGAGTTACAAGTAATTTTTATGACAGTACATTGGATATGCCTAAGTTACTTTTAGAATATGTTACAACCAAAAGCTCAGTGGACTCCCTCACTCACCTATTGAATGATTTGCTAGAGCACTGAAAAAAAAGCACGCAAGTTTGATAAAACTTCCAAAGGGGCTGCATGGCATCTTCTAATGGATGAGCTTGAAGATAAAAATCACAGAAATTTGTGAAAAATGTGTTCTAATTAACAGACATCTGACTTTAGCTACATAGATGAAAAATGGATAATAGTTTTAGAGACAGTAAATGTACATTTCTAGGGTTAAATTTTAAGTCACACAAAAATATCGAGTGTCCAGTATTTGCAGAGCCTGCTTCTGGGTGTAGAGAGAAGATCAATGTGAATTCATAGATACAGACCTTGTTTTCAAAAATATTTTAATTGCATAAGAAGATAGGGCATGTAAAGGATAAGCTACCTCTGGGCTGGAGGAATATAAATAATGACTGATTGACTCCCTTCTTCCATTCCCCCCGCCCCCTTATTTGCTTTGCATGTACCAGACTCTGCTTCTAAGCCTGTTGATCCATCTTTTGGTTGCTGCTACCACCCAGTCTTATTCCTGATATTTCTCTTTCCACAAATGCTGCTTCCCTCTGCTGTTCTTCTACTGCCATTCTCTAAGCTTTAGGAAAGTAGGCAGGGAATAATACAAATAATAAACAGGGAGAAGTGACAAAAAATGTTGCAGCACTTTGTAAAGTCCTTACAGATTCCATTATAAGAGAGTAGCCAGAACTCTTATTGAGTGTCTGCCCTTAATTTATATTTCTGAGTATAGTGAGGGAACTAAATAACTCTCACTCCTTTCCCCTTGATTTACAGTAAATATCATTCAGGATTCAGAGAGGAGAGAAGAAAGAAGCTTTCCTTTGAAGACAGAATTTTGGCAGGCTAAGGTTCTCTTTGCATGAAGGGAATAATGTTCCTTTCTGAAGACTTCTGGACAGTGTGACTTCTATTCTAAGGCTTCACACAGAATTGGCAATTTTGAGAATTTCCTCACAGGACTTTCTGGCCACATTATGCTAGTACTTTTGCCTTATTCGAACTTGGCTCAAAATAGCTTTTGTCTGTTTTCAAAAATCTAATTCAAACTTAAAGAATGGGGATTCATTACAAAATTAAAAATGTGCTACAACTTTTAAAAATGCACTTTGGGTTCTGCAGGCATTCCAGGAGAGTAGTTCTATACCAGTTTTTGCTACAGCAAAGGCACTGGGAGGAATGCACAGCCCTCTAAACTGAGGAGTGAGAGGGATAGCACTCCTGTACGCAGCCATGCTTTTCCTATGCTTGTCAAGCAAAAAGGTGACTCTTATAATGACAGAGGTCCAGAAAGTTCTCCTTTAAGGGTAGTATCTACATAAATTCAAACTCATTCTATTTATATTTTACTTCATTACATAAAAAGACTAACAGGTTTTCACTACATTTAGATTTTATGCTTGAAATGGCCTGACTAAAAATGCTGGTTAGACATACAGGGAATTCACTCTGGGCAACTTCAGGTTAGGGGTGAGATGTGGGCAGACTTTGTCCAGATGGCTGATGATTGTGATCATCTGGCCTCGTGTAAGTGGCAATCCCAGGTTGGGTTTCAGGGTGATTTATACGTTTAAGGATGGTTAATATTCCTAGAGCAATGTGAAGAGGCCACTTTCAAAGTAAGATTTTTAAATTGAGTGCAGTGCTAGCTCATTTCAATTTATTGGCTCCTTCTTGAAAAAAGGATAAATGCAGTTGACCCTTGAACAACATGAGGTTAGTGATGCCAGTCCCCTCCTATGGAGTAGAAAATCCATGTATAACTTTGGACTCCCCTAAAACTTAATTACTAATAGGCTACTGTTAACTGGAACCCTTACCAATAACATAAATGATTAACACATTTTCTACGTTATTTGTATCACATGCTATATTCTTACAATAAAGGAAGCTCCACCAGGCACGGTGGCTCAGCCTGCAATCCCAGCACTTTGGGAGGCCGAGGTGGCAGATCACCTGAGTTTGGTAGGTCAAGACCAGCCTGGCCAACATGGCGAAACCCCATCTCTACTAAAAATACAAAAATTAGCTGGACATGGTGGTACGTGCCTGTAATCCCAGCTTCTCTGGAGGCTGAGGCAGAAGAATCACTTGAACCCGGGAGGCAGAGGTTGCAGTGAGCTGAGACTGTGCCACTGCACTCCAGCCTGGGTGACAGAGCAAGGCACTGTCTCAAGAAAAAAAAAAAAGATATTAAGAAATCATAAGGAAGAGAAAATATATTTATTATTTATTAAATGGAAGTAGATCATCACAGAGGTCTTCATCTGCATCTTCATGTTGAATAGGGTGAGCAGAAGGAGTTGGTCTTGGTGTCTCGGTGGCAGAGGAGGAAAAAAATCTGCATATAAGTGGATCTTCACAGTTCAAACCTGTGTTCAAGTGTCAACTGTAATTCTAAGTGACTTTCACTTTAGTTATTATGTAATTGAACAAATATCTTAACCATACAAATAACATAACTGATCAGTTCTATCATGCAAATTGTACTATCATTATTTTTTAAATTTTCTAATTTAAAAATATTTGATTAAGTCCAATTTATTCGATTTTTCTTCTATGGATCGTATTTTATGTTAAATCTAAGAAATCTTTGCTCAATTCAAGGTCATGAAGCTATTCTATGTTTTGTTTTATTTTTTAATTTTTGAGACAGAGTCTCCTGTTACCCAGGCCAGAGTGCAGTGGCCATCATAGCTCACTGCAGCCTCGAACTCCTGGGCTCAAGTGATCCTCTTGCCTCAGCCTCTGAATAGTTAGGACTATAGATGCATGCCGCCACGCATGCTCGTTGTTATTTTTTTGATGCCTGAAGTATAAATCAGAATACGTGTATTTAAAAGACCCACATTTTATCTCTAACTATTCTTTCATAAATCTGGGCTCCTTTCATATTTTTCTTAAATGACATGGAATTATACTAATTTAAAAATATTTCCCGTGTTACTGAGAAATTAATTTAATCAGCTGAAACTCAGTTTTATCATTTACAAAGTAGGAATAGTAACTATTCATCTTATCTCCTGGAATTGTGATGAGAACGTAATGAGGTAATAAATGTTCTGGAAACTGTAAAATGCAAGCTATATGGTATTATAGTCATCATACTCCCCTGAAAAACCCTTGAGATGGAGATTTGTATACAGACCATCTGTTTTGAAATGCTCTTAGTAATAGGTTTTGTGAGAGAATGAAGAGACCAAGATTGAGCAGAGGAAGAAATTGAACAGTGAGGCAGTTGCAACAAAGCTTTCAGCCAATTACAGGGGAGCACTGTATGGTCTTTAGAGTTGCACTGAAATGAGGTAAGGGAGCCAGACCTTTGTACCTCTGATCAGCTTGTCATTAGATGTGGGCTGCCATTGAGGAGGATGGGTACTGTTGGATTAAGCAGTTTCTGTGGGATTGTGGGTAGATAAAAATTCCTAGGGAAGGACTCAGCTGTGAACCCTCACTGGAAAACACTACCAGCAGCTGGGGGAATGCGTGGCTGGGTCCTGAAGGGAGGATTTTGATGCTGTACCAGAGTATCCATCACAATGCACTACTCAAATTATTTGATCTGTGTAAGTTTACCTCATCTGAGACCTGCTCCTGAATTCTAGTTGATCTCTTTTACTGAGGAAGTTTATAAAAGGAGGTTTAGGAGATGTACTATATCCCTTCCTGATGCGGCTGGTCTCAGGACTATGCCAAAAGTTATCCTTCTAGATTTAAAAAAATCTTCAGCTAGGCCAGGCACGGTGGCTCACGTCTGTGATCCCAGCACTTTGGGAGGCCCAGGCGGGTGGATCACCTGAGATCAGGAGTTTGGGACCAGCCTGGCCAACATGGTGAAACCCTGTGTCTACTGGAAAAAAAAAAAAAAAAAAAAAAAAAAAGCCGAGTGTAGTAGCAGGCACCTACAATCCTAGCTACTCGAGAAGCTGAGGCACAAGAATCGCTTCAATCAGGGAGGTGGAGGTTGCAGTGAGCCGAGATCGCACCACTGCACTCCAGCATGGGTGACAGAGTGAGACTTTATCTCAAAATAAATAAATGAATAAATACATAAATCTTCAGCTACCACCTTGACTGGTCAGCTGGCTTGTGTGGTGGAGTAATCCAGACCACCTCTGAGGTTCTTTTCTCAGAGAGTGGCTACTTCGCTTGCTCATTTTCTGACAAAATTAGGCAAGGGAGTACCAATAGGCATCCCAGTAGATTATTTGTATGCCGAATGTATTCTTCCTTGCCTCTATTCTGTAATTTCATCTTTCATGATCAGAGTAAGTTACTCCTACCAGGATGGTGGCTCCTTTCTTTGCCTATAGATGTTTTGGCAAAAGAACCACAAATGACTGGGTTGCAGATGTAGCTTAAAATTTAGTGGAACTCCTGCTGTGTTCCCTGGTGGACGCAGGACCTACAGGTCTGTAGAATGTAGAGTTCTACATTCTTTACCAGGGCATGGTCTTAATCCAGGACACCAGAGGTCTATGTTGCAATTCACCTATTGGGCCTTAAACTCTACAGGTTATCTTTTCCTAACACAGATAACTCTATTACTATAGGTTTGCTACGTGTAACTTGAATTACAGCCTGGACTTGCTGCAGAAACCTTTCCTGATTTGAGTCCTTCCAAAGCTGGAGGCTTTCTGTATCTCTAGGTACAAAGGATGATTCCCAAGTGTTAACATGCTGCCTTCAGAATCGAGTGAGGCCTACCAGGTGGGAGATGCAAGATGCAATTGTTTATATTTTACTTTGGAGATGATGTTCTACCATAACTCAGAGTACAGGATTCCTAAAACCTTCACTGATGTGTAGGTTCCTAAATTTTTGTAGGTTTTGTATTCTAGCTTCATGAGTACATTAGTCTCATTAAGATTTCCAATTTATTTGCAACTTCTTTCCCATTGGGTCCAATGAACATGATGCCATCAATATAGTGGGCCCATTTGTTTTTCTACAGAATGTTCTCATGATCCAGGTTTCCTCAGACTATATTATGATAGAGGGAGGCAGAATTAATAGAGCCTCAGGTATAAACATAAATGCATACAGTTATTTATTCCAAGTGAATGAGAATGTGCCTAATCCTCCTTTATTATAGATATCAACAGCTGCATACCATGTACTCATGGCCATATTCATTTACTCTAGCAAACATACCACATCTGATATAATTGCTATCATATTATAACTGCTAATAATTGGTCAAGTTTTCAGAAGTCCACTGTCATCATCCAGTATCTGCGTGGTTTTTGCCAGACTGGGTTATAAAGTGGAGATAGAATACAAGGATACTATGTATCCTTTATGTTTTTAAGCATAGCACTAATCTGTCATTTCTTCTGGGATGTTGGATATTGTTTTTGACTTACTATCTTGTCTAGTTATTTCCCCACTATAATGGCTCTTACCCAAATGTCATTGTGAGTATCCTGCCAATTACCAGGTATGTTTATTTCAATTATACATCTGAGAACCTGGGAAATGGCCATTTGGTGGGTCTGTGGAGCCAGTGGAACCTCTCTGACCAAATGTGGGCTAGCACTCCACAGCTTCACCCAAGTAAATGCCATTTACTCAGCTCCTGTTGTTTCAGGATCCTATTATTATCCCCACTGTTACCAAGGAACCAGTTCTATAATAGCATTGTCCACCATTAGTCCTGGCTTATGGAGAAGACAGCTTCTCAGTGATGCAGGTGCCGCTTTCACCAGCACATTCCTGATTGCTTTGGTGAATGGAATATCTTTCAGCACCCCTTGCAGATACATAGTTGGCTGGTGGGTTTTTCAAACTTTTGTGGCATATTCACACTACCATACCTATTTCTCTGAACCTTTATATTTTTCCTTAAGTTGGTGATGAATCACTTTCAGCCTTTTTTTTTTTCATCTACCATGAGAATTGTAGGGATTCTACATCAGATAGCATGGAGCATAGATTTTTTTTCTGCCTCCCAGAGCTATCCAAGGATGATGTAAGCACCATCAGCCAGGTTTTTTTGTCAGAGTGTTAAATTCTGTGTCATGGGACAGTACTCTGTGATAGAGCTTCCCTTATTAAACTTTATGTTCTTGGCCGGGCACGGTGGCTCACACCTATAATCCTAGCACTCTGGGAGGCCGAGGCAGGTGGATCACGAGGTCAGGAGTTTTGAGACCACCCTGGCCAATATGGTGAAACCCCATCTCTACTAAAAAAAAAATACAAAAATTAGCTGGGCATGGTGGCACAAGCCTGTAGTCCCAGCTGCTTGGGAGGCTGAGTCCCAGTTGGGAGGAGAATTGCTGGAACCCAGGAGGCGGAGGTTGCAGTGAGCCAAGATTGCGCCACTACATTCCAGCCTGGGTGGCAGAGTGAGACTCCATCTCAAAACACACACACACACACACACACACACACACACACACACACACACACACAAAACAAAAAAAAAAACCTTTATGTTCTACTCCTCTTGCTTGATCCAGCATCCTAAATATCCATCCCCATACATACTCTTTTGGCTGCTGCTGCTACATTTTGGTTAGATCTTGCAAATCTTTTAGCATATAGTTCTTTTCCTTCTTTAACAGGCCCACTTGGCACTGGCTGCTACATTATACTTAGGCAAGAGGAAACATCATCCTTTGACAGGGAGGGGAGGGAAAATTCTGCAAGTTTATTAGTTTCAGGGGAATCTGGGCTTTAAAGATTTTTGAATGCGTGGATCCTGAAGTCCTGATCTTAAATCTCAAGGTCCTACCTTCCCCAAACAAGGCCTTAATCTTGGCACAGCAAACTTTGCTGAGACTGAGCTTTGAACCTTTTTGGAGCTCCCACGGTCTTTAAAGTTATGTTCTGGGCCTGGCCTTCAGTCTATCCTATTCTTTGGCTGCAGGAGTCAAGTCTATATAAACTGCTGCCAAGGGAGCTTTCTCACTTTCATATTTTGCCTTACTTTGGTGATGAATCACCCTTAGTCTTTATGTTTATCTAGCTCATCAATAGCACTAGCAACAGCCATCTGATACTATTATCCATATAATTAATTACTACTTCTTAAACCTCTGAAACTCATGAAATGTTAATTGACTACTGCCTTCTTTTCTAATGGTGTCCCTTCCCAGTTCACACTGGTGAACGTTTTAACAGTTGCACCACTAGAGCATGCCATGTACTATCCATTTTCTACCTACTATCATACATGGCATCCTCATGGCCAGCTTGCTGGTGGGTGGTTCAGATTTGAAATCCTAATTTCAGAGTCTGCTTCCTCAGATCATTACAGACACCACCTATTTTTGATCTGGTTTCTCAGGAAACAAATTCTGAGATTGTATGAGGGAAATTTTCTGGAGAGCACTCTCCTCACAATACCTGTGAGAAAATTGGGTGGAGGGAGAAGTTGGACTGGAAGCTCTGGATGGTCCTTCCAAGATGTCCCAAATTGAGGCAATGAGGTGGGGTCTCTGTACCCCTCATTATTCAGTTATTTGGTGCAAATTTGTGTCAGGGAGTGAGCATGACCATGGGCAAGGAAAGACCTTTGGATGAGTGTAATTCTTTGGGAGATTCAGCTGTGAGCTGTGACTTGTCAACAGGTGACACTCCCAGCAGTTGGGTAAATAAGTGTCTTGATTGTGAAGGAAAGCAGGGTATTTGTGCAGCACCGCATAGCGTCTGCTTCAGCCTTCAAATACGGAGGACAATATCATTTACTTATTAAATTTTCATAAGCAAAATGTGATAATGGTACCTCCAGTACATAGACAACATAGGATATTTGGGGTGCTTAGTACCACAGTGAGAGCTTTTAATATAATAAATTCTTAAACTTGTATTGCCTCTTGAAAACCTAATTAAAATCTTAACCAAACTGTTTTGTGTTTAATTTAAATCAGACAATGCAACAATTTTAAATAAGGGAAAATCATTTTAAAAATGTAACCACTGACCTGCAAGTTTACCCATTCATTATATTTGATAGCACTGGTTAAATAAGTTTAAACCAATAGACTTCAATTTAGTACATAGTCTAGTAAGATGTTTTTGGAAATGTTGGAGAATAAATCACTTCAATAGTCCAAGCAGGGTACAGATTAGTTATTTACTATTACATTCAGCTAGATACAAATCAAAGCACTCCATGCTTGCTTTCTATGAATTAGAGAAGTGTGAAAACGAATAGAAGAGTATATTGCTTGTGGGATGTTTAGTGAGATGACATTTAACTTTTAGGAAGCAAGTGATTTTTATTGTTACAGATATTGTTTAGCTGTTAACAGAATGTTTTCTGGGGGAAATTCTTTTATTTTCTTACTGCCAGTGTTTCTCAGTGGCTAATATTTCCCTGTCTCTTCTGAGTATTCCTTTTTGCCAACCTTCTGCTGCCCCTAAGAAAGAATTATTGGATATCTCTGCTGTGGGCTTTTTAAAATTAGTACCTCCACTGGTTGAAGTTTAGTAGTAATGTGAGCAAAATATAGTCTCATAGAAACAAGGTGCTGGTATTAACTCGAAAATGGGTTCTGTTTCAAATACATGGAAGTGTTTTACTTCTGCAAGCATGCCAATCTGACTCAGATATCACTATTTTTGTCTAATTTGGATCAATTTCTCTTGATTTATTTATTCAAATATTGAAACACTAACAACTGGAGATGTGTCTGACAAAGACTTTTAAAATATTCCCATCTGACCTAAAATGAACACAATTTGAAAATCTTGGCACAAACGATTAAATTTTACAACTTTAGATGTGTATGTATTCCTCCAAATATTTCAGTATTCACTCAGGGAGCAAACCTTTGTCAGTCTTTCCTAGTCTAATTTGATGTCTCTTTGGTGAGGGATCTGACATTTTCTCATAGATCTTGTTTAATACCGACACTGTGCTTTTAATTATTGGAGAAGCTGCAGGCAATGAAATGTAATTATAACGAAATGAATTGCAGACCCCTGGACCATTTCACCTTTGCCTCCCGGTGAAGATTGTATAGTCTCAGCATCAAAGCATTTGATGCTTATTTCTAATCTCTCTATTTGGATGAGGCGAAGAGAAAATCTGATTGAGAAATTATCTGTTGTGCTATCACAAGATGAATCTTTGAGACTGACATCATGTATATAAGATACGGTATGAAGTGTTATCCTGCTTCCTTCAAGGTACAGCTACCTGCAGAGAAAGAATTGTCTGCCTGGCTTTTAAAGTAGCATAGTCTTTTTTTTTTTTAAAGAAAGTTTAGGAAGATAGATATAAATGTTTATACTCTTATATATCGTTTTGAGTTGTTTTCCCAGCAAACAGTTTAGAAATCAACAATTGAATTGATATACATGATAACTATGTCATACCAGCCTAATGTTTAAGAGTAAAATTCTATTGAATAGGCCATTTGGACATAAATGAGAGTTAAAGAACTATGTTTAAATTTCTTACTGTAAAGAGCTTTTACCCATTGTAAAATATGGTTGCCTCTTGGGTGAAGAGGTTCTAGAAATCATATGTCTTCTTACTTTCCTTAGACAATTCTCATTTGGCAGGCTTTGGTGAATAAAATTAGGCAGATACTGAAGCTAATTAACTGCCAAGTTACTTGATAGAACAACTCCGTTCTCCTCCTGATTATTCTATAACCACTAATTCATTCTTGTAGGATTAAATTTCATTATCTCATTTTCTGGAGAAAGTGTTTGAAAGATCCTGGCCTTACAAGGACATTAAAGTGTTCATATACGTACGGCACTTGTTTTAGCATTTTACTTTCTTGTCTTGGGATAAATTCACTTATGGAATTATAATGTATCAATTGCCGAGGTCAAAAACTTTGGTGTAAGATGGGACACCAAGTAAATGAGTTACACAACTTAATAGAGTTTCTCAACTGATGAGATGACAAATTGCACTCATTGAAGACTCACTGGGGAAAAAGTAAGGAAGGTAGGCAAAATAAGACGTTTTTTTTAAATAAAAAGACTTAGAATAGGAGAAATTGGCATAGAAAGAAAGGAGATCTCTGGAGAGAGTGCAAGGTAAGGGATATAAAGTTAAACAAGGGATATGAGATGAATTACAAACAGTTTATTTCTGTGGTCTTTCAATCTTTTTGCTATATTATTTCTTAAAATAATTTCAAAACAAAAACAACCTATGTAGTCTCTCATACAGTTTTAGCTTGACATTTAACTTTTTAAATTATGATTTTAAGTAGCTGGAAGTGATATATTTTCATAATAATATAAATATTGACAATGTTAATATTTATATGTTTCCAATTGTGTTAGTCCATTCTCACACTGCTGTAAAGGACTGCTTGAGACTAGGTAATTTATAAAGGAAAGCCACAGTTCCATGTGGCTGGGGACGCCTCAGGAAACTTACAAGCATGGTGGAAGGGGAAGCAAACAGGTCTTTCTTCCATGATGACAGAAAGGAGAAGTGCTGAGCAAAAGGGGGAAAAGCCCATTATAAAATCATCAGGTCTCATGAGAACTCACTATTATGAGAACAGCAGCATGGGGGTAATTGCCCCCATGATTTAATTACCTCCCACTGGGTCTCTCCCACAACATATGAGGATTATGGGAACTACAATTTGAGTTGAGATTTGGGTGGGGACATAGCCAAACCATATCACCAATGAATGTTTTAAGTGTATCTAAGACATTTAAATACAGTTATTTCTTAAATATAAAGAATATATAAGCAAGTATATTTTCAATAGTCAAAAGCTTTTCATTTTTTTTCCTTTTGAACTTGTACTCCATTCCATTTTTGCCCATAAATTTTTTTCTTAATGTAATATACTTTTATGCTTGGGAATCTTTCAATGATTTTTCCTTCATAATTTCCTGCAAGCAAAATATGTATATGTAAGTTGAAATTAAATTTATAGTGTCAATAGGTCTTTAAATGATAAATCTTTTTATTCATTGTCAATTATTAAATTATTTTACAATTGATCAAAGTAGCATATAACTTACCGATTTTAGTAAATAATTGTTATCAAATTTTTAAAATTGAGAATGTATCTCTTGGTGAGATGAGCTGTTTGTTTCTCTCCTTATAGAATGAGGAACAGGTCAATACTAATATCTATTTTTTCATTTCTGTAGATTGGACAACCAAAACCTTGTTCATTTAAAAAAGTAAATTGAAATAGAGTTTTATTATATCAGTATGTACTGTTTACTGTTTTTTCTTACTCCTAAACTCACCCTTCTCTAGTCTTTTGTGGGATTCAGGGGCTGGGATTCAACAAAATGCATATCCCAGCCCTTCTGCTTTCTAAGGGGAGACATGATGGCAGGAGAAGAGGAAAAAGGGAACTCCTTTATGTTTCATCTGTACTTATCTGTGACACGCCAGCACAATTGGTTGATCCTCTTAACTTCTGGTACTGTCAGAACTAGACCTGTGGCTCCCTTACTCCTTAGAGGTCCCACAGTGTTGGAGTACCCTCATTTTCCAGAGGTCTCTTTTGGTACCATGATGCAATGCTATGTTTCAGAGACCAGCACTATTGCAACATTGATCCTGTAGAGTTGTGAGACATGTTCCATTTTCACATTTTAAAATTCATTAGGCATATTTCTTCTCTTGAATAAAGTAGTTCTGACCCCCTAAGGACACGAAATCCTTTATTCCCCCAACCCTTGAGGTTGTAGCTGCTTCCTGTAGTTATCCCTGGGTGACTTGAAGTTCCTTTTTCACTCTTACAGTTTTAACAACTGTGAAACCAATTCCCTACATTAAATCTCTTAGTTTGAAATATCTAGTTTGGGTTCTGCTTTTTAACTAGACCCTGGACACAGTGATCCGTCATTATAAACTATTTTTCAAATTGGCAATTGGCTGAAAACTTGGTTAGATTTTGCTTCAGTTTTTTTTTTCTTTTTGAAATCTAAGAATTGGGGAAACAAACCCCAACTTACAAAACGATTTGCTACTCAGTCATTAGTACCATTCACTTTCAAAATTTCTGGCAGGTATTATTACAAATACAATTATTAAGACTAATTAAATGGCTATTATAGCTATTTATAGTGGTACCTTGTTTATTGTCCACATTTAAAAGCATTGAGAATATTAATTTCAATACACCATTGCCACTACCACATTTTAAACAAAATGCCTTTCTTGTAACTGTACTTTAAATATGTTTTGATCTTATATTAGCAAAGTTAAGTAATCTGTGTTTGCTATTAACCTAATTGAGAAAAGCATTGTCTGCCAATAAACCAAATCAGGCTTATTTTCTTTCAGAAAATATGACTTATTTTTCAATTTTTGTTGGTCAAAACTTGTTTTCAAATTCTTAAAAAAAATTCTATTAACAGGTCATCAGGAAATTATTATTGTTATTATTTTTTGAGACAGGGTTTCGCTCTTGTTTCCCAGGCTGGAGTGCAATGGCGTGATCTCTGCTCACTGCAACCTCTGCCTCCCAGGTTCAAGCGATTCTCCTGCCTCAGCCTCTTGAGTAGCTGAGATTACAGGCATGTGCCACCATGAGCCGCTAATTTTGTATTTTTAGTAGAGAGGGGGTTTCTCCATGTTGGTCAGGCTGGCCTCAAACTCCTGACCTCAGGTGATCTGCCCGCCTTGGCCTCCCAAATTGCTGGGATTACAGGCATGAGCCATTGCGCATGGCCAGGAAATTATTTTTGTGTGTGTTTTGCTGGAGAAGTTTTCAAGGGAAAAATAAAATTGGCATGCATTCTATTTTCTGATGTCTGTAATTCTCACTTTGACCAATAATGGTGTTAGAGAAGGTGAGTGGAAGGAGGAGAAGCAGGGAGTCTACCTCAAGCTTCTCAAAGGGAGTAGAAAAACGATTTTGTCTCTTTTCTATTTCTTAAATACTTTTCAGGGAGGGATTTCTTCCCCTTGATTGGGAGGATATTAATATAAAAATTCTGAAATAGAGGAAATTTTTATTTTGCAGTGGTGTCGTTGAAGTGTCACAACTACTTTATTCAAGAGAAGAAATATGCCTGATGAATTTTAAAATGTGGAAGTGGAACAACATGTCTCATAACTCTTTAGGATCAATGTTGCTATGGTGCTTGTCTCTAAAACATAGCATGGCATCATGGAAGAATTCAGCATGTTGCAGTCAGTTAGAACCACTGAGTCTAAATAGTGATACCACTACTTGATAGAGAATTTCTTAAGCACTTCAAACCTCAGTGTCTTCATCTATCTAATAATATTTACACTGTAGGATAGTTTTGAGGATTAAAGGAAGAAATGTACAAAGCACTTAGAACAGTGTCTGACACATGGTAGACATTCAATAATTATGAATTCATTAGCCACATGGTGGCTATTAATATTAATGGGCTTTTACTATTATTAAAGGGTGGCTATTAAATGAATTTAAATACCCAATATTGCACACTAGGTATAGAATATGGATCGCAGTGGTCTGGTTGGGGAGCACCCCATTTATTTTCATATTATGCTGATCATCTTCCCAGTGGCCTTACTGTTTTTGCCCTGTGCTATTCTGCTTTGGGACATATTTCACCTCTGTTTATCAGGACAGTATTTATGCAATTGTTTGTTGTTGTTGTTGTCATTTTTTTTTTTGAGACAGTCTTACTCTGTCACCCAGGCTAGAGTGCAGAAGCGTGATCATTGCTCACTGCAACCTTGAACTTCTAGGTTCAAGCAGTCCTCCCCACTCAGCCTCCTTAGTAGCTAGGAACACAAGTGTACACCACCAGGCCCTGCTAAGTTTTTGAAAGTATTTTGTAGAGATGGAGTCTCACTATGTTGCACAGGCTAGTCTCAAACTCGTGGATTCAAGCAATCCTCCTGCCTCTGCCTACAATTGTCTTTTTTTTTTTTCCCCCGGGACAGAGTTTCGCTCTTGTCACCCAGGCTGGTGCTGTGGTGCAACCTTGGCTCCATGCAACCTCTGCCTTCCAGGTTCAAGCGATTCTCCTTCCTCAGCCTCCCAAGTAGCTGGGATTACAGGCACCCATACAATTGTCTTTTGATGGAAGTTTTGTTTCCCTCCAACACAGCATTAAATTGTGTGTGTCTTCCCTTATGAGCTTCTGCACGCTTCCTCAATGACTGTGTGTTTCTTGTTCAAGTACCTCTAAGATTTTCCTGGACGTTGTGCTTCCTGCATTTTACTGGTTAGCCATTTCAATCACAACAAAATGTAGATATCATTACATTTTTTCACTTTAGGACTTGATATATAGACTTGATATAATATGGCACAGGGTATGACTGATGTAACCATGTCCCTGCCTTCTTAAAATAAGTGATTTGCTCACATTCTCCTATGCAATAAAATATCAGGATGTTCTCCTATCTATGATTCTCTACTTGCTGTGTTATCTCTCATTCTAGGTAATCAGAAGAAGAAAAATATTAAATATGTTTGAATATTTGGTTTCTAAAGACAAATATTGTAAACAATTAGTACGATTTTCAGCTTCATGTACTTTCCTGTGTCTAGATTATAGGGTGTCTTTTAGTTCCCTTTTAATTGTGTCTCAAAAATTGGTGTTTTGGGAATTTAAAAAGATAATATACCTCTGATTTAGGAAAACCTCAATACTTCCATGGTGATGTTAGAGTCACAGATGAAATCATCTTTCTGCTCCCTTGCAAATACCCTACTTGTGTTGTCATCCTCATGCTTCTTTTGAACAAAATATTTCTTCTGATATTCTTTTCTCCAGACCTACCTCTTCCAAAGTTGACTGGCAAAAAGGACAGTGTAAAACTTCACTTAACGTAATTCTCCTTTTCAAGTTAACGGAGCAACCAGGCCAGAGAATAACTCTGACTTTTGACTGTGACTGTTTCTAGTATCCCAGTGAAGTCAGCTGCTTTTAAGGAAAAAATTCCCCAGGAGTGTCCCCAAGAAATATAGAGGAAAGGAAGAAAGTCTTGGAGGAATTTATGTAAGCATTTATGTCTATTATGATCCTAGAATTTTTAAAAATTTAAAGTAAAACTGACTCTTTAGAATTACATTTTCAGAGACATCAAAGAAAGCATTTTTTTCCAGTTATTGAAATAGTTCGTGTGAATTTCTCTATCATCTTTCATAGTTGAATACTGGTTCCCCTTTTCTCACATTTGCTAGGTGTATGGATAATGATTTTCCTTCAAAATGCAGTACATTAAAAATGAAAATAATTACTATAAAAAGCCTTTTCTGTGTCTCAGTAGGATTACAAGGTTTCCATCTCCATGGTTTCTATTTCAATTTATCTTTTGAAATCAAATTAAACCTTTTTCTTTCTTTGAAATGCCAGGCTCCATTTGTGGTAATAGTTTCTGACAGTTCTAGTCTTTTACCAAACCTCTCAGTGAAAATGTGTTAGATGATTTCTTTGTTCCTCATATTGTTATTTAAAAATGGAAAACAAAGACAAGACTACTTTTTATGAGAAAGTCTAACAGAGCATTGGCATTTCCTATTAATGAGAATACAATATCTTGCTTATCAATTTAATTAAATCTATGAGATCTAAGTCTAAGTATGTTTTTGGTTATGCTGCAGAAGAAAAAATTCAATTATTACTATAATCACACTGAGAACTTAAAATGAATCCTTAAATATGAGTGATCATAATCAATTACAAGGCTTCTGTATATTCTTAGAAGGGATTACAAAGTGCTTTTTTTAACGTATCAAATTTTTTATGGCTGTTCCATCTACTTGTGAAAACATTAGTATATGTCTAGTCTCCTGAATGAATAGTATGTATACACACATACATACGCATATATGCATGGGCACATTTAGTTGAGTTTACATACATTTCTTACACAATTAAGTGCAATTTTAATGGGTGTTACCTATATTAATTGAAAAAAGAGAAGTAGTGAATAATTTTATTTAAAAGTCACATTTTACTTTGCAATATAATCAAAACTGTTTAGAAAATCTGTACATTATTCTTTTCTAGTGCTGATTTGGAGATAAGACATTTTGATACTTGGGGAATTTAGCTGCATTAAGGTAACCTAAATATTTTACCAATTTTTCTTTTTCCTCTGGCCTACACTTCTCTTCTTCCTGCCTAATTGATACATGGTAGAACTACTACTGATAGTTATGACATAGCTAGCAAGTCTTTTAGTAAAAGGAGCTGAGGGAATTCATAAATACAGAGCTTAAGTTTAATCATCTCAAAGTTCTCTTTTGGTCTCTATATCTTTGAGTTTCAGAAAGTGCGAAAACTTTGTTACTTCTGAAGACATTTTGGATTCTATTATAAATGCTAAAACATTTTTGATGAAAATGTTTCTAAATCAATGGCTAAGTGCTTGCCTAAGGCTTGCTCAGATATTCATAGAAAGAAACAGAAAAGAGTTAAATTCTATAAGGTACCAGAAAAGCTGCAAATTAAAGTCCAAAGAAGTTAAATCTGAAGGAATTAAAATAGAAAATAAAATTTTCTTGTTTATGTGGGCTAAAATTCCAAAGAAATTAAAGTTTCATGCTCTCAGTTTCTTATTTCTTGATGAATCTTAGCCGAGACATTTGAGATGGCTGGGAAGTTGTGAAGTTCTTTTAGCAGCTTTAGACCAGACTATCTTCCATTTGATTGCATGTAGCTGTTTCAGAACTTCAGAAGAAGAATCATTCTCTTCTGTCTTTTTAAAAAATCATAGATACTCTGGAGCTATAAGATGATCATATCTGTGCAGTGCAATGAACAAAAATTCTAGAATCTACTTTCTGTGAGAGGGTCTACACACAACTTGGCTTCCCATGGGTCAACATTGTCTCACCCCTGATGAGGGCTCAAGGCCTGTAGCTGCTGGGTGTTAGGTATTTCCAGTGGACTTCTATAAGCAACTGGGTCCACGGATCCAGACTGGTTGATACCAAGC
This sequence comes from Homo sapiens, assembly GCF_000001405.40. NCBI lineage: Eukaryota > Metazoa > Chordata > Mammalia > Primates > Hominidae > Homo > Homo sapiens. The sequence goes on from NC_000014.9 coordinate 39,800,650, forward strand.
AGCCTCTGTATTCTCCCACTGGCAAGGGGGGAAGACTCATGGGGTGGCAGGGAAGGGAGAAGAGTTCCTCCACTGGAATGCAGAGTTACATTATAGGCCCAATTCCTGTTGTGCCTCCCCATGTGGTGATGGGAAGTTGAGGGCCCAAACCTTCTGTGTTCCTCTTGGTTCTTGGTCTATGTTAGTATCTCCTTTATTATTCATCTGTTTCTAAATTCACATGATAGGGAATTTGTCTGGGACCCTGGTTCATGATAGGTGGAGACCCAGAAGTTACCCACCTTATATGACAATGCCCCTCTCCTCCCATAAAATTTGGAAAACAAAATATCTAGTCTCAGAAAAACACAGCTCCTACTATGGCTCAAACCTATTTTATTATTGAAACTCATTGGTACCTAAGAGAAAGTGGACAGGTAGAGAAAAATCTGGTTTCCCCTGAGTCAGTTTGTGTCAGCTTTAAATACTCCACAATGTATGAACGTAAACCCAAGCAGTGTGTATGTGTTTGTGTGTGGCCGTGTGTGGTTCTCTGCTGGTATGTCAGTTTAGGGAATTAACTATAGCACTGGCTTCCATATTTGTCAGGGGAGGTGGGCTCTTGCAGGAGAGGGATCTGTTTTTGCTTGTTGTCATCTCTTATTGGAGACCTTTTTCTTATAATAGAAATTTAGAATAGTCACAGCCACTGTCATTGGTGTTATTACAGAAACCTTTTCGGCATATTAAAAGTTTCTTAATTTCTATTTTCCTTCTAAATGCTGGGATTCTAGTGTTCTAGTTCTACACTGAGTGCAATGACATTGCTCCCACATTCTCTTGTGAACAGGCATTTTGAGTACTGGGTCATTTGCCTGAGACCACTGCTTCTGGTAGAATTGCTGTGGTTTGGGTAACCCGTTTTCTAGGAGATACTTTCCCCTGGTCTACACATTTATTCAAGCTGGAGAATTATCCTCAGCTGATTCCACAAATGTAGCTCTGTTGGTGCTCTGAAGCCTGTGCCCGGAGGAGCCTGGTGAGAGCCAAGACCTGTGTCATGGTCTCCTGGAGGCTGCACTGCCTTTCCTCGGCTTTTAGAAGTTCCAGACTTGAATGGCATTTCTTTCTCCCATATCTTTTTCTCAAGTAGTGGGTTTTGGGTTTCCCTCAGTTCTTTATTTGGTTTCCCTCAGTTCTTCCATGCTCCTCCCTTTTATTATTCTCTCTAGGCTGATCCCTTTTCTTTAGTTTATATAGGGTGAACATTCTTCACTGCATCTGTGTATTGTCTTTCCTTTACATTCCCTTTTGCTTTTTGGCCTAGGCATTTATTTTGCAAAATTTTAAATTTTGGTTTTGGGGGTCTTCCATTGTGAGAGAGATGAAATTAAAAGATTCTATGCCTGCTAAATGTGATGATTGTTTTAGCAAACTTGTCCACTCTCACCATTCTGAGTTAGATAATCCCACCTAAAAGATAGTCTCCCATCAGACAAATATCTATGTCAGGCTTGTCCTGCCTGGCTCTCCTTTAATGTCTTCTATTTTTTGTGCCTTTTATTATATTTCTAATTCCTGAGCATGCATATTCTCTAAGAGAACAGACTGTCATCTGAAAACCCATCCAATAATTCTTTGAAAATTATACAGTCATCTTTTCAGTGTTCTCCTTTCAAATCTGTTTATATTTTATGCAATCTGTTCTTTAGCTTTCACAAACCTGGAGGAGGGTGTGCAACTGATCATCTGTTTGCTGAGGTCCTACTGCTCATCCCCTGATACATGGCTTTGGAGCCCTACTCATCATTTCTGATCTGAAAGCAACTAAAGCATCCGTCCTCTTCTCTGATGGCCACTCTCAAAATGGTTATGACTGGTACATCTTCTTTACCCTTTATCGCTGCCTGTTGCCTTCAGCATCTCATTTTCCCTTTAGCTTCTGTTTAGACTTTCTTTCCTTTAAGGAAATCTATTTTTTTCCAACCAATCTCTCTCCTCCTGTTTTTTTTCTTTTTATTTTACCAGTGTTCCTGTTATGATAGCAAGACTAAAGCCCAGTTTTACATCAGTCCAGTTCCTCTTTGGTTTCTTAGCTGATATGACTCCAAAGCAACAGAGCTTTTGAGGTCCAAGAACTACCATTTTTAATTGCATTTTTGGGCTTTTGAATTTTTTATTCACCCTCAACAGGTGATATATTCTTTTTCAAATATTCATTCCTTATTTATCAATATAATCTACCCAGGGTTAAATGAAATATTGGTTTCTGAAGTGCAAAGCCAGAAAAAAAACCTATGCAATGAACAAACTCAGAGTTAATATGAGACTACTTGGTGTCCAGTAACACTTAAGAGCCTGTATTTAAGCGAAATGAATCTAAGATGCTAGCATACCTCAGCCGGCCCAGGACAAAATTAAAGCGTAAGTAGGAATAAAATTTGGGACATTACAATGTGTCCTACTAAGGTCTAGTACAGACAATCAAAATTATTTTTTGTTGTGGTAAAGTAGGCATAACACAAAATTTATAATTTTAACCCTCTTTAAATTGCACATATTAGCACATATTAGTGGCATTAAGTGTATTCACCTTGTTGTGCATCCCTCACAACGGTCCATCCAGAACTGTTTCCTTATCCCAAACTGAAACTCTGTATCCATTAAACAGTAACTTCTCCTTCCCCCAGCCCCCCAGCCCCTAGTAACCACTATTCTTTTTTCTGTCTCAATGAATTTGACTATTTTAAGTACCTCATATAAGTAGAATCATAATATTTGTCCTATTTTCTGTCTGGCTTATTTCACATAGCATATCTTTAGGTTTCATCTGTATTGTATCATGTAGCAGAATTCTATCCTTTATAAGGCTGAATAATATCATATTGTATGTATATACCATTGTTGTATATACAGATGTTGTATGTGTAGAACATTTGGTTTATTCATTCATCCATCCATGGACATTTTGGTTATTTCACATTTTGGCTATTGTGAATAATGCTTCTATGAACATTGGTGTATAAATATCTGTTTGAGTCCCTTTGGAGGGACTCATTCTCAGTTAAATATTCTTTGGACTATATAAAAAAAGTAAATTGGCAGATCATGTGGTAATTATATATTTATTTTTTTGAGGAACCTCCCCACCGTGCTGTTTTTCACAATTTTACATTCCCACCAGCCATGTACGAGGGTTTCAATTTCTCCGCATTTTGCCAACTCTTGTTATGTAATATGTGAAGTGGTGTCTCATTGAGGTTTTGATTTGCATTTCCTAATGATTAGTGATGCTGAGCATCTTTTCATGTGCTTATTGGCCATTCGTATATCTTGTTTGGAGAAATGTTTATTCAAGTGCTTTGTTTGTCTTTAAATTAGTTTTTGTTGTTGTTTTGTTGAGTTGTAGGATTTCTTTGCATATTCTGGATATTTATCCTTCATCAAATATATGACTTGGAAATATTCTCTCCCATTCTGTGGGTTGCCTTTCTACTCGGTTGATCGTGTCCTTTGCACAAATGTTTTTAACCTTGATAAAGTGTAATTCATCTATTTTTTTCTTTTGTTGTCTGTGCTTTTGGTGTGATGTCCAGGAGATCATTACCAAATCCAGTGTTATTAAGCTTTCTCCCTATATTTTCTTAGCAATAAAAATATGAACTAATATCTCGTAAATGCTCTGTAGTATGTGCCACTCAAGGATCTTAGGGCTGGGTCCACTGCAGTCACAAAAATATACTTCAGGCCAGAGAGGATGGAGTCAAGGAGGAGGGAGTAGAGGCCCTGTCAGGAAAGCAAGAATTTTCCAGAAATTTCCAGTAGGCTTTTGCTTCAATCTGTTGGCCAGAATGGGTAATGTTGCTTCTCTTGACTACAAGAGAGGGTATCTGGGAAATATATAAGGGTTTTATCATTGTTCATTTTTGAGCTGAGTACACCACCATCTAGAGTCTGTAGGTGAGGGTGAAGAAGAGAATTACGTAACAGTAGGTGGGCACATGGTGTCTGCAACAAGTTTCAACTTTCTGTTGGTGTATCTGAAACTTCTTCAGTAGAATCATTGAAAAGTTTTGTGACATATAAACACATTCTTCTCTGGAGTTTAGAGTTGACATACCCTTTATCCTATTTTTATATTTAAGTTTGTTTCTGGGGATGGGAGGTTGAGAGTGGGGAGAAGGGAGGAGTCAGTGAGACCTGGGGCAGAATGGGTATATATGCCCATATCATGTTCTTTCTGGAGTTTATCAAATACACTGTTGGACTACATCTCTGAATAATGAATTTGTGTTCTTTTTTCTAAGAAGAATGTAAATATTCCATTCTTTCAAGTTTTACTATTTGACTGAGTTACTGTTGTAACTGTTGGAGCTCTGCAGACCACCAAGCAACTTGCCTTTGCTGCACTCAATGATTTGATACTGTTCACTGGACTCTAGTCCTCCCTGCATGGGTCTGCCTGCTCTAAGCAGGGTGCACATAGTCCGGCTAAGTGTAGAAAGCCTCTTTCCTACAATGAAACCTCAGACCTTCCTTCCTGCCTGCCTGTCTTGGAAATCCATTCTATTCCTTTTTAATCTGGTTTGGACACTTAAACACCAAATATAGCTGCTGATTGGGAAAGTGTTCTTGTCTGGCCCTACTTTTTTCTACAGAACTTCGGGACTTGAATCTCATTTCTGAATCACAGAGCTTGTATTTTCTTTAAGGTATTTTTGATAAGATATTGCAGGAATTGTGACTTCTTACATTTTATCTTTGTATATTGAGTTGCAAAGGAGATAAGTTAAACAGAAAAATTCATTTCAAAAACTAAACAATGAATGGAAAAAAATAAATGTAATAAATGTTTCTCTGTTTTCTGGGAATTTCCTAGTTGAAAAGCCCTAAAAGTTATTATGTTGGTTTTTGGATTTTTCTAATATTGCATCATAAATAAAATATATGATATTACCTCTGTGTATAAGGAATTCTAACATATTTACAGTGAACCATTTTACAGCCTCTAATTTTGTTACATTTAATTTTCTTGTAAAGATCCTTTGGACCTTTTTTGACCATTTTATATTACTCCAAAGCTGCAAAAAACTCAACAATGTGTCCTGTGGCTTCTTGGTCCTACATGGACCTCACAGCTGTGACCTCTTACCTTTAAATGGAAAATTCAATCTCTACATCCTCCAGCCCTGTGAACAATAGAGCTCTTAATAAGGAGAAATTCAAGAAATTCAAGTGTAGTAACTCAGCATTTTTATCCTTTTGGCTTATTTTACTGTATTTTTTTTACCTTAATCCTAAAACCTGGACATTGGCTTTTATTTTTCTATATCACAATGCCCCATATTAAGCTCTTTTTCCAGAAAATGAATCCCTATTTCTCATTTCCTTCCCAGTGCACTGATTTCTCTGGGATTAACTTCCTGGGCCTAATTTCTGGGCCTCAGCAGCTCATTCCCTATATTTAGGCCAGCTTTATTCCTGTAAATATTATGGGATTGTGGAGTCAGTCTTCTGTTAACCCCTTGCTGGTTTAAATATCGAACTAGACACTTTCTGAGAAACTGTGACTTCAGAGGCGAGTTCTTTTAATTCAGTGTTTATGCTTCTGAGGTGATATGACTGGAGAACATGAAGAGTGATGAGTTTGCATGGAGAAATTTGACAGCAACAAATGACTGTGTCCTAAAGTATGCATATCCCTTGCCTGCTTTGTTTTATTTTGTAAGCCAACAAAAATGGATGTATATTCTTTTCATATAATACAATGAAAAGTTAAAGTTACAGTAATATTCTATCCAGAGAGGTAGTATGATTAAATCTTCCCTATAGAATTACATTTTGCTATACACTAACTCAATACATGCTTACTTACAACAACTATGAATACTGTGCCATGGGTTTTCACAGCAATTTTTTTTCCACTTAGGAACTTTTAATTAGGGTGGCCAAAAGATACTTTCTATCTTGCTTTGGTCTATAGTCCTGTCCTTCTGTGCCAATGCAACTATTCAAAGTTGCAGGTCTTAAGCCTTTATTCGTTTATATAACATTACATTTCCTTCTATACTTCTATACATTTCCTTCTATACTCTCTATAACTTGCCAATTTCATGCTTTGTTTATTCATTTTATTATATTTAATAGCTGTATTTAGTTTTAGTTCTCTTTTTTTTAAGATCTGCCAGCTTTGATTCTGTATTTTCTTGCCCCGAGAAATTGCTGTGATGATGAGGGGTATTTCAAATATATTTTGGTGGGAACAGTTATGTCCACATTGTATTCTGAGCTGAAAACAGATTTCCCATAAGAGAGAAAGATGACAAATATGATATTTCTTCTGTAATATCATCATGCAACTGTTTTTAGAGTAACTGAGGGGTTTGTTTTTCTTCTCATTCTCTTATTTATTCATTCATTAAATAAATATTTATGGGATGTCAACTAGTGCCTGACATTTTTCTAGGCACTTGGGATTCAGCAATGACCAAATTCCTGCTTGTGTGGAGCTTACATTCTAGTTCAGGGGTCCTCAAACTGCTGCATATTAGAATTGCTTGGGGGAGATTTTAAGTCTACTGATGGCTAGGTTTTGCCTTGTGCCAATGGAATCATAATGGAGGTGGTCAACACAGGCATCAGTATGTCTTTGGAAATTTCTGAGGTGATTTCAAAGTGCATCTAAAATTTGAGACCATTAACGTATAGCAGGGGTTATCACATTTTAGCATGCATCAGAATACCAGGAGGATTTATTAAAAGTTAAAATAGCTTCTAATTCAATAGCCTAAAGGCAGGCCCAGGAATTTGCATTTTAAACAAGTTCCCTGATATTGCTGATGCTGCTGATTTGGGGACTAAACTTTGAAAGTAACTGAGATAGAGCCTGGATGCTCAGTGTGTGGTAGTGGATCAGCCGTGTGGGCCTTGCCTAGGAGCTTGTTAGAAGTACAGAATCTCAGGCTCCGCCCCAGACTAAAGAGCCAGAATCTGTTTTAACAAGATCTCCAGGTGACTCAAATGTGCATTAAAGTTTGAGAAGGTTTGCCTTAGTGGACTTTTTAATGTGTGTATTAGTCAGGGTTCTCTAGAGGGACAGAACTAATAGAATATGTAATAGATATATGGAAGTTTGTTTGTTTATTTATTTTGAGACAGCCTCACTCTGCTGCCAGGCTGGAGTGCAGATAAAGGGAAGCTTGTTAAGTATTAACTCACACGATCACAATGTCTCACAATAGGTCATCTGCAAACTGAGGAGCAAGGATAAGCCAGTCCAACTCCAAAAACTGAAGAACTTGGAGTCCAATATTTGAGGGCAAGAAGCATCCAGCACGGGAGAAAGATGTAGGCTGGTAGGCTAGGCCAGTCTAGTCTTTTCAGGTTTTTCTGTCTGCTTTATATTTTCGCCACACTGGCAGCTGATTAGATGGTGCCCACCTAGATTAATGGTGGGTCTGCTTGTCCCAGGCCACTGAGTCAAATGTTAATCTCCTTTGGCAACACCCTCACAGACACACCCAGGATCAATACTTTGCATCCTTCAATCCAGTCAAGTTAACACTGAGGATTAACCCCCACAATGTGCATGTCACCCAAACTACAGATTTATTCCTGACTCTTGAATATATTCCATTAAAATAAGCTGATATCACACAGATTTTGGAAACAAAACAGTGTAGTGGTAATTTATAATGAGGTCATCTGTTCCTATGTTTTTTTTTCCGCTACAAAGGCTTATGGTGGTAAATACAAAATGACAAGATGCTTAATTCTCCCTGGTGAATATAAGAGACTCTTGTTTTCTTTTCTTAGAACATTTCCTTCAAAAAAATTGTAACATCTTTCTCTGTCTCTGAAACATATGTAAAACTTTTAAAAACCTAAATACAACTCTAGCCAGCTTATGAACAAGGAATGTCTTTCTCAAGGATACAAGAACCATCTCTTTGAGATATGATCAAGGAAGATAATGCCCCTGTCTCCCAGTTTCTGGGGGGAGGTAGGACCTTAACTTTGGTGAGCCCCTCTCTCTCTCTAAATTTCAGAACTACCTTTTGTCATAAAGCTGTAAAAAGTTTATGGATAAAGCCAACTAGCTAACACAGAAGGTTATGTCAACTATCTACTGAATTTAGAACAAACTGTATGTGACAAACAATGCTGTCAACTCCTCTTAGCTGAAGACTAGTTATTACCTTGAGAACAAGTATGTAATGGGTCTAGTCTGCTTGACTATATAAAAGGGTGAGATTTCTTTGTCTTTGCATTCTCTTGGCAGATTGCCTGTGATGGGCATCACGATCTAGTTTAATGATTATTCAATAATAAAATTATCTTTTTTCTTTTCTACCTTTGTGGAGAAGTTTTCTAGGTGGGGAGGAAATTCTATTTTTATTTATAGCTCCCCAAAAGAATCAAGTCAATCATTTATTAACTTTCCAGACCACTCTTCTCTTGCTAACCAGTCATAGCATACATTCTGCATATATGACATTTTTTGAGAGTGAATGAAGATTAGAGAGAATATACAGAATATATTATATGCTAGAGAATATATTATTAATCTTATAAAAATGAAACATCCTAATTCAGATCTTCAGTTTCTATATATAAAAGTAGAGACAATAGTATAACACCCCTTTACTTATCTTCCAGCTTCAGCAATTATCAAGATTTCTCCAATCTTATTTCATCTATATCCACTTTTATTTTTGTTTTTTGGCTGTGGTGTTTTAATACAAAATTTAGGTGTATCATTTAATCTGGAAACACTTCAATATGTATTTCTAACATATTATTAAAAAAAAACATAACTATTCACAATAGCCAAAAGGTGGAAAAAGCACAAATGTCCATTAATGAATAAATGGATAAATTGTGGAACATACATACAATGGAATATTATTTAGCCATAAAATGAAGTACTGATATGTGCTACAAGGTGAATGAACCCCCAGAACTTGATGCTAAGTGGAAGCAGGTAGATGCAAAAAGTCAGATATTGTATGACTCTATTTATATGAAATGTCCATAATAGATCATTCTGTAGAGACAATGCATATTGGTGTTTGTCAGGGGCTAGGAGAAAGGAAGAATGCAGAGAAACTGCTTAACTGGTAAGAGTAACTTTGAGGTGATGAAACGGTTTTGGAACTAAGTGGAGGTTATACAGCATTTTGAATGGAAACTTTTTAGTCCTTCAGAATCTCGTATGGAACACTAACAAGTGAAGAAGTAAATATTGGAAGCAGTTACAAATCATGAAAGTTTATAATGAGAGCATTGGGCTGAGAGAGAAAATCATTGGGAAATTCTTTAGATGACACTGTCAAGGAACACCTTTCTGAGGTTGTAATATTTAAAACGAGGCCAAGACTTTGAAGAGAAAAGTTTCCAGTAGAGTCAAGGGTCTTGAGAAAGAAGAAGTTGCATGTTTGAGAAACTAAGTGCAGGTGTGGGTAGTGGGTGTGTCTGTGCAGGCTTTCCCAGCAATCTAAATGGGTCTGTATCTGGCTAACAGTGTAATTGGATAAATGGAGCTTAGTTATTCAGTTCATGAATGAATAATGAGTTGTCATGTACTTTTCTCTTAAATCGTGGTGAAATGAGGATATTTATCTAGACTGGGGCAGGGACAACTGCCTTTTTATTTCTCTAACACTCTACTCATCCCTTAACTGCATGAGACCAAAAGGTCTGAATAATGTTGATAATGTTGGATTAGGATACAGTAATTAAAACAATTTCTAAAGAAAAGGATAGGTTGAAGAAACTGTAAAGCTAGAATATCTTAGGAATCTAGGGTCAGAGAAGTAGAGGACTAGAGAGAGAGGGATGGGGACAGCAAGGGGCAGAAAATATTTAAGCAAATGGAAGGAAACTGTCTTCTCTAGTGCAAGATAGATAGAATGGGTTTGGTATAAACTCTGCCCCCTCTAGCTGTGTGCCCATCAGCAAATCGTTTTACCTCTGGAAGCATCAGCTGTGGAATGGCAATCATCATAATAGTACTTATTCTACAGGGATTATGTGAGCTTTAAATCAGATCATGATTGAAACTGGCTTAGCAGATTGCCTGGTACAAAGTAAACCCTTAAATGTTTACTTCTGCTGTGGATATTATACATTTTTTTGGCTCCTCAGCTTTTTGACCCCTCTCAAATTCATGTTTTGTCTCATGGTTTTATACCTTGAATTCCTATTTTGGTGTTCTTCTTTCGGGGCTTTAAAAAATGCTCCCATAGAGAAAATTGTTTAAGTCTCTGAACAGCCCAGGTTTTCTCTTCAACCTCTTAGTGCATGTTAAATAAATGAGGAGCTTCTTACCTCATTTATGTTACTATAGTCGGTATATTTTGACTCAAAACAGTAAAATGGTAGTCAGTACCTTTACACATACAAACAGCAAAATGGTAATTGAAATCAACCATTATTAAAAATACCGAGTTGTTTATATGTATTAAGTAGCTCAGATGCTTTTGTGTGTGGAAACTCTGGCTTACTTAGAAGATTCAGTACCAATTATAAATAATTTATTGAGTACCAGTTGCAAACAAAGCATGATGTTAAATGCATTTGAGGAAGTGGAGATGAATTAGGTACAAAGAATATAAGTGTAATATTTCTAGCATTTTGCTACCATCTTTAACATTTATTATCTGATTTGACTCATAGCAAATTTTATGAATTTATTTCATTTCATAGATGAATATATATATATTCATCTAGGTGGGGAGGAAATTCTATTTTTATTTATAGTTCCCCAAAAGAATCAAGTCAATCATTTATTAACTTTCCAGACCGCTCTTCTCTTGCTAACCAGTCATAGCATACATTCTGCATATATGACATTTATATATATATATATGTTTGGAAAGGTGGATCACCTGAGGTCAGGAGTTCAAGGCCAGCCTGGCCAACATGGTGAAACCCCATCTCTACTAAAAATATAAAAATTAGCTGGGCATGGTGACACATGCCTGTAATCCCAGCTGCTCGGGAGGCTGAGGCAGGAGAATTGCTTGAACCCAGGAGTTGGAGGTTGCAGTGAGCTGAGATCACACTGCACTCCAGCCTGGGCGACAGAGCAAGACTCTGTCTCCAAAAAATAATAAAATAAAATAAAATAAAATAAAAGTTTGGAAAGGCAAAGTGATTTTCCCATGAGTAGTAAAGTAGTAATAGGATCTTACTTTGTATAAGTTTTTCCTCCAAATCCCAGGGTTCTCTTTCTCACATAGGCATCCAGAGAGATAAAACATACTCATTTATTAGCAACTGAGGCTAGGCAAAACCTAAGTAACAAGGCTATAAGCTCTAAACAATACAAGATACTGAATGTAGTAGAAAATTCCTAAGAATTTTTAGTCCAAAGATAATATGCTTAAGTCTCAGCTCTGCATTTACTACCTTTGGAGCCTTGAATGAGGTCACTTAACCTTGTTGAGCTTTAATTCCCTCATCATCTTTTCATGAAGATAAAAATATATGATATAGTGAAGCCACTGAGAAAAGGAAAATTCTCTAAAAGTATAACAGCATTCCATCAATTGTAAGATGTTGATTTAATATTTACAAAATAACACTTTAAATTTTGATAATTTTCACATACATCATATTAAAATATTTAAGGAATGCTTTATATTAGGTTGGTACAAAAGTAATCGTGGCTTTTGCTATTGAAAGTAATGGCAAAAACCACAATTACTTTTGCACTGACCGAATACAACTGATGTCAGATAGGTTTCACGTACTTTCATATAAGATGGTTTTGCTGTGAAACCCTTTTACAGTAGGCAGCTTACTTACTTTAAGGAACATTATTTATCCTGTTGTTTATCTGAATCCATGTAATGAGAAGGCACATTATAGTTCTGCCATATCTTATGTATTATTATTTAAAAGATCTTTAAAAACTACTCTTATGCTCTCCTTTGGATTCTAGAGATTAGTTAAGTTCCTTAGTATGGTAGGTACCTTTAAAAAGATTCTTTGTTATGAGGCCCTCAAATACTTGTAATAAAGTTTTATTCCTCTCTACCATTTGAGAACTTTAGTTACCAGAAACAATCAATATATTTCCAAAAGTGCTGATTAGGGAATATCCTGCTAATTGCTTTTGATTTACCTTAAAGAAAGCAAGTAGCAGCTCAAGTTTTATCTTTGGGGATATGAACATTCTTATGAGCAAACTTGAGTTTTTGGTCCTAAAATTTATCATAGAGAAAACAATTCTTCTAATCCCCATGAACATGCTTGAAGAGTTAGGCTGATGTTTTTCTCACATCTTTTTCCCCTGAGACACACAGTATATACGGCCTTCCTTCGTGGGGGATTAGGATTCATAAGTACTTTCATATTTAGTAACTATGAGAGTCTAAACTGATGATTAATAGTAGAGCATCATTTAAAAAAATGTGTAGCTGAAGGCAGAAAATAAAGTGCTGATTGGTTCATTAAGCAATTCAATCCCAAACCATAAAAAGTTTAAGTTTAATCCTGCCTGAAGCCTGACTGATCCTGTCATAAACACTTTTCATAAACCTTCCACTTAAACCTGGTCTTGTGGTTTTATTAAGCTAACAATAATTCAAAATGACACACCATGTAGCAATATAAATCTGTAAGATGGAAATCATAAAACGTATACCATTACAAAACCCTTAAGTAATTATGTAAAAATGCAGTATCTTTTAGTTAGGTATGTTTTTCTGAATTGCAGCTTCTGGCTTGGTTAACAGAAATGTTGACCGTAACACTCTCTCAATGTGTTGATATGCCTGAAGGAAAAGAAAGAAAAATTGAGATAGCCACTGACAAAAAGTTCTGGAGTTCAGAAAGCCTTATTTGCAAAATTCAGGGAGTTATTTAAAGAAGACCTAGTTTATATTTTCTAGGAGGACTCCTCTTCCATGTTGCTATGTGGCACTTTTAGCTCTTGGGTTTAATGGCTATATTGATATTCTATAGATACACTTAGGGGCTCTGGGCAATAGGCACACTTTCAGAAACTCAAATGAACTCTCAGATGCCAGACTATTTTTTTGGGGGGGAGTTTCTTAGTTCTCAATCTAGGGGTTAGATGAACTCTCAAACTAGATCATAAGAGTAAACCTTAGAAATGTATTACTCCAATCCTGTTATTTGGGACGGAAGACTGCATCTCTACTTAATAAGGGGCAGAGAGAGACATTTCCAAGAATAAGCCTAGAAGGAGTCCATAAGAGCTAGAGGGTTTGTTCTCATATCCCTGCCATAGTCACTCAACAGAAGCAGTCTGCTCTTAAATAAAAGGGAGCCTTGAGCAAAAGTTCAAATGCTTACTGTTGAACCCATGGGACATTTATGCTTTTATAAGACAGTTGTTGGCGAAATATCTGAAGCCATAGAGTTTTTTCCCCTGCCCGTGCTTTATGGGTCTAGACTGACCGTACGTAAGAAAAAAAATCCACTTTCATGTGATGGGATGAAAGCCAAAGTGCATTACACACTGTGCTTTAGGATGGTCACAACTATAACTCAGTAAGACGCGTGTGTAATTATTTGTCGAGGATCTTCTCTTCTGATAGATTTTGAACTCCTCTCTAGTGTTTAGTTCAGTGCTTGGTGCATGGTGGGTGGTCACTGAGAATTTGTTGAATGATTTAATCACTAAGGATATGTATACAATGGAAAGGGAAATACGACATTTTGAATGTTACCCACTTCCGTGACCAAATATTGGCATTCAAACTTCATTCTAAAGCAGTTGCTTTTTAAGGGGAGTGTGTGCATCAGTGTTTCAGTTTGTGTTTGGTGGATACTTGTGCAGTGTTTGTAGCATCAATTAGGTGGAAGATCATAATTACTGCATATTTTATTTAGTAATTTGTTAAAAATATAGTAAAGAAATAAAATTTAGCATTCTTACATGGAAGTTTAAGATATCTGCAATAGGTCCTATACTTTCCTTATCAGATTATCTGTCTTTCTCAAAAAAAGCTTGCATTCTGTCAGTCTTTCAAATATAGGACAACACAACAATAATGTGAATTTGAGTATCATAAACATTTGGCAATTGCCTCCTACCCCCATCCTCTGCCCAGCCCCTGATATTAAACAGCCAGGTAGCGGGGGTGAGTGGTAAGCTAAAGTTATCATCCTTTGGTGGCAGCAGAAGTCGTGGTGGTGGTAGCCAGGCATGGTGGCAGGCGCCTGTAGTCCCAGCTGCTGGGGAGGCTGAGGCAGGAGAATGGCATGAACCCGGGAGGCGGAGTTTGCAGTGAGCCGAGATCGCGCCACTGCACTCCAGCCTGGCCGACAGAGCGAGACTCCGTCTCAAAAAAAAAAAAAAAAAAAAAAATCGTGGTGGTGGTAGTGGTGAGCCTCGGGAAATGTAGACAGGAGTGTGGGCCCTGTGAGGAAACTTCAACTACCAGGTAATTCCCTTCCTCAAAAGCAGCAGAGTAGAAATTAGAGACATTTGTTCCCAGTGTTCTCCAAGTAGCCTCCTGACCCATCCTCTTTGGTTCAGGCTGGTGAAATTGACCCTTCTTTGTCCCCCAACAATCATATCCCTGGAATTCTTGTTTTTTTAAAGTTCTCTTGATATTTAAATTGTAACAGGAAAATGACGCCAGGGTGCCAGGCTGTAGCTAGACCGGATGGACTTGGATCAATCTCATATTTCATTAACTTTGCAAGAATGGAATCCTATATTTTACCTGTGTGTGTGTGTGTGTGTGTGTGTGTGTGTGTGTGTGTGTGTGTTTTGACTCTACTCATAGCCTTATGGCAAGGTTTTGCTGGATCAACCACCATCATTTTGTCTAAACATGAAAATGTAAGTTTCAATAAATATTGACAATATAGCTTATTTTCTGTTGCATTATGTGGTCTACTACTCCTAAGAAGCAACTTCATAGTCAAAAATTAAGCCTTGTATAGTGCAATGTTCCTATTGCTATATGATCAGATACTAAAATAGGCAATTGCTGTCTTCCTTCTTACATCTTCATGTAATAGAATAATCTTTCTAATTTCAACTTTCAGGTAGTACAAACAATGCTGATTTGCATTCACTCATCATGTTTAAGACTCTTCAGATCAATATTGAACTAATATGGAACCAGCACACATCAGAGCCAGAATCACAACTGCATTTATTATCCTAATTAATTTTGCTATCCCAATAGAGATAATTTTTAATTATTTTATTCAAATGAGAGGACAATTATAATTCACAATAGTAAACACTCATATTGTAATAATAAACACTGGGGCTGCCACTATTTACAGAACTCATTTAGTTGAATCTAAACAGCTGAATGTTTTGAAAAAAAACTGCTTAACCATAGGCGATTTTCCTTCAGCCATCAAAATAAGACTGTGTTTTTCTGCTTATACATGGGGCCTACAAATCTACTGTTCCATTTTGTCTTTTTCACGGGAAGGGGGGAAGGAGAGAGGAAATGGATTCATCCTTAGGGCAAGCAGAATTCACCATTTCCCATTTTGGTGTTTTTGTTAAAACAGGATACTAATTAGGAGAACAGAGAAAATTAACAGTTGAGCAATTCTTTAGAGATTTTGAATAAATACAGACAAGCAGAAAGAACTTTCATTCTGAAAAAAAGTAGGACTTTTATAGTTCTATTTTCATTATTGCCTTTTTATAAGAACACAGGAGTCTTGCAGCTCTAGAATTTGCCAGCTGCCTTTCCAAATTGTCTTAAGGTAGGAAAGAACAGTATTTAGTGGCAAAATCTAGACTTGGCTTGCTGTCAGAATTTAATACAGAAAACCTATTTAAATTATTAACAAAATGTCCAAGAGTCTTAATATACTTTTTCTCATTCTTAGGGCATAGATAATTGTGGAGATCACATGTTGTTATCCTAATAATTCTGTTACCTGTCTTATGAGAGCAATGGAAAACTCTGAAAATTTAACTTTAAAAATGTTTTTAAATTTTATATTCACTTTTTAATTTACTTACAATAAACTTCACTCTTTTGGATGCACAGGTTTAAGAATTTTAACAAATAAATGGAATCATGTGACCACTACCACCACCAAGATACAGAGAAGACCAATTGTCTGAAATTATTTTTCCATGCTCACCCTACTTAACCCTTCCTCCCACTTCAACCTCTGTCAACAATGATCTGTCTGTTCTCCATCCATATAGTTTTGCCTTGTTCAGAGTGTCAAATAAATGAGAAATAGTACTATTTATAGCTTTTTGAGCCTGGCTTTTTTCACTTAATATATTTCAGATTTATCTATGATGTATGTATTAATAATTTGTTCCTTTTTATTGCTGTTGTGCTACTGTTTGTCTTTCCATTCATTAGGGTTGTTCTCAGTTTTGAGTGATTGTGAATAAATCACTATAAGCTCTTGCATACAAATTTTGGTGTGACCACAGTTTTCATTTTTCTTGGATAAACACCTAGAAATGGGATCACTGTGCTATATAGTAATATATTTTTAACTGTACAGAAAATTGACGAACTGGTTTTTAAAATGAATGTGCCATTTTTCATTCCCACTTGTAATGTGTGAATATTCCAGTTCTGCGTTTTCACCAACATTTGGTATTGTTGATTTTTTTTAAAAAATGTTGCTTTTTAGACGATATGTATTCGTATCTTGTTTTAATTTGCGTTTCTCTGATGAATAGTGATGTCGAGCTTTTTTCCATGTACTTATTTGCCATCTGCCTGTCTTTTTTGATGGAAGTATTTGTTCAAATGTTTTGCCCATTTTTCGTATTTTTTTGTTATTGAGTTTGGAAGGCTCTTATATTCTGGATAAGTCATTTGTCAGGTGATTTACAAATATTTTCTCCCAGTCCATGGCTTATCTTTTCGTTCTCTTAACAGTATCCTTTACAGAGCAAAAGTTTTGGTTTTAATGAAGTTCAATTTAAGAATTTTTGTCTTTTATGAATAATGATTTGAGTGTCATATTGAAAAACATTGCCTAATTCAAGATCACAAATATTTCTCCTACATTTGTTCCAGAAGTTTTATAGTTTTAGGTTTTAACTTTAGGTCTGTGATACATTTTAAATTTTGTATATGGGTTGAAGTACTTTTTTGCATATAGGGACCAATTGTTCCGGCACCATTTTTTGAAAAGGCTATTATTTTCCCATTGAACTGTCTTTGCACCTTTATCAAAATTAAGTTGTCCATATTTGTGTGGGTGAAAAATTTCTGGATTATTCTGCTGCATTGAGCAATGTGCCTATTATTTTGCCAATACCACACTGATTTTGCAGTAATGTTTGAAGTTAATTAGTATGTGTTCTTCTGCAGAATTGTTTTGGCTATTTTAGTTATCTGCCTTTCTATATATTTTTGAATTAGCTTGTCAGTTGCTACATAGAATTACCTGATATTTTGATTGGGATTATGCTAAATCTATGAATAAGTTTGATGACTATTGTAATATTAAGAGTATCAAATCTTCCAATTCATGAACATGGTGTATCTCTATATTTGAGTTTTTCATTTCTCTTATCAGTTGTATAGCTTTCAACATATAAGCGTCTAATTTGTTAGGTTTATGTATACATGTTTTGTGGGGTTTGATGCTATTATGCATTATATTGCTCTAAAATTTTAATTTCCAGTTGTTCATGGCTAATAGAAGCAGAGTTGAATTTTCTATATTGAACCTTGTATCCTGTGACCTTTTAAAATTTATGTATTGGTTTTAGGACATCTTTCTACATAGCCAATTGCATTAGTTTGTTAGGGTTGCCATAAAAAAATACCACAGATGGGGTGGCTTACATAAAAAGAAATTCATTTTCTCATGATTCTAGAGGAAAAGAAGTTCAACATCAAGGTATTGGCAGAATTGGTTTCTTCTAAGGCCTCTCTGGCTTGGAGATGGCCATTTTCTTGTATCTTCATGTGATCTTTCCTCAGTGTGTATCTATGTCCTAATCTCCTTTTCTCCTAAGAATACCAGTTATATTGGATTAGGGCCTAATCTAATGATCTCATTTAATTACCTCTTTAAAGACCTTATTTCCAAATGCAGTCACATTCTCACATTCTGAGAGACTGGGGATTAAGACTTCATATAAATTCTGGAGGAGACACAGTTTGGCCCCTGACAACAATCATGTCATCTCTGAACAGCAACAGTTTTACTTATTCCTTTTTTATACACACTATTTTATTATTTTTTCTTATTGCAGTGGCTATGATTTACAATATGATGCTAAATCTGAGTGGTGAGAACAGACATTCTTGAGTCATTCCTAATCTTATGGTCAAACATTATCTTACGCCATTAATAATGACATGAGCTTTAGGATTTAACAATTTTTTGTGTGTGTTTCTTTGTAGTTGTCTTTTATCATGGATGTGTGTTGAATTTTGCCACACGGATTTTTTTTGTCATCTGTTGGGATGATTAGATATTTTTTCTTTGAAATAATGATTTATAGCTAATTATATTATTTATTTTTTAATGTTAAGCCAGTCTTGTATTGCCAGGCTAAACCTCACTAGTTTGTGGTACACTATCCTCTTGATATGTTGCCTACTTCAGTTTTCTATTTTTTTTTTAAAGAATTAGAAGAATTAGGCCTATTTTCATGAGAAATACTGTTCTCTTTTCTTCCTAAGATATTTGGTAGAATTAGCCCATGAAACTGTCTGACTCTCGTGTTTTCTTTGTTGGAAGGTTTTCAACAATGAATTACATTTTTAAAAACAGATATAGGACTACTTTATCCTTGAGTGAGTTATTTTTTTTTTGTACTTGTGTATTTCCAGGAACTTGTATATTTTTTAAGTTGTCAAATAGGTTGATATAATGTCTTCTTGCAGTATTTTCTTAGTATACTTTTTAATGATTGTAGAGTCTATAGTGATGTCTACTTTTTCTTTTTTTTTCTTTTTGAGACAGAGTCTCATTCTGTCCCCCAGGCTGGAGTACAGTGGCATGATCTCTGCTCACTGCAAACTCTGTCTCTTGGGTTGAAGTGATTCTCCTGCCTCAGCCTCCTGAGTAGCTGAGATTACTGGTGTGTGCCACCATGTCTGGCTAATTTTTTTGTTTTTTTTAGAAGAGACGGGATTACACCCTGTTGGTCAGGCTGATCTTGAACTCCTGACCTCAAATGATTTGCCCACCTTGGCCTCCCAAAGTGCTAGGATTACAGGCATGAGCCACCATACCCTGACATCCCTTTTCTTTATTGATATTTGTAATTTGTGTCTTCCTTCCTTTTTTGTATTGGTTGGTTTGACTAGAGGTCTGTCAATTTTATTTTTTCAATTAACTAGTTGTAGGTATCATTAATTTTTTTCTCTATGTTTTCAATTTCATTATTTTTCTTTTATTTCCTTCCTTCTGCTTGCTTTGGATTTAACTTGTTCTTCTTTTTCTTGTTTATTTTCTTTATTTTTAAAATTATACTTTTAAGTTCTAGGGTACATGTGCACAACGTGCAGGTTTGTTACATAGGTATACATGTGCCATGTTGGTGTGCTGCACCTATCAACTCGTCATTTACATTAGGTGTTTTTCCTAATGTTATCCCTCTCCCACCTCCCTACCCCCTGACAAACCCCATTGTGTTCCCCGCCCTGTGTCCAAGTGTTCTCATTGTTCAGTTCCCACCTATGAGTGAGAATATGCGGTTTTTGGTTTTCTGTCCTTGTGTTAGTTTGCTGAGAATGATGGTTTCCAGCTTCATCCATGTCCCTGCAAAGGACATGAACTCATCCTTTTTTATGGCTGCATAATATTCCATGGTATATATGTGCCACATTTTCTTAATCCAGTCTATCATTGATGGACATTTGAGTTGGTTCCAAATCTTTGCTATTGTGAATAGTGCTGCAATAAACATATGTGTGCATGTGTCTTTATAATAGAATGATTTATAATCCTTTGGGTATATACCCAGTACTGGGATCACAGGGTCAAATGGTATTTCTAGTTCTAGATCCTTCAGGAATCGCCACACTGTCTTTCACAATGGTTGAACTAATTTATACTCCCACCAACAGTGTAAAAGCATTCCTATTTCTCCACATACTCTCAAGCATCTGTTGTTTCCTGACTTTTTAATGATCGCCATTCTAACTGGTGTGAGATGGCATCTCATTGTGGTCTTGATTTGCATTTCTCTGATGACCAGTGAGGAGCATTTTTTCATGTGTCTGTTGGCTACATAAATGTCTTCTTTTGAGAAGTCTCTGTTCATATCTTTTGCCCACTTTTTGATGGGGTTGTTTTTTTCTTGTAAATTTGTTTAAGTTCTGTGTAGAATCTAGATATTAGCCCTTTGTCAGATGGGTAGATTGCAAAAATTTTCTCTCATTCTGCAGGTTGCCTGTTCACTCTGATGGTAGTTTCTTTTGCTGTGCAGAAGCTCTTTAGTTTAGTTAGATCCCATTTGTCTATTTTGGCTTTTGTTGCCATTGCTTTTGGTGTCATAGTCATGAAGTGCTTGACCATGCCTATGTCCTGAATGGTAATGCCTAGGTTTTCTTCTAGGGTTTTTATGGTTTTAGGTCTAACATTTAAGTCTTTAATCCATCTTGAATTAATTTTTGTATAAAGTGTAAGGAAGGGATCCAGTTTCAGCTTTCTACCTATGGCTAGCCAGTTTTCCCAGCACCATTTATTAAATAGGGAATCCTTGCCTTCATTTCTTGTTTTTCTCAGGTTTGTCAAAGATCAGATGGTTGTAGATGTGTGCTGTTATTTCTGAGGCCTCTGTTCTGTTCCATTGGTCTATATATCTGTTTTGGTACAAGTACTATGCTGTTTTGGTTACTGTAACCTTGTAGTATAGTTTGAAGTCAGGTAGCGTGATGCCTCCAGCTTTGTTCTTTTGGCTTAGGATTGTCTTGGCAATGCAGGTGTTTTCATGGTTGCATATGAACTTTAAAGTAGTTTTTTCCAATTCTGTTAAGGAAGTCGTTGGTAGCTTGATGGGGATGGCATTGAATCTATAAATTACCTTGGGAAATATGGCCATTTTCACAATATTAATTCTTCCTATCCATGAGCATGGAATGTTCTTCCATTTGTTTATGTCCTCTTTTATTTGATTGAGCAGTGGTTTGTAGTTCTCCTTGAAGAGGTCCTTCCCATCCCTTGTAAGTTGGATTCCTAGGTATTTTATTCTCTTTGTAGCAATTGTACTGGAAGTTCACTCATGATTTGGCTCTCTCTTTGTCTGTTATTGGTGTACAGGAATGCTTGTGATTTTTGCACATTGATTTTGTATCTTGAGACTTTGCTGAAGTTGCTTACCAGCTTAAAGAGATTTTGGGCTGAGATGATGGGGTTTTTTAAATATACAATCTTGTCATCTGCAAACAGGGAAAATTTGACTTCCTCTTTTCCTAATTGAATACCCTTTATTTCTTTCTGTTGCCTGATTGCCCTGGCCAGAGCTTCCAACACTATGTTGAATAGGACTGGTGAGAGAGGGCATTGTTGTCTTGTGCCAGTTTTCAAAGGGAATGCTTCCAGTTTTTGCCCATTCAGTATGATATATGCTGTTGGTTTGTCATAAATACCTCTTACTATTTTGAGATACATTCCATCAATACCTAGTTTATTGAGAGTTTTTAGCATGAAGGGCTGTTAACTTTTGTCAAAGGCCTTTTCTGCACCTATTGAGATAATCATGGTTTTTGTCATTGGTTTTGTTTATGTGATGGATTATGTTTACTGATTTGCATATGTTGAACCAGCCTTGCATCCCAGGGATGAAGCCCACTTAATTATGGTGGATAAGCTTTTTGATGTGCTGCTGGATTAGGTTTGCAAGTATTTTATTGAGGATTTTTGTATCAATGTTCATCTGGGATATTGGTCAAAAATTCTCTTTTTTTTTGTTGTGTCTCTGCCCGGCTTTGGTATCAGGATGATGCTGGCCTCATAAAACGAGTTAGGGAGGATTCCCTCTTTTTCTATTGATTGGAATAGTGTCAGAAGGAATGGTACCAGCTCCTCTTTGTACCTCTGGTAGAATTAGTCTGTGAATCCGTCTGGTCTGGACTTTTTTTGTTTGGTAGGCTATTAATTAATGCCTCAATTTCAGAGCCTGTAATTGGTGTATTCAGAGATTCAACTTCTTCCTGGTTTAGTCTTGGGAGGGTTTTATTCATTCAGGAATTTATCCATTTCTTCTAGAGTTTTTAGTTTTTTTGCACAGAGGTGTTTATAGTATTCTCTGATGGTAGTTTGTATTTCTGTGGGATCAGTGGTGATAACCCCTTTATCATTTTTTATTGCATCTATTTGATTCTTCTCTCTTTTTATTAGTCTTGCTAGTGGTCTATCAATTTTGTTGATCTTTTCAAAATCAGCTCTTGGATTCATTGGTTTTTTTGAAGGGGTTTTGTGTCTCTATCTCCTTCAGTTCTGCTCTGATCTTAGTTATTTCTTGCCTTCTTCTAGCTTTTGAATGTGTTTGCTCTTGCTTCGCTAGTTCTGTTAATTGTGATGTTAGGGTGTCAATTTTAGATCTTTCTTGCTTTCTCTTGTGGGCATTTAGTGCTATAAATTTCACTGTACACACTGCTTTAAATGTGTCCCAGAAATTCTGGTACATTGTGTCTTTGTTCTCATTGGTTTCAAAGAACATCTTTAATTCTGCCTTCATTTTGTTATTTACCCAGTAGTCATTCAGGAGCAGGTTGTTCATTTTCTATGTAGTTGAGCGGTTTTGAGTGAGTTTCTTAATCCTGAGTTCTAGTTTGATTGCCCTGTGGTCTGAGAGACACTTTGTTGTGATTTCCGTTCTTTTACATTTGCTGAGGAGTGCTTTACTTCCAATTATTTGGTCAATTTTAGAATAAGTGCAATGCATTGCTGAGAAGAATGTATATTCTGTTGATTTGGGGTGGAGAGTTCTGTAGATGTCTGTTAGGTACACTTGGTGCAGAGCTGAGTTCAATTCCTGGATATCCTTGTTAACCTTCTGTCTCGTTGATCTGTCTGATATTGACAGTGGGGTGTTAAAGTGTCCCATTATTATTGTGTGGGAGTCTAAGTCTCTTTGTAGGTCTCTAAGGACTTGCTTTATGAATCTGGGTGCTCCTGTATTGGGTGCATATATATTTAGGATAGTTAGCTCTTCTTGTTGAATTGATCCCTTTACCATTATGTAATGGCCTTCTTTGTCTCTTTTGATCTTTGTTGGTTTAAAGTCTGTTTTATCAGAGACTAGGATTGCAATCCCTGCTTTTTTTTTTTTTTGCTTTCAATTTGCTTGGTAGATCTTCCTCCATCCCTTTATTTTGAGCCTATATGTGTGTCTGCACATGAGATGGGTCTCCTGAATACAGCACACAGATGGGTCTTAAATCTTTATCCAACTTGCCAGTCTCTGTCTTTTAATTGGGGTATTTAGCCTATTTACATTTAAGGTTAATATTGTTATGTGTGAATTTGATGCTGTGATTATGATGCTAGCTGGTTATTTTGCTCGTTAGTTGATGCAGTTTCTTCCTAGCATCGATGGTCTTTACAATTTGGCATGTTTTTGCAGTGGCTGGTACCGGTTGTTCCTTTCCATGTTTAGTGCTTCCTTCAGGAGCTCTTGTAAGGCAGGCCTGGTAGTGACAAAATCTCTCAGCATTTGCTTGTTTGTAAAAGATTTTATTTCTCTTTCACGTATGAAGCTTAGTTTGGCTGGTTATGAAATTGTGGATTGAAAATTTTTTTTTTTAGAATGTTGAATGTTGTTCCCCACTCTCTTCTGGCTTGTAGAGTTTCCGCTGAGAGTTCTGCTGTTAGTCTGATGGGCTTCCCTTTGTGGGTAACCCGACCTTCCTCTGGCTGCCCTTAACATTTTTTCCTTCATTTCAACCTTGGTGAATTTGTCAATTATGTGTCTTTGGGTTGTTCTTCTCGAGGAGTATCTTTGTGGTGTTCTCTGTATTTCCTGAATTTGAATGTTGGGCTGTCTTGCTAGGTTGGGGAAATTCTCCTGGATAATATCCTGAAGAGTGTTTTCTAACTTGGTTCCATTCTTCCTGTCACTTTCAGGTACACCAATCAAATGTAGTTTGGTCTTTTCACATAGTCCCATATTTCTTGGAGGCATTGTTTGTTTCTTTTTACTTTTTTCTCTAAACTTGTCTTCTTGCTTTTTTTTTTCATTAATTTGATCTTCAATCACTGATACCCTTTCTTCCTCTTGATCAAATCGGCTACTGAAGCTTGTGCATGCATCATGAAGTTTTCGTGCCATGGTTTTCAGCTCCATCAGGTCATTTAATGTCTTCTCTACACTGTTTATTCTAATTAGCCATTTGTCTAACCTTTTTTGAAGGTTTTTAGCTTCCTCGCGATGGGTTAGAACATGCTCCTTTAGCTTGGAGAAGTTTGTTATTACTGACCTTCTGAAGCCTACTTCTGTCAACTCGTCAAAGTCATTCTCCATCCAGCTTTGTTCCATAGCTGGCGAGGAGCTGCAATCCTTTGGAGGAGAAGAGGCACTCTGGTTTTTAGAATTTTCAGCTTTTCTGCTCTGGTTTCTCCCCATCTTTGTGGTTTTTATCTACCTTTGGTCTTTGAAGTTGGTGACCTACAGATGGGGTTTTGGTGTAGATGTCCTTTTTGTTGATGTTGATGCTATTCCTTTCTGTGTGTTAGTCTTCCTTCTAACAGTCAGGTCCCTCGGTTGCAAGTCTGTTGGAGTCTGCTAGAGGTCTACTCCAGAAGCTGTTTGCCTGGGTATCACCAGCGTAGATTACAGAACAGCAAATATTGCTGCCTGATCCTTCTTCTGGAAACTTTGTCCTAGAGGGGCACCCACCAACAGAGGTGTCTGTTGGACCCTACTGGGAGGTGTCTCCCAGTTAGGCTACATGGGGGTCTGGCACCTGCTTGAGGAGGCAGTCTGTTTGTTCTCAGAGCTCAAATGCCATGCTGTGATAACCATTGCTCTATTCAAAGTTGTCAGACAGGGATGTTTAACTCTGCAGAAGTTTCTGCTGCCTTTTGTTCAGCTATGCTGTGCCCACAGAGGTGGATTCTATAGAGGCAGTAGGCCTTGCTGAGCTGCAGTGGGCTCCGCCCAGTTCGAGCTTCCCAGCAGCTTTGTTTACCTACTCAAGCCTCAGCAATGGCGGATGCCCCTGCCCCAGCCAGGTTGCAGCCTCGCAGGTGGATCTCACACTGCTGTGCTGGCAGTGAGCAAGGCTCCATGGGTGTGGGACCCGCTAAGCCAGGCACGGTGGAGAATCTCCTGGTCTACCAGTTGCTAAGACCATGGGAAAAACACAGTATTTGAGTGGAAGTGTCCCAGTACAGTCTGTCACGGCTTCCCTTGGCTAGGAAAGGGAAATCCCTTGACCCCTTGCACTTCCCAGGTGAGGTGATGCCCCGCCCTGCTTTGTCTCGCCCTCCGTGGGCTGCACCCACTGTCCAGTCACTCCTAATGAGATGAACCATGTACCTCAGTTGGAAATATAGAAATCACCCGTCTTCTGCATCGATCACACTGGGAGCTCCAGACCAGAGCTGTTCCCATTTGGCCATCTTGGAACGGAAATGGTGTTTACGTGGTTTTCATTGAATGTAATTATCAATATGATTGAATTTAGATATATCATTTAAATATGTTTTTTTGTTTGTCCACTTTGATTTTCCTCTGTTCCATTTTCCTGCCTTCTTTTGGATTGTTTAAATTTTTTTACTATACCATTTTCATATATATATACACACACACACGTATATATGTGTATGTGTGTATGTATATGTATGCATATATGTATATATGTGTATATATGTATATATGTGTATATATTTGTGTGTACATATGTATATATGTGTGTATATATGTATATATGTGTATATGTGTGTGTGTATATATATGTATACTTGCTTTTTGGATATACTGCTTTATAAGTTGTACTAGGGAATAAGATATATACAAGTAATCTTTCATAGTCTGTATAGAGTTAATATTTTATCACTTAAATAAAATGTAGAAGCCTTGCAACCATACAATAGGCCCCTTTACCTTTCCTTCTATGTGTTAGAGTTGTCATACATGTTATATCTACATACATTGAAAATCCCAGAAAATGTTATATTTTGTTTTCATGAATTTTTTATTGTAGTAATATTTTGAATGTTACATTCTGTATTTCTTAGTCCTCCAGATAATGCTGACTTTTTTTCCTCTTAAATTTTTGTAGGCAATCAATCTACAACCATCAGTTCAGACCATCAGTTTTATCCCACCTTCTGTGGGTAGGGTTTCCAATGTCAATTCAGTTTTCAAAGGCTTCACTTGGCTATTTTGACTAAGTTTTGTGCATGCGCCTCTCAGGGCTTATTTTGGCAAATGGAATGTGTATTATACTGTAGTTCGCTTTTCATAACCTTTGCTATGTTAATTTGGGTTTGTGTTGTGCATGCAGCAGGTGAGCCTGGAACTTGTTCTGAATCATAGACAGAATTAGAAAATTCCCATCTCCAACTCTGTACAGAAATCCCTCCCACACTCCTTGGCTTCTAAGATTCCCTTTCCTTGGTTCTCTTGCCAGAAAGACAAGACTTCTCTTTGGGATTTGTGCTGCCTGTGCCTATTGCATAGTTCCACAAAAGGGGCCACTCTCAGGTCAAAGCTAGGAGAGAAAAGATGATACATTAGTTTGCAAGGGTTATCATAGCAAAGTACTATAAAGTGAGTAGCTTAAACAATAAAAATGTATTGTCTCACAGTTCTAGAAGCTAGGAATCCGAGATCAATTACTGGCTATTCTCCTTTGATGGCGGTGGGGAAAGATTTGTTCCAGGCCCCTCTTCTAGCTTCTGGTAGCTCCTTGATTGTGGCAGCATAACTTCGATCTTCACATAGTGTTCCTTCAGTGACCATGTCTGCTTTTGTATACAAATTTTCTCTTTTTATAAGGTGACCAGTCATATTGGATTAGGGGCCACCCTAATCACCTTGTTTTAATTTGATTACCTCTGTAAGTAAAGGCCTTATCTCCAAATAACATCACATGATGAGGTGGCACAGGGAGTTAGGACCCCAACATATTTTTGTGGGGATATAGTTCAATCCAAAGCCTATAGGGGAGTGAAGGGAGACAGGTTGCTCAGCACTACACTAGTCACTTCTTCAAGTTTTAACTACTTTTTTCAATCTACCTACTATGATTTACTTTTCAGAATTCTCATGTAGTTGCCTCATATATTTTGACTGCAGATTTTATCTGTAATCAGTGGGAGAGAGACGCTTTAGTGGGTTTACTTCGTTTTGGTCAACACTGGAAGATGTAGTTTTTAAAAATAAGTAAAATCCTTTAGTTTTAGGGTCATACTAGTACATCTGAGGTTCAAGTAGATGTGTTGGCTGGAATGAGGATCAGAGTTGAAATGAGCAATAGGCTGAGAAAGTCTATTAGAAGGGAAATTTTGAGTCCAATATGCAGGACACTAGCCTGGGGTAGAGGTGAAGTTTATTTCAGTCTTGAAACATTTATGACTCAGAACTACTTAGTTTCATACTCTAATTCTCTTTCAGTTCTACCACTCTCGATTGCTTAGGGGTAAAAATTTGTTAGTGGGATTAGGACTAGAAAAATCTAAGTTGAATATTATTTCAAATGGTTGCTAGTTATAATAAAGCCCAGTTCTGTTTATCATATATTCAGGTATTGCTTTCTGGGATTACAAAGATATATTGGATATAGTTCCTGAGATTAAGGTGTCTCAGTCTAGTCAGGGAGTCAGAAATGTGGATAAATGCTGTATTGATATGCTAAATGTACTGACAGAGAGAAATAAAATGGTACACAGGATGAAGGGGGATGGTAGGAGAAGAGTAATACCTATACCAAGATGTGAAGAAAATGATCTCACTGTGTGGGGAAAATACTGGAGAGTGCAGAAGGGCTATGAGGCAAAAACAGTCTCTGCCATGCGAGCAGAGCTACAATGCAAATGGGCTTATGAGTTTGAAAGGTTCTCTGGTGTACATTTCTTCAAAATATTGTTTATTGAAAAGTATTATGTATTGGTGCCCTAAGATTTTATGCTATTTGATGATCAAGACAGAGACGACCAGCAGCCTAAAGAGAAAACTCTTAGTTGAAGGAAATATATTTTAGGCAAAACATTTCCTACTCTTTTTGAAACTCTTTTAAGGATTGATCTGAGAACTATCACACAGGATACAAATATAGAAAGATCTCAGGAGAATGAACTTTTATCTCCACAGGCATATTTTTATTTCTTTGGTTCATTAAGTTCAATAATCCAGAATGGCTCATTCAGAGTTTGGTCTACTCATAATCAGGGAAGAGGAATTAATTTATAATGCCACCCAAAGTCAGGTTGTATCATCAAGTCTTTTACTGGAAATCTTATTTTGTTTTGAAGTTAATTGGGAATAGTGTTGGATGAGGCAGTGAAAAAAGAATTAATTTCAGTTTCTGTGAAAGCTGGTACTCAGGACTTATGCAAACCATACAGGGCAAAATCTATCCAGCTCTCTCTTGCCAATTATCAGCTGATATAACTGTGGTGATAACTATAAAGTAAACCTTGTTTGGTACTATTTTGCTCGGTATATTTTAGAGCCTTTAATAATCTAGTATTTCTTTAATAATTCTAATATTTTTGAGTATGAGATATAGCATTGTTTAACAAATATATTTTACCACCCTGAAGTCTGCTTTGCTTCTTTTGTAGTTTATCCATTGTCTCTCAAAACTGGATGTTTTTATTTTTTGCAAAGTGAATTTCCAAAAATACTGCCTTAGTTCAAAAAGAATAGAACACTGAAGAATGTCACCTTTAACTCCTTATTGTATTACCATTGATTTTTCCTGTTTGTGGTGAGGAATATTTATTTTATTCTAGTCAAAATCTAGGACCTTAAATTGCCATTTGGATATTGAATCGATTGTCTACTTTAGTCTTTAGCTCTAAAGAATATCTTGAACTACTTTTTACTACATAGCTCTAAGAGCCAGGGAAAATGAACACACCCAAGAATTATAGGGATATAAATATAGTCTCTCATAAGTTATTCCTTTTTGAAAGCAAAATAAATTGAGAACTATAAACTTCTTGTTAGCAGATGTGAACTGAGAGACTCTGCTAACTTGTTTTACTGCCAAACTCATAACTATATATATCAAGACTGACAATATTTGCAAAGACATTTATTACTTAGATTTTCTTAGCAGGAATTAAAAATTCACCTATATAGTAAATTACTCCCTCTTTGACTGATAAAATAATTTATTCTATAATAAGAGATGTTTATCAAACCTAGCTAGATCATAAATTACAGATTTTGATCAAAGTATCAAATTGCTCTGTGTTGATAACCTAAGTGGCCATTAATAGTGACAATGCTATTAAGCTATTTAATATAGAAACTTTAACATACTGAGAGGTAAATCTCATATTTATCAACATTACTTAAATGAATTCCTAGTGACCTTGCTTATGTGCTCAAAAATCCCAAGTCCACATTTTTTCAGTTACTTTGATAACTCTTTTGAAATTGTCATGCTTATGTTACATACTCCTAAATTTTAAATGCTGGAGTTATAAAAGGAGCACTGATTCTGAAAGTGTATTTATCAGCTATAATAGAACTAAAAGATGACAGATAGTAGGGTAAAGAATGCAAAATCTTTCCTAGAATTAAATGGTGTTGGTGACATAGGGAAAAAACCCAGTCATAATAGAGACAATAATTAACACATAGTGGAAGAAAGCTTTTCTCAGCCCAAACAACAAAAACTGAATAAAACAAATTTGACTTACATAGTGGAACTGCTTATTAAATTTTAGGCAAAATCTAGGTTATTTATACTTAGTAGTATAATAGCAAAATATTTAAATTACAAAATTATGGAGACAATTTTACTATCATAGAAAAACTGTGGGCCAAGAAACAAGAATCTGATTGGCTTCACTGTAACAGCATACTCAATCACACAAGGGCTCAAAAAGTAAAATATCTAAGTAAAATAAATCCTCATTAATGTTGTTGATAGGTTCTTGAAAACTGCAACTTTAGGCAAAACGACATTAACGAAGCCAATTTTACCTTAGGCGAATTGATATAAACAAGAATTAAGTTCCTGCAGCATATTTCTAGTCACAAAAAATCACCACACTTCTAAATAAAGACCCAACAGAATTCTAAATGAAACAGTGCAATAAATGTGAGCTTTTATTTAAGAAATACAATTTAAGAAAGATCTTAATACATTTAAGAAAGATCTTACACATTTAAGAAAGATCTTAATGCATTTAAGAAAGATCTTAATACATTTAAGAAAGATCTTATTACATTAACATTAAGAATGTTAATACATTCTTAAATGTATTAACAAAGATCTTAATACATTTAAGAAGGATCTTAAATACATTTAAGAAAGATCAATAAAACCGAGTGAGATAATTACCCATTTTTTGGTGAATCAGTGAGTGACAGTGGTCATAGTTGTGGTGGATTAAATCAAGGAATAAATGTTTGCAAAGTGAGATGGTAAGGGGCACCTAGCACCTCTCAGTTCAAATAATAACAGACATGGAGGGCTCACTGAGTGCTTTTGTACTGCTTTGTTTATTGTCATGCATTTATATTATTATCAGAAACTTTATGAATTTTTATTTTACAATAATTTATATTCATTCATTTATTTTCCAACCTACTTATTCCAATTCAGGGTTACAGGTGGCTGGAGCCCATCCTGGTAGCTCAGGGTACAAGGCGGGAGCTAACCCTGGACAGGATGCCATCCTATTGCAGGACTACTCACACACACACACTCACCCACTCACTCACACTGGGACAATTTAGACACACCAATTCACCTAATGAGCACGGTTTTGGGATGTGGGAGGCAACTGGGGTACCTGGGGAAAACCCACACAGACATGTAGAGAACATGCAGACTCCACACAGATGATGGCCCTGGCCAGGAATCTATGTTTTTCTCATCAACATTATAAGGAAATGGCATTGAACAAAACATTATTTGAGGGTCTGCTGTATTTATCTTAGAAATATTTTTTGAATAAGCTTTTCTGTCAAGTGAGAGAGAACCCAAAATTAAGAATCAAGGTGAGAGAAATATGACTAAAAGGGCTGTGCTCTACTGGACATATTCAGTAATAGCCAAGTGGCCAGTTGCCTGATGATGAGCATCTCAGGAGACAGGTACCACAGAATTTGAGTAGTTCTATTACTTTTGGGTTGTCTGGTAGGGTTGAAATATTACCACAAGGCTTGAGTTGTATCATCAAGAATTAAATGTCCAACCCTATAGCTCCAGTCCCCAAGGAGCTGAGATGGCCAGCTGACTTCTAGTAGCAAATCAAACCAGCAACAACTTCCAAACTGAGCTGTGATCAATGCCTCAGTCTCATCACAAGATCTATTGGGTATTGATCTGAGTTTGATCTATTAAAATCACCATGTTTGAATATTCTCAGAGATATGTATTATGAAATAGTATCACTTTCAAGTGTTTGTCTATAGACTCCACCTCTACAATATGTGGACAGTGTGGCAAATATTGGGGTATGCTGCACACACACGCATGCACACACAACAAACTCCAGATGTGACATGCGCTGGACCAAAACACTACTAGATCTCCTAAACTTCTCTCTTGAGAAATGTAGGCATGGTCTAAATGGCTGATGAGCAAAGTCTCCATGGCCACTTCTTTGCTTGTAAACTACTTTAATTTAAATAATCAAATAGACACATCAACTAGGTAAAATTAAAGAACTTAGGTAGAAGACAATTGTTTTTGAAATTATTTTGGAAGTTGAGCTAAAAGACATGATAATGGGGACACTAGAAGGATTACAGTACAATTTGACCACTTTGTGAGTATCCCCGGTGGAAACAGTAGACTAATTTTCTCCCCCAGGATGCCTTTTGTTCAAATCCAAAGTTTAGATCTTCTTAACCTTGTCATACGTAAGACTCACTCTAATGCTCCTACACATGGTTCAAAGTAAATAACTTAAAAAAAAGAATGATGTAAGTATGCCGTTGGTTATAGCTGGATGAGGCAATCTAGCAGTAGTTACAAAGAGGCAATAGTTCTTACATTTCAGTAGAAAAGAAAAATCACTTGGGGTGCTGGTTGAATTTGTATATTTCCTCAGATATTTCAATTCAGAAGGGTTGGAGTACAGGTATATGAATTTGCATTTTAATAAGCACCCTAGTCAATTCTTCCACAAAACATGTTTTAAAGAACACTAGCAGATGGTAATATCTCCGTGCTGTAGTTTCTCTATTTGTAAAATTAGAAGGATAATTACCTTAAATTTTGTAAAATTAGGACAATCCAATAATTACCTTAAAAGGTAATGGTGATGATTAAATGAAGCTACTTCTCTGAGTCTGGCTGAGAACCTGGCATGTTATAAATACTCAATATATGTTGTTTTAATAAACTTATACTCAAAATGGGGCAATACTTAAAGCTATAATTTTACATAAAGTTATAAAGCAGATATATGGCACAATCAGTTATGTAAATGTATTTCTTGAAAAAGACTAGAAAAATAATTAGTAACATGTTAGTAGTGTCATTAGCCTTTCTGATCTATTTTCACGACTTCTCTCTGTATTGTGAATATAAAACAATAAACATTTACTTTCATATTTTCCATTTTATAAGCTTTAAACAAGGCACATAATAACTACACTATATTCTACATTCTTTATGTTATAGATCTCTACCTCTTTGTGTGTTATTTTCATGATCTTAAGTAGCTGTTAATAAGGTTGATTACTGTATTAATAACTGGCAAAGAACATTTCTGAATCTTGCAGATGTTGAATATATTTTATTTTCAGCTATAAACTTTAAGGAGAGCAAGGGTGCAGAGTAGGAAATACTTTGAAGACAATGTAATCTATGAATTCTTTATAAATTTTTGTTTTGAAAAATGAAAAAAACACCCTTACCCTTTAGAAAAGATTAATTCATGAGAAGCTTTACACAAAAGGAGCTTATTGCCCATGGTGGAAGTGTGTGTTGTATTATCTGTACGGCTTGTGTCACCTGCTACCATGAGAGATGAAGGTAGTTGGAAGGGGGTGAGCAGTAAATTATCCAAGACTTTGAAAGTAATAAAAGAAACCATGGGCTGAAAAAAAAGACGTTCTAGACATAATTCACAGATTTATTGTAATCATTTTCAAAGCACTGAAACAGACCAAATGTGTGGAGAAATTATTTCTGATTGCATACTGAAATTTTAAAGGCACTCAGATGTCTGAGGTTTGTGTTCCATATAGAAACTCACTTTGAATGCTAGGTTTGGGAATTGGATAGAAAAAGGAAGAGATTCACATTTTGAATAAGCCCGAGAAGCAGAAAGCAGGAGAAGCTTACAAGAAGGCAAAAACTCTAAAGAGATTAAAGTGAGACTTGGCCTGGATAGCAAAGCGAAATAAAAAAAAAAAATCTATCTGGGAACAAAAAGGGCTCAAAAATAGTCATTGCAATGTGAATAAAGGTTAAATGATTCTTGCCTAAAACTAAAAGAATACTGTGACTTAGTGTATTGGAGCAAGAGGCAGGCATAGATACTTGGTGGGAAAAAAATCATACAGGGCTGGGCACAGTGGCTCACGCCTGTAATCCCCGCACTTTGGGAGGCTGAGGCGGGGGGATCACCTGAGATCAGGAGTTCGAGACCAGCCTGGCTAACATGGTGAAACCCTCTTTCTACTAAAAATACAAAAAATTAGCCTGGCGTGGTGGCATGTGCCTGTAATTCCAGCTACTCGGGAGGCGGAGGCAGGAGAATCGCTTGAACCTGGGAGGCAGAGGTTGTAGTGAGCCGAGATCTTGCCATTGCACTCCAGCTTGGGCAACAAGAGCGAAACTCCATCTCAAAAAACAAAAAATCATACAGATGACTTTCGTTCTATTTTCTATTCTAATTTGTTCACTAGAAACCTTGGGACTCATATTCTCTGCCTTTTCTGTAAAATGTGGACAATGAGGTACTGGTTGAATTTGTATATATCACATAGTGTTCTGTATGGGTATATGTGAGTAAGGCTTTCAGATTAGTTTCTGTAATTTGTTTCTTGCTTGTTTCAGAAAACAAAGGTAGTCTTCTAAATTTGATGATAGCAGTGGTGGTAGGCTCTTATAAAAAAATGAGTGCACTGCAGTTTCAAATATTCTACCGTCTCTTCCCAATAGAAACCTAGAAAAAAAGAGTTGAAATGGAATTTAGAAGTTATTTCCTCATTCACTGAAGTTTTTCCATATCACTTCAAAAGATGGCCATCTGACCTTGGCTTGAATTAAGATATACTGTGTTTATGTCATCAACTGTGATTTTACCATTGTATTAATCCTGTTAAAAAAAGAAAGGTTAATTGAGTGTAAAGTGATCTTAGTGAATTTAATCTTTTAGAATTTTGCAGTGGAGGATATCAATATCACACTTATAGAATGTAATTTGTAAAACCTATTTTTTCCCATCAAAGGTTGGATATCTTTTCATTGCTCTCAACTCTCTGTTACTGAGTAAAGATAGCCAGTAGCAACTCTGACATCTGGTTCTTTTCATCTCTACAGTTACAACTCCAGGTTTGCCCCGCTGTGATCCCTCTGTCACATTGCTGCCAGAATAATTTTTCTTAAAACTGTTCATAAATGTCTCCTGCTAAGTCATTCAATGACTCTTCATTAGCTTCAATATAAAAGTTCAAACTCTGCAGCATGGCATGTGATATGTCTTATAATAATGAATGTTTCTGTATCAGTTGACTATTGCGGCAAGAATGCTGCATAACGAACAAACCTGCAACTCAGTGCCTTCAAACAATGAGCATTTTTTCTTTATGAGTTTACAGGTCAGTTGGGAAGTTTTGCTGATCTCACTTGGGCTTTGCTGGCCATTGTGTCTCAAAACGGACAGTTAGACATGCCGTGACATTCTGTCTTGCTTATGTTAAGGCACCTTGGACTTTTATATTGTGATGAATTGTGCTTCTGACTTTATATAACTCAATGATAAGAGGACCCTGGCTATATGTCTTAGTCCATTGGGGCTGCTGTAACAGGATGTCATAGACTGGGTGGCTTATAAACAAAAAACATTTATTTCTTATAACTCTGGAGGCTGGGAAGTCTAAGATCAAGTGCTTGCAGATTTGGTGTCTGGTGAAGGCTCATTCCTCATAGATGGTGCCTTCTAGCTGTGTCCTCATGGTAGAAAGGGTGAGGCAGCTCTTTGGGGCCTCTTTGATAAGATTTCTAATACCGTTCATGAGATCTCTACTCTCATGACCTAATCACCTTCTGAAAGACCCCACTTTTTAATATCAGCATTTTGGGGGCTAGGATTTCAACATATGAATTCTGGGGAGACACAAAAATTCAGACTGTAGTGCTACAGAAATTAAAAAATTCATGTTTTCAGCAGGAAGACTGGTCATTAGTGAGCCTTCTTTTATTGCTGTAAATACTATGCCGTAATTAGACTACATAAATATAGATTTCCATTCAATAGTAACTATTCTATTTTTCTTGCTTATGTTTGATAATGCTGTTGTCTTGGGAAATGTACTATTCTATGTCCTCAATTTTCATTGAAATATATTATGAGAAATTATTTAACAGGAAAGCATAGCTTCTCTTTAATATTATTAAAGACAGATATATTCTAGTAAGTCAGATCTTATTTTTGTCATCCTAGTGTGCCAGTTATAGGCAGTGTGGCTCCTCAGTCTAGTAAAGAACACTTTAAAGCTAATGAAAAGGTGAATAGCATGATGAGAAAGATACCATTGTTTGCTGAGGGAACAGTAGAGTACCATATCTGAATCTGATATAGCTCTGGAGAATGGCTAAAAATTGGTTGGTGTCCATAAATTAAACTGTCTCAGAAAGGTGACTTAATCAATGGATAGATGGCTGGTTCTCAACCTTGTGATGCCCATTGGGTAGTCACTTCTGAAATACTTTCAGCACTGAGTTAGAAATACCTATCAATTTCAAGAGAAAATCTTGTCTTGTATTTGAACAAAATGCTCTCTTACCTTAGAGTTGGTATATATTTGTCTAATTGCAAGGCAAGTCAAGCTCTAAAACAATTGCTATCCACCAAAATATACAAATAGAAAGAACTGCCCAACTCTTAAATGGTCAGCACCACTTTTGTCATGTCATTTTGACTACCAATGACAACTTCTGTCCGGATAGCCCAAATTGGGCCAGGGTGAGCTGTAGAAAACATGCCATCACCACATCTCACTTTAGCAAATATTTTGAAACTCTACATATCGAAAAAGTTATTTACATGGACAGTAATTATTTTAAATAGAAGCATTTTAGAGCAGGTTAGTTTTTTAATACTTTCAGTAACACTTCAGGATAAATAATCCTATAAATCTTATATACAAGAAAAGAACAGTAGGTTAACTGTTTCCAAAATTTTCATTACCCATAACCCATCTTCTTAAGCTTTGACAAAAATGCAAATAATTTATTTAGAATTTTATTAACAAAATGACAGAAATAGTTAGAAATGTTCACAGAAACATCCAGGTTCCTACTTTAGTTCTGCGATTGAACAGAGCATTACTAGTACTCTTGAACATGCACAAATTGCCTTCATTCTTGGCTTGCCTTCCCATCACCTTTCCATTGTTTTAACGATCACTGAATAATTGGGCAGGTCCAGATTTGCTTTTTCAGTGTGGACTTGCTTTCAAATTGATTTTAAATTGCTCTGAAAGATCTGGTAAAATTTTGAAGATGTCAAGATTTAGATTAAGATGAGGTATAAATTAGCTTCAAATTCTTTGCCCAACAGAACAAATGAATAGGGTAATAAAAAACAAATGGGGTATAGCAAGAATTCTGAGTTTTTCAGCCACCTTGACGGACTGCTGAAAGACTTTGCATTTTCACAGTGCAACCGGCTGCTACAAGAAGGAAGAAGGCATCAAGAAAGAAGACATTTTCCAAGCCTTATACCTTTAGTCAATATACAGGTAACCCAGTCAGAATAGTTTTTAGTTTATGATGTAAATAAAAAACACTCAACAGAATTCTTCCATATTGCAGCATTTTTGTTGCCTCCAAATATCAAATAATATCTTCCCAAGGAGATCCCTTTCTTTTTCAAAAGATGCTTTTCCTATTGTAGACATACACAGAAGAGAAACAAAATTGTTTATGGTTGTTTGAGTTGTCTAACATACCCACAAAGAATACATTTTTCTTCAGATAGTCATTTTAAGCTGTATTTTTATTTACCAATTTTCCAAGATTTAATTACCCTGTGCAATGGACTGAATTGTGTTCCCCCAACCCCAAATTCATATGTTGAAACTCTAACCACCAATGTGACTACTGTATTTAAAGGTGGGCTTTTAAGTAACTAAGGTTAAATGAGATAATAAGGTAGGGGTCCTAACTTGCTAGGATTCATGATTTTATAAGAAGAAGAAAGAAGATTTTTCTTTCTCACCACCATATAAAGACACAGCAAAAAGTCAACCATCTGCAAGCTAGGTAGAGGGCCCTTGATAGAAACCGACAATGCTGCCACCCTAATCTTGGAGTTCCCAGTCTCTACAACTGTGAGAAAATATATTTCTGTTGTTTAAGGCACCTAGTCTATGATATTTTGTTACAGCAGCCCAAGCAGGCTAGGACAGCCCATTAATGGTTATAAAAGTCTTTCTTTTTAAACATTCCCTTCCCTCTGTTGACTTACTGTTTGTAGTCCTTTCTTACCACAACTCTCTGAGGAGGGGACAGGGCAGGACTATCATATGATGGGTCATTTCTCTAATTGTGAGTATCTTGGCTGTGTCTGGATGAAATAATTCATTCTACCACTGCTAACTATTAAATGCTTAATCTTCACCAGGCATCATGCTAGGTCATAGATATCTGTTCTAATCCTTACAAAGATCTCTGCATAGTAGGTATTGATACACCTTTTCTTTTTTCAAACAGAAAAACAACTGAACTTCAGAAAGTTTATATAATTTGTCCAATACCTACAGCTGGTAGGTGGAAAACTGGGTCTGACTAACTCTAAAGTCCCTACTTTTCTCAGTATGGCCTGTTGTGTTGTTGAGTATAATCTGAGATATCTATACCAGGAGATTTACTCAGTGGAATTCAACTGGACCATGAAGAAGGGCAGCATGGCAAAGAGGCTTTGGAGTCCAATAACTGGGTTTCTATCACAGAACCTTATTTGACCTCTCTGAGCTGAAATTTCCTAGTCTTTGAAGTGGAGATATAGCATCTAACTTTACAGGGTTGTTGTAAAAATTAAAGGGGGTAAATATTTGTAGCACTTGACACAGACTTTGCATCCAACAGTCTTTTTTGTTTATTTCTTTCTCTTTCTCCTCCCAATAATTGTTTAACCAAATTTCTTGATTATTGGCCTATGTACCAGGCACTTTTCTAAATGTGGGGAGCATCAGTATGAATAAAACTATGCCTTGAGGAAACAGCCTCTTAGAGAAGTGAGATGCGAACATTTATAATGTAATCTAGAAAGCACACGGAGTTTTATGTGAGACCAGAGAGTATACATATGACCAGGTGTGATCGGGGTGGGGATTGTTCCTAAATTAGATAATGTCTGAGCTGAATCTTAAAGAATTAATACTCCTAAGAATGAGTCAGGGATAGGAATATGAGAAGGGAACACTAGGCAGAAGGGAGAATGAGAGCAACCACATGAGAGTGGTAAAACAGCATTTAGTGTTACTGGGTCACAGAATAAAAGGGGGAGATCACGCTGGAAAGAAAGGCAAGAGTCATATGTAGTGGGGCCTCACTTCTGTCTGTAAGAGCATAAATATATTTATGTTGGAAATGGGGAGCCATAGCAGGATTTGGTTTTAAGCACATGGGTCTCTCTGGCAGACCTTATGTGTAGGGTGGATTTGAGGAAAATAAGATGAGTTAGGGAGTTAGTATTGCAGGTGGGAGGGGATGGGGGTTGAGCAGGGACAGGTGGAGTAGGAGATGGGAGGAGAAGATGGCCTCGATAAATTTAATAAAATTAAATTTAATTTATTGGATTTAGGTGGAAGTAGAGAAAAAGAGTTAAGGATGACTGCTGGGTTACTAATGTGGGTAAATTGGAAGGATGGTGGGACCACCAGATGAGAGAGAATGACGAGTGTGAGGGCAGTGCTGATGTGTCACCTATGTACCCTCTCAAGCATACCCATGGCAGGGAATGTAGCGACTGACAGCCTCAACTATGGTGCCTTTGGATCTACCATGGCAAGGGATCCCTGAGCTGCTATGAGCAATGCCTGATCACTATGGTAGCCCCAGAGTCAGGCCATTCCTGCCTGGTGTGGGATTCTTCCATGGGCAATTTTGCTCAAAGATTTCCCATTGTTGTGGCTAGGACTCAGAACTGCAGTGCAGTATCAGGCCCTTTCTAGCCAACCCTGCCTCTACCCTCTCCTTTCACAGGCATCAGATCCACATTGTGGTCTGAAGGGTCTCATTGGCTATCCAGCTCCCTCCCGCTTTGTCCTGTCTACCCTCTCCTTTCACAGGCATCAGATCCACATTGTAGTCTGAAGGGTCTCATTGGCTATCCAGCTCCCTCCCACTTTGTCCTTCACAGGTGTTTCTCCCTCCAGATCTCTTGCACCTCTAATCTCAATGTGGCTTCTACTTCTTGGAGGACCCAAACTGACATAAGTAGCATTTGGACATGGGTATGATGAAACACAAGATCAGTTACAGAAATACTAAGTTTGGTATGACTGAGAGACATTTGGCTGGAAATATCCTGTGGATAGTTGGATAAAGAAGTTAGAAAAATCAGAGATTGAAAAGTGCTTGACATACAGATTTGGGAATTTTTAGCATGCAGTGGTTAATCAAAACTATGAGTGTGGATAGATTCATTCAAGGAATAGGAATAAAGTGAAAATAGCAGAAATTTTATATTTGTATGCTATGGTCTGAATGTTTATGGGCCTCCAAAATTTATATGTTGAAATCCTAACCCTCAAGCTGATTGTATTAGGAGGTGGGGCTTTTGGGAATGGGGTTAGTGAACTTATAAAAGAGACCCTGGAACGATCCTTGTCCCTTCCACTATGTGAGGGCACAGGAAGAAGTTGGCAGTCTGAAACCTGAAAGAGGGCTCTTGCCAGAACCTGGCCATTTTAGCACCCCAATCTTAGACTTCTAGCTTCCAGAACTGTGAGAAATACATTTCTATTGTTTATAAGCCACTCAGTCTATGGTAAGTTGTTATAGCAGCCAGCATTACTGGCATTCTGCAAGACACACATCTGGATCAGCTTGTCTTTTGCCTTGGCCTCATGTTCTTGGCATATTTTATAGCATAACTGAAGGGAGGCTAAGGATGTCTCTGTAGTGGGGTGGGGTAGAAACATACAGTATCATTATGTATGAACTTGGGCAACTTGCTTTTAAAATGATTTCTGGCAGGTTTTAAAGCAAAATAAGCAGGAGGCCATTAGTCTGAGTTCCTATATAACAAACCACAACCTAACTTAGTATGTAAACCTCTGAAACCTAATTTAGGAGTATATTTAGTAACCAACAGCTGAGTTTCAGGCAATCACAAACAGCTATACTTCAGCCAGTCACAGGCAGCCAACTGATCAGCTCATTCTCAAATAAGGCAGATGCCTAGCTGTGGCCTATTAAGTAATTTCTCTGCTTTGCTTCCATGTGTGGCCTATACCAACTTGTTGCTCATTCTGCTGGGTGGAGCTCTCTGAACCTCTTGTGGTTCTGATTGCTGCCTGACTCATGAATCATTCTTTGCCCAAATAAACTGTCAAATTTACCTAAAATTTTTCCTTTACCACAGAGCATAAATAAACTAGCATTAACATTTCCACAATATTCTTAACATGGTGGCTGCTTTCTAAGTGGATGAGGTTGGGGCATAGCAGACTACTTAGTCCCCAGTAAGATATTTTATGTTAATATGCCCCTAGCATCAAATATTCAAATTATATATATATATATTTGACAGAAGGAACATGCATGTGAATTCCAGAGGTTTATTTCTTGCCATTTTTGTATTAGGTTAACTGATTTAATTGCAATATATTCAGTTTGTACACAGCTGGCACCAATCTCAATTTTGTTTACATATATCTGCTGTCATTTTAGGTCGTAGACTCTGTTCCACACAAGTCTTATATGAAAGTCACACCATGTGCAATCCCCCCAAATGCAGTGCATCCAAACTTGCCAAATTTTATGAGCTCCTCCATATAATCAATTTCATGAAACATTGATAGATTCTTTGTTTCTCATGACTTCTGGCAATAGTTGAAATACAAGGTAACCACTCATTTCACAATGTTATATTGAGAAGACTAGTTAATACAGAAAGCTATACCACATCTACACTGAGTACCAACTGGGAAGCCAATGAAGGATTTGAGCAAAAGTTTACCCTATTACTTTAGAGTAAGTTGGATGAATTGGAGGAAGTAAAAGACATAGAATTATTGAGGTGAAAATCAGCTGAAATGATGAAGAGACTGAAGCTTTCAACAATGTGATAGGAAAGCAATTTGAAAACAAGTCACAGGGAAACAACTGACATTTCACAATCAGAAATGGTGTGCCACAGGAAGCCTCAGGCACAATATAGTTTCACAAAGAATATATTTTGTGCATACTGGCAAAAACATATGGCTCTAGATTTTAATGTATCCATGTACATAAGTAATGGTCATATTAAATAGTATTTCTGAAGCTGACAAATAGTAATTCTAAACATCTCTAGGCTAAAATTTACTATCATCGAAGTTTGGAAATTTTGACCTATGCTGATAGTTATGTTTTAATCATAATTGTTTATTGAACTAATGGCTACACATCTTAGGTCTCTGTTAATACATGAGAACATTGTCAACGTGAGAGATTGCTTTTGTATTTACTTCCCATTTGACTGCTTCTCTCCCCTTTCCTGCTTTCTCTTAATTGTTAGGTTCTTAAATACTGCACTGATGGAATAATATTAATCAATGGAAATAAACAGAACTTCAGTTTAAGAAAAGAAATGTTAGCATATGTATAATCTAATAATTTGCTCACTATTGATGGTCATTAGATAATCAACCTTCCATTATATACTCTAAGTATATAATTATTTTAAAATTATCTAAATATTCACCCATTTTTAGAATCTTCTTTATGAGAATGAGGCTCCATGGTTCATAATTAGATCACCTTCTTTCAACTTGGATTAGTTTAATTGTCTCTTCATCCCAAATCACTTTTCGGTAAGTTAAACTAATGGAAAATAACCTAGAGAATTGAAAAGAATGTGAGTTTAGGCATGAGAAATAAAAGGATTAAACACACATCTGTTCCTCCTGTTCTTTTAAAGCATTTTCTGTAGTTGTAACAGTAACTTTGGTATAAGAAACTGTTGAAGCTGTGTGAAACCACTGAGAGAGTATGGAAAGTGGGATGACATTTAAGTTCTGTGAAATCTAGCTGTGACTTTGGGCTTACAGTTTTAAGTATCTATTTCCTCACACACACACACACGCAAAGAATATTACCTAAGGTGTGTAGGTATCTCCCTTGCAACCTGAGAGAATCTATGATATTAGAAATTAGAAATTTCTTTATCTATGATAAAGAAATTAGAAATGTCTTTCGCAGATATGTGGACTTATTTAGTCATTTAAAAATATGTGTGCAGTAGAATCTTTTCTACTTCATCTTCATGTCTATCCCAGGGAAAATAAAGACATCTTTGTTTGAAATTATCTCTATTGTATGCCCAGTTCTGGAAATGTAAATTGTAGACAAGTTCTTTGGATATTGATAATGCAGCTATAATTTCTGAGAGGTAATAGAGTGGTTTAGCTTATTTGACACATGCTGTGCTGAAGTAATCTTGTTGAAGAAGCTTTATTCTTGTATCTCATGCCTGAAAGCTGGGCACTTTTCACTTAATGGACAACATATCTTGTTAAGTTCTACAGCCAGGTGTCATTTGTCTTCTTCATGGACAACTGGAATACAGAATAAATCTAGATACTAGTATTTTCTACCAATACAAACTCATTGAAAATGATCTAGAAAAGAGATTCTTATCAACTCTTTTGGGAAAAGCTGAGTGTTGGGAGAAGCTGAGGCAGGGCTTGCATGTCTGACATAATGTAAAAGAGTCCTGGAACATGTCTGGGGTCCAGGGTCTAAAACCTCCTGTGGCCTTTGGAGCGCCAAGCTCTGTGCTAAAGGGTGGAAGAATACCCTGATACACCATAATCTGAGCCCAGGCCATAAAACCCCTCATGGATTGTATAGAATCCAGGGCTCATGGCTCTGGAGTGTGTCTAGACTTGCTGACTCCTTGCTCCTTGCTCTCCCAGGATCGATTGTATCTTTAGTTAAAAGAACCTGCTCTCCATTATTCTCAAGTAGCAGAGCAAATGCTAAACCATCACAGCTGTAAATCATGTGCTTAATGCAATGTGCCCTTTAGACCTCCACATTCTCACCACCTGTTTCTTTGTTGGATTACCAATAAACAGCGTGGGCTCCCAGAGCTCAGGGCCTTCATAGCCTCCACGATCGCGATGGCCCCCTGAGGTCCCACCTTTCTCTCTCAAACTGTCTTTTTCTCAATCCTTTGGCTCTGCTGGACTTTGTCACCCCCATGACCTGGTGTTGGGTCTGATCACCCCAACAAACTCTCCTTAAAATTATATAGAACATTGTGGTATGTGTATATACATATGTTTTAAAAGAGAGGACCCATAGCCTTCCTCTGATATTTAAATGGGGCTTGTGACTATCCCAGATGTTTAGAATCATTATTATAGAATACAAGAAATATTATGAGCAAGGATTAAAACAATAGAGTGAAATTTGTCTATTTCTTTCATGAATAATATTAATCATAAATTTCATGGTTTAATCTGAATTTTGTTTTACTCTAATTATCCGTAACATTTAATGACATGTTATAATTTTATGACATAAAGTTCCCGTATCAATGATATTCAAAGGTTGCTGTGTAAGGAATACTCGTTTTACACATTCAAGTTGAATAAATAGCATTATTTCATTTAAATTCTCTGGGGAAAAAAATCAGCCACAGAAAATTACTCAATTGAATTTCCTATAAGAAAAAACATAAATTATTTCATCAGAATGATTCTAAAAACTTCTGAAATTTTATATGTGAATAAAATATTGACTTAGTTTTTAATTATCCAAAACTGCATAGGGTTTTTTTTGGGTAGCAGTTTCTGGAATATTGTCTTAATATAACATGATGGTTAAAAGTTGAGTCTTTGGAATCATTTAATCTATTTTTAAATCCCACCATCAGTACTTATTGACTGTGTAACACCTAGCTAAATAACGTATATTCTCTTTCCA
The DNA here is from genome assembly GCF_000001405.40 of Homo sapiens. Taxonomy (NCBI): domain Eukaryota; kingdom Metazoa; phylum Chordata; class Mammalia; order Primates; family Hominidae; genus Homo; species Homo sapiens. The sequence goes on from NC_000014.9 coordinate 39,845,046, forward strand.
CAATGAATGAGGCAATGTACAAAAAAAGCTTTGCCTAGTGCCTAGTAAATGTAAATCCTTCATAAATAGTAGCAGTAGTAGTAGTATTCATTCTTAGGGAGAGCACAAAGAGACTTAATGTATACAATAAGATATTAATGAGGGAAATTAGGAAGGAGTTCTGGGGAGGCAGAGTCACCTAGGAATATAATTCAGGCTTTAATCCATTGCATTAGCAGATGCTGCCCCAAGAATCACTCCCTGTGTAGAGGTAATTATATCAAAATAGGTCTCTGTGTTTGAGCTAAGACTGTGAAATACAGCTAGCGTACAAAACCCTGAACATAACATAATTGATAATCCACAAAGACACAAATTTTGTGAGATAATGCAAAGTTGTCAATGCTATGCAACTACTGTTGTATTGATTGTATTGTGTGTAAATGATTTTCTGTATTTTGTATGTGAGAAAATTTTAGCTATGTCTTTCTGCAGGTACACCAGGGAGCACTTGTTACATTTATGTGCTATATTATTTTTATGTTTGGTTGTGAGTGTTGAAAAAGCCTTGTTTTAAATGTAATTACAATTTGATAATACCTTAAAAAGTGATATCTTTTTCTTACTCTTCTTTTCCCCATTTCTGTATGTCCAGTTATAGAGAGGCCTCTATTGAGTGTTCTGGACCCATCTAGTTTTCCTTCTAGGGAGTTAATATTAATTAGAGCTAATGTTCATTTAGTGCTTTCTATGGGTAGGCACTAAGACCTCTATCAGTTTTATTTTGCTTAATCCTCACAGTAACCCTGAAAGGTAAGAACTACCATTATCTCTATATCATAGATGAAGAAATTGGATCTTAGGGTAATTCTTCTGCTTAAGCTAGCACAGATAGTGAGTGGTAAAGCCACAATTCAAACCTCTGTGTGCTCCCAGAGCCCATATGCTACTATATGATATTAGCCTGCATCTCAGCAGGGAAAGCAAGATGAGCCATTGAGTGTAGAACTTGTTACCAATAAAAATTACCTGCACCTGTGTGCCCTGGCACCACTTCTAAGATGTTTTTGCCAAAAGTAAAAGACTACTGTCTGATGCTCATGTTCATAATGTGCCACGTACTTTCTCTCCAAACTCTTGAATGCATATCACATCAATTTTTCCCCAAACACCGAAGAAATAGGATTTATTCATTTATTTCACCTTGGTTGCATGTCTATAGAACCAAGGCAATGTTTTAAGCACTTGTAATTTGTTTAATCCCTGAACAAAACACAAAACAAAACAGACTATGCCTTTTTGGAGGAGTTTTGTGGATTTCAATGTAAGGGAAATTGACAGCATCTAAGAAAAAGGGAGAGTGTCTAACAAACAACTGGGCAATCATGTAGAGTAGGTTTTAATCAGCATTCATTTCTTAAATGTTAGGAATGCTGAAGACAAATATGCCTGGAGTAGAATTTTTTTTTGGTTTTATAGATTATACTATCATCATTCTTTCTCATCTTTGTTTTCCTACCTATTAAATAGGGCTACCAAAAGAGAAAGTTGTGCATTCCTCTGTCTTAGGATATGTAGTCTTCACTTTTCCCATACTTGGACATGTTATATATTTTTTGGTGGCAGAAATGAGAGAGATCAATAATCAATACTGTTGGTTGGAAGATGTCAAGTAAAACTTCCATCCATCCGGACACTGTTCTTTGTTCATGCATGGATGCTAGATGCCACAAGATCTTGAAAGCTAATAAGAAGGCAGACTAGGGATCTTTCAATCCAGGATGACATGGGGGAAGGGAAGATTACTATTATTTTTAACAAATCTCTTGATTATGTTTCTGCTATTTGTCATAGTATTTGAGTTTTGTGATGCTGACACTGTAGAACTAAAACATGAAGAGGATTGTGAAAACTTACAATGGGAGAACTTCTTCCCCCAATGTAATGTAGTCAAGATGTACAGCTTTTATAGGTGATTGGAGTCCTCCATGACCTTACATAGGAACGTACAAGTACGTACTAATACAATCTCTTAAATGTGAGCAAACTAGAATGGTTCTGTCTTTTCTGTGTTCTCTAGCACTCCCAAAGTTTCCTTCCTTAAAGGGAAGTCTTGTTACAATGACATATTGAAGGGCAATAATCTTCATGAGCATTGGAAAGAGAAAAATAGCAAGCTTGAATAACAGTATTTTTTGAAGATTCTTCAAGATTTACTCAAGATATTTTTTTTCTTAAGAGTTCCAATCTGGAGTGACTCCTGATTATGCACTGAAACCTTTGAAGAACTTCCTATGTGTTTATAAAATGATTCATTCTACTTTGTTGAGCTCTTAAATGCCTGTGCCCCAAACACAGTAAAAGCCCATGACTATGTTCAATATTATTAGGAACATGGAAGAGTGAGTCATTTTTCCACCTCTGTTTAATGAAACCTCTTTGTTCTGATGAGACTGTGTGATCTAGGGTTTTAAACTCAAAGTATATTAACTAGGAAATATAGAAGCTAAGAAAAAAATGCAGAAAAGCCATCTCCTGAGGCACTGGGAAAAGCTAAGAGTCTTAAGTGGGAAAACGATAGAGTTTTGTAATAAATATGATAAACAATATAAGCCAGTGGGTTTATGTTCCAGTGAAATCTTTACTAAATATGTGTTATTTTCTAAAATACTCTTACTGTTTAAATAAATGCATACTTAAACTGCTTAATAATTTAAACATTTAGAACTTATCTGGTAGAATACTGTGCACCTTACATAAATTAACCGATTAACTGACTTAACACTTATAACATTCCCAAGAGTTAGCTACTATTACTGTTCTCAGTTTACAGATGAAGAAGTTGAGGGACAGAGATATAAGGTAACTTGGTCATTGTCATGTACACAAGGAGTAGTGGCTCCAGAACTTGAATCCAGGTAGTCTTTCTCCGGAACTCATACTCCTAACCACTAAATGTTTCTCAGTAGGTTATCTATTTTTGTTCCCATATCAGGCAGTTTATTAATAGCTTACATCAATATGTATACTGTTGTAAGTACTATTTTATCACATTTAGAGAGCTATTTTCGGCTGGGCACGGTGGCTCACGTCTGTAATCATAGCACTTTGGGAGGCTGAGGTGGGCGGATCACAAGGTCAAGAGATTGAGACCATCCTGGCCAACATGCTATTTTCTATTATTTGGTGAAGTAGTTCAAGCAAAAGCTGGTTGGTTAATTATTTGTATTCGGGATTGGAGCAAGAGGTAAAGGAATTAAGAAATAGCTGTACTGTTTAGCTGGAAACCAACAACCCAATTTTGTTGCTGTGAAAGTTGACTACTTTCTATGCTATAAATTATTTTGGAAAATAGTTTGAATTATTTATGGATTACTATTTTGGAAAATAGTCTACTTTAACAGAAAGTATACAGTGGTTAAGCTTGGAAACTTTAGAACACTTTCTTTTAATGGGGTAAGGGAGAAGGAAAATTTTTTTTGTTTTGTTTTTGAAATGGAATCTCACTCTGTTGCACAGGCTGGAGTGCACTGGCATGATCTTGGCTCACTGCAACCTCTGCCTTCTGTGTTCAAGTGATTTCCCTGCCTCAGCCTCCTGAGTAGCTGGGATTACAGGCACCTGCCACCACACTGGGCTAATTTTTGTATTTTAAATAGAGATGGGTTTTACCATGTTGGCCAGGCTGGTCTCAAACTCCTGACCTCAAGTGATCCACCTGCGTAGGCCTCCCAAAATGTTGGGATTATAGGCATGAGCCACCACACCTGGCCAGGAGAAGGAAAATTTTCATTAGTTCCTGGTCAGAACATGGTACTTAGAAAGGATATGGAGGAAACAGTGGAGGTATTGGTCCACTCAGCTATACGTTGAAGACCTGCCAGGATCCCCTAGATTCAAGTCTTATCACTTGCTAGGTATTTGGTAATGTGCAAAGGAGAGAGAGAGAACTTGCCTTGTAGAACCTTGTTAGTCCAAGTGTGGCCCAGCAGTACTGACATCAGTAGGGAGCTCATTAGAAATGCAGAATCTCAGTCCCCACCTAGACCTATTAAATCAGAACCTTCATTTTGACAAGATCCCCGGAGGATTCATTTGCCTATTAAAGTTTGATAAACATTGTAATGGAAGGAAGTGTAAACCAAAGATAAAATTCTAAGGTTCCCCTAACCATCTGAATGGACCCCTTCTCTCTGCCAAGGGCATTCCAGAGTTAACCTGAAAAACTAGTTTATGATGGAAGAGGGGGTCAGACCTGCCTCTTTATACCCTTCAGCATTAACATCAACACAGACCTTAAGTCTGATAAGAAACACTTATAGTCTGTTCTCACTCAGACATTCTTTTCTATTGATAATAACTCTTTCAACTAATTGCCAATCAGAAAAATTTTAAATCTACCTATGACCTGGAAGCCCCCACTTCTAGTTGTCTCACCCTTCCAGATCAAACTGGTGTAAATCTTCCATGTATTACTTGATGTTTTGATGTCTCCCTAAAATGTATAAAAGCAAGCTATACCTCAACCACCTTGGAAACATGTTGTCAGGAACTTCTGAGGCTGTGTCCCAGGTGTGTCCTTAACTTTTGCAAAATGAACTTTCTAAATTAATTGAGACCTGTCTCAGATACTTTTGGGTTCACAGGAGGATACACTTTTTAGGTTTCTGTTCTGTTTTGAAGGACAAGAAATGACCTCAAGTACCCTAAAACTTAAAGTATAATAATAATAATAAAAAAGAATCTTTGGCATAAATCTCATCTCTTTAAGAGCCTTCTATCTAGCTGAGTGATTTTATTTTCATGCAAAAGTTCTCTTTTTCTTTTGCAAATAATAGTGATACCTGAGATGATAACAATAATAGCTAAGATTGACTGAGTATGTACTATGTGCCAGCCACTGCCCTAAGTGTTTTATGATTGTTATCTCATTTAATCTTCACAGTTAACCAATTTAACTGATATTTTTACTTATCTCCAGCTTGCAGATGAGGAAACAGAGGTATAAACGATTAAATAACTTACCCAAGATCATACTGCTAGCAGAATCCAAACCCAAATTTGACTCTTAGACCCAAGTGGCATTATTTGCAGACTGAACTGTTTCTCAGCTATTAAGACCTACCCTACTGTTCCTGTAGTGACTTAATTTCTTATCTGATCCTCTCATTAAATAGGAAAATGTAGAGAGATACTGTATGGACCCTAATACATTTAGAATTCTTCAAAGCTTCTAAGCAGTATCAGAATGCTACCATCAAACTCTTCAAAAAATGTCTCATTCATAAGCAATTGGCATATTTGTGGATACACACTGTATTGTAGAACATATTTCAAAAAAGAAAAATCAGTGGGGATTTACAACACCATACATTAGGACACATTTTTTTTTTCAACATTGGAAGGTGCTACTTTTTAATTTCTTTGATATAATTTGGACCTCTGAACTATAGCAGTACTATCCTGGTGTGCTAATGGAGGCTTCTGGGGGAGTAGGCTAAGACCTCAACAGGTAACAGAAGAATCATTTCAAATGAAACATATTATACCTCCTGCTAGCAGGTCTCACCTGTTAACCTCAGAGTATGGTGCTGTTGAGTCTTTGAAGGGAAGGCCTCCTAGGGGATGCCACCTAATTCATCCTAGGGAGACTAAGATGGAAAATGTTTCCCAAATGGCTCTCTGTGTGTTCTTTGACCTGAAGCTTCAGCCCCGGATGAGTGAGTGTTTTCCAAATTGTTGTTTTGGTTCAGTGAAAGATGTTTCTAATGCTCTTCAAATAGTAGAACTTTTTGTTATTGTTGTTCAAGTCAAGGCAAGGGCAACAATTCTTTAGCAGCTGTATTCCTTTTCTTATTTTATTACAATTCTCCTTTATATATTCAGTGTTTCATCATATGCTTTTTACTCATAAGGTTGTAACTCAATTAAAGCATTCAAGCATTTTAGCCTTGTGCGTTAAAGACTATCATCATCAATAAATTCAAATGGGGCTAACCTTGGAGTGACATCTTCATTTCTATGATAATATACAATCTGCAGATCTTTTCATATCATTGGTCACAGCTTGATCATACTCTCATAAGTAAAGACCTTGGAACTTTAAATAAGTTACTTCTTCATTTTTAGCCAGTTGGATTCATTTATTTATAAATGCTTATTTCAGTCATTTCACTGAGCTCAAGCTGTTGATTGATGTTTCATGTGACCATTTTCCTTTTCAAAACACAGGAATATAGCTGGGACATAACTTTCCAATAGCCATTTAATATGAAAACCTATTTTGTGTATGGTTCTTTCTGTAATCACTTGTGCATGACTGAGCTTAAATGGTTTGCAGACCTTGCTGATGGATTACAGAACAAGCAATGAACTTGCAATTTTTTCTTAAGGGATTAGATGATTTTGCACTGTGGTGAACTGTGCATTTTGCCTCGCATTTCACTCTTGCTTAGGTGCTGTTTGGTGATTAATTTTATGAGATATGATGAGAAATACCCTAGATGAGCTGCACAAGGCAGATGGTGCCTTCTGATAAAAATTACATTCTTGTCCAGTAGTGATAGGCATGGGATAGAAGATGATGATCTGTTTGTATGCATTTCCAAAAGGAAGGCTGAAGAACTCAGTTAAGGAATAAATAGTTCAAGGCCCTTTTACCCTTTACTACTTGCAGGCCCATGGAACCATATAGAGAACCCCAGGTTGCCATTGATGCTCACTAGCCAACCTATGGCCAACTCTCAGCTTGCAACATTTGTTTCACCAACTTGTTGTATTATAGCATTTTGTTTTATGTTTGTTGACTGATATAATAGGGCAGAAATACTGCTAGAAGTTTGTCTAGCACAATAATTGATCAAGTAATTAATCAAATATATTTTATTTGATTTTATTCCAAACAGCCGCCTAGTCTTTGAATTCAACAGTGTTTTTAGCTTTTAAAAATGTGTTAGAAAAAGGGTAATAAAAGGAAACAGAGACTATCACTGTAATAAGCGATAAGCAGAATTAGCTTTTTCATTTTTTTTTTTAGTGGAGATAATGTATTCACAGGTTTCAGAGTATGGCTACTTGCTGTGAAAGCTGAGGCAAGTCACAAGATTTTGCAAAGCCCTTGCAAAATGGAGATAATGATGCACCCGCCTTTTAAGCTTGTGGAACTTGTGAGATTTGAATGAAATGATCCATGTATATTGCTAAACATAGTACGTAGTAAGTTTTCTAGAAATGTTGGTGTCTTCATCTGTTTTGTGTTGCTATTACAGAATACCAATACAGAATACCACAGACTAGGTAATTTATAAACAATAGAAGTTTATTTGCTTCATGGTTCTGGGAACTGGAAAGTCCAAGAATATGACATCAGCACCTGGTGACAGCCTTCATGCTATGTCATCCTATGGGGGAAGGCAGAAGGGCAGAGACCATGAGAGCAAGAGAGAATAAGGAAGCTGAACTAACTTTTATAGTAACCTGCTACCATGATAACAACAGTAATTAATTCATGAGGGCAGAACCCTCATGATCTAATCACCTATTATTAGGCCCCACCTCCTAACACTGTTGCACTGGGAATTAAATTTCCAACACATGAACTTTGGGGGACACATTCAAATCATAGAAGTTGGTTACTATTATATATCTTTGAAGCCATGCCAAGCATACTCTGTTTAGACTTATTTTCCCAGTTTATAAGTGAAGAAACAGACATGTAAAAAAGTTAAGCAAAATTTACAGTCACAGCTAATGGGCTCAGGCTGTCTCATATCAAAACTGTAACTATAATTTTGTGTTTAATGCTGAACATAATTTTAAGCATTTTTTCTCCATAATTTTATCAGGAAACTGAAAATAAGAGATTTTATGTAATATACAAAAGAACCCCAGGTTACTAAGTCACAAATCTGGGATTTGAATGTTATTCTGCCTGGATTCCAGATGTTCCTTGCTCATCACCCTGCTCTCTGAACATCACATGGGATTGTAGTATTTGAGGAAAGGGCTTATACATCTAGCAACATTTTTCCATTAATTTCCTATTCTTTTTATATTCTCTATATTCACTAAATATTTCAGTGATGGTTGAAAGGAACAAACTTTAAAATACATAGGAAAAAATACTAATAAGATACTACCTCAAAATTACCAGAATAGCTACAACTGGAAAGACTGACAACACCAAATGCTGGCAAGGATTTGGAGTAACCAAAACTCTAATACTTTTTTGGCGAGAGTGGAAATGGTACAACCACTTTGGAAAAGGTCTGACAATTTCTTTTTAAAGGTAAACATACACCTCTACTATGACCTGGCAATTCCACTTCTAGGTGTTTACCCAAGAGAAATGAAAACTTATGTCCACAAAAAGACTTTGCATAAATGTTTATAGCAGTCCTGTTTACAATGTCCAAAAACTGGAAAAAATACAGATGTTTATCAATCAAGAAAATAGATAAACTGATGTATAGTCATATGACAGATTACTACTTAGCAATAAAAAGGAACAAGCTACTGCAACATGCATGAACCTCAAAAACATTATGCTAAGTGAAAGAATTACACAAGGGAGTACATACTGTTTGAGTACATTATGACAATTATGGTCTAGGACAAGCAACATTAATCTGTGGTAGTGCTTCCCTCCCTAAACACAGTGACCTGCTCCTTATGGGCGGTAATAAGAGACCTGCACATGTTTAAGGAAACACTATGGCTCATGTAATTCTCAGACAATTGTGGAGATCTCTTAAATGAAACTACCCTTAGTTACTTTAGACAGCTTTGTGGAGGAACAACTGACATTATTTATGTCCCTACTGTGGGTGGTTTTACCTGCAACATGGGTTATCCACTTAAAAAAAACTGATAATAAATTTGTCTCTGACATTAGCTAAAGTGATCAATAACAACATCTTGGTTCTATAAGCCATTCAAACCAGCTTGAACTCACTGGCCTGGGTTATTTTGTTATCTGTATTCATTAAATATTCCAGTGATGGTTGAAAGAAACATACTTCCACAAGAGATGTTTTGGATGATAAAAGTTTACTTGGCTTCTTCCTTGTGGGCCAAGGCAGAGTTTGTGCAGTCACTAATACATCCTGCTGTATATGAATGAATGCCTTGAGGCAAGCAGAAAGATCAATGCAGAGACCTAAGGAGAAAGCCATCTGGTGGTTTATCAGACTTGTTCAGCTGACTGTGTCTGGGACCGTGAGCAGGGCATGGTTGAGATAATACTGCTTACAGTTCTATTGATAGTACCTATAATTAAATGCTATATTAGGCAAATTGAATGGATTACGTCCCAACATGAATTAGTCACTGAGAGAATGGTGTATGCGTGGTACAATTCACGAGATGCCAAGGTGGTGTAGAAATGAGGTATGGAGATTGTTGTGAGACAGTTCTCCATGTGTCTCTTGCTTTTCTGCATGTATTAAGAGTGATGCTCTTCGTTCTGAAAGTTCCTTAGTTACAGATGTTTCTTTGTTCAAGATCATCTTTTCAAGGGTGTAAGCAGGCATGGTCACTGCCCATTATAAAAGATTCAGTTTCCCCATGGAACCAGGATGAATATTGACACTAGTTGTTGCAAGAGGGAAGAACAGAGGCTGATTGATTGGCAAGGAAGTCATCCTACACAAAGGAGAGTCAGCAACAACTGATTTTGTCTTTGAATCCACTTTCTAGTAGTAGGCCTGTAATCACCTTCCCATTTTTTTCTCTCTTTACTGAAAAAATGCACTGGGGGACTATTTGTTATCCATAGACCATACCGTTTGATTAACATGTTTACTACCAGTTCTCATAGACTTTTCTCATATTTTGTTAAATGTCCTCATCTTTCCTCTTGCAGAAACCCATATATTTTCCAGCACTCCATCCTCACTGTCAAAACTGTCAAGAACATAAAGGGTCTGAGATTGTGCCCTACTTGCAAGGCAACAAGTTAACCTGGCATAGTTTCATGTATGCTGGTAGAAGCTATGAGGCTCCTGATTCAGAGGTAAAGAACTGCTTATATTGTTTATTTCTCACAGTAATAGCAGTAACCAGAATATGAGCCCGTTTTCCAATTTTCATAGAGAAGAGGGCTGGATGGTGCCTCAATAATTCAGTAGTTTGCATTTTAGGAGAGAAACCCTGAACTTAAGGTGCCTGAATCTCTATAATGGGCAGAGTTAGCATGTTTGCCCTTTACTCCAGAGGGAGATGCTTTCTGTCTTCCAAGGCTGTTCACAATACAAATATCCTAAAAAATATAGTCCAGAATAAAGAGTAGTTAGTACGTAGCTCACAATCATATGTGTGGAAATGCGAGACACCCATGAAGAATTGTCTCCATGGATGTCTCATCCTATACATGGCTTCACATTCCATGACCTGCTCACAGCAGTGCCCTTCATTTTCATTTTTGTTTTACCTTCCTCCTCCTCCTCATCACTCTCTGCTTGACCTTGCCCTCATCTAGAAGTGCTCTTTGTATAAAATCTTCAAACTCTGAAATGTCAAACTCTGACCCAAATATTGTACCTTTCTTTCTTCCTCACGGAGACTAAATAATCTTTGAAATTAAGTCTGACTTGAACCTCAAACACCTTACTTTCCTGGCCTATCTTTCCTTCCTGGCTTCACTCCCTTCCCTGTCAGGCTAAGGCCCAGCCACTTTCTCCTCACCAGTGTCAATGCCTTTGCCCCTATTCCTTCTGTTATACTTGCTTGACACTCGTAACTCTGGATTATCTACTACTTGTTTTCTCTCTTCCTGTTAGCAGGCTTTCTAACAAATGTGGAGAACATCGAATGACCTTGTTGATGAAAACATTAAAAATGATGATTTCCAATTTTAGTAGCTTCAGGCCATCTCCCTAGTTCAGACTTCTTACTTGTAAAATATTTTGGAGAGGTAGCAAGCACCACAGCAATGAAAACTGAAATAGGCCTCAGATAATGGTCACAATAAAATGTTTATTATAATGCTAGCAGTAAATATAAGAGGCACTTTTCTGTCTAACATCTACCTGGGTAATGGGCCAAAAGCATTTTAAGTTTACAAAGTGAAAACAATTAATACTTTCTCAAAGCTAGATTAAAACAGAACCTAAAATTACATACTCGATGGATCTATATTGTGGTTATCTTTACTGAATCTCAGTTCAAGTTCAGGGATGTAACTTTGCAAGGTGACTTATGACTGTTCCTGTTTTTCATTTTGTTATTTTCCATTAGACAGCTAAACATATTACTAAGTGTCAAAAGCTTTTGCCATGAAGGTAGGTGAAGAAAATATGAGAGTGAATACTCCGATGATGGTTTTAGTTTATGATGCATTTCAAGCTGTGCCTTTTCAACAGTTAAATACTTCAGCACTTTTAGTGGGATGAACCATCACGTATTTAAAAAACTTAAGCACTTTTGTTTCAAAGAGAAGAGTCAAGTTTAATGTCAATTGGTGAAAGCATAGAGTATGATGGGTTTTAGGAGGGAAACCTGAAATTGTACAATGTATAAGCATTTTGACATTCTTACTTTATGATCCCTTCCTCAGGGCAGTTCTCATTCAAAATCAAATTTGTGCTGACACTATCAGGCTTCTGATATTTATATTCATGATAATAAATTAGGAAAAAATTAAAAGGTAATAAAGTAGATACTGTTTCAAATGAGGGCAAAAATGAGAGGAAGTCATCAATTGGCAGGAACATGAGGAAGTCTGTATTATTAATGCATAAGAATGAAACGAAAAATGGGCATATTAGGGAGGTTTCTTTTTGTTTGCAAGTTTTATTGAAATTTAGAAAGTTCAGTTGTTTTTTTTTTATTATTTTTCACAAAAGCAATGTCAAAAATGGTAGATCTTAGTCTTGGAAACAAAAGCCTATTTAACTTGCTGAGAATCTGATGCAGGTACTACACTATTATCAATATGATGATAGACCTTAAAATAATTCCATAGCGGGGAGAGTTTTAGACTTGATTTCTATTTCTGGCTCCTCTATTAATTTAGACTAGCTGCTTAATCTCTTTAGGTCTTCGTAAAATAAATGAGTGTATTAGATAATCTTTAAACTCACTTCTAGTTTAAAATTCTTTTGTATTCCTCTATTTCCTATTTCCTTCCTTTTTAGAAACATAAAGTCCTTGCAGAATTTTTTGGAGGCAATTCTTTTGTCTTCACCCTGGCATCTCTCCTCTCTCTCTTTCTCTCTCTCTCTCTCTCTCTCTCTCCTCTCTCTCTCTCTGTCTGTCTCTCTCTGTCTCTCTTTCTCTCATCAGATAAAGCATAGGTCTGCATTTTTGGGACTATTATGTATCTGGGTGGTTGTCATCTTCTTTATGCTTTTGAAATAATGTCAATGCTGTGTTTGTGCTCAGTTTCTTTTGATAAAGATAAAAGCAGATTGCAGGATGCTGTGATCATCTCACTGACAGTCCCTTGGGTATTTATTTTTTAAAACAGCAATTTATTTTAGAAAAGCTCAATGATTTAATGTACATTAATTCACTGATGTTCACATGGGCCTGTCTAGGGAGTGGGAAGGGCTGGTATTTTACGATTATGTGCTCTTACAGACAGGCACAGAGGAGCCCCTGAAATGCAGTGGAATGAATATAATCTGACTAAAAGGTATCTCAAATTTTAACCCCATCTGCTATGGGAAAAGAACACCCAGTGCATGGCTTCACACAGCACTTAGCACATTGCATTGCATTTACTTATTTATGGGTCTTTTTTACCCACTAGACTGTGAGCTTTTCAAGGACACTGCGTAACACATAATGAGCCCCGCGTTGTTATTTCCTGAAATGACATGGAACTTAGTCAGTGTAACACAGGTTCGTTATTGCATCGGGCCCATTTTTGCAGCAGTTTTGCCAGATTCTAGGTGTTTGCCAGGTATAGATTTTGGGGACTCCCTTCCGCAAATCCCTAAATTTCAAAGCCTAGGAATATTTGCACAAGTAATCAACTTTGTATATAATCACATTTCTGTATATCTTGCTTTACATTAGCCATTTTTAAAAGTTTGATTAAATAAAGCTTTCTCTCTTACTTGATGCCTGTTTTCCCCCAAAGTCACAAAATCTTACCACATTATGGAAGTGACTACAAGTAGGAAAAAAAAAATGTCAAGTTGAGATGTGGATTGTATACATCAAATTTTAAAATTCCTATGATGATGATGATAATGGTTGATTTGGAAATGTGTGCTGTTTCCTTTTTGCCAGGCACTCATGTGTTTTATATGTATTTATTTACTTCTCAAAATAATACAGTAAGGTAGGTATCATTCTCATAATGAATTGAGAAATCGAGATTTAATGACTTTGTCTAAAATCAACTGCTAGTTAGAGAGAGCAGGCCTCACATCTGTATTTTTCTTTTAGAGTCTATACTCTTAACTTTCTCTTAGACAAATTAATTTCAATATTTCACTTTAAACCATTTGCAAGGAAATCAAAATTTTAACAGACATCTGAAGATTTATTGCTGAATCCTTTCATGGAACCCCTAATAAGTAAGCCAAAGTCTAGTTGTAGATTGTCATTTCTAAATAGGTACCACCAATAACTTATTGTAGATTTTTTTGTATTTGAAATTTAAATGTGTGCAGTTTTTATGATTCGCATGTATATTAATAATTTATTCATATGTAATTATCATTTGGTTGAGGAAAGAATTAGAATTCCATGTGCTTTGATGCAGTATGTGGAAAGAAGTTAATTGCATAGTAAATATTTGCTGTTTTGGTTGCTGGGCTTTTGATTCTTCTTCCTTTTGGTAAGAACTCTGATTGGGTTTTAGGCAACCACTCCTGCCCCATTGTCAGCCCCGGAAGTTTCAGTGAAGCAGCTCAGCATTCCCTTCTTCCACAGGCAGAACATGAAGCTAAGATTATTCCAATCAGTCATTTCTTTTCTTTTCCCCTGGTTATAGTTATTGGTTCAGAGATAGGCACTGCAACACTGACTAGTTGTCTTCACAGCTAAACTAAACATTTAAGCTCACTTCCATACATCATCCTTGATACCACTGTACAAGGAAGGTCATAGGAGAGAAAACACAGCTTTCCAGTAGAATGGAATTAGACATTATTTCTTGCAAGAGTCCTTGCAGCAGTCCAGCCTAGCAATAAAGCTAAGGTACAAAAAAACATAATCTGCGTTGCACAGGTGAGGAAATCATCATCTCCAATAACCAATATCATTTGTAACAGATCTTTAGGCTTAACTTGAAGGGTCTCTGTGAGAAACGTCATTTGGAAGAGTCACTGAACTCAAGGAAGTCCAAACCATGGCAGCCCCATCAGTTGTTTAGTTGATTTATAGTTCCTCCAAGTCCAGATGCAATTTACTAATCAAGGGTCCTATTTTAGGTAAGCAATTTATGGTAAGCAATATTATCTAGTGATATCCTGACTCTTGACTCTTATCAGATGGCCAGAGGAGCAGAGCTAAATGGTTGAACAAAGGTCAGATTCTCATGCAGCAGGGAAAATGGTTCTGTTAACCCTTTATCTATAGATACTAAATTCTAAGACTTTAAAAGCATGTTATTAGGGAAGCAGGTTCTTTTTTTTGCCACTAGATTTTAAGCTTGAAAGGAGATAGCTAAGTGAACTGCTGTGGCCACATTACTACCATGAGTGGAGAGGCTGTGTGAGAATGGACCTAATCCAGAGGAAGCAGAACTCAGCAAGATGGAAAGAGATACTTGGGACCTGGTGGTTTCAATAAGCCAGGACTAAAACCTTTTTATACAAGGATCTTTCAATCATTTGAGTCAATTATTTCACTTTTGGCTTAAGCCACTGTGTGTTAGATGAATAGAACTGAGTTCTGAGACATTGGTATAAAGGGGACAATCAATAAATTTTTGTTAAATGCATAAATGAACATTGCTGAGTATTTCTCTTTTGATAGGCAAAATGAGGACAGATTCTTAAAAAACAAAAAAATGACATCTGCAAAAACACTGATGCTTAATGATTGACAAATATGACCCTATTATATCTAGTCACTCAGGTTTAGCCATAAAAAAATAAATAAAATTGAATAAAAATCGCAGGAGGTAGAAAAATGGTGACATTGTGTTAGTTGAATGTTGACATTAGAGCTTGGCATCATTTGATTAGATTGATTCATTCATCATGTTGTTCAACAATTAGTTGCTGAACAATTTTTATGTGAGAAGACAAAAGCCTTTTGACTTTTAGAAAGTAGAAATGACCAGGTTAAACTAATGTAACAGGACACACATCTGAGAAGTGGGAAACCTAGTGCTTAGTGTTGACTTTGTGAGAGATTAAATGGGGGCGTAGCTGTGTGCTCTTAATCTCTTCACAAGTTGTGGAGAGATTGTATATACACACAAACATTTGTGTTTATATTTGTGAGATATATATATATATATATATACACACACACACACACACATACATACACAAACCTATATAGGCATATATATGAATAAAAGGAGATTTGTTATGAGGACCTGGCTTATATGTTTATGGAGGCTGAAGAGTTTGAGAAGTCTGCTGTCTGCAAACTGAAGACCCAGAAAAGCTGGTGGTATAATTAAGTCCAAGTCCTAAGGCCTGAGAACCAGGGCAGCCAATGATGCAAATCCCAGTCCAAAAGCAGGATAAGATAAAATGAGATGTCCCAGCTCACTCAGGGAGATAAATTTTAATAAAGCAAATTCTTTCTTCCTTCACCGTTTGTTCTATTCAGGCCCTCAATGGATTGGGTGATATCCACTCATACTGGGGAGGATAATCTACTGAGTTCGCTGATTCAAATGCTAATCTCATACTGAAACACCCTCACAAACACACTCTGAAAGAACATTTAATTTGGGCACCGTGTGGCTCAGAGAGGTTGACACATAAAATGAACCATCAGAGGTCATGTATGTAAAGCTCCTGGCATCAGGGCTGCTGTGCTGCCCAAATCCAGGGGTGGCTTTCACACTGTGTCTCTGTGTCTGAACCCTGTTGTCAGCGGCACTTCCTAGGACTGCCCCTGTTCCCTCATGATCCGCACTAATGAGTGCTACAGCTGTTGTTTTGAACAGGCACAATCGTGGAACAGAATCAGAAAGCAATTTTACTTTTGTCTTCTTTCGTTAATATTCATTCGGTGGGAATGTTTATTTTCCTCCAACAGTTAAAAAATTCAGTAAGATGCTCTACTTTTCTGGTTATTCATAGGTAATACAAATAGTACTGGTCCAGAAGTTAAATTGCCTAACCCCATAGGATTGTCAAACTTCACACTTGATTTAAAGTGAAAACATCTGTCTCTGAGCTGAAATTTCTATGGGCTGTCTGCCTGCAGTTAGGGAGCGTATTGACAGCTGCTTCTTCCTTTCTATACCTCGCGTGTTCTTCTCTCCACGCCTGCTAACCATGATTTCCAACTCTCCTGGCATTAGAGCTGGGTGGAGGGTGTAGTGGAGATACCAGAGAGGGCAGGAAAGTTTTTTCCTTCACTGGTACTGCAAACACTGCCCTCATTTTCTCTGAGCTTGGTGGATGTGTATGACTGACTATTGTGGGACTCATTTGCAGTTTTTTTTTAAATTTTTTTTTAAGAGATTCTCCAGTCTCTGGAGATCCCTTATTCTGGAGTATCCTTGAAAAGGGAGGATGTTCTTTTATTACATCTCATCTCATGTACCTGCTTCCTTGTCTCCTGAGAATTCAGTCATTCATATCTAGTTACTTTCTGCTGAGGACCTTTCAGCTTTCCAGCCTACTCTCTTGGACAAGACCTAAAATGACTCCACTTTAGTGCTCTCTTGCACGTGGCTCACAGAAAACCCTCTAGAATTCTTTGTTCTGATGCGTTCTAGGAGGGCAGGATAATAATCAAATTGCTGTCTCACCTTTGCTCTGCCATAAAGTGGCTGGCTAGTTTCTGCTCTTAGATTTCTCAACTTTGAATCAGATAATTCAGTCTCTCCCCCACTCTGAAATAGCAGTTATTAGGTTTTCTGAGTAGTGCTATTGAAGCTTTTTCACTAGATTTGAGGTAAGGAATGACACACCTTCCCTCCCTTTTTGGGAAGATTGGGGTCCACAGCATCCTTGGCTGGACATGGTGGCTCAAGTCTATAATCTCAGCACTTTGGGAAGCTGAGGTGGGCGGATCACCTGAGGTCAAGAGTTCGAGACCAGCCTGGCCAACACGGTGAAACCCTGCCTCTACTAAAAATACAAAAATTAGGCAGCTGTGGTGGTGCCGCCTATAGTCCTAGCTACTCAGGAAACTGAGGCAGGAGAATTGCTTGAACCTGGGAGGTGGAGGTTGCAGTGAGCTGAGATCACGCCATTGTACTCCAGCCTGGGCAACAGAGCGAGACTCATTTCAAAAAAAAAAAAAAAAGCCCAAACAATTTTTTTTTTCAAAAACTATTTTCACTCTTGACGTTTTATATATATCCTTAATGTAAGTGTAAGGGTCTAACTGGTTTTCAAATATTACTGTTGCAGGACTTTTCCTTAGTTCAGCTAAAGGTGGGATTCCTGTCTGTCCCATGACTGTGAAAATTTAGGCTCACAGACAGTTTAAAGGGTGAGTAAAGCAGGGTTTTATTGGGTGAAAAGGGAAAAAAGAGGGAAACAGGGATCCTATGCAAGGCCAGAGTCCCTGCTAGAGCGTTTCCCACCTGCCGTTTGAATCCCAGGTTCCACACAGGGAGAGGAGGGGCCAGGCTCACTCCCCACTGCAAAGGGCGTGAACTTCCCAAGTCTCCACCTCAGTGGGCAGTCTGGCTGGAGTTTCTTCAGGGACCCCCTCCCACCTTTTTTTTTTTTTTTTTTTTTAATTAACTTTATTGAGATTTTCTGATACTTTAAAAAATCAACATATGACAAAATGAACCTATTTTATTACAGTTCAATGAGTTTTGACAAATGGATACACACATGAACTCCATTATAGTCAATATATATTTTAATCAATCTAAGAAATTCCCTCATGCCCCCATGAGGTTAATTCATCACCGCATCCCTAGCCCTAGACAACCATTGATCTACTTTCTGTCACGATAGATTAGCCTTTTCTGAAATTTCTTACAATTGGAAACATACAATATGTACTCTTTTATATATACCTTCTTTTGCTAACTATAATATTTTTGAGATTCAACCATGTTGTTTTGTGTATCAATAATTCACCTCCCCCCTTTTTGCTGAATAGTATTACATTGCATGGTTATAGCACAATTTGTCAGTTCATTTACTGTTTATGGTCATGCAGATTGTTTCTAGTTTTTGGCTATTACAACTTAAGTTGTTATGGCACAGTCTGGTGATGTATTGGTTCTCTCCATGGGACATATTCTACTTTATGTTTGTTTCGGGGTTTTATTTTTGTTTAAAACTTTACAATTTTTACATTGTTGTGGAAGATAATCTGTAGCCTAAGATTCATCTTCTAAATGACTTGTTTTGCTTACTCATGTATTATCAGGTTTCATGTCCTATTGCAGACCAGATAATTATATATATATTTGTCACCTTTGGGATATTGGGCAATTGGTTGTGAAAGGGACCTTTTGAACCATATAGGGAGGCCCTGGGATGTGTAGCTGTTGTTATGTGTAGCTTTTGAGCTAGCCCTTCACATGCCCACAGAGCAATTAGTTGATAAAGATGAACACCACCAGTCACGTGCATTCCAGATCATCCTCCTGGGTGTCTCCAGTCTGCTCCTGTGTCTGCCTGGCCATACACTCTGTGCTCTGATTCTTGTTGTTAATCACATTCCTGCTATTCTACAGTTACTAGTATTGGTTGTCATGGGCTTAGATTCTTAGTTTTTCTTCAAGGATTTGGCTCTAAAAGGCCTTATGTATAGCCACCTCAGGTAGGTTACTTCTCCTTGACCCAGTCCGGATTCTAAATCTTATGTGGTTCCTAAAAAGGTGGGTGTTTTGATGGAAGCACTTAAAGTCATGTCATATAAGAAAATAAGGAATTAACTGGACATTCTTAGCATAATGGAGAGAATACTAACTATAGATAAAATTGCTATCTTCAAATATTTGAAGGCCTGATGAGAAGGAATAAGCTGATTATTTTTCTTGGGTGGGGAAGGTTCCAAGATATATAACTGATCATTGGGTAGAAGATTTGGAAATAGCGTTTTTGTCCTGATAGTCAGAATCAGCTAAAAATTGAATGGGCTGTGGTTGAGAAGTAATCAACTAATGTCATTGCAGGTGTTTTAAGGTTATATGCTTGGGACTAGTAGGGTAGCTGGATTAAATAAGATTTAAAGTTCCTTCTATTCCTGAGATTTTATGAATCTATGATACATAGTTTTTGAATGTTTTCTTATGGAAAATTGCTCAGACATATTGCTGGCTAATATAATTTTCTTTGTGTAGTTCTCAACTCCTAGGAAAGAAATGATAGAACACTGACAGAATTTAAGAGAGCCAATAAAGTAAAGAGTTAGTGTATGAGTTGGGAAGGTTACCAAACAAGCAAATAAATCTTAGAATTAAAAGTGGCTATGAGTAGATGATTTCTCATCTTAGGGTTGTAAGGTGGGCAGGTGAAAAGGACAAATAAACAAACCTTAGAATAAAAATGTTGCCATATGCAGATTTCTGACTTTAGAGCTGTGGAACACACGGGTACCTGGAATAGTATTAATGTAATCTGCTGGTGTTCACCTAAGAAGATCAAGTGGGTATCTATTTCTCCTAATTTTTATTTTATTTTGGTAAACCAAGATCATTCTTTTCATTGAATGCAGAGTGGAGTTTCTATTATTAGCTGTTTTATAAAGTTTTAATAGCAACAATGAAAAGAAATTCCATGTTTTTACCAAATAAGCTCCAGGCTAATCAGGTTCCAGGGAAATGCTGTAGTAACTTTGACTTGGCAATCAAGCGCAGTCACTGAATTGTTTAAGTAGATGAAAAACAGCTTGTTTTCTTTGCCTTTTTGTGGTATTCCCACGTCAATTTTTTTTAAGCTTCATTAACTGATTTTACACTGTTAGAGTTACTTAACACAGTCAGTATACAAGTGCTTATTTAACAGCCCAATGCAGTTTAGCAGTATACTTAAAAACACTTTCCAGGATAAATGTTGTACTTTATTAGTTTAAAATATATATATATATATATATATACTTTCATGATTACAAGTGATATCTATTTTCTAGTTAAGCAAATTGTCCTTTTTTTTTTTTTTTTTTTTCTTGAGGCAGAGTCTTGCTCTGTCACCAGGCTGGAGTGCAGTGGCACGATCTCAGCTCACTGCAACCTCCATCTCCCAGGTTCAAGTGATTCTCCTGCATCAGCCTCCTCAGTAGCTGGGACTGTGGACATGCACCACCATGCCTGGCTAATTTTTGTATTTTTAGTAGAGATGGGGTTTCACCATGTTGGCCAGGATGGTCTCGAACTCCTGACTTCAAGTGATCCACCCGCCTTGGCCTCCCAAAGTGCTGGGATTATAGGCGTGAGCCACCACGCTGGGCCACAAATAGTACTTTCTGTTCTAAATACTGCTTTGTGAGTATTTCATTTTTACTTCTTCCTTTTGTTTTAAAGAATAGTTTCTTCCTAATCAGCTGAGTTTGGAATTTCATAGTTTGTATGTACCGCAGCACAATTTTGTAAGCATGGCTAATTAATAAAATTAGTGGTTGAGTTTTTTATTTCTGATATTTTACAAGAGGGTGCATTTTATTAGCAGAATATCCCCAAGCATGATACATAAAGAACCCTGCTGGATGATCCATTAGAGAGTCAAGTAATAATTAAGAGATCAACCTTTGGACAAGAGCATCATATTATGGTGCCCCCTGGACTTCATGAAAGGTGGAAAGACACTCTGGAGAAGGACATTGGGACAGTGAGATTTTTTTCAGTAGAGAAAGGTAAGACATTTGTTATCTTGAGCACTGCAGACAAGCCAGAAGTTAGGAGGAGAGCTGTTCCCGGGACTTTTAACCAATAGTGTTGTTGGTTAAAGAGTACCATGGGGGCCGGGCGCGGTGGCTCACTCCTGTAATCCCAGCACTTTGGGAGGCCGAGGCGGGCGGATCACGAGGTCAGGAGATCGAGACCATCCTGGCTAACACGGTGAAACCCCATCTCTAATAAAAATACAAAAAATTAGCCGGGCGTGGTGGCGGGCACCTGTAGTCCCAGCTACTTGGGAGGCTGAGGCAGGAGAATGGCGTGAACCCGGGAGGCGGTGGTTGCAGTGAGCCGAGATCCCGCCACTGCACTCCAGCCTGGGCGACAGAGCAAGACTCCGTCTCAAAAAAAAGAAGAGTACCATGGATGGTACTGTATGTGTTCACAGTAAACCATGGAAAACATTAATTGCAGATGATCATAATGAAAATTTGGTGAGGTTTATATTGTCAGTTTAAAAAATATATTAAATACTTTTTAAAAAGCTAGTCAGAAATAGGGATAAGGGCTTCTACTAGTTTAAAGTTGTTTTTGCTTCCAGTTTTTCTCACTTCTTCCATAATACCCATGGTAACTAAATTATAAATGCCACTCAGTAGGTGAAACTCTCCTCTACAGTGTTAGAGGTTCGTGTGGGCTGGGGCTGTGTCTCATTTTCCTTTCTAATCCCTAGCAGGAGGGAGAGCAGGAGGAAGAAGGGAGCTTGTATGTGCAGGCTTTACAGCTGGTGACTGGAAAGCTGCTGTCGTGGTGGATTGGATCTGGATATGGGAGAAAGCCCACGGTGGGGATCAGGTTGATGTGTGCCTGCCGGAGGCCTAGGTGGAGGTGGCTATGACTGAGGTGAAATCACCCAATGAAAATAAGTCAGTGACCTACCTTAGGGTGTGTCTTCATCCATTATAATTTTGGTTATTATTGAATTTTGCTAGGGGAAGAATTATATATGACATATTTTGTTATTCCCAATGCGTAGCACATAGCTCTTGAATACTGTATATAGCCAAGTATATCTTTCTTGAATTCTTAGATATTTCTTCCATCCAGTAGGAAAATGCTTGAGGAACATTTGTTTTAGAGATAGAGTTGGGTTGGGCTTATGCTATGCTTGTTTTAGGTTGTATGTGTATTGTACAGTAGTGGTAGTTGTAGTAGTAGTAGAAGACATATGAAACAAAATAAAAAAGGAAGGAGAAAGAAAAGGATTTGTTATGTGTCTCACAAAAATATTTTCTCCTAATTTTAAGATTGATAAATATATAAACATACTCTCTAGTTCAAAAGATAGAATCTAGTGTTTTGTTCATTGTTTAGTTCAAAAGTCTATATCTTAAAGGAAATTAATCATCTAATTTCTCATTCTCTAATACCTCTGAAGCACTTATTCTTTGTTGAATAGAATGCCTGTTGAATCTTTTCACTGAATATTAATCCTTCTTAAAATTGGAATTGACTTTTGATTAAGAGTCATCTAACTGGAATACCTAAGAAGTCATAACTTTGATGGGCTTTAAATATAGCCAGACTTTCTCTGAGAAATGTATTACATTTCATATGATGAGACATTATTTCAGGAATAACTTAATGAACCTTAAATTAGATATTTTTAATCATCCTTTATGTAGGACAGGATTTGTGTCTAACTTATCTGAGGGAGTCTACAGAATCACTGGAGATAAAAGCCGTTTTCATTTTGACAGGTTGTTTAGGGATTCTGTCAATGCAAAGAATTTCACCAGAATTGATTTCTTTATGCATAAAGAACTGTAATTTAATACCAAAAAGTCATAGAAAGAAACAGATATACACATAGCTTTCTCTCACCCAACGATAGAACATTTGTAAAAGGTATGTGATGTAAGAAAAGCATGCACTTCTTTGATAAACATTTCCATCAATATGAGGTTAGTTGGATAACTAATTACAAATATCAAAAACAATTACAATATCAAAAACATTATGGTCTTACACATTGCATTTCTTACAGTAGGTACTAAGAGTGGCTCGGATGGCTGTGTGCTAAAAATCACATTCATGTCTATGGCAGAAGTGATATGTTAACTTGGGTTATTGTCAGCTCTGAGGCAATCCTCATAGCTCCTCCTACACTCTCCTTTCTTTTCAACTTTCTGCCAGATTTAGAATTAATTTTGCATTGTGGGATGAAAGAACATAAAACCATCGTGTTCAGAGAATGTCAACCGAAACCTTGATAGATCTTGACCTGCTTTTCCCTCGTAAAGAAAAGGCCATATAGAGTGCTTACAGATAATTGGTTTAAAATAATCCTAACTTATTTTTAGTTTTAGGTGAGAATCCCTGAGTATTTTATCAGACTTGACTTGGGGCTAACATAGGCGGGAAGTAATAGGAGAGTGGGCCAAAAGCTGATTCACAGGGAATGCTAGAAAGAATGCATTTAGCGCTTACAGCTAATGGATCTCAAGGGAGAAGATAAACAAAGTTTTTGAGAGAAGCAGCAGTTTTTGTTATTTAGCGCTGATGGAGCATGGGCATTCTAATTTGCATATTGAATACCAAGTACTGAAGGATGGAAGAGATGTGGCACAGCACAGTAAGAGGAGACTTCTGTCATTCTTACATTAGTCTGTGCTTTCAACTAGCTTTGTAACCATGGGAAAGTGCAAACTCTCTGAGCCTCAAGTTCCTTGTCTGTTAAGTGAGGGCTAGTCTATATTAAAAGTTTTAATGTCTCTGGGACATTTTAGAAATCTGTGTGGATGTTTTCAACTGTCAAAATGATTGGGGAAACTCAACTCACATTTATAGGGTGGAAACAGAAATGCCTAACGTCTTAAAATGGGTCCTGCACAACCAAAAATTGTCCTTTATCTGACATGACATTTGACTATCCCAGTGAACATTTATATAGGCAAAACAAAACCTGTTTGTAATTTTCTGAGCATAGGATCTAACTCCTTTCACATATCCAACAAAGTATTTTCTGTATCACATTAAGAAATCAGGTACAAAATTTAACAGATGTTATATTTTACAGGATTCCATATGTGTATCTTGGGAGAAAATTTTAATTTGTTTTCTTTGGGACTCTCAAAGAGTTGTTCACCATCCAGGAAATGATGTTCCAACAGTGTACTCCTCATGGAATTCGAATAGCTAATACTCTTGTGCAGTCTGCATTTGTAGCAGTGGCAGTTATGGTAATTTATGCAGAGCTTAAGTCTGACTACTTTGTTATATTTCCCAGTATAGTTGTACACAAGCATCTACACTTTTGGATACATATTATTTTACTTAAAGTTGATTTGTCATTCTCCTTTTCATTACATTATGGAATTATACATACCTATTTGATATTGTGTGCAGGTTGGTTATATTATCTTTGAATTTAAATTTTGGGATAATAAAGGGGTAATTTCTAAATATTTGATATAAAAATAAGTATTTAGTCTGATTGGGTTGAGAACCACTGAATTTAGATGTCTTCAAAATTGCTTCTATTGTCAGCAAACTGTCTCTCTAAATAATATGACTATAGCACATGCTTTTTAACCAGTAAGTATCTAAATTTATTTGTCCTATTATAGTGGGAAAGGCTAACTTCCAGGAAAAGATCAAAAGGATGATGAGGAAATGGCCTGGAATATGGTGTAATTAGAAAATAGTAGAGAGGAGGTTAACATCTCTTTTTCTTATATCTAATGAATTTTGAAACTGCTGTGATGTGCCTGCTACTTGTTACTAATCACAATTTAAGATAAAGTATTATATGATTACTGAATCTATAGTTAAGAAAAAATGGTTACTTTTTACAAGAGTTTACATTTCTTGAGCACATTTCCTGTCATTGAGTTCACACACAAATTTATAAATTCATAACAAGTTCATAAACTTCTAGATGAATTACTTTTTTCCCAATTTTAAAAATTGTGTTAATATACAAATAACATAAAATTTATCATATTAACCGTTTTAAAGTATGCAGTTTAGTGGTATTAAATACATTTATATTGTTGAGCAACCATCACTACCATCTGTGTCTGTAATAATGCTTTTCGTTTTGTAAAACTGAATGCTATACCTATTAAACAATAACTAATTTCCCCTTGCCCCACCCCCTGGCAAACACTATCCCATTATCTATGATTTTGACTACTCTACCTCTTATAAGTATAATCATTTAATATTTGTCTTTTTGTGAGTGGCTTATTTGACTTATCATAATGTCCTCAAGATTCATCCATTTTGTAGCTTATGTCAGAATTTCCTTCCATTTAGTGGCCAAATAATATTCCATTGTGCGTTTATATTTACATAGTAGGGCTTCTGAATAGAAGATATATATGATTTTTAAATAAACACCCAAGAGGACTGACATTACATTTTGCATGTCTCCTAAGGATAGTTTTGCAAGGTACAAATGATGTCAAAATAGCAATTCAGTGATGAGCATAAACGTTCACTGTTCTCTTTGAGTTATCATCATGGATATTGCAGTGAGTAAAATGTTGCCTTCTGCTTGTTATCTATTGATGTCAGGAACTGTGGCTTTGCCAGTGATTTTTCTCTTGGCCTTATATTCCATACCTTTTTCAACCTTCAGTTTAATCCAGTAACAAAATACAAAGATGCTGAGAGAAGTGGGACAGGGCAAGGACAGAGTGGCAGGAAGCATGGGTTGTGTACCAAATAACCATATACTCTTGGGTCTCTAATTATTTAGGTCTAAAATAATGCATTAGATAGCATGATGTCTTAGTTTTCTTCTGGCTCTAAATTTCTTTGGTTTGTAGATAAGCCAAAATTATATTATCAGCTATAGGCTTTGAATAATATTATGTGATACATTTACCACATCCAAATTATCAGGCCTAATATCTACCTGTTTTTGAAAGTTTCATTAATGGTTTTTTCCATAGGTAATAACTGAAAGTGATTTGGGATTGAGGAAGGTGACAAGGATGTATTGGGAGACTGCTGATCTCTGGAAGGGCCTCAGGTCATGCAAGAGACAGAAAAGTCTAAAAGCCAGTGTGAAGTAGGCAAATGCCCAGTAGAGAAGAGAACCTAAAGTCTTAGATATTTTCCTGTGTCCAGATCTCCTGGAGCCAAGTGACATTGAAGTCTTTTCTCTTGGCCAATTAGATCAAAGACACTGGCTGCACTACTCAATATTAGAACACCTCTTGTCAGTTGCTTTGTTTGTCTTTGCTTCAGTTCTGATAACAGTTTACCTGCAGGCCTAGGGAGTCCACAGCAAGCTGGTGTACTAGTCCTTGGCACAGCATTTTCTCTTGTAGTCCTTACACCTGGTCCCAGATTTCATAAATAGTCCCTTTACTAAGCTCTCCTCAAATTGCTCTATTTGAGTGTGTCATCTGTTCCTGCTGGTACCATTATTGGACAAAGTGAGATGAAAAAAGGATGACTGTTACTCAGAGAAGCCGGTTCCTCTAATGAGACATTGATTTGCATGAGTCGTACTATGGGAAGGAGTTAGTGCTATTACCAGGTATAGTAGGCTGATTAATAGACCCCAAAGATGTCTGGGTACTAATCCCCAGAACCTGTGAATCTTACCTTATATGGTAAAAAAGGACTTTGTGGAATTGATTAAATTAACAGTCTTGCCAAGAAAAGATTATCCTGGATTAGCCAGATAGGCCCAATGCAAGCTCAAGAGTTTGATAAGGGGAAGGCTGGAGGGTGAGAGTTTGAGAAGGAGATGGAACAATAGATGCAGAGGACAGAGCAATGCCATTGCTGGAAGGGGCCATGAGCCAAGTCGTGCAGGCAAGCCTCTAGAAGCTGGAAGAGGCAAGGCAATGAAATGTCCCTTAGAGCCTGCAGGAGGAATGCCAGTAACTTAGTTTTAGAACTGACCTCCAGAACTGTAGATAATAAATCTGTGTTGTTTAAAACCACTACTTTCAGGTAATTTGTTACAGCAACAATAGAAAACAAACACACCTGAGAATGGGATTAACAATTGGTTAGTTTTCAATTTTGAATGAATTTATTCACTTACATTAAATAACATTTTGATCATATATAAAAATAGTAGAGTATAATGAATTTTCTTCTGTTGATTTAAAAACATCTCCTAAGACTCAGCTTCTTCTCACTTGTAGTGGGTATTCATCATTATTTCTGACTTCTCAGCATCTGAAACCCCTGGCTATGTTTTGAGGAATTTAGCATCTGATGAGTTCTTGGTTGGGGTAGAGACCAGTAGCAAAGCTGAAGGCTGAAATTCTTAGTAACTTGCCTTCAAAACATTCCTTGCTGCTGGGCTACAGACTGAAGACCTAGACATTGCCAAATAGATGCACTATGCCATTCTTCAGAATCAGTGATAGAAGCAAAGGGATGGTGGTTGCAAATGAAGTTCCCAGCCCTGAAGTGGCAGCAGAGGTAACTGTAGCAAGGTTGAGTTTCTCAGAGATAGTAGCAGCAATTTACTCCATACTTCAGTTCTGCTGTGTGGTTTGGAATTTTGTTACTAGTTGTATAGCTTCAAGCCTAATTTTCTTTTTCTTTTTCTTTTTTTTTTTGAGACAGAGTCTCACTCTGTCGCCCAGGCTGGAGTGCAGTGGTGTGATCTTGGCTCACTGCAATCTCTTCCTCCCAGTTTCAAGCAGTTCTCCTGCCTCAGCCTCCTGAGTAGCTGAGATTACAGGCATGTGCCACTACCCCTGGCTAATTTTTGTGTTTATAGTAGAGACGGGGTTTTACCATGTTGGCCAGGCTGGTCTCGAACTCCTGACCTCGTGATCTGCCCTCCTCGGCCTCCCAAAGTGCTGGGATTACAGGCATGAGTCACCGCGCCTGGCCTTCAAGCCTCATTTTAAATGGTTTTAACAAATTATCTTTGTTCTTAATCTAGCTGGAATTGTTTTATGTTGCTTGAAACTAAGAACCCTGATTAACTCTTATGATAATTCAACTTAAAATTTTTTGACTTTTTTATGGTTTTATTGAGACATAACCCTATCATAAGTCCAGGAACACCTGTACACACTTTCCATTCTGCCATCTTTTGTGGTGGCATTGACCTCAGGCAAGCTTCACTCTTGACCTCACGATAGCTGCAGTTTTTGCAGGAATTAGAGGCAGACATAACAGCCAGGGAGAAGAAATCACCTATATATGTTTCACTCTTAGGAATGGAGGCCCCTTTACCTCAAGTCTCCTAGCAGGTCTTCCCTTACCCCTATGGGCTAGAATAACATCTCATGGCAGTACACAATCACTAATCACTGGCCAGGAGAAAGAGACTACAATTTTTATGTTAGATCATTAAGAACCTTATTACATGGCTTTATGGTAGAGGATGAATACCTGAATAAAGTCAGAGCTTTGCTTAAAAAGAAGGGTGAGAAAGTATATTGTTTAATGAATCAACAGTGCTGGCCACAAATAAAATTTCTGTGAAAAAAAGAAAATGTGTGAAAAGCTTTTCACACTGCACCTGGCACAGTTGAAGCACTCAAATAAAAACTTGCAATATTTCTAGCAGAATCCCTTGGGAAACCTTGTAGAATACATATAACTCAGACTTCATCCCAGTCCTACTGAAACAAAATATTTAGACGCAGTGCCTAGTCATTCATATTTTAAAAACTTCCTCAAGAGATTCTCAATATATCCCTGGTTAAGAATCAACAAAGAGGAATGACTGTAGCATTTTAAGTAAGATGGAATAGTGTTCCCAGTGGGGCAGTTCCTTAGAGCAGAGTGAGAGATCTATTTATTAAATATGGCATTATATTGTAGTGGGCTGATGACAAAGGGAAACTAGAAAAAGTGCCTCTATTATATCTTAAGAATGGGAGTTTCAGAGATATTTGACCTGAGTTGTTTTATCAAGGGGACCTTCTACCTAGGTGAAGTTTCCTATTGCTTCTTTTTGGTAGGTCATGAGTTAATGTTAAATTGTTGGCAAGTCAAAGACTAAGCAGTAAAAGCTATCTGTCCTCATAAAGAGCTGTTGAAACCTGAGGAAATAAAGGCTTGAATTGCCCTAGGGCAAGGCTGGTTGCCGCTACTCTGTCAAAGGTGAATTGGTTTTTCTAGTTCTTCTTAGTCACTCAGCTCAGTGGTTTTTAACTTAACTGCCACCTTTTTAATTGGCTAACATTATTGTTCAGGGTTTCACCTGAAGGTCTAGTGCAGGGGACTGGTATGGGGGCATAACAACACCAACTGGAAAAAATCCATTTAACCTGTTTGCTTTTGGCATGGATAACCCTGTGCTTCCTGCTGATCAGGAATAAATAAGTAAAAGTCAAAGTCATGATAAAATTTCTCACATATTTAGTGAAAAACACAATAGAAGAAAATTGATACAATGAAAAAGGCAATCAGATAAAAGAATACCATGTTTGAAGATAACATGCCCATGTAGAGAGCAGAAGTGTTTGTTTACACAGGGGTTTTGGAGTATTCAGGGCATACATCAGGTTTTCGGTTAGTGGCTGGTGAGTTAAAAGCTAATAGGAAATGAAGAAACAGAAAGCCTAAGCCTTTCTAAGAAGACAAATAAGGAGATTCTTTGAGAAAGGTATTGTTTTGTTTTGTTTTAAAGATGTGAAATACTTAAGGATGTTTAAAGGCTCCTGACAAGGATTTATTAGAGGTACAGGTGGCAGATAGAGGATATCACAGGAATTATTTATAGTATATATTCTTGCTCTGGTGTGAATGTTTGTTGCCCACAAATTCATATGTGGAAATGTTAACCCCAAAGGTGATGGTATTTAAAAAGGGGCCTTTTCCAGACGATTATGTTGCAAAAGTGAATCCTCTTGAATGAGATTGTGCCCTTAACTCCTTTGCTCAAAAGAGACCCCCGTGAGACCTCTTCTCAGCCCTTCCACCTGGTAAGGAACACAGTTCCAAAGTGCCATCTATGAGCCAGAATGCAGGTTCTCACAAGACACCAAATCTGATGGTGCCCTGATCTTGAACTCCTCAATCTCCAGAATGATGAGAAAGAAATTTCTGTTATTTATAAGCCACCCAGTCTATGGTATTTTGTTATAGTAGCCTGAATGGACTAAAATAGTTCTGAGAAAAGTTGGAGGAGCAAGGATGTACAGTATGTTGGGAGGGATGTGTCTTAGCTAGGAGAGCAGAACCTTTGTTCTCAAATCACTATGTACGAATGCTCTTAAGATATTCTTTTTGGCTTTCAGCTTGCACGTTATTGGTATATAGAAATGCTACTGATTTTTGTACACTGATTTTGTATCCTGAAACTTACTGAAGTCATTTATTAGTTTCAGGAGTGTTTTGGCTGCCAGCATCTTTAGAGTTTTCTAGGTATAGTAGGTTAAGAGAGATAGTTTAACTTTGACTTTTCTTATTTGAATGCCTTTCATTTCTTTCTTCTACCTGATTGCTCTAAGACTTGCAGATGTTCTGTTTAATGATGGGAAGCTGAGAGAGTTTATATGACAGTGTATATTTTCTCTGTGAGGAAGCGTGAGAGATCATTTGCTGAGACTAAAGAGATCATTTGCTGCTGAGATTAAAGTGAGAGGTAGGAAAACTTGAGATTTGATGGCACTGAGGATGATGGGAAAAATGATACCTAAAGAGATGTATGTAGTCAGATTTAAAGACAGTGTTGAGTGCTCAGGTGAGTTGGTGACCACAAATTAATAGTGACTTCATTTTACTCCACAATCTGTTTCGTGGTTTCCTCCAGCAGTATTGAGGGCAGGCAAGCATGAGATGCCAGTCTGAATTCATATGGTTTTGGATTTTTACTAGATATGTTTGGGAAAAGAATAAAAGGTCGAGAGAGTTGAGGGTATTGAAAATGATGAAATACAAACAGGATAAGGAAAGGAATAAAAAATAGGAGTAGGCAGAATGACAGGAAGAAAGAGAAAGTGCAAATGTGATTCAAGGGGAAAGGTAGCTAAGGAAAGAGAGAAATATAGAAAACTTCAGAGAAATTCTTGAATCCATAATTTTGCAGATGATAGCCAGATTCATGGTAGACTTATGGGAATGAGAGGTACAACACCTCTCATTGTGCCTGTCAAGAAACCAAGCAGTCATGGTGTTGTGCCTTAAAGTCTCTGAGGATAATATCAGAATTGGCATGGAAGGAGGATAGCTGGAGAGAACCTAACTGGAAACTTTTCGGTAAATGAGGGGAAAAGCCCAGGGCATGAGTAGAAGACAGCAATAAGGAGGGCTATAGCATGTTATAGTAAACAACAACAACAAAAAGACTTAGAGTAACAGGAATTTTAATAAAAGGTAGGAGTGTTAATAGTCTAGAAGAGGAAACAAGGAACATGGATGATGCTGAATCTCTGCTGGACCCCAAGGTGCAGGGATGTGTGGGACCAATGGCCTCTCCTCGATGGCACTATAGGGACAGTACTTCACAGAGAGCTAGGTTCCAGTGCAAATGAGGACGTGGAATGTTCTTCTTTTCTCCCCCTCTATGTGCTGTCTCTGGGACGTCACTTACACTCCCATTGTAGCAGGACGAACCTCAGACAAAACCTCTCAGACACCAAGCTGTAGAAGGAAGGGCTTTATTCAGCTGGGAGCATTGGCAAGCTACTGCCTTAAAATCCGAGCTCCCCGAGTGCACAATATCTGTCCCTTTTAAGGGCTCACAACACTAAATATTTCACATGAAAGGGTCATGATTGATTTGAGCAAGCAGGGGGTACGTGACAGGGGCTGCATGCACTGGTGGTCAGAGAGAAACAGAACAGGGCAGGGAGTTTCACAATGTTCTTCTATACAATGTCTGGAATCTATGAATAACATCGGTTTCTAAGTTAAGAGTTGATTTTTAACTACTGGGTTTAGGCCAGGCAGGCCCAGGCCTGGTTTCGGGCCTGGCGCCGGGCTGCCTGTCTTTGGTTTTACTTCCTCGTTGTTTTTTCTTAAAACAGGTACTGAGTATAAAACAATATAAAATAATATGAGAGGGTCTTTCTCTTCCTTCACCATGGTTTCTATTATAATGTAAATGATGACTTTATCAGTCCCTCCTCTCTCACTGGTCAAAGGTTCAATCCATGTGCTACTGAATCCCCCCACTTCAGGTGGTACACATGTGGTCACCGAGTGAGTTCTGAGGGATGAGCAGGGCAGCCCCAGGGTGGGAGGTGAGAGACATGCAAGGTTTAAAGTTGTGACTGTATGAAGTTGGTCAGAACCCACCAAGAGCTGGTTAATATTGTGGCAGCTGAAACAAGAGCAGGGTGAGGCTGAGAGCATCTGAAATGATGCAGAAGAGGGTCTAACATGTTGGGTAACCTCTACTTACCTCACAGAGATCAGTTCAAATATCAGTTTCTCCAGGAAGTCATCCCTGATGCTACAATGAGATCCCTCCAGTATACACTCATGGTCTCCTACACTTTCCTGTTGTAAAAGTCATCATATTTTGCTGTTGTAACTTGTAGCGTAGGTGATTTGTCTTTCCCATGAAATGTGTCAATTCTGAGGGCAGGTTTATGGTCATCTATCACCATGAGGTTTGCCCTACCTTTGCCCTACAATGCTTCATACAGCTCTGCCTGATATAATGTAGGTTCTCAATAAATATGTGTAGCATGAATGGATGAAATTTTGAATTAGTAAAACATAAAATCATGTGTTATTCTTCCAGAGCAAACCACTTTAGCAGAGGTACTTTCAGAATATAAACTGATTACTAAAGGTTAGTTTGCCTTGTTAAGGCTTTCACGGGCTGTCAGGCTGTAACCTGAAATAATGACTCGGGTGGAACATGCATTCTGACCAGTGAGGCTCTGCATCCCTTAGGTTCACTTGTTTTGCAAATTAGAT
Organism: Homo sapiens; assembly: GCF_000001405.40. NCBI lineage: Eukaryota > Metazoa > Chordata > Mammalia > Primates > Hominidae > Homo > Homo sapiens. The sequence goes on from NC_000014.9 coordinate 39,877,792, forward strand.
TTGTCAGGTTGGAAGTTCAAATGAAAGCTCTTTTTTTTACTGCTGCTCTTTGGCACATTCTAATGAGAGCCATAGCTCCTGAGTTGTTGCTTCAGCATTCACATCTAATAGGAAAGAAATTGAAAGCTAAAAGGAAACCTTGAGGCTCCAGAACAGCAGGTCCGTCAGGCAGCATGCTTAGCTCCATTCTTAAACTGTGTCTTCAATGAGAAAGGCTCTGACTACTGCATTGTGCCCAGCAAGAAAAGCTGGGTAAAGGAGATGTCACAAAGGGAAGCAGCACCAGCGTTCATTCTGAACCCTTTCTGTGCCATCTTCAGTCAACTTATGTCATAGGGAAGTCATGCTGCTTGCTAATGATGTTCCCACCTGGGGACCCCATTGTTGAGTGATGTCCTTGATGCCAACTCACACATTCCAGCTAATTCCAACCCTATTACATATTCAGTATTTTTCTTGGAACCAATTAAGCTAATGGGAGAAACAAAATAGAACTCTCTTTTCCCAAGAAATCATTCAACCAGAATTTTTAAGACAAAGAACTGGAAACTGGGTATACTATCAAGAGCCCTAAAATACATATAGAGTGATTCAAATCTGAAATTGCATGAAGTGATTCTCTTATCCTGGAGAGGACTGATGTATGAAGAAGCCACTTGTTTAGATTGGTAGCCTTCATTTGTCCACCAAGAGTATCGATTTCTTTTTATTATTTAAATATTTTGAACCCTAAACCAACAAAAACAAATTTTAAAAATTCAAAGTAATAAAGAAAAGTTACGAATACTAACATGACAGAAAACTGGAAGATTGCAAATTGGGAGTCGCTTACTGCCTTATGGATGAAAAGAGAAGAAACAAAAGTAATCATAGAAAGTGCAGACTACTGGACTTGAAATAAAGAGAGTTTTGTAAACAAATGCTATGTTATTAAGTGAGAAAAGCTTTTTACTGGATCAACAGGACTGTGAAATCTAACTACAAAATACTGAACAGACATGTCTTCCCAGACACTGCCATTTAACAGATGCTCAGTAAGTATTATTGACCGGCATATTGGCCTGATGATCTTGTTTATGAAAAATAGCCTGTAAAGGAAATTCCCAGGTAATAAATTTCAGTTGCTAACAAGTCTTTTATCTTGAATAGTCTTTATAAGATCTTAATCAAGACAGCATTGATAGTGAGCTTCCTGTTCAAGATGTTCTCCCTGACTATAAATAAGAGTGTTAAAAGATAAGAAGTACCCATTTTAAAATTGGTTGTCACACTCAAAAATCTCACCCTTGAGAGTTTTAAGGGAAAAATCCCTTTTATTCTTCACATGAAAAAAATATAATGTATTTTTAAAACTAGGATACTTATTACACAGCAAAGGTTTGGGATTCAGAGGCAGGTCATTGGCTTACAGCCTCAGAACTGAGTGTAAAGGAGAACTCTGGCATTCTCCACCTATGAAGATTTGAGGAGTTTACAACATGTTACATGTTGAGCTACAGTTTTCTTCTCTATGCAAGAGATACAATGCTAAATTCATTGCAAATATATTATCCCATGTAAAGTACCTATTCTGGCCTCTGTTTAGCACATAGTTAGTATTTAATAATAACAATGTTTAACTGTTAATGGTTGCGATTGGTGATTATCATTTCTTGATGGGAAAAAAAGTGTCAAAATATTCTCTCCTCTGTCATTAACTCTATGTGGCATTTGCTAATTATAATGCTCTTATTTCCTTTGCACTAAGCAGGTGGCAGGCATGGTTCTGTGTGCTTCATGCACATGATCTAATGCGATCTTCACAGCACCCTCATGATTTTACCACTCTGCACATTGCTTTGTGGATGAGAGAGCTGAGGCTTAGAGAGGTAGTAAGACTTGCCCAAGGTCACAGGGCAAGTACATAGCAGAACTTAGTTTGAATCCAGAGAATTATTTGCCTAGGATCTCATATTTGCTTTTTCTGAAGTTTTTTGTTTTTTTTTTTTAAACTTCAGTGTATGTGAGAGCCATTTGAAAAACCTGATTCAAATGTGGATTCCTGGGCTGTTACTTGGAAATCCTGTTTTGCTAGGTCTAGATCTGGGGTCTAATGCATTTTTAACAAGTTCCCTTGGTAGAGGTAATGTAAAAGCTGAGTTAGAGTATGAAAATACTTATGTCTAATTATCTGTTCATTCACTTATTAATTCATTTAGTACTATGGAGGTTCTACTAAAAGGTATGCATATGAAGTGCAAAAGTTAGAATACCCCTGGTGTTTATATTCTATCTTGGTGTCTTTGGGCCTGTAATCTCCACAAAGAGAGAAAAAAGTTACCTTAAGCCAGCAATATTCTATTAGGACCCAGAGCACTATAGTAATAGTTGTAGCCACCTGATTCATGTTTTCTTGTTCTACATCTGAAGGATTTTTTAAAAACATGAAAACAACCAGAAGCTATGTTAAAAACTTTACAAACTGGATTCCAATGACTCACATCCAATTTTTTCTTCTCAAGATTCCATTCAGAGAATAGTTTGTTACGTTGAGAATAATTTAACTCAGACCACTCATTCAGGTCTGGTTCAGAGAATGGGCTGCTGTATTCAGATCTTGATCTCCTTCCTTACATTGTTCAAAGGCTGCAGTTTCACAGTTCTTTTTTACATCTGTCTGTGGAGGGATACTGTGTTTACTAGGGATTGCCTTTAAATAACAGTGACCATGATTCCTTGCATTCTTAGGATCCTGCTACCAAATGTTGCTTTAGGAGTGGCCTCTCTTCCTCTCCCTGCCTCTGCTTCTGAGCTGAGTACCTCAAGTATTGTACTGGGTAACCTACCTACTCTACTCTTCTGGGATGACTGGAAGGGTAAGGTCTACTTCATTCTAAGATTTCATGGACATCTTGCTACTCCTTGGGTTATCTAATAAACACCCTCATGCCTGAAGAGGGAGCTTAAAGCTCATCAGGTATGGGATATATCACTACCATAAAATCCAACATTTTAAAAAACATGTTTTTTCCATTAGCAGGGATCTAGAATTAAATATCCCTAAATATAGAATGCAAATATATAGATTTAAAATAACTTGCCATTTCAGGAAAACTTTGTATCTGTTCCAAAAGGGGCATTAAATTGCCCTAAATTTTACTTTCTATTTTCCTGCAGTAGAGAACTGTCATTGAGATTCACTGGTCTCTGAATGAATTCATACATTTATTTATTTTATGTTTCCCCACTGTACCCTCTAGAATGGTCTGCACACCAAAGACATTCACAAATTTTATTGACCTACTGACTGACTTTTTAAAACATGACACAGGTTGACAGATGTTTTACCAGCCATCTAAGGATGGCATACCACTGCTAGAAATTATTAACTTACAGAAATCAATAGTTGGAATGTGCCATAAGCACTTACTTTCAAGCACAGGTTTTATAGAAAGGCATTTCGTCAATTTACTTCAGATGGAGGAACAATTTACTTTTCATTATTTTATAAACATTAACTCTATAGTTTTTATTGCCATATATTTATCACTTCAAAAGACAATTTATGTACTGCTGACACAAAATTAGCCACATGCCCCAGCACTTAGCGCTCTAAAGCACACACACACAAAAAAATTGAGACAGACTGGTTAGACCTTTTGATCTTTTCTTCAAAATTCTTCATTGTGAAGAATGAGAGCAATATTGGAAGAATGAAGACAGGTGAATTCTCCTTAATTTTTCTTAAGGAATAACAAGTTTCCCATAAAGTGTAGTCTTGGAAAATAAGTTACTTTAGATAATATTTTTAAATTAATGATGAAAGAAATGGTTAGTGAGCAGCTAGCAATGGAGGCAATAATTCCTAGGGCTGGTATGTGTTTACTAAGAAAAAACATGAAAGGAATCAACTTTCCTTCTCTGATGGGGTTATTAGATCATTAGATCAGAGGAATGCACTAAACAGTGTATTTAGGCAAAAGCAAGGCATTGACCAAATATTTCAAGATAGCTTTGGGTTAAGATGGTGGCTGATTAGCTAAGTGTTAGTGATATTAGGTGAGTGAGTGAAAAACAATACCTAGAGATAATTAGTACATCAGTGTCGTTGGGCAGTTTCCATAAAGGTATTCCTTAGGACTCTGTCCTTAATCTTATTTTCTTTATTTTATTTTATTTATTTATTTTTTTGAGATGGAGTCTCACTGTGTCACCCAGGCTGGAGTGCAGTGGCACAATCTTGGCTCACTGCAACCTCTGCCTCCTGGGTTCAAGTGATTCTCCTGCCTCAGCCTCCCGAGTAGCCAGGATTACAGGTGCCCGCCAGCATGTCTGGCTAATTTTTTGTATTTTTAGTAGAGACGGGGTTTCACTAAGTTGGCCAAGCTGGTCTCGAAATCCTGATCTTGTGATCCCAAAGTTCTGGGGTTACAGGCCTCCCAAAGTGTTGGGATTACAGGCGTGAGTCACCACGCCTGGCCATTTTGTTTATTTTCTAATGACTGACAAAGGCAACATGGTATAATATAGTTGCCATGATTAGAGTGCTGGTCTCAGACTATTTGGGCTCAAATCCTTCTACCACTTATTAGAGTATGACTTTGGGCAAGGTACTGAATCTGTCTCAGTTTCCTCATCTTTAAAATGGCTATAGTAAATAAATATATCTACCTAATACAATTAGTGGGACAAATCAGGTAAAGCAGTTAACAAAGCACTAGTATGTGGTAAATGCTCAAAAATGTAGCTATAATTGCTAACTACTTGGATATGGGTATAAAATTCCAAGTCATGAAACTTGTGAATAGAATAAGATAGAAGAAAAAGAACAGCTATTAAATGACCAATGGAGCATGGCCACACTTGCACTCCTTTCCTTCTCTTTAAACCCCAGCATCTGTGCTGTTCAAAGATAGGACGATATCTGACAAAGTGAAATATCATCAAGAATGCATTTAAGGCCCTGAATACATATCTCAACACTCAAATGACCAACTACTGTATACAGGATATATAAAAATGATATGTGAGAAAGACTGAGTTTTAATTGCCAGAAAGAAATGAGTTAAAAGTGTGGTGTAGACACAAACAGGCACTTAATACAACCCTAGGCTGCATTAACAAAAATGTTTGGCTACCTAAGGTGGAAAATCAAAGTATTTACTAGTTATATTAATCTTGAAGTGTTTTGTTACATGCTGAACACCACAATTTAAGTGACAGAGATAATCTGAAGTGTTCCCAAAGAATAGTGGCTGAAATTGCAAAATAAATTAAAAAAATATATCGCAAAAGGAATATTTGAAATTGTAAGATGTTGAAGTTGGGGAAAAGGAGACATTGGAAACAAATTAACTTGAGGACTTAGAGTGGCTTTTTAAAAATGTTAATTTATGCTATGACATTAGAAAAAACACAATACACACACTTCAGGGTTAAGTATCCCCTTCGTAGCACATTGTTGAACTGCTACACGAAATTATGCATCACCTGTATGATGCCATCATAGCATCGCTTTTCTCAGTCTCTACAATACCCATTTGGGCTTCTTTTCATTAACACATCCATATAACTTAAAAGTATATGTTATTACTGATTTTCTTGGCCAGATATTTCTCCATCCCTCCTCTCTTACCACCCACTCATATACATCGGAACAACTTTTTATTATAGTTCATCTCAAATTAAGGAAAACATAGAGTATCCCTTGTGGAGGTAATGAATTACCTGTTAACTATGGTCAAGTTCAGACTAAATGACAACTTTGACATTGCAGAGGAGATTTAAAATTCAAGGTTAACCTGGGTTACTGGATCAAATCACCTGTCCCTCCTAATCATTTCATTCTAAAATGTGCATGAATTATGGTCAGAGTATCTCTTCTATTGCCTATTCTAACCCTGATATTTCACACCTTAAGCTGGGGATGGTTTGAAGATATAGAGGGAAGAAATGCGTATTTTTGGCTAAATGTTATTCTAATTTTAAATGCGCAGTAAATGTAAGAATTTGTTTAATAAGTGGCCAACTTTTCAAATTCTTAGAGCAAATTTTGCAAATCATGAATTTTCTTTCCTGAGAGGTCTAACAATAATTGTGTTAATGTGTAATACTTTACACTAATTTGACACATTAACTTTTATACCTATATTTTCACATATATTATCTTATTCAAAAATTCTCCCAGCTGACTTCTTAGGCACATAATGAAACTGAGACTCAGTGAGGTTAAATGATTGCCTGACATTTCATGGCTGGCAAGGGGCAGAATAAGGACTAAACCCTCATTCTTCTACTCTGACTTTAATTCTTTTTTTTTTTTTTGCATTAATAGTTTTAGATGTCAGCAATTTTATCAGTGAGAAGTTACTTTTCCCTTTGGTTGGAGAAAATTGCCTTTCCCTTTCACAATGTCCTTTTGCTTTATTGTGAAGTATATTTGCAGAACAATGCCAGCTTTGAAATGTCATGTACTTCAGATTCAGAAATTGTTCTCTATTTGAAGTGACATGATGATGTTTGCCTGAGGCAGTGGATGTCACTGCTTGGGCTCTGGAGGTTGTGAGTTTAGCCAGACCAGGTAGGCTGTGTACACAATCCAGTCAGACATGTGAGGGATGCCAGGCTGTCTACAGATGAGCTCTTGATAGCTTATATCTAAGCAACATTCCAAAAAGGCCCAGCATGAGTGAGTTCAAAAGGGTCAACAGTGGACATGGGGATTGCAACGAAGTATTGTATCTGGCATATCTGATGCCAACTCTGAGATCTAACCACAGGTGCCATGATTCAGAGGCATATCCTGGAATACTGTGTGGCACATTGCCTGTTAAAGGCAGTGCAGGTGGGATGGGAACTGAAGAGAAAAGGCCAGAGAGAGGAACCAGTGATAAAACTTACCAAAATTGAGCCTCTTAGCTCAGAGATGAATCCCCATGAATGTGAAGATGTTTGATGTGACAAGTGAGAGCTATGTGACATCAGTAGTAGGCTTGAGAGAATGCAGGCTTGAGAGAATGCAGGTGTTAGATGAGCCATTAGAGGTGAAAAATAACATCAATTGATAAATTTGATTTTTAGATATTATAGATGTTGCTAGATTTTACATAGTTTAAAAATATTACAACTTATTAATATTAAATAATTAAATATTTGGCCTTTAAAAAATCCAAGTTAAAGGTTAAATAGGGAGGGGGTGGAACAAGATGGTGAAATAGAGGCTTCACTAATCATCTCCCCTGCCAGGACACCAATTTAACAACTATCTACACACACACAAAAGCACCTTCATAAGAACCAAAAATCAGGCGAATACTCACAGTACCTGGTTTTGACTTCATATCACTGAAAGGCACTGAATAAAGAAGAAAGATAGTCTTGAATCACTGACATTACCACTACTCTTTGCCCCACAAGTGGAGGTGTGGTATAGAGAATGCTTCTGTGTTCTGAGGAGAGGGAGAGCACAGTAATTGTGAGGCATTGAACTCAGTGTTGCCCTGTTTTAATGGAAAGCAAAACTATACCAAAACCATTTGACATCCACCCAAAGAAGGATCATTTAAACCAGCCCTAGCCAGAGAGGAATCGCTGATCCCGGTGGTCAAAAGTTGAGTTCCCACAAGCCTCACCACCGTGGGCTAAAGTACTATAGGACGCTAAATAAACTTGAAAGGCAGTCTAGGCCACAAGGACTGCAACTCCTAGGTGAGTCCTGGTGCTGAACTGGGCCCACAGTCAGTGGACTAGGGGAGCATGTGACCTGCTGAGACACCAGCTGGGGTGGCAAAGGGAGTTCTCACATTCCCCTGTAACTCCAGGCTGTAAAACTTGCAACTCCAAAAGAGTCCCCTTCCCTGTGCTTGAGGAGAAGAGAGGGAAGAGTGTAGAGGACTTTGTCTTGCATCTTAGATATGAGCTCAGCCACAGAGGATAGGGCACCAGAAAGAGTCATGAGGCCCCTTTTCAGTCACTGGCTCCTGGATAACATTTCTAGGCACACCCTCAGCCAGAAGGGAGCCCACTGCCCTGAAGGAAGCACCCAGTCCTGGCAGCATTCATGACCTGCTAACTGAAGAGGCCCTGGGCACTGAATAACCAGAGCAATACACAGGTGCTACATTGAGGGCCTTGGGCAAGACTCTTGAAACTTTATAGCTTCAGGTGAGACTCAGTACATTCTCAGCTGTGGTTGCTACAGGTGAGACTCTTTCTACTTGAGAAAAGTGGAGGGAAAAATAAAGGGGACTCTGTCTTACATTTTAGGTACCAGCACAGCCATAGAGGGGTAGAGCACCAAGCTGGCTCTTGGGGTCCCTGATTCTAAGACTTGGCTCTTGCATGGCATTTCTGGACCTACCCTGGGCCAGAGGGAAGCCCACTTCCCTGAAGGATGAGTTCCAGGCCAGGCAGCAATCACCACAAGTGGACTGAAGAGCCCTTGGGCCCTAAGGAAACATCAGCGATAGTCTGGAAGTATTCCTTATGGGCCCATGGTGGCAGTGGCCATAGGTGAGGCTTCTCTGCCTTGGGAAAGGGGAGGGAAGAACTGCATCTTGTGGTTTCAGTGCCAGCTCAGTTGCAGTACAATACAATACCAGGTAGACTTCTAAGGTTTTTGACTCTAGGCTCTGGCTCCTGGTCAGCAGCTCTGGATCCACCAGGGCATAGGGGAACTGGCCACCCTAAAGGGAAGGGCACAGGACTGGCTGGATTTGCCACTTACTGATAGTAGAGCCCCAGGGCCTTGAGTTAACATAGGCAGTAGCCAGGCAGTGGTTACAGAGGGCCTTGGGAAAGACCCAGTGCTGTGCTGGCTTTAGGTCTGACCCAGCACAGTAATAGTGGTGTCAGCCACAGGGGTGCTTGTATCACTCCACCTTCAGCTTTAGTTGGCTCAGAACAGAGATTCCATTTGTTTTGGAGAAAGTAAGGGAAGAGAAGAGTCTCTGCCTGGTAGTCCAGAGAATTCATCTGGATGTTGTTCAAGACCATCAAGTTGGTACTTCTGTGAGTCTTCAAGAACCACAGCATTACTGGACTTAGGGTGTCCCCTAAAGCAGATACAGCTTAGACAACAACACCCAAGTCATTTTGAGTGCCTTGAAAGCCTTTTCAAGATGGATGGGTATGATAGGCTCAGACTGGGAAGGCTACAATAAATACTTAACTCTTCAATGTCCAGACACAGAGGAATATATACAAATATTAAGAACATCCAGTTCACCAAATGAACTAAATAAGGCACCAGAGACCAATTCTGGAGAAAAAGAGATATGTGACCTTTCAGACAGATAATTCAAAAAAACTGAGGAAGCTGAAATTCAAGATAACACAGAGAAGGACTTCAGAATTGTATCAGACAGATTTAACAAAGAGATTGAAATAATTAAAAATCAAGCAGAAAATATGGAGCTGAAAAATGCAATTGACACACTGAAGAATGCATCAGAGTCTTTTAACAGCAGAATAGCTTAAGAAGAAGAAAGAATTAGTGAGCTCAAAGATAGTCTATTTGAACATATACAGTCATAGGAGACCAAAAAACACAATGAAGCACACCTACAGGATCTAGAAAATAGTCTCAAAAGGGAATTTAAAAGAGTTATTGGCTTTACAGAGGAGGTTGAGAAAGAAATAGGAATAGAAATTTTATTCAGAGGGATAATAACAGAGAACTTCCTAAACCTAGAGAAAGATACCAATATCCCCAAGTACAAGAAAGTTATAGAACATCAAGCAGATTTTACCCAAAAAAGGCTACAACACAGCATTTAATAATTGAACTCTCAAAGGTCAAGGACAAAGGAAGGATCCCCCCAAAAAAACAGCAAGAGAAAAGAAACAAATAACATATAATGAAGCTCCAATACATCTGACAGCAGACTTTTCAGTGGAAACCTTATATGCCAGATGAGAGTGGCATGACATATTAGTAAGTGCTGAAGGGAAAAGTTTTACCCTAAAATAGTATATCTGGTGAAAATATCCTTCACATGTAGGACAAATGAAGACTTTCCCAGACAAATAAAAGTTTAGGGATTTTATCAACCCCAGGCTTGTTCTGTAAGTAATGCTAAAGGGAGTACTTCAATCAGAAAGAAAAGGACATTAATGAGCCATAAGTAATCACCTGAAGGTATAAAACTTGCTGGTAATAATAAGTACACAGAAAAGCACAGAATATTATAACACTAAAACTGTGGTGTGCAAACTATTCTTAAGTAGAAAACTAAATGATGAACCAGACAAAATTAATAACTTTTCAAGACAATAGACAATACAATAAAATAGAAATAGCAAAAAGTTAGAAATCATGGAGACAAAATTATAGGTGTCAAATCTTTATTAGTTTTTGTTTTTCTTATTTGTTTATGCAAACAGTGTTAAGTTGTTAGCAGCTTAAAATAATGGATTATAATATAGCACTTGCAAGCCTCATGGTAACCTCAGACCAAAAAACATACCAGATATGCAAATAATAAGAAAATAAGCAGAAAATAAATCATATCACCAGAGAAAATTACCTTCATTTAAAGGAAGAGAGGAAGGAGAAAAGAAGGAAGAGAAGACCAGAAAATAACCGGAAAACAAATAATGAAATGGCAGGAGTCACTCCTTATCAAGAATAACATTGAATATAAACAGACTAAATGCTCCAATCAAAAGACATAGAAAGGCTGAATGGATGAAAAACCAAGACCCCTTGATCTGTTGCCGACAAGATACACATAGACTGAAAATAAAACAATGGAAAAAGATATTTTATACCAATATAAAGCAAAAAAGAGAAAAAGCCATAATCATATCAGACAAAATAGATTTCAAGACAAAAACTATAAGAAGGAAGAAAGGTCACTATATAATGATAAAGGGGTCAATTCAATAAGATAATATAACAATTTTAAATATATATGCACCCAATGCTGGAGCACCCAGATATATAAAGCAAGTATTATTAGAACTAAAGAGAGGCATAGGCCAAAATATAATAATAGCTGGAGATTTCAACACCTCACTTTAAACATTGGACAAATCTTCCAGACAGAAAAAACAACAAAGAAACATCAGACTTAATCTTCACTATAGACCAGGGGTCTGCAACCCCTGGGCCATGGACTGGTACTGCTTCATGGCCTATTAGAAACTGGGCCACCCAGCAGGAGGTGAGTGGGCAAGTAAGCATTACTAACTGAGCTCCACCTCCTGTTAGATTGGTGGCATTAGATTCTCCTAGGAGCATGAATCGTATTGTGAACTGCACATGTGAGGGATCTAGGTTGTGTGTTCCTTATGGGAATCTAACTAATGTCTCATGATCTGAGGTAGAACAGTTTCATTCCAAAACCACTCCCCGATACATGAAAAAACTGTCTTCCACGAAAGCAGTCCCTGGTGCCAAAAAGGTTGGAGACTGCTATAGACCAAATGGACCTAATGTTCTAAGAACATTTCATCCAAAGTCTGCAGAATACACATTATTTTTCTCAGAACACCAATCATTCTCAAAGATAGACAATATGTTGGGTCACAAAGCAGTCTTAAAACATTCAAAATAATTGAAATAAACATCTTCTCTGACCATAATGGAATAAAACCAGAAATCAATAACAAGAAGAATTTTGGAAACTATATGAATACAAGGAAATTAAACAATATGCTCCTGAATGACTAGTGGGTCAGTGAAGAAAGTCAGAAGGAAATTGAAAAGTTTCTTGAAACAAAGAATGAAAACACAACATACCAAAACTTATGGGATACAGCAAAAGCAGTACTAAGAGGGAATTTTATAACTGTAAGTACTTATATCAAAGAAGAAGAAAAACTTCAAATAAACAACCTAATGATGCATCTTAAAGAATTAGAAGAGCAAGAGCAAAATTAGTAGAAGAAAAGAAATAATAAAGATCAGAGCAGAAATAAATGAAATTGAAATGAAAAACAATAACATTTCATTGAAACAAAAACATTTCATTGAAATGAAAATCAATGAAACAAAAAAGTTGTTTTTTTAAAAAATAAAAAATTTGACAAACCTTTATCCAGACAAAGGAAAAAGAGAAGATTCATATAAAATCAGAGATCAAAAATGAGACATTACAAAAGATAATACACAAATTCAAAAGATCATTAGTGGCTACTATGAGCAACTATATTCCAATAAATAGGAAAATCTAGCAAAATGGAAAAATTCTTAGACACATAAAACCTACCAAGATTGAACCAGGAAGAAATTCAAAACCTGAATAGAACAGTAACAAATAAGGAGATCAAAGCCATAATAAAAAGTCTCCCTGTAAAGAAAGGCCCAGGACCCAAAGGCTTCATTCACTCCTGAATTCTGAGAATTCTTTAAAAAAGAACTAATACCAATCCTATGCAAACTATTCTGAAAAATAGAGGAGGAAGGAATACTTCCATAATGATTGTATGAGGGCAGTATTACCCTGATACCAAAACCAGACAATGACACAGCAAAAAAAAGAAAGCTACAGGCCAATATCTCTGATGAATATCGATGCAATAATCCTTAACAAAAGGCCAGCAAACAGAATTCAACAGTACACAAAAAAGATCATTCATTATGACCAGGTGGGATTTATCCCAGGGATTCAAGGATGTTTCAACATACACAAATCAATCAATGCAATACATCATATCAACAGAATGAAGGACAAAAACCATATTATTTCAATTGATGTTGAAAAAGCATTTGATAAAATTCACCATCCCTTCATGATAAAAGCTCTCAAATTAATGAATATAGAAGAAACCTACCTCAACATAATAAAGCTATATACAACAGACCCACAGCTAGTATCATACCAAATGGGAAAAAAATCCAAATGCCTTTCATCTAAGTTTTGGAACATGAAAAAGATGCCCACTTTTACCACTGTTATTCAACACAGTACCGGAAGTCATAGCTAAAGCAATTAGACAAGAGAAAGAAAGGGAATCCAAATTGTAAAGGAAAGAGTCAAATTGTCCATGTTTGCAGATAATATGTTCTTATATTCAGAGGAATGTAAAGACTCCACACACAAAAAAACCTGTTAGAATTAATAAACGAATTAACTAAAGTTACAAGGTACAAAACCAAAGTACAAAAAAGTCAGTAGCATTTCTACATGCTAACAGCAAACAATCTGGAAAAAAAAGAACTTTAAAAGAGTTCTATTTACAATAGCTAAAAAATTAAGTACCTAGAAATTAACCAAAGAAGTGAAAGATTTCTATAATGAAAACTTTAAAACACTGTTGAAAGAACTTGACGAGGACATCAAAAGATGGAAAGATATTCTGTGTTCATGGATTTGAAAAATTGTTATTGTCAAAATATTTATACTACCCAAAGCAATCTACAGATTCAATGCAATCCCTATCAAAATGCAAGTGATACTCTTCACAGAAATAGAAAAAAGAATTCTGAAATTTATATGGCATCACAAGAGACCCAGAGTAGCCAAAGCTATCCTGAGGAAGGAGAACAAAGGTGGAGGAATCACATTACTTGACTTCAAATTATACCACAGAGCTATAGTAACCCAAACAGCATGGTACTGGCATAAAAACAGACACTTGGACAAATGGAAGAGAACAGAGAACCCAGAAACAAACCCACACATGTACAGTGAACTCATTTTCAAATGATAGTACTTTAGAGCCCTAAAGTATTCAGAAACTGGGATTGAAATTTGCTTAATACTTTAAGGCTCTAAAGTACTGATAAAGCTAGAGAGTTAATTTCTTTATCCAAGTTTTTAAAGGAATTTTGGATTGGATTTTTCAAAGCCTCTATTACTTGCCCCACTACTCTGAGGTAGAAAACCAAGCCCAAAAAACATTCCTCACTAAATTTTCCTGCAAAATCTATAAAGTCAATTGAATTATTTTATTTTCAAGGTCCACCAATTTGCTAAGGTCCTTGGCTTGATAGAGGGTAACACCACTGGGAATCATTAAGTCAGATACTAGTTCTGTTTTCCTGGGAGGGCTTTGTTGACATTGATTCCATGTATAAGGCTTGTCATACATATTTACAAGAGGCTTAGTCTCAAATATGACACTCCAGGAATGGTCTTGACAGCACAATTGATTTATCCAATGACATCCTTTTAAAAAAGAGAACAAATTATTATTGAATCTATGCAAATAACTATAGCAACAACAAATCAAAGAGAATTAATAAAAGTATTTCTTTATAAATTTTCAAAGGTCAGTGAAATCAGATATCATTAAAAATGTTTTATTTCAGTTTAAAATAGTATAGTTGAGGGTTTAAAGTGATTAAGAAGAAAGACAAAGTCATACATCTATACAAATGGAGAGTTAAAAATAATACCAACACTATTTCAGACTAACATTCATAATTAAATCCCCCTTATTAGTTTATTTGGTCCTATGTAATTCATTTTTATTTCACTGGGTCTTATATCAGCTGTTTTCTTTCAGAAACTCACCAGATTTAAAATGTGTTGGAAATCCTGACTCTGTCCACTGGTGTGGTCTGAAAGTAATTCAAGAGATGTCAGCATGGAAGCTCATAATTAGGACTGTTCTTTCAATTAGCAATATTTAGAATACCTGGTAGAGTATTTGCCATAAAGTTCTGAGAATACTCTATATGTTGAATACACAAATTCTAGCTTGTAGCAGGCCCTTCAGGCAAGCATGTGGGAAAAAAGAAAATATGTATAGTTGACAAAGACTGAATGATTGTGGTTAATTTATTACAATAACGAATAATAGAACTGAGGAGTTAATTTATTACAATAACCAATAATAGAACTGAGGAGATAAAATTCTCTATTGAGGTATAGTAAATAACTGTGTTATAAGGTTTTCCTCAGTTTCCCTGAGGATATGAATATGTTATTTTTAATTTTTAATTTTTGTGGGTGCAGAGTAGGTATATATATTTATGGAGTACATGAGATATTTTCATGCAGGCATACAGTGCATAGTAACCACCTCATGTAAAATGGGGTATCCATTCCCTCAGGCATTTATCCTTTGTGTTATTAACAATCTAATTATACTCTTATTTATTGGTAAATGTACAATTAAATTATTGACTATTGTCACTCTGTTATGCTATCAAATACTATGTCTTATTTCTAACAATTTTTTTGGTACCCATTAATCGTCCCTACTTCCCCATCATCCCCTCACTACTCTTCTCACCCTCTGGTAACCATCCTTCTACTGTCTGTCTCCATTTCAATTGTTTTTATTTTCATGTCCCAAAATAAGTGAGAACGTGTGATGCTTGTCTTTCTCTGCCTGGCTTATTTCATTTAACATAATGACCTCCAGTTCCATCCGTGATGTTGCAAATGACAGAGTCTCATTCTTTTTTATGATTGAATAGTACTAAATTGTGTATAAGTACCATATTTTCACTATCCATTTATCTGTTGATAGACACCGTGATGGTTAATACTGAGTGTCAACTTGGTTGGACTGAAGGATGCAACTATACATAATTTCTTTTTTCTCACATGTTTACCTGAAGGGCCTGCTACCTCCTGGGTGTGTCTGTGAGGTTGTTGCCAAGGGAGATTAACATTTGAGTCAGTGGGTCGGTGAAGGCAGACCCACCCTTAATCTGGTGAGCACAATCTAATCAACTGCCAGTGAATATAAAACAGGCAGAAAAACGTGAAAAGGTGAGACTGGCGTAGCCTCCCAGCCTACATCTTTCTCCTGTGCTGGATGCTTCCTGCCCTCAAACTTCGGACTCCAAGTTCTTCAGTTTTGATACTTGGACTGGCTCTCCTTGCTCCTCAAGCTTGCATACAGCCTATTGTTGGACCTTGTAATCATGTAAGTTAATATTTAATAAACTCCCATATATATCCTGTTAGTTCTGTCCCTCTAGGGAACCCTGACTAATAAAGATTTTGGTACCAGGAGTGGTTCTAGAGGAACAGAATATTAAGGATGGAGTTCTTTGATTGGTTTTGGGCTTTCTGGAGTTGGCTGCTTAATATGATTAGATCCCAAAATGCTAAGGATTCTAGTTCTAATAGTATGGAGAACACTGATAGTCCTTGGTGTGAACTGTTTAGAGAATTATGCAAAATAAATGCACTTGACGTTCCTGATTCACTGCTTGTGAGAGGCAATGAGTTTAGTGCCTCTGTACATAATACTTTTGACCATATGTGGAGAACCAAGGAACGATATGAAGCCGGTTGGTTGCTCCTAAGTTCAGCGGACAGAGTGATGAAAGAAAATGATGAACTCAGAGATTCTGTCTCCTGGCTTCAGAAGCAGATACTGAGCCTCAAATCTGCGAAGATTGCCCTGAGTGGGAGTCTTATCTCCTATAGAGAAAGAGCTGAAATTGTGGAAAAACAGACACAAACTCTTATCATGCGAGTGGCTGACTTGCAACAAAAGGTACATGCACAGCCTCACCAGGTGTCTATTGTTAAAGTGAGGGCATTGATTGGAAAAGAATGGTACTCTGCAAGTTGGAATGGGCACATGTGGCAGGATCCTCTTGCAGCTGGGGACACTGAGTTTGTAAACTCTATGAACCTTTTTTTGCCAGAAGGAACAGCTTCCCCATCCCCAGTGGTGGCAACATTCCCTCCCTGACCGATGTTGCCATCAGCCTTTCCACCTTTGTCTGAGGAGATAAACCCTGTGCTGCCTGAGGCAAAAGTGATGGCCTCCCCTGAGGCAGTTGCCAGGCAAGATAATGTTGATTCTCCTCAGGAGCCACCTGCAACACTCCTGTTTGCTTCTAGACCTATAACTAGACTAAAGTCCCAGTGGGCCCCTAGAGGTGAGGTTGAGAGTAGGATCCATGAGGAGGTGCACTACACTTGAACTGCTTGAGTTCTCTAATTTATATAAACAGAAGTCTGGAGAACAGGCATGGGAATGGATATTAAGGATATGGGACAATGGTGGAAGAACATAGAGTTGGATCAAGCTGAATTTATTGATCTGGGCCAACTAAGTAGGGACTCTGCATTTAATGTTGCAGCTCAGGGAGTTAAAAAAAAGGCTCTAATAGTTTATTTGCTTGTTTAGCTGAAATTTGGATTAAAAGATGGCCCACCATGAGTGAGCTGGAAATGCCTGATCTCCCTTGGTTTAATATAGAGGAAGTGATCCAAAGGCTTAGGGAGATTAGAATAGTGGAGTGCATTAGTCACTTTAGACCCACTTATTCCAGCTGGGAGGGTCCAGAAGATATACCCTTGACTGATGCCTTGCAAAATAGATTTCTGAGGGCAGCACCTGCATCTTTGAAGAGCCCTGTAATTGCTCTTCTCTGTATGTTGGATCTAAGGTGGGAACTGCAGTCACTCAACTACAAAATTTAAATACAGTGGGAATAATTGGATCTCGAGGTGGCAGGGGCCAAGTGGAGGCACTCAACTGTCAAAGGCAAGGTGGGCATAGCCACCATAATGGACAGCAGAGACAAAGCAACAATCAGAATAGTCTGACTCATGTAGAGCTCTGACATTGGCTAATTAATTGCATTGTTCCTAGAGGTGAAATTGATAGGAAGCCTACTGCATTCCTACTTAATTTATATAAGGAGAAAACTTCTAGGTCGAATGGACAAAAGACTAATTTGAATTATGAAAACAGAGAATCATGGCTTCTCAATCAATTTCCAGACTTGAGCCAGTTTACAGACCTAGAAGCCCCTGAATGAAGAGGAGGCTGATTCCCCTTGAGGAAGTGCCCCACTATATTACTGACAATTTATGCAGTGAATCTTTGTCCCATCCTTCCCCAAGGAGACCGGCCAGAGTAACTGTGCATTGGAGAAAGGGAAATGATCAGACCTCTCAGAGACTACTGGATACTGGCTCTGAGGTGACGTTGATTCCAGGGGACCCACAATGTCATTATGGTCCTCTAGTTAAAGTAGGGGCTTATGGAGGTCAGGTAATTGATGGAGTTTTAGTTCAGGTCTGACTTACAGTGGGTCCAGTGTGTCCTTGGACTCATCCTGTGGTCATTTCCTCAGTGTTAGAATACATAACTGGCATAGATATACTTAGCAGCTGGCAGCACCCCTACATTGGCTCCCTGACTGGTTGGGTGAAGGATATTATGGTGGGAAAGGCAAAATGGAAACCATTAGAGCTGCCTCTACCTAGAAAAATGTAAATAAAAAATGATGTTGCATCCCTGGAGGGATTGCAGCAATTAGTGCCACCATCAAGGACTTGAAAGACGCAGGGGTGGTGATTCCCACCACACCCCCATTCCAGTCTCCCATTTTGCCTGTGTAGAAGACAGATGGATCTTGGAGAATGACAGTGGATTATTGTAAGCTTAACCAAGTGGTGACTCCAATTGCAGCTGCTGCACCAGATATGGTTCCACTGCTTGAGCAAATTAGCACATCTTCTGGTACCTGGTATACAGCCACTGATTTGGCAAATGCCTTTTTCTCCATTCTTGTCCATAAGGCCCACCAGAAGAAATTTGCCTTTAGCTGGCAGGGCCATCAATATACCTTTACTTTCTTACCTTAGGGGTATATCAACTCTCCGGCTTTGTGTCATAATCTTATTTGGAGAGACCTTGATCACTTTTCCTTTCCATACGATATCACACTGTTTCATTACATTGATGACATTATGCTCATTGGATCCAGTGAGCAAGAGGTAGCAAACACACTGGACATATTGGTGAGACATTTGTGTGCCAGAGGATTGGAAATATGACTAAAATTCAGGGACTTTCTACCTCAGTAAAATTTCTAGGGCTCCAGTGGTTTGGGGCATGTTGAGATATTCCTTCTAAGGTGAAGGATAGGTTGCTGCATTTGGCCCCTCCTACTACGAAGAAAGAGGCACAATGCCTCATGGGCCTATTTGGGTTTTGGAGACAACACATTCCTCATTTGGGTGTTTTACTCTGACCTATTTATCAAGTGACCTGAAAGGCTGCCAGTTTTGAGTGAGGTCCAGAATAGGAGAAGGCTCTGCAACAGGTCCAGGCTACTGTGCAAGTTGCTCTGCAACTTGGGCCATATGACCCAGCAGATCCAATGGTGCTTGGGGTAACAGTGGCAGACAGAGATGCTGTTTGGAGCCTCTGGCAGGCCCCCATAGGTGAATCACAGCAAAGACCTCTAGGATTTTGGAGCAAGGCCCTGCCATATTCTACAGATAACTACTGTCCTTTTGAGAGACAGCTCTTGGCCTGTTGCTGGGCTTTGGTAGAAACTGAGTGTTTGACTATGGGTCATCAAGTCACCATGTAACCTGAACTACCTATCATGAACTGGGTGCTTTCTGACCCATCTAGCCATAAGGTGGGTTGTGCACAGCAGCATTCCATCATCAAATGGAAGTGATATATATGTGATTGGGCTTGAGTAGGTCCTGAAGGCATAAGTAAGTTACAAGAAGAAGTGACTCAAATGCCCATGGTCTCCACTTCTACAACCCTGCCTTGTCTCCCACACCCTGCACCAATAGTCTAATGGGAAGTTCCCTATGATAAGTTGTCAGAGAAGAGAAGACTAGGGCCTGGTTCACAGATGGTTCTACACAATATGCAGGCACCATCCGAACATAGAGAGCTGTTTTCTCTAGGACATCCCTGAAGAATAGCAGTGAAGGGAAACCTTCCCAGTGGGCAGAACTTTGAGCAGTGCACCTGGTTGTGCACTTTGCATGGAAGGAGAAATGGGCAGATGTGTGATTATATACTGATTCATGGGCTGTAGCCAATGGCTTGGCTGGATGGTCAGGGACTTGGAAGAAGCATGATTGGAAAATTGGTGAAAAAGAAATTTGGGTAAGAGGTATGTGGATGGACCTGTCTGAGTGGTCAAAAATGTTGAAGATATTTGTATCCCATGTGAGTGCTCACCAACGGGTGACCTCAGCATAGGAGGATTTTAATAATCGAGTGGATAGGATGACCTGTTCTGTGGACACTGCTCAGCCTCTTTCCCTAGCCACCCCTGTCATCGCCCAGTGAGCCCATGAACAAAGTGGCCATGGTGGCAGGGATGGAGGTTACCCATTGGCTCAGCAACATAAACTTCCACTCACAAAGGCTGACCTGGCTACAGAAACTGCTGAGTGCTCAATTTGCCTGCAGCAGAGATCAACACTGAGTCCTTGATATGGCACCATTCCTAAGGGTGGTCAGCCAGCTACCTGGTGGCAGATTGATTATATTGGACCTCTTCTATCATAGAAAGGGCAGAGGTTTGTCCTCACTGTAATAGATACTTACTCCAGATATTGGTTTGCCTCTCCTGAATGCAATGCTTCTGCCAGACTACCATTCATGGATTCACGGAATGCATTATCCACTATCATGGTATTCCACACAGCATTGCTTCTTACCAAGGCACTCACTTTATGGCTGAAGAAGTGAGGCAGTGGGCTCTTGCTCATGGAATCCACTGGTCTCACCATATTCCCCATCATCCTGAAGAAGCTGGATTGATAGAACTGTGGAATGGCTTTTTGAAGTCAAAATTACAATGCCAACTAGGTGACGATACTTTGCAGGGCTGGGACAAAGTTCTCCAGAAGGCTGGGTATGCTTTGAATCAGCATCCAGTATATGGTACTATTTCTCTGATAGCCAGGATGGGTCCAAGAATCAAGGGGTGGAAGTGACACCATTCACCATCACCCCTAGTGATCCAGTAGCAACATTTTTGCTTCCTGTTCCCATGACATTACGTTCTGCTGGCCTAGAGGTCTTAGTTCCAGAGGGAGGAACACTGCCACCAGGAGACACAACAATGATTCCATTAAACTGGATGTTAAGACTGCCACCTGGACACTTTGGGCTCCTTCTACCTTTAAGTCAACAGGCTAAGAAGGGAGTTACAGTGTTGGCTGTGGTGATTGACCCAGACTATCAAGATGAAATCAGTCTACTATTCCATAATGGAGGTAAGGAAGAGCATACATGGAATACAGGAGATCCATTAGGGCATTTCTTAGTATTAAGGTCAATGGGAAACTACAATAGCCCAATCCAGGCAGGATTACAAATGACCCAGACACCTCAGGAATGGAGGTTTGGGTCACTCCACCAGGAAACAAACCATGACCTACTGAGTTGCTTGCTGAAGGCAAAGGGAATACAGAATGGGTAGTAGAAGAAAGTCACCAATACCAGCTACGGCCATGTGACCAGCTGCAGAAATAAGAACTGTAATTGTTGTGAGTATCTCCTCCTTCTTTTGTTAAAAACATGTTTGTGCATATATACCATTGTACTAAGAAAATATCTTCATTTTATTTCCTTTTCCTTTATCACATAAGATTTATTGACTTCATATCAGCATTTAAGTATTGTTAACTTTATGTAATAGTATTTGGATTGAGGATTGGTGTGTTTCTGGTTGTATGAACGATAGTTCTATTATGTTAGGTGTAATTATGACCTTATTACTATCTTTATTTGAAGATTATGATCTCAGGAGATGTGTGTGGATTCACATTGACAAGGGGTGGACTTGTGATGGTTAATGTTAAGTGTCAACTTGATTGGATTTAAGGATGCAAAGTATTGATCCTGGGTGTGTCTATGAGGGTGCTGCCAAAAGAGATTAACATTTGAGACAGTGGGCTGGGGAAGGCAGACCCACCCTTAATCTGGAGGGCACAAACTAATCAGCTGCCAGTGAATATAAAGCAGGCAGAAAAATATGAAAAGCTGAGACCGGCCTAGCCTCCCAGCCTACATCTTTCTCCTGTGCTGGATGATTCCTGCCCTCAAACATCGGACTCCAAGTTCTTCAGTTTTGAGACTTGGACTGGCTCTCCTTGCTTCTCAAGCTTGCAGACAGCCTATTGTGGGACCTTGTAATCAAGTAAATTAATACTTAATAAACTATCTATGTCTGTCTGTCTGTCTGTCTGTCTGTCTGTCTGTCCGTCTGTCTGCCTGCCTGCCTAGTAGTTCTGTCCCTCTAGGAACGCTAACTATACTGACACTTAGGTTGCTTCCAAATCTTGACTATTATGAAGAGGTTACAACAAACATGGGGGTGCAGATATGTCTTTGATATACTGATTTGGTTTCTTTTGGATATATACGCAACAGTGGGATTGCTGGATCATATGGTAGCTCTATTTTTAGTTTTTTGAGGAACCTCCAAACCATTCTCCATAGTGGTTGTACTAATTTACATTCCCTCCAACATCGTACAAGTTTTCCCTTTTCTCTACATCCTCACCAGCATTTAATTATTGTCAATCCTTTGGATATGAGCCATTTTGATTGGGGTAAGATGATACCTCATTGTAGCTTTGATTTGCATTTCTCTGATGATCAATTATGTTGAACACCTTTTCAAATGACTGTTTGCCATTTGTATGTTTTCTTTTGAGAAATGTCTATTTAAATCTTTTGCCCATTTTCTGATTTTTTTTTAATAGAGTTGCTTGAGCTCCTTATATATTCTGGTTATTAATCCCTTGTCAGATGGGTAGATTGCAACTATTTTCTCTCATTCTGTGAATTGTCTCTTCACTTTGTTGATTGTTTCCTCTGCTGTGCCAAAGATTTTTTAACTTGATGTGATCTCACTTGTCCATTTTTGCTTTGGTTGTCTATACCTGTGGGGTATTACTCAATAAATGTTTGTCCAGACTGATGTTTTGGAGAGTTTCCCCGAAGTTTTCTTGTAGTAGTTTCACAGCCTGAGGTCTTAGATTTACGTTTTTAATCCATTTTGATTTGATTTTTATGTATGGTGCAAGAGGTCTAGTTTTATTCTTCTGCCTATAAATATCCAGTTTTCCCAGTACCATTTATTAAAGAGACTGTCATTTCCCCAGTGTATGTTCTTGGCACCTTTGCAGAAAATGAGTTCACTGTAGGTATGTGGATTTGTTTCTGGGTTCTCTATTCTGTTTCATTGGTCTATGTGTCTGTTTTTATGCCAGCACCATGCTGTTTTGGTTACTATAGCTCTGTAGGATAATTTGAAGTCAGGTAATGTGACTCCTCCACTTTTGTTCTCTTTCCTCAGGATAGCTTCGGCTACTCTGGGTCTTTTGTGGTTCCATATAAATTTCAGAGTTCTTTTTTCTATTTCTGTGATGAATGTCATTGGTATTTTGATAGTGATTGCACTGAATCTATAGATTGCTTTAGGTAGTATGCATATTTTGACAATAATAATTCTTTGAACGCATGAACATGGAATATCTCCAATTTTTGGTGTTCTCTTCAAGTTCTTTCATCAGTGTTTTAAAGTTATAGGAATCTTTTACTTCTTTGGTTAAGCTAATTTCTAGGTACTTATTTTTTTTAGATATTCTAAATAGGATTACTTTTAAAGTTTCTTTTTTTTTTCAGATTGTACGCTGTTGTCAGAAATGCTACTGACTTTTTGTATGTTGATTTTGTGTCCTGCATATTTATTGAATTAGTTTATCAGTTCTACCAGTTTTTTTGTGTGGAGTCATTAGGGTTTTCCAAATATAAGATCATATCATCTGCAAACAAGGATAATTTGACTTTCTCCTTTCCAATTTGGATGCCTTTTATTTCTTTCTCTTGTCTGATTGCTCTAGCTATGACTTCCAGTACTGTGTTGAATAACAGTAGTAAAACAGGGCATCTTTGTCAAGTTCCAAATCTCAGATAAAAAGCTCTCAGATTTTTCTTATTTGGTATGATCGTAGCTGTGGGTCTGTTGTATATGGATTTTATTATGTTGAGGTAGGTTACCTCTATCTCCAATTATTTGAGGGTTTTTACCATAAAGGGAAGTTGAATTTTATCAAAGGCTTTTTCAGCATCAATTGAAATGATTATATGATCTTCGTTCTTCATTCTGTTGATATGATGTATCACACTGATTGATTTGCATGTGTTGAACTATCCTTGTATCCCTGGGATAAAGCCCATTTAGCTATAATGAATGTTTTTTTGTTTTTGTTTTTGTTTTTTTTTTTGAGACTGAGTCTCTCTCTGTCGCCCAGGCTGGAGTGCAGTGGCGGGATCTTGGCTCACTGCAAACTCCGCCTCCCTGGTTCACGCCATTCTCCTGCTTCAGCCTCCCGAGTAGCTGGGACTACAGGCGCCTGCCATCGTGCCTGGCTACTTTTTTGTATTTTTAGTAGTTTCACCGTGTTATCCAGGATGGTCTCAATCTCCTGACCTCGTTATCCACCCGCCTCGGCCTCCCAGAATGCTGGGATTACAGGTGTGAGCCACTGTGCCTGGCCTGGATGATATTTTTAATGTGTTGTTGAATTGTTTGCTAGTATTTTGATGAGGATTTTTAAAAAATCAATATTCATCAGATATACTGGCCTGTAGGGTTTTTTTTTTTTTTCTGTATTATTGTCTGGTTTTGGTATTAGGTTAATACTGGCCTGTGTTGTTGAATTAAGTTTGCTGGCATTTTGATGAGGATTTTTTAAAAATCAATATTCATCAGATGTACTGGCCTGTAGGGTTTTTTTTTTTTTCTGTATGGTTTTGGTATTAGGGTAATACTGGCCTCATAGAATGATTATGGAAGTATTTCCTTCTCTATTATTTGAAATAGTTTAAGTAAGATTGGTATTAGTTCTTTAAATGTTTGGTAGAATTCAGCCGTGAAGCCATTGAGTCCTGGGCTTTTCTTTACAGGGAGACTTTATTATGACTTCGATCCCATTACTTATTACTCTGTTCAATTAGATTTGAAGAAATCTAAAACCTGATTAACAGTGGGGACATTGATGAATATCAAGCTTCTACCCATAAAATATATACTTTCTGAAATATTTATGCTAATAACATCTGCCTATATAAATTTAACCCATTGAATGCTGAGCATCTGTTCTGGTTTGATATTTCCATAGTAGCTGTTATAAATAATTGAGCTAATTAAGAAATAGGGAGCATCCTCCATATAAAAATGCTAATTACTTCTAGTATTTCTCATTTTGTATGATGAAAGATTAAATATTTTTTCTTCTCCAGTGGCTTTCTGGGAAATCTCATGAGATTGCTTTTAGGTGTAGAGGACATCCTGGCACTTTATTTATTTGTTGATCTGTTTTAGATTTTAGATCTGATTCTCATAAGGCAAACATAAAAAGGGCTAATAAAAAATACTTGGTTATTTGATTAATACAGAATCATGGCTGCCTGAGAAATAACAGCTTAGTTATCTAATTAGTCAAAGTGACTGTAAAATATTTCAAAATATAACTAGAAGAATATAACAGAATTTTATGTAACCGAGGTCATTGAAAAATAAGTAACTTTGCTTTTGAATTTTTAAATAAGAAGTTTATCATAATAACATAAAACACAAAAGATTATGCTGGTAAAACATAGAATCTGTGCTATCTAGGCAGGTTACAAGGAAAGTTAAAAAAATCCCTTTACTATGCCTTGTTAAGGACCCAAACACCAATTTATTATTTTACAGAGAAAACCAAATTCTTATTTTGCTTTAATATAATACTTGGAAATAAATTTTTGTGGGTCACCTAATCTGTATTTATTATCTTTTGATTAAACTCATTAAAACTGAGTGAATTTGTCAAAATTTTAACACATTTTATGGTTTTCTTTCAGATTCAGGTATTATAAACCAAGGTAAATAAAATTCACTTGTTTTAAATTAAAACTCTACTACTTTTTACACTCCCTCAAGTTTTGCCTTTCACTATGATCTTTCATATTCTGGAACAAACTGAGATGATGTGCTAGGAAGAATGTAGTCTCTTGGAAAAACAAAATCACATACACAGGTTCATTTCTATGTCAGTATTGACCTCTATTATTGTCTCAACAACCTATATTGATGATAACTTTTCACCAATGTATCTAACATTTTATTTCAAAGAAAAAGCTGTGTTGGTGGCAGGGGGCGATGCCTAGTTGAAACTCTGATATACAAGCATTCTAGCAAACCAGCAAAGTTTATAAATATACATAGCATAACTTTCTACAGCTGCGCACATCCCTTTCACATCTTACAGTGGTAAAAAAGATATGTGTCCATTAATAAGATACAAACATATATCCACTCTACAGAATATAAGTAAAATTATATGAACTTAGTGTTTTAGTATTCTATCTTATGTAGAAATTATCTAGATATCCAAGTGTTACTTATTAACTTAATTAAATATTAGTCATAAGTTTTCGGTTAGTTTAGGATTATGGAAGTTATGTTTAAACTGTTGTACTACAAGGTATAATTACTGTTGATACAAACATTTTGTCATTATGGTTCAATTTATTAAACACAAATTTGTATTTTTTTATTAACTTAAACATTACATAGGAGTAATCTTAGCTTATTTGATCAGTTAATAAGAATAATAAGTTAGTCTAAACCTTATGAAAACAAATGTAAATTTTATTTTACCGTGTACAATCATAAGTCAGAGAAAGACATGTTATTTTCCCTTAAGCCAAAGTTAATAAACCCCTCTGATTTGTCCAAAGATTCACTTATGTGAATGTGGACTTTGAAATAGAAAAATTGAGTGGGCAAATCTTTCTTTTTTTGAATAATGTGTTTTGCAGTCTAATTTATTAATACCTCTCAAAGGTAAAAGCTTATCTCATTTATGGGCACATAGAGGCAAGTAGCTTTTGATCTATGGTGTCAACTACAGCTCTGAAGTTCATCAGTCCATATTTCAGAATTTTTCTCCTTGTCAATGGTCACTAAATATTTTCTTATTTGATTTGCACTGATGAACTGACCAGTAGATAAACAAAAACATCTAACCACCAGATTCTGTCATCTTTCAGCTGAAAGAATAGAATTTCTATTATGATCTTGACAGAGGTCACCAAATTCTCAATCTGTGCTATCACCATTGCAGAAAAATTAACATCCTTTTGCAAAATCAGAAACAATAAAAAAACCCACAATAAATTCAAGATCACATGAAAAACTAGAGTCAGTAACATTATTATTCTACTGGTTCTTGGTATTCACTCTTAGAGCCAGGAAAATGCATGCCTGGCTAAGATAATGTTAGAAAAGAGTTTGAACAATGCAGTTTAATGAATACCTTAGGTATCTTGAAGCAGCCAATGGGTCCTCCAAAACTGCCAGAGAATAATTTTCGAAAAAGTAAATCATGACTTTCATACAAATATAAAATGAACATATGCAAATTTTTAATCAATTCATTAATTAATGAGGGAATTAGATGTTAAAGCTGGATATCCAGCCCTATTCTTGACTTCTTTTTCATTCACTTATTTTCTCTTTCTCACTTTTTAATTATTCATTTGGTCATTTGTTTCAAATTTAGTTTACAAGTCATATTATATGTAACCATCACTGGAAAATATGATCAAGTTTTCCTGTGTATGCCTGGAAAAATCACAATTTTCTAAACTTTTTGAGAAATGGACCATTTTCAGCTTGTTTCTTCAAGCTGCAGTATCAAAGAAGTCTCTATCCTTCAGTTATTATGGATGTAGTATGTGTGTAGAAGTCATTAGCTGTTGGTTGCAGTGTTGACCATTATTCAGATAGTATGACTCTTAGTTTATTTAACTTCTGAAACAATTTTTAATTTTCTCTTCTTATGATTCATTTTCTATAAATTGATTCTATAAATGTCACAGGGACACAAAAAGACAAACATAATAAAGTATAAAACTACTTTGATTTTTTTGGCAAGTATTTTTTATATAAATATGAATTTATAAACAATATAAAAATCAAGGTAATTTTCTTTGGCCAGCTTCAGTGTTCAAAGGGAACATTTGAAGATCTGTTAGCTGCATAGTTTTAATTCTAGACTGTTAGGGTTCCTTGACAACAAATGTGTGTGT
The DNA here is from genome assembly GCF_000001405.40 of Homo sapiens. Taxonomy (NCBI): domain Eukaryota; kingdom Metazoa; phylum Chordata; class Mammalia; order Primates; family Hominidae; genus Homo; species Homo sapiens. The sequence continues at coordinate 39,905,557 of NC_000014.9, forward strand.
GTGTGTGTGTGTGTGTGTACATAAATGTGTTGGGGATAATGTTTGAGCTATTTTTACACTTCAAAAACAGGCTCTATACTTAAAATGGTTTATTCACCAGAAATAAAGTTTCATGGGCTATTAAATATAATATTTTGATAAGACTAAATACATCAAAACTTTGGTTTCATAAGAATATTTTGTTATAAATATTTTCCTGAGTGTCAAAAGCTTTTAAAATGTGAATTAGTTGACATCAAGAATCTTCAAAGGCAAACACAGGGCAAATTCTATTTTCTTTCTATCGTGAAAATTAGTAGCACACATAGTCTCTGTGTGGCATAAAGGAAGCTACTAGGTGATCCTTACTTTCAAGGATTGAAAATATACAGAACTAGTGAGTAGTAAGTTGGTGATAGAGTTATATCCATCGTTGCTGGGAGCTCTAGCATTTGTAATATTCCCACACTGAAAGGTCCACCAATGAGCTGTCAATCAGTGGTTGAGTCTGTATACCTCATAAGACCATGACCTGACAATGAAATCCGACTAGTGTCAGGCATAACCAAGGCTTCCTTACCTAGCTTATCCTCTGTTCCTTTTTTGACAGCTCCAGAATTAAGTTTATTTCCTGCATTTAATGGATTTGTCATAAACCTGAATTGAATCTTCCAGATAAAGGAAATTTAGGACAACTTCAATAGTCTAGCTTGCAGGTGTGCTGGATTCCTCAAGACCTGAATATCAATCTGGGCACTCAGAAGATAGGCTGGGCTAATTGCAAATCATCCTTATCAAGTCCAAAGTATAAGTCCTTTTCTGGTCTTTCTAAAGGTTCAGACTTATAATTTTAGGAAGTAGAATGTATTTCAGGGAAAGAATTTGTGCTTGGAGGATCATGTTCCCACAAAAGAATATCAGATAACATTTAATAATCAAATTTACTATGAGGACACATACACCTTAGGCAAAAGTGTTTTGTAACTACAATATAATTACTTTTTGAAATGGCAATGAATCAATTTTAGTTTATTCTTATTAGAGTATTTTTCAAGATTAGAATAATCAAACAGATGCATACTCGTGATTTTTTAGAATCATGTAGAACTTTGAAATTGAGCAAGATATTTGGGATATTACTTACTGTTAAAACATATATCCTGCTCAAGTGTCTGATGACATCTTTTTATGAGCTGACAGAAGAGGATTTTTGATTCCCATATGAGGATCTAAAATTGCATATCAAAGAGTACCTGCATCTAAAAACCAAATACGGTCTATTATTTCTTTCCCATGGTCAATATTTTTTCTATTGACTAAGAAAAAAAGTGGAAAACATCAGAGCTTTATAAATTGAGCTATTTCTATAAAGTGCTTGTTTAGTCAGTCTTAGAAATCCAGAGTATAATCAAATCAGTTTTCTTTTTGACAGTTGTTTCTGAAGTCATATTATGCAAACCAACTTTTCTGGGAAATTGGAAAATATTATAGAGCAATGCTAGCTTTCTAACAGAACAAAGATGATTGATGTGGAAAATTAATACCTAAGGATAGAAGGATATTTTGCTCTTATTTATGACTTTCTGAATAGGCAATTTCATTAAAGCCCTCTGCTTCAAATAAAACAGTTGTGTAAAACATTAAGTTTTGAGAACAACTTCCTTCAATGTTTTAAAAAAAATCCATATATCAAAGTTTCAGGATTTTTATATTGTTTTAAAATTAGACTCTTTGCTTTACAATTGAGGAATCTCATTTCTGTTTTTTAGTCCTCTTGACTACTTGGTTTTCACTTTTTATAATTCTCTTGTTCCCTAGGAGATATTGTAGGTATTTTAATAAACAAAAATATTTGGAAGTTTAATAAAAATATGAATTAATGAGATTTGTTTCTCTGCTTAAAAACCAGACTTGACTTTTTTTTTTTTTTTTGCAAAAATCATCTTATTAGTCTCCAGGATAATTTAATCAAGTGGTATTGTAATTATCTGTTGTTTCTCTTCCTAGACTGGGACCTTCTTAAGAGCAGATAACATGTTTCAAAATCTATATATCCCAGCAGGAGCATGGTTTCTGGTCTGTAGAAAATGCTTAGTGTTTGTTGACCATCTACCTAAAGAAATGAATGATGATGAGGCTAGATTATTTACTGTTAGGAGATTCTTAGAACTACTTGTAGTTATGATAGCTTTAGAAATTAGGCTGGACTACATAAGCATAGTAGAATAAACTCAGAAAAAAAATGACTTATCTCTAATTTTTAGGTCCTGAATTGTGAGGAAATTTCTAAATAGAATAAATTCTGACACATTTCTAAATTCAAATGGCTGGAAAACTGTTGGTAACAATGACATAATTAATCTTGAGCAATAATATTAAAAACTGAGGTAAGCTTTTAATACACTTTTAGAATTCTTTGGTCACAGAAATATGACATATAATGATTATTGTCATGTGCTAAATCAGTAAGGGAGATTTGGGTAACAGTAATAGATAACTCTGATTCAAAAAGTTTAAACAAGAAAACCTCTTCCTTCTCATGATTGGAAGTCTGAAGGCATGATGGATCTCAGACATCAATAATGTCATCAGGACCCTGTTTCCTTTCATGTTTCCGTTCTGGTATCCTCAACATTGACTTTATCTTAAAGTTGGTTTCTCTTAAGATCACAAGATGCCTGCTATAGTTCCATGCATCAATTCCAGGCATGATAATATTCAAAAGAAGAACTCTGGGAGGCCGAGGCGGGTGGATCACGAGGTCAGGAGATGGAGACCAGACTGGCTAACACAGTGAAACCCCGTCTCTACTAAAAATACAAAAAAAATTAGCTGGGCGTGGTGGCGGGCACCTGTAGTCCCAGCTACTCGGGAGGCTGAGGCAGGAGAGTGGCATGAACCTGGGAGGCAGAGCTTGCAGTGAGCTGAGATTGCACCACTGCACTCCAGCCTGGGTGACAGAGCGAGACTCCGTCTTAAAAAAAAAAAAAAGAGGAATGCAGAGGAATGCATCTTTCCCTTGGTTTCTGTTTTCCAAAGCTAGGAAAAATTTCACAGAATTGCTACAAAATACTTTCTCTCATGTTCCATTGGCCAACTGAACCTCATGCTTATTCCTAAAGCAATTATTAGCGACGGCAATGGGGTTATCTTGATTGGCTTGCTTCAGTGGTTCTCAACCCTGGATGCAATTTAGTATCATGGGGAGAGTTAAAAAATATCAGTGCTTGGGCCACGCTAGAATAATTGAATCAGAATCTTTTGACATGTCCTAGGAAACCCCCAGGTGATTATATTATAATACATGATAAAGGTTGAGAACTAGGAACCTTAATGTACATCTAAAGTGAACTGGTGATCATGATTGCTGCAGTTATCTCTATACACTGAGGCTTTTGATCTCCCTCCAGGGCTGTGAACTGAAATGGAGAAATTGCTGCTTAGCATTCATTCATTGGCATTCACTCTTTCACCCAGCTTCTCTTATGTATATGAGTATATAAGTATAAGACAACTGACCAGGGTTAGAATCTGTGAACTGTGAAGATGATTGGATTGAGCAAGAATTCAGGTCTTAGCAAAGAATGATAAATTGAACTAATCAGTCAAGAATGTCCCCAAAAGACTTCCTAAAAATATATGTTCTTTTCTCTTTCTGGAATGTTTTATAGAAGTATTTAGGCCTAACCTTCAGATAATCTCATTAGTTCCTCTTATCAGTCATGCATTCCCTAATAGCAGGGATAACTACCTTACATGGACTTAGGTGTCAGAAACACTTGGGTAAGCTGATGCTACTTATATAGCTTCTCTAAGCCTCATTTTATTTATCTATAACACTGGTATAGTCATTTCTATAGCAGAAAGTTACTTTAAAAATTAAATTAGTTTATGAAGAAAAAGTACTTGGGCACGGTAAGAGCTCAGAAAATGAGCTGATGATAATGAATGGACCTGCATTTAATAGGTGATTACTAATTCATCACTAATATAAACCCAAATAACATATTTATGTATTATTTCTGTGTCTTGATATTTCTTGCCAGGACCCTTTCCTCTGTTATATATGTCTTTACTTTTTTTCTTGAGGTACTTTCATTTAACTATGTTATCTATATCTATATAAATATTAAAATCTTGGTTATGAAATTATCCTTCTCCTAAATTAATTTTATTCACAAAATTTACTGTTCACAAATTTAATTTGTATGCTTGTCTTTCCTTTACTCTGGTTCTTGGTGGGACTTGAGTGGGCAATTTTTTAAATTTTATCTTGGCTTCTCATTGATTAACTGTGCTTATAGCACAAATCCATTTTTTCCTTTTAAAAAATTTCTTTATTACCTTTTGCCTGAATCAAATATTTTCAGGTGTCTTGAATGTCTGTTTTCAGAATATATTTTAAAATTCCCAATACTAAAAAATATTGGCTGCATTTTTATCAACACAAAAATAATGGATGTGACAGTTTGAAAAATCTGCAAAACACAGGAATGTCATTTCCAGAGGACTCTTTTTTTAAAAAAAACAAACAAACAAAAAACTACTCTCCAACCTTCATTTCTGTTCCCTGGAAATGCTGAACTCCTTCCACTCTGGTGAGCCTTCTGTGCTCTCTTGCTTCTGGATCTCCCTGGGCTGTGTCCTCTCTCTTGACTAATTACCCCCTTTTCACCTAATTACCTTCTGCTCTTTCTCACCCTAGCTTCTGCTTCCCAGTCTAAACAGCTTTTCCCAACAACTCACTTCTGGTCCCATTTGCTAATTTCTGTGCCAACTCCTATTACTGTAGCACAGTTAGACCACACAAAATTGTTTAACTGTCCCCTTCTCTGAACTCTGGTGCACTTAAAAGGCATCATTATAGCCCAGTATGTAGCATAGTGCTGGACATATTTCCACATTTCATGAAAACTCTGTTTTTTCTCATGATACACACATGACAAAGGCCAGTAGAATTAAGGGTAGATGATCACGCATCTTCAGCATATTTTGTTTGCTTATGGATTTATTTTTCCTAAAATCCTCAAAACAGCAAGTATCCATCTCCTTTTATTAAAAAATTTTTCCATGTCACTGATATAAAATTTACTTTTTGCTTTCTTTTAAGTACAGCTGGTATGTTTGCTTTCATTGTTTCAGGAGGTAATCTTTTTTTTTCCCCCTCCTGGCTGGTGAAGTTGTATTTCTTACTTTTTCAGCACTTTATTTTAAATCCTAGCCTGCCTTTGGGAGATTTGTCTTGTGTTTCCCTACTGAATGATTTCTTCTGAGCCTGTTGCTATGAGGTGCAGTAATTTGATTTTGAGATTTCAAGGACAGAGTTTCAATTCTAGGCATTGGTTTTAGCAGCATGACCTTAGAGTGCTTTAGTCATTCTTTAATGCCAAGTCTTTTCTCTGTTCTATTTTTGCTGAAGGCATATAGATTTTACAAACATATTGGGCCTTTGAACACAATCATCCCAGCCAGAATTCTCTGGGATGTATTTAAGATGTGTTTATTTTGGATTAATAAAATAGGATTTTCTTTGACTTAAAAATATATTTTCCTGTCACAATTATACTCTCGTTTTCTTTAAACTATATTGATAACTTATTATTATTGATTTTTTCCATCTATATATTTGAATATATTTTTAAAGTTTATCTGGTTTCTTCTTTAATAGGATGTTACATATTCAAAATAATATTGTGATTATTGCCTTCTAAAATCTCAGAACAGTTGAGAAAATGTGCCTAGCAAGAGTAAATCATTATTTAAACTACAGTATTTGGATGACAGAATATTATAATTGATAAGTGAAGAAAATGTATTTGAGGATATTAATTTTTAGTAAAGTACCTGGTATAGGAAGGGTCTCATGAAAGTTTCTTAACTAAATTAATTAAATGGATTTGGCTAGAAACATCACAAATTAGATTAAAAATTGTCCCAAGTATCACAAACTAGATAATGATGATATTGCATGTTAAAGCAGGTAGCTTAGATTGCAGTTAGTAGAAAAGCTCAGCTTTGAATTTTATATAATTTTGTTATGAATGTCATGGAACTGAAAGAAATTGATAAAAATTTCAGTTTCCATGTAGCAGAAAATATCACTAAAATCTTGAAATTTCATGAAGTTATTGTGGACAGTTGTAAATATGATCATAGAACAACAAAGCAAGAGCTAATTTGAAAAAAAATGGAATCAAAATCGAGAGGATAAAATTTCATTTATGACCACAAATGATAATTTAAAGAAAAGTGAGTAGTTTTAATGTTCCAGGTTTCTTCTTTTATGCTTGATATTCTGCCTTGAGATTCTAACTGAGAAGTGAAGTCTTGGTCCTGTGTCCCTCTCTCTTCTCTCCTCTCAGAGAAGCCATCTACTTGGCGGGCTTCAGAGGTTACATCTGAGTTGATGACTTCCTCGCAGGTCTGTAGTGCTAGACTACGAGTTTGGTCCTGTGTCTCCATCCATCAACAGGGTATTTTCTCTTTTAGTATTGTCTTCATATGAAACACAAAATGCTAAAAGCGTTTAAAAATGGCCTTATATGTCTCACTCCAGGTTTCTTCTCCCACTAAACTTGCTCATTTCTGTAAAAGTGTGCTCATTCTGTAAAGTGTGCTGTAAGACTGAAATCTTAAGCTTATTTTTTATTTCTTTCTCCATTATTCTTCATGTTCAATGAATTCATCTAATGGGGACTGTTACTTCTTCCACGGTGTGTTTTTCTCATGGGAAACATCCTTAGTTTTCTGGCAAACTGAGATTACCTTGGGTGTAAATCTCTGTAAATAGTTTTCTAGCAGTTTCAGTGACCCCAGATTATCATTGACACCTTTGATCTTTTTTAACCTTTTGAGGTGGATATTATCCAGATCTTCCAGAATATGTGGTGAGCATCTTTGTTTCAGTCTAGTTATTTGTAACAATTTATATTTCCTCTAATCTTATTGAAATGACCGAAAGTCGTATGTGCACATGCATATGTGTGTACTAAAGTCGCTGTCTGTGCTGTAGCAGAAGTGATTCTGAGAAATATCTGGAAAGTATAGTGAAACCTTGAGTAATTTGTGAAAAGTATAGTGAAGGTAAGCTTGGACTGAGGTAAAGGAAAATACCATAAAAAGTAAATACCTAGGTTTCCACAAGAGTGCAGTGAACCACTGATGTCAGACCAGCAAAGACTGGGAGCAAGGCGTTGATGAAGCAGGCAGCAAATGAAAGACCTGAGGGCTTCCTCAGAGCCCAGCTCATGGTGGTGGGGTTGGTGGACATTCATCCTGAAGCTTCCTCTGGTAGTGAAGGTGGAAAGGCAAGGCTGGGGCTACAGTAATGGGCCAGTAATAAGGTGAATAAAGCAGCTAGTGAGAGGAGGTTCTCCTTCAGCTACCTTCAATCTGCTATAACAAACAGCAGGCTTTCCTTTTCAGTTTATCAACCGTAACTGGGACAGCATGGCCCCATTGAACTGCAAGAGAGGGTAGAAAAACATATCACCTTTTCAGCCTCTGTAGTGATAGTGAGAAAGGGAATGTGTGTTAAACAACTGGCAATGTTTGTCTTTATAGAAATCCAGACTAGAGTAGTAACAGTGAAGGACATTGAAAAATTTGTCCAAGAACTGTCTCCTATAAAAGTGCTCATCTCAGAAAGATTTAGAAGATTAGCGTTCTCCCTATGTTTTAAAAACATGAGATAATTCCAATGTTTAAGTCTTCTAAAATATATAGAATTAATGGGGAATCTTCAGTTTGTTTTATGAGACCTAATAGCAGAAAAATAGAAAACTACATATGAATATAGTTTAGGATGAGATAAAAATTTAAAAATAAAATATTAAGAAATAGAAATTAGCTGTATATTAAAGAAATACTATAATGAGATCAAGTGGAGTTCAGTATAGTGTCATGTGATTCAGTGTTATATTTCTACAAAAATTTTCTACAAAAATTTGGATGTGCAAACTGAAAGGTAGATTTGAATAAATGTGAGGAATTTTAAAATGCCTAGAATAAACTTAATAAACCTTCTGACATGGTTTTAAATATTCCCTTATGTGGGAGTACTTTAGGAAAAGCAAATGTTTGCTGAGTATTTTCTTTGTGCTAGAAACTTCATAGGCACAATATCATCTAATCCTCTTAAAAATTCTCAAGATAGGCATTATTCTATCTCCTTTTTTTACCGATGAGGAAAGTGAAGCTTAGAGAGGTTAATTAGCCTTACCTTAAGTAACCTTTGTCAGGTCTTAAATTTGATCTTGTCCTTTTTAGAAGCTGCTAAATAAGCTTATTAATGTTTCCTGGGTGCTAGCGGAAGATTTGAGACTCTAGGGTCAGAGACCAAAGACCTTATTACATATGGCACCTGAACATCAATGTATTTGTACTGGTTCCCCTTCAGCTGCAGGCCCCCGGGGGCAATGCAGTGGGTTCAGATGTCTGATCTGCACTCAAGTAGGTTTATATTGCAACTGAGGAATACAGAGATTGGAGAATCTACCACTTTTGTAGCAAGAGTAAGCAAGCCTGTTCTTTGTGAGAGCTGTGGAAAAGAAGACATTCATCTCTTAAAGTTATCAGCTGCATAACAACTCTGAGTAATGGATTGGGTAAAAGAGTAGTCATGGCCTTGCAATCTTGGCATTGTAAGAGATGTGAAAAAAGCTAGAGGTCTGACTACATTGTCTTAATAAGCTTCACCTCTAAATTTACTTACCTCAAGTGTTAGCAATCTTAATTCTTTGACAAGTATCTCATGCTTGTGATAAAAGTGATTTTGGTTTGATAAATTGATTCTTTTGAAATAAAAAAGTTAACAAAGTCTTACTTTTCCTGGATTTATATTCTAATACTTGTATATATTGACTTGTAAAATCAGGAGACGTTTAAAATATTTAGAAAAAGAATTTTGAGATTTCCTTGGTATTTTTAGACCATTAGTCTAAAAGGGACATTTAGGCTTTATTGATGATGATATTGCTCATTTCAAAGAAAACAAAACATTTTGAAGAAAAAGTATAAAATGAATTTAAAATCAATACAGAATTTATACTTTGTGCAGTTTGGATGTGCAAACTCCAAACCAATGGCTATATCATAGTATTTAAGTGGGCATGTGACATGGTTTAGATTTAGCATTTAACCTTTCAGACAGAGAATATATCTATGTCATTAAGTAATATATTCATGAGGCCTTTCCTAATTTCAAGTCCAACAGCTCTTTAGACACAAAGGCCTTTCTATTTTGTCCAAATCAATTTCTGCAGCTTTTAATATTTATTTTTTTAAACCGTCCTCTTCCTTTTAAAAGAAAATGTCAAGCTAACAACTTGGAGAACAGGTATTGCCAAGGGAAAAAAAAGCTGTAGTTTTTGGAAAACTAGACAAAATAGAATTTAGAGCTAAGATTTGCTAATTGGAAGCGTTCATAGAAACAAGAATGTTTTGAAGAATATTTTTCTCAGCATTGTGTGAGAAGCAGCAATTTCTGTCCTGCTGTTGTACTTAGAGCCTGTCGTATGACTTATTTCTTCTTTTCAAATAAGCCACTTTGCTGAGGCAGGAGTTTGCTTATCATTTCTATTCTGTGACTAACATTAGTCCTTTACCTAATTTTCACTTTCTAGGTGCTGGCTCTGGATGGCTCAGGTAACAACTCTAATGTAATTTCTGGATTGCTGTTTGCATTTAATAGGTATTAAATTAAATGTGCAATTGGTCGACTGGAGATAAAAGTATCATTGAGCTTTTGGCAAAAAAGCTTGAAGCATATATTACATTCCAATGGGAGAACCATTAGCTTTAATAACTGAATATGGATTGTTGGCATTTATTATCATTGTCAGAATGCTAATGCTCATTAGATTTTTAATGAGAGGATGGCAATAAAAACATGGCATAGAGTTAAAAATGGATATTAATTAGGGTATTAAAATGTCCTTATTTATGTAGTTGTGAAGAGGAAAGTTGGTAATTGAAGAAACACTTTGATAGTAGAAACATTTCCTCACTTCATTCCTTTTCTCTCCTACCTCTGTTATTAAACTATTATATAAATAGAGAAATAGAAAAAAAGGTAACAATATAACCACTTAAGGGAAATCTTTCAGACAAGTCCCTTGTGATAGGTATTTTTATGATGCCAGACAAATACAGATTTTAGCTATGGATGAACAGAACTATAATAAAGCACCATGTAATTTTATAAGTGAGAAAACATATAGATTATTGGTGCTTCTAAAGAGGCTTTATGGCATAAATTTAGAGTAGTTAAATAATAATAAATAACAAAGTTGCTGGGATTTAAAAATTCTGTCTTCACTACTCACTGGCCATTTTACTAAAACTCTGAACTTAAACTTTCTTATCAGTAAAATGAGAATGAAAAGTAAATGGAATACTCCATATAAACCTCATTTAGCATATTCCCTAGCACACAGTAGGGAAACACAAGTTATCTGTTATTATTTCTAATCAAGTAAACTAAGAATACGGCATGTTTAAAAACACAGCTTCAATCTAAATCTTTAACTGCTTTTGGCAAGTCTGTTCATTGTGGTGTATTTTGTTAAAGCCTTTAGAGCCCAAACACCCACATTTCATGCATGTCTCTTCAGCATTCCTTTAAATAAATTAAACTCAATGACCTTTATCAAGTGCCATTCCTTAGGGCTTGTGCCAGGTGTATGGATACACATATGAATGAGAAATAGCCTCTGACTTTAAAGAGACAATATTACACTATTAGCAAGTTTAGTACTTTGGATTTTGTTCAGCTTTTACTGGAATCTAGGATTTGTTTGTTTAAATAAAACGTGTCTAATTTATCAGTTACTAATGCCAAGCTATAAAATAAATACGTAAATATTTGTAAATTATATACTCTTACATTTCCTAGAAATGACCCAGTATCATATCTCTTTTCACTTATGGCACATTTCAAGATGACAAATGTACAAATAAAATTAACATGTTTTTATTGTTCATGTAGAATGAAGAATGGGGGAATTTTGAATGCTTACATAGCTATTCCTTGGTGAACACCTTTAGCCTAAGCTAAATTTCAGCTGTGGTAAATGTGCAGGTTGGTAGCAGAGCTCCCAGCTGCTCACTAGTATCAGTTTCTCAATCCCAGAACCAAAAGCCAGACAAACCTAGGATTAAGTCTAGTTCTTTTATTTACTCACAGTAGGACATTGGGCATATTACTTAAATCGGGATAGCCTTCGGTTTCTGCATCTGTAAAATGGGGATAATGATAGCCCACAAAGTATACAAAAATTACTATGTGCCAAGACTGTACTTAGCACAGTACAAGACTATTTAGAAGAATATTTACTTAGCACAGTACAGCCCTGGCACATAGTACTTTTTATACATAGTCTTATCAAACTCCTACACCCACTGTACTTAGCATAGTCCTGGCACATAGTAAGTGCTATGAAAATTCATTTTTTTAAAATTATTCCCTTTTTGGTCTTTTTTAATGTGACAAGAAAAGTTTCAGTGATTGAAGGGTCCTTCTCAGATATAATTTGTCTTTAATTCCTCACCCTTAAGACCAATTTAGAGGACCTCAAAGTAAATGGCATTGTAGTATGAGGCAAAAAATATTTATTGAAAATGCAACATTGAACAATTCTTTTAATCTAACCCACAATTTACACTGCATGATTTTTAAGGTGTATAGGAATACTAAAAAATTATATTTGAAATCTGGAGAGACAAACATAAGATATCTCTATGGATGCATATGGTGCTAGGTCAAAGGATGAATGCGTTTCAGTGAATCCTAACACTGCTCTGTTTATTACAGAAAAGGAATGATCATATGAGATACTCAGGGGTTTCTTTCAAATGCACCAATAACTGTTGAAAGTGTCAATCTATTGTATAATCAGGATTGACTGCTTTGAAATCTAAGTCAATCCTTTTTGAAATCTAAGTCAATTCTTTCCCCTTCATCTATAGAGCCTCTCCCTGCATTCTAGTCTCATCAGCTATGTGATATAGCCCTTCTCTACTAATCCTTAGCCCATGTAACCATGAAAAATCTTCAATCTTTTGAGATACTTCCTGGAAGCCTTAGCTAATATATTCCTCTTATCACTCTTGGTAGAACTCCTTATAAGTTGTCACTTATACCTGGCTTTGCCCCATTTTTGTAATAACAATATTAGTAATAAGTACTAATGCATTACAGCCTTACTATGTGCCAGGAACTGCATTCAGGATTTCAAATATATTTTCTCATTTTATCCCCACAAGGATTCTTTGGTAGCAAGTTTAAGTTACTGCTAGAGTGACCCATTCTGGATAGTTATAATCTTGCCAAAGGCACTGGAGGGTGTAGAAAGAAATCTTGAGGGAAATCTGGTGTTTCAGGTGCAGAAAGATACTTGTGGGCATTCAGCTTATCCAAATACAAATAAGGTACAGTCCCTGGCCATGAAGGAAGAGAATCAGATAAATAAGCAACTGTTAGGTTGAGACGTGAAAATTTCCATTTTTGTAGAACAAATTGGTCACATGAAAAGAATTTCATTTTTTTAACTTCATATTATATAATGTAATAATTAAGGATGCAAAAGTATCAATGTTTGCTTTAAGAACTTAAAAATGAAAATAAGAATAAGAGAAATACTTCTATAGTTCATAATGCAATTGTTTATTTTACAAGTGTATAAAAATTTAGACCCAGCAATTATTTATTCAGTATTATGAGAAATATTTGTTGTAAGGGAAAAATATCAAGCTCTAAAATCACAGTGGTTAGATTACATGAAGGTAGAAAATAAAAGAAGGTTGATCTACGTTAAGTGTTTCTATTATAAAAAATATACAGATTGAAATTTTTATTTGTTTTTCACATTTGTTCCTAATAGGGTACATATGAATTTTAGTGACTCTCCAGAGGAACAGACATTTTCCTTTTTTTTTTTTTTTTCCGAGATGTAGTCTCGCTGTGTCACCCAGGCTGGAGTGCAGTGGCACGATCTTGGCTCACTGCAACCTCTGTTTCCCAGTTCAAGTTATTCTCCTGCCTCAGCCTCCTGAGTAGCTGTGATTATCCGGGCCCTCCACCACACCTAGCTAAGAACAGACATTTTCAAAGACTATTTTTAACATATTTTTTTTAATTTAAGAGGAGTAATAGTCATAAGACCTTCTGATCTTCCATGGATGAAAAAATAGGTTAAGCATTCAGAATAAAATGTTGTGACTAATGTATTTATGAACATATTTTTTTTTCACATATAATTGGTCCTTTAGCTTTATTAAAGATACTTCAGATAAGGACAATATTTCAATATGACAGTGGTAAGAAGTGAAATGAATTGCTTTTTCTAGTACAGTTAAAACAAAACTTGACCAGGGTGATAGCAGAATGTCTGTAGGGAATACTGAATGTCAGTTAAACTACAGGAGACAAATAGGATGTCCAGAGATTAAAATGTATAAAAGTATAATATTATAAGCCTTTCAAATTGGATCAGTATTGAGGATATCTCATCAAATAGATGGGACTATGATTCTAAGGCTGAAAGCCATTATCTCTGTGTTTGATGTTACATCTCCTGTGCCCAGCATAGGCTTATTCATAAAATGTGGCAGTAGCTGTTGCATGAATAAATTAACTAATGGAATATATCAGAGTATAAACTTTTAAGTCTAATGATTGATCTTATTTAAAATTAGAAAATCTTTGCAGGCATGAAGGCATTTTTTATATTTGCAGAAACAAGTCAGTGAAGATGAAAATTCATGTTACAGAGAGGAACAAAAAAGGAACAGGAGACTAAGATTAAACGCTTAATTTTATTCATTCAGATGCACACCAATAAACATAATAAGATTCATGTTAAAGACTGTACATTTTATTAGATGATTAAAAAGTTGATAAACAGATCTTTAATCTCTTGTGTTTCATTGAATGAACTAAGTAAGTAACCTTTGTGAGGGTAATAGGCAACTTTTCAGATTTTAACCAAATTTTAGCAGTTTGGGCTGCTATAACAAAGTAGCATAGACTGGGTGTCTCATAAACAACAGAAATGTATTTCTTACAGTTTCGGAGACCGAAAGTCTGAGATTAGGATGTCAACATGGTCGCCTTCTGGTGAGGACCCTCTTCTGGGTTACAGACTGCTTATTTCTCATGCTTCCTCACAGGGCAGGATGACAGTGAGAGAGCCCTATAGGATCCCTTTTACAAGGGCACTAATCCCACTCATGATCTAATTACCTCTCAAAGTATCCACCTCATAATACTATCATATTGGAGGTTAGAATTTTAACATATAAATGTGAGGGGGGACACAGACATTCAGTCCTTAACAGATTACACTGATCTGCAGAGAAATGCAGAGGTAGAGGCTCAATGAAATGAAAGTGAAAAGAACCTGACTTTACTTCATCTTTCTTTTGATTAACTTGTGATCTTGAGCCAGTAACTTAAAGCCTAAAGTCTCACAGCTGCCTACTCACTCACCTTAATCCGAACAGTACAAAGACAAATATGTAATTTTACATATTAACTTTACCATAATTAGGTACATGTAAAGGAAATGAAATTCAAAGTTGGTTAAGAAAGTGCCTAAGAAGGTAGCACATTTCCAGGTGTACCTCATCCCAAATTTGGAGACCAAATTATAATCTTCTATCCCACAAGTCCTCAGCCACCATGTACTCTGGCAACTCAGCAACAGACCTATTGAGAGCAGACAAGAAGCACAGAGGTGAAGAGGTTTATCCTAACCCAGCTTTGGTATCCCAGGAGTTGCCATCAATTGGAATCATGAGGTTAAGTTTGGTGATTTGAAAATGAGACTTGGCTTTAAACAAGTTTGTTGTCAATACCATGATTCCAGAGAATTCTAGCCATTTGTCAAAGATATGGAAATCATGGACCAGCCCCTAGAGTAAGGGAGGCTGGCAAAACCCAGGTAGGAGGTCAGGGAACTATATGGATTGAGTATGTTGACCTGCCCCATTGATGTTGGGGTTGGTCATATTACTTGCTTTGACAAATGAAATGTTAGCAGATATGACACAAGCAGGGGCTTTAGAAGTTTCACCCTATTTTGTGCTCTACAGACCCTTATAAGACCCTCAGGTAGATCATGTATGTAATGTAGATCTGAGTCCAGCCCATAGCCTAGGGCAAAGGCTAACTGACCTGAAGAACAGCTCTCCAGTTGGCTGAGCCCAGCCCTTTTCATTGGAATCACTATTGATCCTCAGACACATGAGTGTGGGAATACATACCTGTGGTTTTAAGCCATTGAGTTTTGGATGGCCTTTTTAAGGAGTGTACTGTTGCAATAGGTGACTGATATAATTACCAAAGTGTGTGTGTATGTAATTTCCTCTCAACCTTTAACTTTATCCCTGAGTATTATTAATTCTTATTAGTAGCAGGTGCGATGGCTCACGCCTGTAATCCCAACACTTTGGGAGTCTGAGGTGGGCAGATCACTTGAGGTCAGAAGTTTGAGACCAGCCTGGCCAACGTGGTGAAACCCCATCTCTACTGAAAATACAAAAAATTAGCCAGGCATGGTGGTGCACACCTATAGTCTTAGCTACTCGGGAGACTGAAGTGGGAAAATTGCTTGAAGCTGGGAGGCAGAGGTTTCAGTGAGTCGAGATTGAACTACTGCACTCTATCCTGGGTGACAGAGCATGACTCCACTTCAAAATGAAACAAAAGAAATACCTGAGACTGGAGATAGGTAATTTTTAAGAAAAGAGGATTGACTCAGGGTTCTGCAGGCTGTCCAGAAAGCATAGCACCAGCATCCGCTTCTGGCTCCCCAGGAAGCTTATAATCATGGCGCAAGGTGAAGGAGAGCAGGTTTCTCACATGGCAGAAGGTAGAGCAAGAGAGGGTGAGGGGAAGGTGCCACACACCTTCTTTTTAATTTTAATTTTTCTTTTTAATTTTTATATTTTGTTTCTCTCCTTTTTTAAAAAAAATTTATTATTATTATACTTTAAGTTTTAGGGTTCATGTGCACAATGTGCAGGTTAGTTACATATGTATACATGTGCCATGCTGGTGTGCTGCACCCATTAACTCGTCATTTAGCATTAGGTATATCTCCTAATGCTATCCCTCCCCCCTCCCCCCACCCCACAACGGTCCCCAGAGTGTGATGTTCCCCTTCCTGTGTCCATGTGTTCTCATTGTTTAATTCCCACCTATGAGTGAGAACATGCGGTGTTTGGTTTTTTGTCCTTGCGATAGTTTACTGAGAATGATGATTTCCAATTTCATCCATGTCCCTACAAAGGACATGAACTCATCATTTCTTATGGCTGCATCGTATTCCATGGTGTATATGTGCCACATTTTCTTAATCCAGTCTATCATTGTTGGACATTTGGGTTGGTTCCAAGTCTTTGCTATTGCGAATAGTGCCGCAATAAGCATACGTGTGCATGTGTCTTTATAGCAGCATGATTTATAGTCCTTTGGGTATATACCCAGTAATGGAATGGCTGGGTCAAATGGTATTTCTAGTTCTAGATCCCTGAGGAATCGCCACACTGACTTCCACAATGGTTGAACTAGTTTACAGTCCCACCAACAGAGTAAAAGTGTTCCTGTTTCTCCACATCCTCTCCAGCACCTGTTGTTTCCTGACTTTTTTAATGATTGCCATTCTAACTGGTGTGAGATGGTATCTCATTGTGGTTTTGATTTGCATTTCTCTGATGGCCAGTGATGGTGAGCATTTTTTCATGTGTTTTTTGGCTACATAACTGTCTTCTTTTGAGAAGTGTCTGTTCAAGTCCTTCACCCACTTTTTGATGGGGTTGTTTGTTTTTTTCTTGTAAATTTGTTTGAGTTCATTGTAGGTTCTGGATATTAGCCGTTTGTCAGATGAGTAGGTTGCAAAAATTTTCTCCCATTTTGTAGGTTGCCTGTTCACTCTGATGGTAGTTTCTTTTGCTGTGCAGAAGCTCTTTAGTTTAATTAGATCCCATTTGTCCATTTCGGCTTTTGTTGCCATTGCTTTTGGTGTTTTAGACATGAAGTCCTTGCCCATGCCTATGTCCTGAATGGTATTGCCTAGGTTTTCTTCTAGGGTTTTTATGGTTTTAGGTCTAACGTTTAAGTCTTTAATCCATCTTGAATTAATTTTTGTGTAAGGTATAAGGAAGGGATCCAGTTTCAGCTTTCTACATATGGCTAGCCAGTTTTCCCAGCACCATTTATTAAATAGGGAATCCTTTCCCCATTGCTTGTTTTTCTCAGGTTTGTCAAAGATGAGATAGTTGTAGATATGTGTCGTTATTTCTGAGGGCTCTGTTCTGTTCCATTGATCTATATCTCTGTTTTGGTACCAGTACCATGGTGTTTTGGTTACTGTAGGCTTGTAGTATAGTTTGAAGTCAGGTAGTGTGATGCCTCCAGCTTTGTTCTTTTGGCTTAGGATTGACTTGGCAATGTGGGCTCTTTTTTGGTTCCATATGAACTTTAAAGTAGTTTTTTCCAATTCTGTGAAGAAAGGCATTGGTAGCTTGATGGAGATGGCATTGAATCTATAAATTACCTTGGGCAGTATGGCCATTTTCATGGTATTGATTCTTCCTACCCATGAGCGTGGAATGTTCTTCCATTTGTTTGTATCCTCTTTTATTTCATTGAGCAGTGGTTTGTTGTTCTCCTTGAAGAGGTCCTTCACGTCCCTTGTAAGTTGGATTCCTAAATATTTGATTCTCTTTGAAGCAACTGTGAATGGGAGTTCACTCATGATTTGGCTCTCTGTTTGTCTGTTATTGGTGTATAAGAATGCTTGTGATTTTTGCACATCGATTTTGTATCCTGATAGTTTGCTGAAGTTGCTTATCAGCTTAAGGAGATTTTGGGCTGAGACAGTGGGGTTTTCTAGATACACAATCATGTCATCTGCAAACAGGGATAATTTGACTTCCTCTTTTCCTAATTGAATACCCTTTATTTCGTTCTCCTGCCTGATTGCCCTGGCCAGAACTTCCAACACTATGTTGAATAGGAGTGATGAGAGAGGACATCCCTGTCTTGTGCCAGTTTTCAATGGGAATGCTTCCAGTTTTTGTCCATTCAGTATGATATTGGCTGTGGGTTTGTCATAGATAGCTCTTATTATTTTGAGATACATCCCATCAATACCTAATTTATTGAGAGTTTTTAGCATGAAGGTTGTTGAATTTTGTCAAAGGTCTTTTCTGCATCTATTGAGATAATCATGTGGTTTTTGTCTTTGTTTCTGTTTATATGCTGGATTACATTTATTGATTTGCATATATTGAACCAACCTTGCATCCCAGGGATGAAGCCCACTTGATCATGGTGGATAAGCTTTTTGATGTGCTGCTGGATTTGGTTTGACAGTATTTTATTGAGGATTTTTGCATCAATGTTCATCAAGGATATTGGTCTAAAATTCTCTTTTTTAGTTGTGTCTCTGCCTGGCTTTGGTATCAGGATGATGTTGGCCTCATAAAGTGAGTTAGGGAGGATTCCCTCTTTTTCTATTGACTGGAATAGTTTCAGAAGGAATGGTACCAGTTCCTCCTTGTACCTCTGGTAGAATTCGGCTGTGAATCCATCTGGTCCTGGACTCTTTTTGGTTGGTAAGCTATTGATTATTGCCACAATTTCAGATCCTGTTATTGGTCTATTCAGAGATTCAACTTCTTCCTGGTTTAGTCTTGGGAGGGTGTATGTGTCGAGGAATTTATCCATTTCTTCTAGATTTTCTAGTTTATTTGCATAGAGGTGTTTGTAGTATTCTCTGATGGTAGTTTGTATTTCTGTGGGATTGGTGGTGATATCCCCTTTATCATTTTTTATTGCGTCTATTTGATTCTTCTCTCTTTTCTTCTTTATTAGTCTTGCTAGCGGTCTATGAATTTTGTTGATCTTTTCAAAAAACCAGCTCCTGGATTCATTAATTTTTTGAAGTGTTTTTTGTGTCTCTATTTTCTTCAGTTCTGCTCTGATTTTAGTTATTTCTTGCCTTCTGCTAGCTTTTGAATGTGTTTGCTCTTGCTTTTCTAGTTCTTTTAATTGTGATGTTAGGGTGTCAATTTTGGATCTTTCCTGCTTTCTCTTGTGGGCATTTAGTGCTATAAATTTCCCTCTTCACACTGCTTTGAATGTGTCCCAGAGATTCTGGTATGTTGTGTCTTTGTTCTCGTTGGTTTCAAAGAACATCTTTGTTTCTGCCTTCATTTTGTTATGTACCCAGTAGTCATTCAGAAGCAGGTTGTTCAGTTTCCATGTAGTTGAGCGGTTTTGAGTGAGTTTCTTAATCCTGAGTTCTAGTTTGATTGCACTGTGGTCTGAGAGAAAGTTTGTTATAATTTCTGTTCTTTTACATTTGCTGAGGAGTGCTTTACTTCCAACTATGTGGTCAATTTTGGAATAGGTGTGGTGTGGTGCTGAAAAAAATGTATATTCTCTTGATTTGGGGTGGAAAGTTCTGTAGATGTCTATTAGGTCCGCTTGGTGCAGAGCTTAGTTCAGTTCCTGAGTATCCTTGTTAACTTTCTGTCTCGTTGATCTGTCTAATGTTGACAGTGGGGTGTTAAAGTCTCCCATTATTATTGGTGCCACACACTTTTAAATGATCATATCTCCTGAGAACTCACTATCGTGAGGACAGCACCAAGCCATGCGGGATCTGCCCCCATAATCTACCCACCCAGCCCCGCACCAGGCCCCACCTCCAGCATTGAGGGATTACATTTCAACATGAGATTTGGACAAGGACAAATATCCCAACTATATCACTACATTTTAGCAAAGTCCTCTTACTATTTCTAAAAGATTTCATGAAAACATAAGTGCACTTATCTACTCAATAATTCCTAAATGTGATCAGCTAATTTATTCGCTTTTTAGAGAAAAGGGCCAATTAGCCCCATGTTTTAGTATATGCATCAGGTAATGTTGTTTTCTTCAAGAATATCTGCCCATCTTTCTTCCAAATAATTTACACTCAGAAGATATTTTCCCATGTTTATGTCATTATAAAAAGGAATTATTAGGTTGGTGCAAAAGTAAATGCGATTTTTTCCATCCCTTTTAATTGGTAAATATATTCTGTAGGAAAAGGGAGGTAATCAGAACTATTCAGCATAATCTGAAAAATCCTTCTAATCTGTTGACTTCTGGTACATATCTGAATTTAAAAACAGTGTTTTATGTGTAGATGTGTTTTTGTTTGCTTGTTTTAGCAGAATTGATTCTGAACTGGAAAATTTGTAAAATATGAATAATTTCTGTGTGAAGGTGAATTTTAAATTGACTTGGACTTTTGATTCCTGTAAATTATCTACTCACACTGGAATTTTAAAATCTTAACTTTAAGATAGTTAACTGTACTAGTTTTGGAATATTAATACAGTGATCTTTTTCTGATTCCCAGTGTCTACCATGACTAAGGTGCATTAAATACATAATTTTATTTAATCCTTAATCAAAGTGTAACTGAAGTTTGTAGTACTTTTCTAAAGAAAAACATACATTTTAACTAATTTTTGTAATCAACCTGGTCTCTTTTCACTACTAAGAAAATATAATTTAATCATTAAGACAAAACATGAAATATTCCATAAAAATAATAATGATAATAACAAGTAATAAAACATTTGCCAAGAGTCTACTATGAATCCTTCTAAGAGTTTTATGTGTATTAACTCAATTACTTCTCACAGTACCCTTTAAGATAAGACCTGCTATTAACCCCTATCTTTTTTTATTTTTTGAGACAAAGTCTCGCTCTGTTGCCCAGGCTGGAGTGCAGTGGCGTGATCTTGGCTCACTGCAACCTCCAACTCCTGGGTTCAAGTGATTCTCCTGCCTCAGCCTCCCGAGTAGCTGGGACTACAGGTGCATGCCACCACGCCCAGCTAATTTTTTGTATTTTTAGTAGAGACGGAGTTTCGCCATGTTAGCCAGGATGGTCTCGATCTCCTGACCTCATGATCTGCCAGCCTTGGCCTCTCAAAGTGCTGGGATTACAGGTGTTAGCCACCGTGCTCAGCCAGCCCTGTTTTATAGGTAAGAGAAATAAGGTATAGAGAGTTTAACTCACTTTCCAATGTCATGCAGAACGTACGTGATCAAAGCAAGATTCCAACCTAGGCAATCAGGCGTTAGAACCAGCATTCTTAAAATCTATATTGGTCAGTTACTAATGTTATGACTTTAATGACTGAGCTAGTTAGGATGCTTATTGGTCATAATTTCCCTTTTGAACCACCAAAGCTACTAAAATTCACCTTCAGTAACTGGCAAAGATCATCTTATCGATATAGTAAAAAATTAGAATATTAGCAGGTGATAATGATTCTTTACTCAGAGGTTGCAAACTCGAATCTTAAGATGCCTGACTTTGAGAAAATTATTTTTCCAGAACCCTTTGGGTGGGAATGATCAGAAAAATGGCAAATATTCAAATTTGAATATTTTGGATAAAGTACTTTAAAATTTGGCACTTTTCTATGTTTTAAGATTTTATGTCAAGCAACTGAAATCTTAAATCTGATGAATGGTAGCTAAAGGAACTTGATCAACTTTTGACATCAAAATTAGGAAGAAAAAACTGCTATAAGCAATAACCATTAATAATTATGTAATTTTGTAACAACATGGACATAAATATTGTTTGCCTACTTGGTTGACCAATCGAATATTTTTTGTCTGCAATGGAACATTAATACATTTCTAATTTCCTAGCCTCACAGTGTCAGTTACCAGGGGTCTATTTAACCTAAACTCCTCCATCTTTATGATTGGCTATAGAAGCTATGGAAATAGATTTATTTTATCAAGTGTGGTTAATGATGTTTTTGAAGGGAATATCTTAATTTGTGAAGTTCTTTCTTGGGAGGACAGAGCTTGGCACTTTTTGAAACATATTCTGTGTTATGTAAATACCTAAATTTGACTTGAAATGATGGAACTTATTCGTTTCTTCTTTAGAGCTCTAAAATTCTGTGGAGAAAAATAATCAGAAAAGTATAGACAGAGCTTCATCTGAAATAAAACTGAACATTGTGAACAAGGCAGAATTCTATCAGGGATTAAACACAGGAACGATGAATCTTTCTCAGAATATTAGATACCTAAATTTTTTAAGCTCTTTTTTCTTTTTTTACATTAATTTTTTAGGATCCAATGGGAAGGTACCTAAAATTAATTTACAGGAAAACAAATTACAAAACTAGATGCTTAAGGGCAATAAGGAACCATTTTTTAAAGGTCGGCAAGTGAATAGAGTGTTGAATAATAATATACATCTCATTATCTTATAGGATGACCAATTAATCTCAGCTTCCTTGGGTTAGAAACAAGGGCTTTCCCAGGATGTGGAACTTTTCAGTATATGTTATAATACGTAGTATCCCTGAGAATCTCTAAAAAGCCATGTGTTATATTTTTTCCTCTCTATTGACTGTATGAAATAAAGAGCATTTTTTTAAATGTGGCCTTTTTTTGTGTGCAGGACACATTAAATGATAAGGGTATTATTATTATAGTTCTTTAAAAAATTTGTTTAAATTATACTTTAAGTTCTAGGGTACATGTGCACAATGTGCAGGTTTGTTACATATATATACATGTGCCATGTTGGTGTGCTGCACCCGTTAACTCGTCATTTAACATTAGGTATATTTCCTAATGCTATCCCTCCCCACTCCCCCCACCCCATGACAGGCCCTGGTGTGTGATGTTCCCCTTCCTGTGTCCAAGTGTTCTAATTGTTCAGTTCCCACCTTTGAGTGAGAACATGCAGTGTTTGGTTTTTTGTCCTTGTGATAGTTTGATAAGAATGATGGTTTCCAGTTTCATCCATGTCCCTACAAAGGACATGAACTCATTCTTGTTTTATGGCTGCATAGTATTCCATGGTGTATATGTGCCACATTTTCTTAATCCAGTCTATCATTGATGGACATTTGGGTTGGTTCCACGTCTTTGCTACTGTGAATAGTGCCGCAATAAACATACATGTGCATGTATCTTTATAGCAGCATGATTTATAATCCTTTGGGTATATACCCAGTAATGGGATGGCTGGGTCAAATGGTATTGCTAGTTCTAGATCCTTGAGGAGTCACCACACTGTCTTCCACAAGGGTTGAACTAGTTTACAGTCCCACCAACAGTGTAAAAGTGTTCCTATTTCTCCATATCCAGCACCTGTTGTTCCCTGACTTTTTAATGATCGCCATTCTAACTGGTGTGAAACAGTATCTCATTGTGGTTTTGATTTGGATTTCTCTGATGGCAAGTGATGATGAGCATTTTTTCATGTGTCTGTTGGCTGCATAAATGTCTTCTTTTGAGAAGTGTCTGTTCATATCCTTTGCCCACTTTTTGATGGGATTTTTGTTTTTTTTCTTGTAAATTTTTTTGAGTTCATTGTAGATTCTGGATATTAGCCCTTTGTCAGATGAGTAGGTTGCAAAAATTTTCTCCCATTCTGTATGCTGCCTGTTCACTCTGATGGTAGTTTCTTTTGCTGTGCAGAAGCTCTTTAGTTTAATTAGATCCCATTAGTCTATTTTGCCTTTTGTTGCCATTGCTTTTGATGTTTTAGACATGAAGTCCTTGCCCATGCCTATGTCCTGAATGGTATTGCCTAGGTTTTCTTCTAGGGTTTTTATGGTTTTAGGTCTAACATTTAAGTCTTTAATCCATGTTGAATTAATTTTTGTATAAGGTGTAAGGAAGGGATCCAGTTTCAGCTTTCTACATATGGCTAGCCAGTTTTCCCAGCACCATTTATTAAATAGGAAATCCTTTCCCCATTTCTTGTTTTTGTCAGGTTTGTCAAAGATCAGATGGTTGTAGTTATGTGGTATTATTTCTGAGGGCTCTGTTCTGTTCCATTGGTCTATATATCTGTTTTGGCACCAGTACCATACTGTTTTGGTTACTGTAGCCTTGTAGTATAGTTTGAATTCAGGTAGCATGATGCCTCCAGCTTTCTTCTTTTTGCTTAGGAATGTCTTGGCAATGTGGGCTCTTTTTTGGTTCCATATGAACTTTAAAGTAGTTTTTTCCAATTCTGTGAAGAAAGTCATTGGTAGCTTGATGGGGATGGCACTGAATCTTTAAATTACCTTGGGCAGTGTGACCATTTTCACGATATTGATTCTTCCTATGCATGAGCATGGAATGTTCTTCCATTTGTTTGTGTCCTCTTTTATTTCGTTGAGCAGTGGTTTGTAGTTCTCCTTGAAGAGGTCCTTCACATCCGTTGTAAGTTGGATTCCTAGGTATTTTATTCTCTTTGAATATTCTCTTTGAAGCAATTGTGAATGGGAGTTCACTCATGATTTGGCTCTCTGTCTATTTTTGGTGTGTAAGAATGGTTGTGATTTTTGCACATTGATTTTGTATCCTGAGACTTTGCTGAATTTGCTTATCAGCTTAAGGAGATTTTGGGCTGAGTCGATGGGGTTTTCTAAATATATAATCATGTCATCTGCAAACAGGGACAATTTGACTTCCTCTTTTCCTAATTGAATACCCTTTCTTTCTTTCTCCTGTCTGATTGCCCTGGCAAGAACTTCCAATACTATGTTGAATAGGAGTGGTGAGAGAGGGCATCCCTGTCTTGTGCCAGTTTTCAAAGGGAATGCTTCCAGTTTTTGCCCATTCAGTATGATACTGGCTTGGGTTTGTCGTAGATAGCTGTTATTATTTTGAGATACGTCCCATCAATACCTAATTTATTGAGAGTTTTAGCATGAAGGGCTGTTGAATTTTGTCAAAGGCCTTTTCTGCATCTATATTATAGTTCTTAATAATAAGGCTAACAGAGTTCATACCTTCAAGATGCTTATAACTTAGATTAGTTGAAAATTTTAAAAATGATTCTGCAATAAACCAAATAAAGATGTATAGTCTATAAAACTCAGTTAATACTGAATATAAAATTGTACCCTTTGGGCTACTGATGTTTTTTAATAATAATATTCACTTTGGCATTTTTTCTATTGACCACTGGAGTAGCGAAGTGGATCATAACCACTGGATGTCTTGTCTTTCCACTTAGTTACCTCATAGTCTCAGTGAATTCTTTTCATTTATTTGCTATTTTCCAGATCCAGTTTAAGTTTAATGATTCTCTAGCTGTTTTATTTTGTCTTTTTTTTTTAATGGAGTCTTATTCTGCAACAGACATTCTGGTAGCTTTTTTGCTAATTCATTTTTAGAGTTTTCTCCACCTGAGCATGATAAATGTTATGATCAAGGAAATAATTAGATATAGTTACTAATAAAGTGTTGAGCTCGGAAAAAAACTGACATGCAAACACACTAGCAGATGCACACACCGCCTTCAGGGTGGATCATGTGAAAGGCTTTCAGCTGGACACGATGGCATGGGATGCCCATGGAGGCTGAAACAAAACCCACTCCTCTAAGGCTGCTGTTTTGTTTGCTTGCTTGTTCTCCAAGCATGCACTGTGCTCTGATTGCTGCTTTTATCTATTGCTTTTCAGTATGTTTTTCATGTGAAGATTGTATCATAGAACATAAATCCCAGTGCAGGGTATACCTGCCATCATTTCACTAACGTACTTGTCTTTTGGCTTTATAAGGTGATAGTAAATTTAATCATATTTGTGACCCCCAAGAAAGAGAGTTAGACATTTTCCTCTACCACATGTATTCGCAGGTGATAAACACTTATATCCCAACTGAAGCATATTATTTTCTTCCTTTCCTTCATAAATAAAGTTTACAATGTTTTCAGAAAATCCTGGGGAACTTCCTCCAGATCCCTCCCCATGGCTTTCATAAATCTGGCATAATAAGAAATATGTATTTGGTCCTTGTTTCCAGTTCGTAACATAGATCTCCTAAGACCCTTATGTTAGGGGTGATAGGAATGTCTTTTTTTTTCTAATATTTGATCTTTGTCCCTCGTTCCTGACACAGAGCTCCTAAGTCCCTTGGAATTTCCCAGGTTATAGGAGCATCTTTTGTTCTAATGAGGTAACTCTTGGTGGGACCCTCAATAGCTTCAGGATAGGGGCTGGTTAGAGAGGGGTAGGGCTGAAAGTTCCAGACTTTAAAGTTATAATTCAGCTATAAAGCCTAGAACTTTCAGCCCTATCCCTCTCTAACTTCTTGGAGGAGAGTAAAGCTGCAGATTGTGTTAATAACCGATCCTGACTACATGATGACACCTCCATAAAATCCTCTAAATGATGGGATTCAGAGTGCTTCCATGTTTGTGAATGCATTCATGTGCTGGGAGAGTGGTGTATCCTAACTCCACAGGACAGAAGCTAATACACTCGAGACCCTTTTGGACCTTGTCCTATGTACCTCTTCATCTGGTTATTCATTTGTATTCTTTATAATAAACCAGTAAATGTAAGTAAAGTGCCTTCCTGAGTTCTGTGAACCATTCTAGAAAATTAGTGAACTTGAGGGGGTGGAGCTTTTGTGAACCCCATAGGTATAGGCAGTTGTTCAGACATGCAGAAGGTCCAGGATTTTTGAGAGGCCTGAGATTTTTCACTGGTGAGAGCAGTCTTGCAGCGCTGAACCCTTAAGCTACAGGGTCTGTGCTAATTCCAGGTAGCTAATGCCAAATTGAACTGAATTGTTGAACACCCAGTTGGTATCCAGAGAATACAAGAATTGGTTGTTGGTATTGGAAAATACCTCAGAATAAGGAAATTAAATGATTCAATTCCTTCTGTATATTGAGTATTTTCCCCTGGGCAATTTAGAGATATACAAATATATTACAGCTATGCTAAAACTATGCCTTATAAAAGCAATGAAAGATTAGATGGTAATTATGATGACAAAGATAATCTGGATGATGAGAATAATAGTCATAATTTGAGTACTAACTAAATGTCATTTGTTGATCAAATTGCTTTATATATATGATTTCCTTGAATTGTAAGAGTAATCTCAGAGATAGCTACCACAATCTTTTCCACTTCACAAATCAGGAATCCGAGTCTGGCCAAGATTAAATGACTCTTCTTAGGGTCACACATTCAGTGTGGACCTGCATAGGAACCCAGGTGGAGAGAAAGGAGCCTCTACAACCATTTCCCAAAAGAGTCATGGATATGGAGGAGCAGCTTCCACTTAGCAATGCTGCTGTGAAGCAGAGCTTCCAGGTTGCATATAAGTCCAGAAGGTGAAAGCGGCGTTCACTAAAGTGTAAATAATGACCATAGAATAAGTCCTCCAGAAAGCATAATGGAAGATTTTGAGAGGAAGATGATCAGTGAGAGGCTCAGTTAACGAGGTGGAGAGGGGGACCCAAAGTATTTTGTGGATGTGGATACTTGAGGGAGCTGCTGTGTGTTCAGTAAGGGTATCCAGAGTCAGAGCAAGATGTGTTTGGCTAACCATGAGTTTTCCAAGAGAAGCGTGTGATGGAAATGATTACAGACGCTGTTAACACTTTCTGAGGTTAGCTTTAGCCTGATATGTGCTGCTGGACCTTAAGTTCTAAGGTAGTTGTGAAAAGCCTTATATTTACTGCTAATGCTGGCTGAAGGAAGCCCTAGGGATCAGGATCTGGGCCTCTAGGGGCAGAGGATCATGGCTTGAATTTTGTAAATCTTCCTTGCAGGGTGTGTCTCTGGTAGTGGTGTGTCCTTACAAGGATGCATGATCCTTGTTGTACAACCCCCTTTTTGGGGGTTGTACATTCTAGGAATGAAGAGTTATCTTTGTATTGGATAAGTCAAAAGCAAAGGTAAGTAAGATCTGTCACCATTCAAGCAAGGGAGGAGGGGTTGGGGAAACAAAACAAGAAATAATTTTGATTTACCACCCCAGTGTCATCAATTTTACATATACTACTTATTTTAATCTTAAAACAGTGGGTAATTTTTATATTATTGTTTTTATTTTACAGATAAGAATAAAACTTGGGGTTTGGATAGATTTAAAAACCACCCCAAGGTTATATAATAGTTGTAGGTAGATCTGGGATTAAAATCCAGCTCAACTGATTACAAAAACTTGGCTTTTTACATAGCATATGGCAAGACATTTTTAGTAGTTGGAAGTCTATTGCCTGAATCTGCTGAAATGCAAACATTAAACATATGTTAATTTTTGAATCTTGTCTAGACCTTTTGCCAAGACACGTAAGCAACTTCTGTGACCTATGACTTTTTCATTTCTCTGAATTTTGTCTCAGTACTTTAGGAAATCCAGGATTGTACATTTATAGGCAGCTTTCATTGGGAATTTTTCATTATCATCAGTTATAATTCTGACAGATGTTGGGAAGGGACTTAAATGGGATTGAAATGGAAGTTCCATTACATTGGGGGAAGATCTTGACTTTACTCAGAGATTTTTTGGGAAACATCCTCCCTCATCTCACATTCCTCAGTGTTACCCAACACAAGTCATCAACACAGCCTCACTGGGCTAAGGTCAAGTCCCTTAATTAGAAGCAATAAACAAGAAGGAAGATTTCAGTCTCAAATATTATCCCAGAGGACTGGGGGAACGTTTTAAACCTCTAATCACTGCTATAATAATTTCCACATGGACCCAGTATAGTACTTTACACACCACATTATACATCTGTTTCATCAAGTACCCAAAGCAGGAGCACTGTTTTCATCCCCATACATTTCTGTTATCTTTATAGGTATCTAATAAGTGCTTGCTGAAATGCACAATCAGAACTCAAAAGGTGAGTAGTTTGCCAGAGAAGTTAGAAAGGTCCAATTGGAGCCTATTTTATTAAGCTGGCACTTTACTCCTATGGAAGGTGAAAAGTTCCTAACCAGGGATGTTGGGCAGGAAAAGCACTTGGCCAAGAGCATTACAGATGACATTTTAAGACTCCTTTCTCAACACAGGTTGCTGGTTGAGGGGTCTAGGTGCTTGTTCCACCGCTGCTATTCTTTGGAAATTTGCACAAAGCCCTTGATATATAACTGCTCAGTTCTTTGTTTGCCACATAACCAGGGAACATTTGATAATCTGTAAGATCATTTATATCTCAGTGATTCTTTGACTTTCATGAAGTACCATGTGAACAATGAATATATTTATTTGAATAAGTGCAGTGTTTCTTAGAAAGAAGTATATGTCTTAATAACCCAAACCTAAATAACTTAAATCATAAAGAAAAATGGAAAAAATAAGAGCATCAGAAATCTATTACTTAAGTGTTAATGTCTAACAATATTTTTTAAAATCTTCATTTCAATGATAGCATTTTGCTTTGAAATTATTAAAAACCTTCACAGCATATAATCACTTATGCCTGTTGCATTCTCATGAAAATAAGTGGTAATGTTTCTTTTGAGACAGTCTTCCCTAAAGAGAAGTCTTTAGAAATAAACCAGTCATTCAGATGCATAATAAAGAGATTATCATTCTGTGTCCTGACAGACAATGAACCAGAGAGAAAAAAGAATAAAAAATAGAGGAGGGGAAATGAGAATTAAATGTAGTATTCTTCAGTATGATCTTTATTTTTTATCCCTATCTGTCTGAAATAGCCTCCTTCACCCTGGTCCTCAGCTATAGCTTAGACTGTAGAATTCAATTACCTGGCTTTGAATTCTGACTTTACCACTTACTGAGTAGTCTCAAAAGTTAGTTACCTCTCAGTATGTCAGTTCCCTTGGCCTAAAAAGGTTATAATAGACTTATCTCATAGAGTTGTTGTGAGGATTCAATTTTAAAACACACAAAAGGTGATTAGAAGAGTGCTTGGCATGTAATAGGCATTCAATAAATGTTGTCTATTGTAATTATTACAGTCATTGTTGTTAACTTATGGCTGCAGTTAGTTGGAGATCCAGAGCAATTCTGTCTCATACTCAGACATGTTTTTAAAAATAAAACTTCTCAAATCATGAGTGAACTCCCATTCACAATTGCTTCAAAGAGAATAAAATACCTAGGAATCCAACTTACAAGGGATGTGAAGGACCTCTTCAAGGAGAACTACAAACCACTGCTCAAGGAAATAAAAGAGGATACAAACAAATGGAAGAACATTCCATGCTCATGGGTAGGAAGAATCAATATTGTGAAAATGGCCATACTGCCCAAGGTAATTTACAGATTCAATGCCATCCCCATCAAGCTACCAATGACTTTCTTCACAGAATTGGAAAAAACTACTTTAAAGTTCATATGGAACCAAAAAAGAGCCCGCATCACCAAGTCAATCCTAAGCCAAAAGAACAAAGCTGGAGGCATCACACTACCTGACTTCAAACTTTACGACAAGGCTACAGTAACCAAAACAGCATGGTACTGGTACCAAAAGAGAGATATAGATCAATGGAACAGAACAGAGCCCTCAGAAATAACACCGCATACCTACAACTGTCTGATCTTTGACAAACCTGAGAAAAACAAGAAATGGGGAAAGGATTCCCTATTTAATAAATGGTGCTGGGAAAACTGGCTAGCCATATGTAGAAAGCTGAAACTGGATCCCTTCCTTACACCTTATACAAAAATCAATTCAAGATGGATTAAAGATTTAAACGTTAGACCTAAAACCATAAAAACCCTAGAAGAAAACCTAGGCATTACCATTCAGGACATAGGCATGGGCAAGGACTTCATGTCCAAAACACCAAAAGCAATGGCAACAAAAGACAAAATTGACAAATGGGATCTAATTAAACTAAAGAGCTTCTGCACAGCGAAAGAAACTACCATCAGAGTGAACAGGCAACCTACAAAATGGGAGAAAATTTTCGCAACCTACTCATCTGACAAAGGGCTAATATCCAGAATCTACAATGAACTCAACCAAATTTACAAGAAAAAAACAAACAACCCCATCAAAAAGTGGGCAAAGGACATGAACAGACACTTCTCAAAAGAAGACATTTATGCAGCCAAAAAACACATGAAAAAATGCTCATCATCACTGGCCATCAGAGAAATGCAAATCAAAACCACAATGAGATACCATCTCACACCAGTTAGAATGGCAATCATTAAAAAGTCAGGAAACAACAGGTGCTGGAGAGGATGTGGAGAAATGGGAACACTTTTACATTGTTGGTGGGACTGTAAACTAGTTCAACCATTGTGGAAGTCAGTGTGGCGATTCCTGAGGGATCTAGAACTAGAAATACCATTTGACCCAGCCATCCCATTACTGGGTATATACCCAAATGACTATAAATCATGCTGCTATAAAGACACATGCACACATATGTTTATTGTGGCATTATTCACAATAGCAAAGACTTGGAACCAACCCAAATGTCCAACAATGATAGACTGGATTAAGAAAATGTGGCACATATACACCATGGAATACTATGCAGCCATAAAAAATGATGAGTTCATGTCCTTTGTAGGGACATGGATGAAATTGGAAATCATCATTCTCAGTAAACTATCGCAAGAACAAAAAACCAAACACCACATATTCTCACTCATAGGTGGGAATTGAACAATGAGATCACATGGACACAGGAAAGGGAATATCACACTCTGGGGACTGTGGTGGAGTGGGGGGAGGGGGGATGGATAGCATTGGGAGATATACCTAATGCTAGATGACGAGTTAGTGGGTGCAGCGCACCAGCATGGCACATGTATACATATGTAACTAACCTGCACAATGTGCACATGTACCCTAAAACCTAAAGTATAATAAAAAAAGAAAAGAAAAAGAAAAAAAAAAAAAAGAAAGTTATTGAAGATTAAAATGCTTATTCTATAATAAAAGCCAATGCCAGCATGCTGATATATAATCTCTATAGATCAAAAAATATTCATGCCTTATTCTCAGATTTTTAATAGTGGCTCTAAGCAGTCTTAAAAATTTATTATTTAGACACCTTATCCTATATTTTAAAAATATTTTGTTAGTATACTGTGGATGTTATACAAGTCATATAATGGATAGAGAATTTCTTACATAAATTTACAATATAATTTTTTTAAATAAAACTTTTGTGAAATTATTTTCAAATGTTAAAAAAAAAATAAAACTTCTCAGAGTTATTTTGTACTGAATGGAAGTCCCACCAAGTCCTGCTAATTCTATTTAAATGTCTTCCGCATCCACCATGCACTTTTTATCTCTATTGTTAATATACTTGGTTCAAACATTCATCATCGTGTATGCTTTGGAATTAGTCTCCTAACTGAACTTGAAAGTCTTTATTTCTCACGTTGTCATCAGATATCTCTTTCTGACTTACAAAACTGAAACCTGTTTGAAGCCCACTCTAGCACATAGTAAGTATTCAACAAAAATTATTTTTCTTCCTAATATTTCTCTTCTAGTGATGTAGCACGTTGCTTGTAAATAAGCAAGCTCTCCAACATTGGTGACATTCAGGTAGCTGCTGAATAAAATATGTTAGGGATTCCACAGCAGGGATTTTCCTATAGTGTTGAGATTGGACTGGAACAACTAAGTTGCTTTCCAGCTCTTGGCATTCTCTAATTCTATGACATGGAGACAGGCCGAGTTTAAGAAAATTATCACTTTGAAAAATTCACAATATTTTAGACATTTTTTTTCAGTCCCGTTTGGATGTCCTCTTAGTTCCAAATATCTGTATAAATCCTATTAAGTGACTGGGTTAAGTGACTGGGTGCGGTGGCTCATGCCTGTAATCCCAGAACTTTGGGAAGCTGAGGAGGGCAGATCATGAGGTCAGGAGTTTGAGACCAGCCTGGCCAACATGGTGAAACCCTGCCTTACTAAAAATACAAAAATTAGCTGGGCATGGTGGTGGGCGCCTATACTCCTAGCTACTTGGGAGGCTGAGGCAAGAGAATCACTTGAAACTGTAAGGTGGAGGTTGCAGTGAGCCGAGATCGCGCCACTGAACTCCAGCAAAACTCCGTCTCAAAAAAAAAAAAAAAAAAAACACCTACTAAATGTGAGATTTTAAAAAATAGATTTTAATACCTACAGAAATTTGTTCATTATATTAGGTATACAGTTTTATACCTGATTGATTAGGAGAATCTTTATGACAATGTTTTTTCCTCCGAAGAGTTTTTTCCTCTGTTTCTTTTGAACATGCTAAAGAGAAACAGACAAAAGAAAGGAACATTGTTTAATATTGATGTTTTGATTATTTTGATGTTATAAAAAATAACTAAAGCAAATGATATTTGCAAATATTTAGTTTTTTATTATTTAAATGTGCTGTCAAATATCATATAAGAAAGGTGAAACAAATAAACCAAATAACAAATAAGCACATTGTGGCATTGGCCAGAACCTGCTGTGATTATTAATTATGGATTCTCATTTTCTATATATAATGATCTCACTATAACTCCAGTTGAGGAGGTTAGAAATGAACTTAGAATTCTGGCATGAAGTGACCACTTTGAAAACTATTGTTTTCTCTGTAACTGAAGGTTTTGGAATAGATTTGAAGAGAGCCATCTTATGTTGAATTTTATTTCATAGCAACTAGTTTTATAGCACATTCTCATAACAGTGAATTTTCAGTTTTTGTATTTGAATTATTAAGGTGATAATCAAGCTGCTGCCTTGCTTGTGCTTGTATCTGCACCTGTACAATTCTTTGATATGCATACTTTTTCTTGTATGATTAAGGGATTTTTGCCATATTGCCCAGCCTGGTATTGCAATAAGACACATTTCTCCACAAAGTAGGCTGAGTCACACCCTGAGAATAAAGTCCTCATAGAGCTGCTGTTTACTTAGGAGAGAGGCTTGTCCCTGAGACCAGAAATTAGGAATGGGAGGAATTTATTGGGCATTAGTGTTAGAATCCTTCTTGGACCATGGAGGCATCACAGTGACTGAAAGGCTACTAGGTCCTAGAGATATTCTCTGTGTGAAGCCTCCTGGGATTTGTGAAGATTTATGGTGTGAAGCTGGTGTCTTTGAACTGACCCTTTGAAACTAAGATATTGAGATTCTCTTTTCTCTGTGTCAGGAGTATGGAATAGGCCAGGTTTTAAGGGCCAGTTAGGGAAAAACAATTAAGCAACAATGAAAACAATTTACATTTGTCTAGGTTGAATTGTTTTATCTCTCTGACCCATTTTTACTTTCTTTTTCCCTTTCTGCTTCAGCATCTGTTAGATGCAGAATTGTGCCACCCTTCCCAAATTCCTATGCTGAAGCTCTTACCCCTAGTAACTCAGAGTGTGACTGTATTTGGAGTCTTTAAAGAGATGGTTAAGGTAAAATAGGCCATTAAGATGGGCCCTATTCTAATCTGATTGGTGTTCTTATAAGAAGAGGAAATTTGGACACACGAAGAGATACCAGGGATGTGTGTGCACAGAAAAAACACAGGAGGTGACCATCTGTTAGCCAAGGAGAGAGGCCTCAGGAGAAACTGGAGCTTTTGACACCTTAACCTCTTAGACTTCTTCGGAACTGTGAAAAATAAAATTTTCTTGTTTAAGCCACCAAGTCTGTGGTACTTTGTTATCATAGCCTAAGCAGATGAATATAGCATCTAACAAAGCACCCCTTTGGAGTACCAGCTGGGTGTGTCAGTGCTGAAGGGAACCAAACAACCCAGGACACAGAAATCAATAAGAGAGAATACCAAGAGGTAGATAAAATTTATGACTTCTGTGTCTTGTTGCTTTTGCTCAGTAGGCATGGGAGTTCTTTTTTATTTTTTAAGAAAGAAGACAATTCCCCTCGAATTACCAGTTGTAAGCTGAACGATGAAGAAACTTGGAAGATTAAAGTGAATTATATTAACCAAATCATTTTCATTTCGTGTAGTTTTAAATGCAGTTGTTTAAAATCTATGTGAGATTTTTTTTAATTGCTTTTGAATCCTGGGAAAATGAGTTCTTACAAACTGTCATAATTCTGAGACATCAGCTTTTCCTTCGTCAGATATTTGTAGAAACCAGGAGCTGAAACAAAGCAATGGTTCAGGCAACCACAGAGACTTGCATGGATGATCACGTAAACTATACACCTATTCCCCATGGCTGAAGCTATCTGGTATATCATACTGTTTAAATATAATATTCTCAGAATTTAGGGAGAATCTGAAACAAAAAGAGCTGTGGTTTTATTTTGTAATTATAGAAGTATTACATGAGACAATTGTAAACCACTTACAGTTGTTAGAAGATAGTATTACAGTGCTTTTATTGTATTTCCTATATTTATTTATGACTTTTCAGTATTCTAATATAATTTTCCTTGAGCTTCTGAATTATTAGATCCTCTATATTATTATGACTATATATTGAATTATCAAGTACTAAAAAGTGTAAAACATTTCTGATTTCATGTAAACCTTGATTTTCAAGTTTCCGATCAAGAAAAGAAAAAAATGAAGAAAACTTTCATGTTGTTTCTAATTTGTTTTTTCTCCCCCCTTCAAATCAGAAGAGGGCCTGTAAATTCTAGAGGGAACTATTTTTTTATGCCTCAGGGAAAAAGTCTGTTATTGACTTAGACTGGCTAAATCTTAGGGGTTAATGTTGGTATTTCTATCCTAACTGTTCTACTCTATTAATTTCATATTAATAAAAATTATCACAAATTTAGTAGCTCAAAACAACGCATATTTATTTATTCTCTTAGAGTTCTAGGGGCCAGAATTCTAAAACTAGTATAACTGGGCTAAAATGAAGGTGTTGGCTGGCCTGTGTTCTTTCTAGAGGCTCTAGGGAAGAATTTGTTTCCCTGCCTTTTCAAGCTCCTAGAGGCTGCCTGCGTACCTTGGCTTGCAAATCCTTCCTCTATATTTAAAGCCAGCTGTATAGCATCTTCAAGTCTCTCTCTCTGACTTCTCCTTCTGTCCTTATGTCTCATTCTCCGACTGACTCTCCTGACTCCCTCCTATAAGGACCCTTATGATTATATTGGACCAATGGATAATCCAGGGTAATCTTCCATCTCAGAATCCTTTACATAGTCACATATGTGAAGTTTCTTTTGCCATTTAAGGTAACATATTTACAGGTTCTGAGTATTAGGACATGGACATCTTTGGGGGACCATTATTCTGCCTCTCATACCCATACAACCTGAAGCCCTTCTGCTTGTGAAATGGATCTATCAGGGCTCACACGCAGTGGATTAATTATCTTGGGAATTTTAATAGTCAGACTTACAGAGTACATGTATGCAATCGTGATCAGATTTAATGGGTATACCGGATTTAATAAAGAACTGCTGTTGGTGTGAAAACAGCCTGATGGATGCAAGTTGTCAGAGGATATAGAGGTCCACAACCCATTATCTGTAACTTAGGACGAGCTGGGTTTCAGACTTTTTTTTAAATTTTATTATTATTATACTTTAAGTTTTAGGGTTCACGTGCACAATGTGCAGGTTTGTTACATATGTATACATGTGCCATGTTGGTGTGCTGCACCCATTAACTCGTCATTTAGCATTAGGCATATCTCCTAATGCTATCCCTCCCCCTCCCCCCACCACACAACAGTCCCCAGAGTGTGATGTTCCCCTTCCTGTGTCCATGTGTTCTCATTGTTCAGTTCCCACCTATGAGTGAGAACATGCAGTGTTTGGTTTTTTGTCCTTGTGATAGTTTGCTGAGAATGATGGTTTCCAGTTTCATCCATGTCCCTACAAAGGACATGAACTCATCATTTTTTATGGCTGCATAGTATTCCATGGTGTATATGTGCCACATTTCTTAATCCAGTCTATTGTTGTTGGACATTTGGGTTGGTTCCAAGTCTTTGCTATTGTGAATAGTGCCTCAATAAACATATGTGTGCATGTGTCTTTACAGCAGCATGATTTATAATCCTTTGGGTATATACCCAGTAATGGGATGGCTGGGTCAAATGGTATTTCTAGTTCTAGATCCCTGAGGAATCACCACACTGACACCATCTGATCTTTGACAAACCTGACAAAAACAAGCAATGGGGAAAGGATTCCCTATTTAATAAATGGTACTGGGAAAACTGGCTAGCCATATGTAGAAAGCTGAAACTGGATCCCTTCCTTACACCTTATACAAAAATTAATTCAAGATGGATTAAAGACTTACATGTTAGACCTAAAACCATAAAAACCCTAGAAGAAAACCTAGGCAATACCATTCAGGACATAGGCATGGGCAAGGACTTCATGTCTAAAACACCAAAAGCAACGGCAACAAAAGCCAAAATTGACAAATGGGATCTAATTAAACTAAAGAGCTTCTGCACAGCCAAAGAAACTACCATCAGAGTGAACAGGCAACCTACAAAATGGGAGAAAATTTTTGCAACCTACTCATCTGACAAAGGGCTAATATCCAGAATCTACAATGAACTCAAACAAATTTACAAGAAAAAAACAAACAACCCCATCAAAAAGTGGGCAAAGGATATGAACAGACACTTCTCAAAAGAAGACATTTATGCAGCCAAAAAACACATGAAAAAATGCTCATCATCACTGGCCATCAGAGAAATGCAAATCAAAACCACAATGAGATACCATCTCACACCAGTTAGAATGGCAATCATTAAAAAGTCAGGAAACAACAGGTGCTGGAGAGGATGTGGAGAAATAGGAACACATTTACACTGTTGGTTTCAGATTTTTAAAAGGTAATGTGGTTCAGAACTATATATTACATAACGTTCCCAGTGGGCTCTGTAGCTAGATTAATTACTATTTCTGCAGTAAAAGATGAATATTCATATTTCTTATTAAGATAAAAAGCACCTTAAATAGCCTTTTATCAGTTCCTGTCAGGTTTTTGCTGCCTCTTGACTTGCAAAAAATATGCAATTTTTAGAAGCCTTTTGATTTTGTAATTGTCTATGGTATCATTGCGTAGGGAAGACCAAGAGCCAGAAAATACACAATGCACACATGCACATGTGCAGATACCTCTGCAAACAACTTTAATATACTTGTGTGTTTAGTCAAAGTTGGGCTGAAATTTGTGCATGAAAATGAGCTAGAAAAAAGTAGGTTCATACATAATAAGAACTTTACTAAGTATTCTGTCATAAATCTCTTTTCTCACTTGAATATAAGGAGCTGTTCTTGTATAGTTAGAGAAAACAACTATAGATGATTGAACTACTAGAAATTTTTCTTGGTACAGAGCCCTTAGTTTTTCTAACATTTACCTGGTAGGAACACTACGTGAGGGAAAAGAGTATTTTTCTCTAGACTGATGGAAACTAACTCTTCTAAATGTCGTTAGAGCTCTCGGAGAGCTAAGGGAGATCCATCAGTATGATTTTTTTTTTTTTTTTTTTTTGGTGGTGAGGGGGTACCCATTACCTCAAACATTTATCCTTTATGTTACAAGCAATGCAATTGTGTTTTATCTCTGTGAGTGTAATTATTTTAATTTTTAGCTCCCAGAAATAAGTGAGAACAGGCAAAGTTTGTCTTTCTGTGCCTGGCTTATTTTGCTTAACATAATAACCTCCAGTTCCATCCATATTGTTGCAAATGACAGGATGTCATTCTTTTTTTTTTAAATTTATTACTGGCTAGTACTCCATTGTGTATATGTAACAGATTTGCATTATCCATTCATCTGCTGAACACTTAGGTTGCTCCCAAATCCTAATTATTGTGAGTAAAAAAGTGCTGCAATAAACATGGTAGTGCAGATACCTCTTGCATGTATTAATTTCCTTTCTTTTGGATGTATACCTATGAGTGGGATTGCTGGATCATATGGTGGCTCGATTTTTAGGTTTTTGAGAAACTTCCAAGCTGTTCTCCATAGTGATTTCACTAATATACATTCTCACCAAAAGTGTATGAAGGTTCCCTTTTCTCCACATCCTCACCAGAATTTGTTATTGTCTCTTTTGGATATAAGGCATTTTAACTGGGGTGAGATGATATCTCATTGTAGTTTTAACTTTGCATTTCTCTGATGATCAATTATTTTGAGCATCTTTTCACATACCTGTTTGCCATTTGTATGTCTTCTTTTGAGAAAGTATCCAAATCTTTCACTCATTTTTAACGAGATTATTAGATTTTTTCTCCTGTAGAGTTATATATTCTAGTTATTAATCCTTTGTCACATGGGTAGTTTGCAAATATTTTCTCTCATTCTGTGGGTTGTCTCTTCACTCTGTTTATTGTTTCCTTTCCTGTGCAGAAGCTTTTAAACTTGTGACCTCATATATCCATTTTTGCTTTGATTGCCTGTGCTTGTGGGGTATTACTCAAGACATTTTTGTCCTGTCCAGTGTCCTGGAAATTTTCCCCTCTGTTTTCTTTTAGTGGTTTCCTAGTTCGAAGTCTTAGATTTAAGTCTTAAATCGATTTTGATTTGATTTTTGTGTATGACAAGAGACAGGAGTCTAGTTTCATTCTTCTGCACATGGATATCCAGTTTTCCCAGCACCATTTACTGAACGGACTCTTCTTTCCCCACTGAATGTTCTTGCCAACTTAGTCAAAAAAGAGTTCACTGTAGATGTATTGATTTATCTCTAGGCTCTCTATTCTGTTCCACTGATCTATATCTCTTTTTATGCCAATACCACCCTGTTTTGGTTACTATAACTCTGTGGTATAACTTAATGTCAGGTAGTGTGATTCCTCCAATTTTATTATTTTTGCTTGGGATAGCGTTGGCTATTCTGGGTCTTTTGTGATTTAGTATAAATTTTAGGATTTTTTTTTCTATTTTCGTGAAGAATGCCATCGGTATTTTGATAGGATCTCATCAAATTTATAGATTTCTTTGGGTAGTATGGATATTTTAACAATATTCGTTCTTCTAATCCATGAAAATGAAATATTTTTCCCTTTTGTGTGTGTCTTCTTTGATTTCTTGCATCAATGTTTTATAGTTTTTTTTTTTGTAGAGATCTTTCATTTCTTAGCATAATAATTCCTACATATTTAATTTCATTCTTAGGTCTAAGGGGAATTTCTTTCTTTATTTTTCAGATTGTTTGTTGTTGGCATATGGAAATACTACTAATTTTTCTGTGTTGATTTCATACCCTGCAACTTTACTAAATTCGTTTATCAGTTCTAATAGTTTTTTCTGGTGGAGACTTTGGGTTTTTCTAAATATAAGATCATATCATATGTAAACAAGGATAATTTGACTTTTTCCTTTCTAATTTGGATGCCCTTTGTTTCTTTCTCGTGTCTGATTATTCCAGCTGGAAGTTCTAGTACTATGTTGAATAACACTGATGAAAAGGGGTATCCTTGTCATGTTCTTAATCTTAGAGAAAAGGCTTTCAGTTTTTTTCCCAGTTCAGTATGATATTAGCTATGGGTTTGTTATATATGGCTTTTATTATGTTGAGGTATATTCCTTCTATACCCAGTTTTCTGAGCGTTTTTATTATGAAGGTATGTTGAATTTTATCAAATGCTTTTCCAGCATCAATAAAATGATCATATGATTTTTGTCCTTTATTCTGTTGACATGATGTATCACATTAGTTGATTTACATATGCTGAGCCCTCCTTACAACCCTGGGATAAACCCCACTTGGTCATGATGAATTATCTTTTTAATGTATTGTTAATTTCATTTGCTAGTATTTTGTTGAGAATATTTGCATCAATATTCAGTGATATTGCATGTAGTTTCCTTTTATTGATATGTCTTTGTTTGGTTTTGATATCAGGTAAGACTGGCCTTGTAGAATGAGTTTGAAAGTATTCCTTCCTCATTTTCTGGAATAGTTTGAGTAGAATTAGTAATGGTTCTTCTTTAAATGTTTTGTAGAATTCAGCAGTGAAGCCATTGGGTCCCAGACTTTTATTTGCTGGGAGACTTTTTATTACAACTTTGATCTCATTACTTGTTATTCATGTGTTCAGATTTTGAATTTTTTCAGGGTTCAATTTTGTTAGGTTGTATGTGTCTAGGAATTATTTATTTCTTCTATATTTTCCACTTTATTGGCAAGTAGTTATGGTAGTCTCTAATGAAACTTTGAATTTCTGTGGTATCAGCTGTAATATCTCTCTTTTGATCTCTGCTTTTATGTATTTGTGTCTTACCCTTTTTTTTTCTTAGTTTGGCTAAAAGTCTGTCAATATTTTAAATCTTTTTGAAAAAACAACTTTGTTTCATTGATCTTGTTATTTTTTCATTTCAATTTCATTTATTTCTCCTCTGATCTTTATGATTTATTTTCCTCTATTATTTTTGGGTTTGGTTTACTCTTGCTATTCTAATTCTTAAAGATGCATCATTAGGTTGTTTATTTGAAGTTTTCTTCTCTTTTGATGTAGGCACTTACAGCTATAAAATTCCCTCTTAGTTCTGCTTTTGCTGTGTCCCATAGGTGTGGGTATGTTGTGTTTCTTTTATCACTTGTTTCAAGAAAGTTTTTAACTTCTTTCTTAATTGATCCTTTGACCCACACTTTCAAGTTTATTTAGAGCCTCAGAATGCTTTATCCCATGGTGGTGAGGCTTGCAAGAACTGAAGTTCTTATTGCCGGGATGAGTGATTCACCTCTGGCTAGGGCCAGTTTAAATATTCCCTCTGTGGGCATGAGTCAGCTGAGTTCAGCTCCATTTTGCTTTCTGCTGTGACAGGTCAGCACTGAGTTCAATGCATTGTCTCACAATCACTGTGCTCTCCTTCCCCTAAGCAGACAGACTCTCTTCGTGTGTCACATGGTCACTATCAGGGGATGGGAGAGGGGTGGCATCAACAATTCAAGACTGTCTTTTCTACCCTCTTCTTTGCCTCTTTCAGAGCTATGAAGTTAAATCCAGGTACTCTGAGTGCCCATCTGATTTTTGGCTCTTATGAAGATTCTTTTTTTTTTTTTCGTGTGGGCAGTTGTTAAATTGCTGTCCTTGCCCAGGGTTGGAAGGACAATTGGTGGAGCCTTCTGTTCAGCTATCTTGCTCTGCCCCTCCATCATTATGTTTAAGGGAGTTTCTGAAAAAGTCCTACTGTGGGGAAGCACAGTGGGTTCCCTGAGATGATGTAACCATCAGCAAAGGGAAAAATTGGACCCATAGGGTAGTCCTAACTCTGAGTCTGGAATTAGGATTAAGGAGAGTAGGTGGTTTTAAGTGTGTGTAGTGACATGTGTTAAAAAGCTGTCCTGAGCCCTCAAAATGTTGCCTTGAACCCAGGAAATGGCTGTGTGTGTGAATTCAAAGAAATAGTTAGTCTCTTGGTGCGTAAGTCTTCTGAGGTATGGAGCACTCTCAAGTGAGCTTACAATAAAAAAAAAATCCCTAAATAAGGGAAGGCTATGTCATGCAGCAGTAACAAAGAGCCCCCATGCCTTACAGTGATAACACAATTTTTCTCCCTTGTTTTTCCTACATGTCTATCCATTCCCTGATGTTCCTGGTCATCTTCGCAGGAAGAGAAAGAACTCTAAGGGCACTGCACTGCCAAATGAATGCTTTTTCCTAGCACTGATACACATCATTCTCATTCCATCTCATTGACCAAAACTAGTCATGTGGTGCCTCCACACCACAAAAGAGGCAGAAAATACAGTCCTATCATGTCGCCAGTGGCACAGAACCAGAAATATTTGACAAACAACACTAATATCTATAACCTTCTTCTTTAAAGGACTGCTATATCTAGAAATGTTCTAGGAATCAGTAAGAATAGAAGACCCAGGCTCAACCTCTGGGACTCAGGTATTTCAGTTAGTTTTACCAAGAGTGGTGCTATTGCTCTACAAGTCCCACATTTCTGGGATAAAGCTCAATTCTTGCTGCCTCTCCCTAGATTTCATTTCATAGGTGGTTCAATTTCATGTCCCATTTCTGCATCGTAGCCAGCAGTCCAGAAACAGAAACTTATTCTGATCCCTGCCCCAGGGTAGCTTCATATAGAGTGGCAGAGTCCAAAAATCAAAAGAGTTTTTAACCCACGGGTCAAAGTTTTGAAGGGAAGTCTTTTCCATTGACTAGAGCAAGTGGAACCTGATTGCCTTCATTTACAGAGTAGAATGTTTTGTTGAGTAATCACATTTCAGGCATAACCCCAAACAAAGCTTCTGCTTAGCAGGCTTTCCTCTTCAATACATCCTCATGAGGTGCCATCTCTCCCCATCATCCCCACCTCATTCTTTTCCACCCTCTCCCCCTAACACTTGCACATTCTCCAATAAGTATATATAGTACATAGGAATCCCTGGAAGCATAAAGGGGAGGGAGTTGGAACTTACGTGTACATGAGTGCCTGAGCCTTGCACTGAGAGATGTGAATGGGGCTCCTTTTTTGCACCTCAGACTGTAAAATTAAACAATCAGCAGTTCAGGCAAATGTTCTCTTTTTAAAATGATGAATAAACATTAATATTTACTAAACTGATTTGAGGGGGATTAGAATTGTCCGTATTTTGTTCTCCCTTTTGATTGCTGAATATGGATGCCCTAGAATTGGCTTGTAACAAGCAATAGCAAAATATAAAGGATCGTTGCCTGCAAATGTATTAACTTGAAACAGTCTACTGCACATGCAAGGAAATATTATATATTTGATCTGTACAGTGTGCCAAGTTTATTTAACTGTAAGAATCTATGGTAGTTGGAGTCAAATGTTAAGTGGTTAAATAAAGTATGCCTTACTTGCTCACTATCTCCAATTGGTATTGATTAATGCACTGCTGCTGAATATTTTACTCTTACAGATGTTCACAAAATATCTTCTTTTCGGTTATCTCTGTGCTTATATTATCATCATTGGCAGGTGAGAAATTCTTCTCTTTCTACAGTGTGATTGTGTAAAGTGCTTTGTCTCACTCTGCTAAGACAAAGGTTGACTTTTTAGAGATGATTGCTGAAAATGCCACATTACACTACTTGCTGTTTCCCATGATTTTCGCATTAAGTAGGATGAATAAATAACTTACTTTTCAGTTGCTCATTCCTCTTGCAACTAGTTATATGGCATGCCGCATTTTCTATTTACCAAATTCTATTTTGCAAATATATTTGCAGTCCAATACGTATTTAATATCAGAGCAGGAATACAAATGGCCAGGTACTCAGGAGACTTAGAGTTGAGTTACAATTTGTTACTAAATCTTTTTAATCTTGGTGTCAGCAAACCT
The DNA here is from genome assembly GCF_000001405.40 of Homo sapiens. Taxonomy (NCBI): domain Eukaryota; kingdom Metazoa; phylum Chordata; class Mammalia; order Primates; family Hominidae; genus Homo; species Homo sapiens. The sequence continues at coordinate 39,949,535 of NC_000014.9, forward strand.
CCATGAACCCTGTATTTATGTATAAAAATCAATATCTTAAATAATTCTTAGGGTCACTTTACTTTGGAAAGGATCTGATTCAGAATATTCATTACCAATAAAAAATACTAGGAGGTTGAGGTTACTGTAATTATTTTGAATCTTTTAGTCATTCAAAATTTTCTTTTTGTTAACATAATTTAGATTAATATCTCATATAATTTTATATACATTTATATTTATAATTTAAATATTCATATGATAGCATACTATGTAATATATAATTAATATGTAATTTATGTGTATTTATAATTTTATTTTTGTTCATATTTTATTTTATTTTATTTTGAGACAGAGTCTCGCTCTTTGCCCAGGCTGGAGTGCAATGGCTTGATCTCGGCTCACTGCAACCCTCTGCTTCCTGGGTTCAAGCAATTCTCCTCTCAGCCTCCCAAGTAGCTGGGACTACAGGCATGTGCACCATGCCCGGCTAATTTATTTGCATTTTTTTTTTCAGTAGAGACGGGGTCTCACTGTGTTAGCCAGGATGGTCTCTATATCCTGACTTCGTGATCCAGCCACCGCAGCTTCCCAAAGTGCTGGGATTACAGGCATTAGCCACTGCACCCGCCCCATATTTTATATATAAACATATACTTTTGCCTCCCCATTACATACACTACTATATAAAAATCTGAATTGATAATTTATTGAATTAATAAAAAGGATAAACTGAAGAGAGGTATAATCATTTACTTCAGATTTTTAAAAAAATTTAACCATATTTCTAGAAGGGTACTTAATTGTTTGCCCACAAATTATTAGCTCTTTTTTTTTAAAATTTTATTATTATTACACTTTAAGTTTTAGGGTACATGTGCACAATGTGCAGGTTTGTTACATATGTATACATGTGCCATGTTGGTGTGCTGCACCCATTAACTCATCATTTAACATTAGGTATATCTCCTAATGCTATCCCTCCCCCCTCCCCCCACCCCACAACAGTCCCCAGAGTGTGATGTTCCCCTTCCTGTGTCTATGTGTTCTCATCGTTCAATTCCCACCTATGAGTGAGAACATGCGGTGTTTGGTTTTTTGTCCTTGTGATGGTTTGCTGAGAATGATGGTTTCCAGCTTCATCCATGTCCCTACAAAGGACATGAACTCATCATTTTTTATGGCTGCATAGTATTCCATGGTGTATATGTGCCACATTTTCTTAATCCAGTCTATCATTGTTGGACATTTGGGTTGGTTCCAAGTCTTTGCTATTGTGAATAGTGCTGCCATAAACATACATATGCATGTGTCTTTATAGCTCTTTAACATAGAAGCTTAGAGGAAGGAGAAGTGCCTAAGAAAATTTAATTCTGAAGTGTTGGGATTCATTCCCCAATAAGGTCTAACCAGATTTGAAGGAGAGGGTGAACATTTATGGCTTTCTTTTCCATTACTTAAAGGATTATTACATAGAAGAATAAGTGTTCTGTGGGCTCTAGAGGCTAAAATGAGGTCAATTACTGCTTATTTGTTCCCTTGTTTAATAAATAATTACCGAGTGCCTTCTCTGTGCAATATGCTGTGGATTCAGGTCCGCACTCTGCTTTCTTTAGTGCCCCCTGGACTGGAAAGTTATGGAAAGGTAATTTTTGTTACAATATGAGGAAGAATCATGATGTTTGCAGCCAAATAGGGCAGTGAGCTCCCCGTCACTGACGCTGTTTTGGGAGAGAATGGATGAAAATTTGTTAAGAATATTATAGGAGGGAATGCTTGCCTCATGGAAGAGGAGGTGCTAGTTTATTAGTGAGTCACCTGATCTGATTCTGTGAAGAATACAAATGAATATAGGTGGTTTGATTTGATTGAGTTATAATTTAGAGAATGCTTTTCCAGTGAATACTTAGATAAGCATTTGTTGGCCTAAGGTGAGATAAAGATACCTTCCTTTTTATGAAGCAACCCTAAAAACTACCACAGTTGGCCTGTGAAAAAACATAAATGCAATCTCAGTTGTTGAAATGCCACCTGTTGTCCTACTTGGCCTATAGTTTATTCCCTTATGTAACCAGGTTAACATTACTTTGCTTGCTTTGACCATTTGTTTCTATTTATTATCTTTGCAACTTCTATGCAGCTCCTTGAACATAGGACACTATATTAGTGGTTCCATCTGACTGTGAATAATACAACCATTCCTTCTTTAGGATCTGGGCTTGACGTGACCCTCAGGAGTGGTCTTAGCAAAAGTTCGTTTTGTTTATCCACACTCTTCTGTTCTCTCCTCTCCCACTCCTTTTTCTAGTATGAGCTAGGGGAATGTTTCTCCATCAAGTTAGATAGAACTAGGAATGCGTCTGTCTCTCTCTCTGTGTGTGTGTGTGTGTGTGTGTATGTGTGTGTGTGTGTGTGTGTTTTGTACAAAATATATTTCTGTATTTCAGATATATCTGTATCCCAACTGCTTAAAACATCTAAATTCCCCTAAGAGTTTAAGGTTTTTTGAAAAAGAAAATTTTAGAAAAACTGTTAAGGAGTTTTTCAGTTCTCCATTCCTCCCTTGACATCAAGAGTGAGGGAGTAGACAGCCAATATCATATAAAATGGGCAAAAGCTGGAAGCATTCCCCTTGCAAACTGATACAAGACAAGGATGCCCTCTCTCACCACTCCTATTCAACATAGTATTGGAAATTCTGGCCAGGGCAATCAGGCAAGAGGAAGAAACGAAGGATATTCAAATGGGAAAAGAAGAAGTTAAATTGTCTTCATTTGCAGATGGCATGATCTTATATCTAGAAAACCCCATTGTCTCAGCCCCAAAGCTTTTTAAGCTGATAAGCAACTTCAGCAAAGTCTCAGGATACAAAATCAATGTGCAGATTTCACAAGCATTCCAATACACCAACAAGAGACAAGCAGAGAGCCAAATCATGAATGAACTCCCATTCACAATTGCTACAAAAAGAATAAAATACCTAGGAATACAGCCAACAAGGGAAGTAAAGGACCTCTTCAAGGAGAGCTACAAACCACTGCTCAAGGAAATCAGAGAGGACACAAACAAATGGAAAAACATTCCGTGCTCATAGACAGGAAGAATCAATATTGTGAAAATGGCCATACTGCCTAAAGTAATATACAGATTCAATGCTGTTCCCATCAAACTACCATTGACACTCTTCACGGAATTAGAAAAAAAACTATATTTCATATGCAATCAAAGAAGACCCTGTATAGTCAAGACAATCCCAAGTAAAAAGAACAAAGCTGTTATCAGACTTCAAACTATACTACAAGGCTACAATAACCAAAACAGCATGGTACTGGTACAATAACAGACACATAGACCAACAGAGATAACTCAGAAAGAAGACTACACATCTACAACCATCTGATCTTCAACAAACCTGACAAAAACAAGCAATGGGGACAGGATTCCCTTTTTAATAAATGGTGCTGGGAAAACTGGCTAGCTATACGTAAAAAATTGAAACTGAATCCCTTCCTTTCACCTTTTACAAAAATTAACATGATGGATTAAAGACTTAAATGTAAAGCCCAAAACTATAAAAACGCTAAAAGAAAATCTAGGCAATACCATTAAAGACATAGGCATGGACAAAGATTCCATGACAAAATGCCAAAAGCAATTGCAACAAAAGCAAAAATTGACAAATAGGATCTAATTAAAGAGCTTCTGCACAGCAAAAGAAATGGTCATCAGAGCAAAGAGGCAACCTACAGAGTGGAAGAAAATTTTTGCAAGCTATTCATCTGACAAAGGTCTAATATCCAGAATCTACAAGGAACTTAAACAAATTTCCAAGAAAAAACAACCCCATTAAAAAGTGGGCAATAGACATGAACAGACACTTCTCAAAAAAAGACATTCATGTAGCCAACAAACATGAAAAGAAGCTCAGCATCATTGATGATTAGAGAAATGCAAATCAAAACCACAATGAGATACCATCTCATGACAGTCAGAATGGTGATTGTGAAAAAGTCAAGAAACAACAGATGCTGGTGAGATTGCAGAGAAATAGGAACATTTTTACACTGTTGGTGGGAATGTAAATTAGTTCAACCATTGTGGAAGATGCTGTGCCAATTCCTCAAAAATCTAGAGCCAGAAATACTATTTGACCCAGCAATCACATTACTAGGCATATACCCAAAAGTATATAAATCATTCTATTACAAAGATACATGGACACGTATATTGATTGCAGCATTATTTACAATAGCAAAGACATTGAGTCAACCCAAATGCCCATCAGTTAGAGACTGGATATATATACACCATGGACTATATACATATACACCATGAAATGCTAGGCAGCCATAAAAAGTAATGAGATCATGTCCTTTGCAGGGTCATGAATGGAGGTGAAAGCCATTATCTTCAGCAAATGATTTCAGGAACAGAAAACCAAACACTGCTTGTTCTCACTTATAAGTAGGAGCTGCACAATGAGAACAGATGGACACAGGGAGGGAAACAATACACACTGAGGCCTGTTGGGGGAAGGGGTGGGAGGAGGGAGAGCATTAGGAAAAATAGCTAATACATGCTGGGCTTAATACCTAGGTAATGTGTTGATAGGTACAGCAAACCACCATGTCACCTGTTTATCTACGTGACAGACCTGGACATCCTTCACATATATCCTGGAACTTGAAAAAATGAGATGAACCTAAAAATAGACAGAAAACGGGAGAGAATAGGGCAAGGAATGTAGTGGGGGGAAAATAGCATTGATTGATTATCAAAAATTTTAACTTTATTCTTGCTAGCTTGATATTTAGTGGCATTAATGTGCATCTTATTCAGAATTGCATTTTGCTACGTATTCAACAATTCCAGGTCTTTTATTTACTTAGAATTCGGCTAATAATTGTGGGAGGAGTTGCAAAAGATAGAGGGCTCTACTACTGACAAATTTAGACGTTAGGGGGAAATGTTTACACAGAAAAAAATTTAAGTAGGAGAAATAGGAATTTAAAAATTATAAATTGAATAAGACATGCTGTCCCAGGCATTTTCTAATGGGAGAGAGTGGTCTATATAGTTTGACATCTACCTTCTTTGTTCATTTTAGACTTACTGTATAAAAGGCTTAATTGGATTTCGCCAAGCACTAGAAAATTGGTAGGCAGTTTGTTAATAAGGACTATTTGGAGATATCAGTGTGAACTTCAAGTAAAATTATAAAGGTAGTAATTTAGCTAGAATCACTTGGCATGAGGGCCCACGCAGGGTTGAATGGAGGAGGAAGAAACTGGGCGTAGATAGGAATAAGTTACAGACCGTACGTGTGAGGTGATGATGAAGGATGGACTTGGGGTGGAGACCAAGAGGAAAGAGAAAAACCGTGAGGGATAATCATCAGAACCAATGTTTTACAGAATTTATTGTGTTGTAGATGCTGCCCTAAATACTTCTCTCACACTCACTTATGGAATCCTCACAACAGCTCTATAAGAAAGGTACTCTTGTCCTCATTTTATAGATGAAGAAATTGAGACACATACTCACCCAAGTCACATAGGTCAAAGCAGTGGAGACAGGATTTGAACTTATGTTCTTGTCAACTACTTCTCAAGAAATTCCAGGGTAAATAAAAGAACCCAGAACATATTAGATCTAGGTGGCAAAGAAGTAGACATCAAGGCTCACTCCCTCATCTTAATCCTGGATGACTAAAAGAACTGTTGAAATAATGACATAAAAAAATGAAATGGAAGGGAGGCTGTTTTATTGTTAGGTTATTTGACAGATGTATATAATGTGTATATATTTTAGTTGTTTTGTACATAGATTTCAGAAAGACCCCATTTTTTTTCTCCCCATAACAACCCCTCCCAATTTTCTGAAATACACAGTTGCTAGTATCTTCAGGAGAAGGACAAGTTTTCCTGTAATCCGGGGGGTATTTTAGAAAATGAAGCATATGTTTTTTGTCCTAGTGTCTTTGTATTTATTGGTGGCATTTAATTTTGTCATTCTCAAACAATGATTCTTTGGCTCCTCTTCTAACCATCTTGTTGCTGGGATATTAATTTGAAAATGAATTATCTTTTATAAAGTTTGCAAGAAATAATTGGCAGGGAATACTCCACTTATGTGCGTCAAGGCTGTGAGTTTTAAGGTGAATTTGTTTTGGCTCTGTCCTTTGATTCTATTTTGTTGCTATCATTTTGCTGAACTTTAGATAATTGACAGCAGTATTTGCAGTTTAGTATAATGGCACTCTAAAAATAGCAGAATTTCAAGTTACTTTCATGAAAAAGATTCATTGAGTGCCTGAAATTGGATATTTTGATATGTAGGATACTAGGTATGTGTGCAGTGAGATCCACTTATAGTAGAATTTCCTTTGCTAAAATGACTCATTTTTGCTACACTCCTTAAATCAATACCACTTTGAAATGTCATTTAGGTGGGCACAAGCCATTTTTAAAAGTGCGTTATTCAGTGTGTCTTTAATTGCCTAATAGTGATACAAAAAATACACAGTGATTCATTAGTATTGACAAAAGAGCTGTCTTGCAATACTCCAGGAGGTCGAAGATCACAATTAGAAGTGCTTTAATAAATGTGAATGTTTGAACTGAGTGCAAAGATGCTTTTGATACCTTAAGTTTCACAGGATTGGGTTTTGTAGATTTAAGAAGGAATCTTTTTTTTTTTTAACACTAAAGTTATAAGTAAGCAAATTTGGTAAAATGGTTGTGAGAGTGTAAGCACAATGAAGGCAGAGACAATGTTTGACCTGTGAATTCCTGTGTTTCTAGGGCTTAGCTACTGTGACTAGCAGAGTCAAGGGTTCAATAATCGTTGAATGAATTACAATGCAGATAAGCTTGGAGAAGACTTATGATTTAATAGGGAATAATAAATGAGCCAAAGGCAGACAGCAAGGTTTTTATAAATACCACAACCTCATTCATTAAATTGTGAATTTTCTTAATGTATGAATTTTCTTAAGTTATGCTACACAGAATGTCAGGTTTTAAGAAATCACACTTTTTGCCACATGGTGGCATCATTGTAGTTATGATGATGTTTTAACTCCAACTGAAGGAATGAATTTGTTTTTGACACATACCATTAAATACTCATCTTTTGATGAAATGTACATGAAGCATTATGCATTTGGCGTATAAAGGTATAACAAAACATTAAATCTGCATTTTTTTCTGTGAAAAGTTAAGAATAACTTCTCCAGCCAGGCGCGGTGGCCCACGCCTGTAATCCCAGCACTTTGGGAGGCTGAGACAGGCAGATCACTAAGTCAGGAGTTCGAGACCAGCGTGTCCAACATAGTGAAACCCCCGTCTCTCCTAAAAATACCAAAAAAATTAGCTGGGCGTGGTAGTGGGCCCCTGTAATCCCAGCTACTTGGGAGGCTGAGGCAAGGAGAAATGCTTGAACCTGGGAGGTGGAGGTTGCAGTGAGCCAAGATCATGCCACTGCACTCTAGCCCGGGCAACAGTGCAAGATTCCGTCTCAAAAAAAAAAAAAAGAAAAAGAATAACTTCTCCATTCATAACGATTAGTCCTTCTCTATACCATAAATCTTCTCCAATAAAGTGCAATTAGTTAAAAATAAAACTGAATTAATAATGCAGTTATTCAAGTAAATTGAAAAAAGTAAGTTGATATAATGTTCTTAAGTTTTAGGATTTTAAAAAAATTTCAAATTTTTAAATATTTTTCTTTTTAGTGTTCCCCTTTAAAGCCAATGAAACTTAAACTTTATTTCTCATAACTATTAGAGATGGTGGTCTTCAGCTACTTCCTCTGAACCACTCTGGAATTCTCGTAATTTAGATGAAATTAGATACTTTCTTTTTGAACTGGCATTTTCTGCATGACTCCTTCATATTTACTTTTATCCATAGCCTTTGTGTTGTTGTGACTGATAGACCTAGCCTTATCATAGCAGAAGCTGGAAACTGAAAGTACCTCTGAGATTCAGGCTGTTGAATGACATTTTAGTATCACAGTACACTCACATACGAAGCTAAGATGAGGTGGAAAAGTTGATTTGAGCACCATTAGATCGCTCAACTTTCTCTTAATAACTCCCTACAGATATTAGATAAACACTGAGACTGTCTCATGTTACACCCTTGCTTAAATTTGGAAGACAAAAAGCTGGTTATTTTTATTAGTACCCCTTCTTTTTTACTTTTCTACTTTGAGCTCAAAGTTAATTAGGACATTGCCTTCCTGTTTAGTACCAGAAAAATTATTTAAAAATATAAATTAAATGGGTATTTTTAGGAAAGCATAAAATGTCTTCTTTGGGCAAGATGTATCTGCTTTTGATAAAAGTTTATACATTCTGGCTCCTTCCTTGGTTGATATATTTATACATTTAAAATCTCTCTTGGAGTTAACTGTGGAAGATGGTGGATAGCAGGCAGAACTAACTCGCAGCTCCTGCTCGGATAGACAGAGCAGTGTGTGGAGACTCATATCATGAATATTTGCTCCAAGAACTACCACAGGAACATACCAGGAAAGCTGAGAGAATCTACAGACCCTCTGAAGAGACTGGATTACTGCTGCAGTCTCCCTGAGACACTGAAACACTGTGAGTCCACTTGCTTTCTCAGTGGGGAGGCTTGTGGTCTGGAGCACGTTCTCAGCCCTGATCACCAGCTGCCTGGATATAGACTCGGTGCTGTTGACGGGGCATGGTTGGAGTGAAACCAGCCTTTAGGACTGTGGACTGTATGGGAGTGGGGTGAGGCCTGTGACTGCAAGCTTTCCCCACTTCCCTGGTGACCTGTATGACTCAGCAGAGGCACCATAATCCCTCTGGGAATATAACTCCATTGGACTTGGAATCACACCCCTATTCCCCACAGCAGATGCAGCAAGCCCCACCCAAGGAGAGGCTGAGCTCAGACACACCTAGTCTATCCCTGCCCCAACCTGGTGGTCTTTCTCTACCCACCCTGGTAGCTGAAGACAAAGGTCATAATCTCTTGGGAGCTTTATGGCCCTGCCCACTGCCTGAGCAACCTGAATACTTAACCAGGTGTCTTTAGGGCAAGTTTGCATCCTCCCTATAGTACTGAAGCTGATGCACTCTTGAAAGCACCATCTCCTGGCTGGAGGCCAACCAACACAAACCCAGAACACTAAACAAAAATACAATCAAGAACTCTCACAGAGTCCACTTCAATCTCCTGCGACCTCAACCAAAGCAGGTGCTGGTATCCATGGCTGTAAGACCTGAAGACGGATCACATCACAGGACTCTTTGCAGACACTCCCAAGTACCAGCCCAGAGCCCAGTAGCTCCGCTGGGTTGCTAGACCCAAAAGAGCAAAAACAATCACTACAGTTTGGCTCTCAGGAAGCCCCATTCCTAGGGGAAGGGGAAAAGCATTCTGTAGAACAAAAGAAACTGAACAGCAGCCTTTAAATCTCAGATCTTCCCTATGACATAGTCTACTCTAATGAGAAGGAACCAGAAAAATAATTATGGCAATATGACAAAACATGGTTCTTTAACACACCCAAAAGATCATACTAGCTCACCAGCAATGGATTCAAACCAAGAAGAAATCTCTGAATTGCCAGAAAAAGAATTCTAAAGGTCAATTATAAAGCTAATCAAGGAGGTACCAGAGAAAGGCGAAGTCCAACTTAAATAAATAAAAAAATATGATACAGGATATGAAAGGTAAATTCTTCAGTGAAATAGCATAAATAAAAAAAATCACAACTTCTGGAAATCAAGAACACACTTAGAGAAATGCAAAATGCACTGGAGAGTTTTGGCAATAGCATTGAACAAGCAGAAGAAAGAACTTCAGAGCTCAAAGACAAGGCTTTTGAATTAGCCCAATCTGTCAAAGACAAAAAATAATTTAAAAGAATGAACAAAGCCTTGAAGAAGTTTGGGACTATGTTAAGTGTCCAAACTTAAGAATAATTGGTGTTCCTGAGGAATATGATAAATCTAGAAGTTTGGAAAACATATTTGAGGGAATAATCAAGAAAAACTTCCTTGGCCTTGCTAGAGATCTAGACATCCAAATACAAGAAGCTCAAAGAACACCTGGGAAATTCATCACAAAAAGATAATCACCTAGGTGTGTAGTCATCAGGTTATCTAAATTAAGACGAAGAAACGAATCTTAATAGATGTGTGGCAAAAGCATCAGGTAAACTACAAAAGAAAACCTATCAGATTAACAGCTGTTTTCTCAGCAGAAACCCTACAAGCTAGAAGGGATTGGGGTCCTATTTTTAGCCTCCATAAACAAAACAATTATCAGCCAAGAATTTTGTATCCAGCGAGACTAAGCTTCATAAATGAAGGAAAGATACAGTATTTTCCAGACAAATACTGAGAGAATTCACCACTAGCAAGCCAGCACTACAAGAACTGCAAAATGTAGCTCTAAATCTTGAAATAAATCCTTGAAATACACCAAAATGGAACTTTCTTAAAGCATACATATCAAAGGACCTATATAACAATAACACAATAAAAAAAAACACAAGGTATTCAGGCAACAAACAGCATGATGAATAGAATAGTACCTCACATGTCAATACTAACGTTGAATGTAAATGGCCTAAATGTTCCATTTAAAAGATACAGAATGGCAGACTGCATAAGAATTCACCAACCACATTTCTGCTCTCTTCAGGAGACTAATCTTACATATAAGGTAAAGGGGTCGAAAAGCGAGCAGGAGTAGCTATTCTAATATCAGCCAAAAAAAAACTTTAAAGCAACAACAGTTAAAAAGCACAAAGTGGGACATTATGTAATAATAAAAGGCCTAGTCCAACAGGAAAATATCATAATTCTAAATATATATGTAACTAACACTGGAGTTTCCAAATTTATAAAACAATTACTAGTAGACCTAAGAAATGAGATAGATGGCAACAGAGTAATAGTGTGGGACTTTATTACTGCACTGACAGCACTAGACAGGTCATCAAGACAGAAATTCAACAAAGAAACAATGGACTTAAACTATACCCTATAACAAATGGACTTAGCAGATACTTACAGAATATTCTACCCAACAACTGCAGAATATACATTCTGTTCATCAGCACATGGAACATTCTCCAAGATACACCATATGATAGGCCACAAAACAGGTTTCAGTAAATTTAAGAAAATCAAAATTATATCAAGTACTCTCTTAGACCTCAGTGGAATAACATTGGAAATGAACTCTAAAAGGAACCCTCAAAACCATGCAAATACGTGGAAATTAAAAAACATGATCCTGGCCGGGTGCGGTGGCTCACGCCTGTAATCCCAGCACTTTGGGAGGCCAAGGTGGATGGATCATCAGGTCAGGAGTTCGAGACCAGCCTGACCAACATGGTGAAACGCCATCTCTACCAAAAATACCAAAAAAAAAAAAAAAAAAGCCAGGCATGGTGGTGCACACCTGTAGTCCCAGCTACTCAGGAGGCTGAGGCAGGAGAATTGCTTGAATCCAGGAAGCAGAAGTTGCAGTGAGCTGAGATTAAGCCACTGTATTCCAGACTGGGTGACAGAGCGAGACTCCATCTCAAAAACAAAACAAACAAAAAAACAAAAACACACACACAAACACACACACACATACACCAGAAAACAACAACAAAAAACATGCTCCTGAATGATCATTGGGTCAACAATGGAATCAAGATGGAAATTAAAATTTTTTTCAAACTGAACAATAAGTCACACAACCTATCAAAACCTCTGACATACAGCAAAAGCACTGCTAAGAGGAAAGTTCACAGCATTAAATGCCTTCATCAGAAAGTCTGAAAGAGCACAAATAGACAATCTAAGGTCACACCTCATGGAACTGGAGAAACAAGAATGATCCAAACCCCAACTCAGCAGAAGGAAAGAAATAATGAAGATCAGAGCAGAACTTAAAGAAATTGAAATTAAAAAAAAAAACAGCAATGCAAAGAGTAAATGAAACAAAAATCTATTTCTTTGTAAAGATAAATAAAATTTATAGATCATTCGTGAGATAAACCAAGAAAAGAGAGATGATCCAAATAAGCTCAATTAGAAACAAAATGGGAGATATTACAGCTGGTACCACAGAAATACAAAAGATTATTCAAGGCTACTATGAACACCTTTATGTAGAAAACCTAGAGGAGATGGATAAGTTCCTGGAAACCCAGGATTAAACCAGGAAGATATAGAATCTCTGAACAGACCAACAACAAGAAGGAGATTAAAATGGTAATAAAAAAATTGCCAACAAAAACGTGTCCAGGACCAGATGGATTCACAGCTGGATTCTATTAGACATTTAAAGAAGAATTTGTACCAAACCTACTGAAACTATTCCAAAAGATATAGAAAGGGTGAATCCTCCCTAAATCATTCTATGAAGCAAGCATCACCCCAATACTAAAACCAGGAAAGGACATAACAACAACAACAACAACAACAACAAAACTACAGATGTGTATCCCTGATGAACATTGATGCAAACATCCTCAACAAAATACTAGCCAAGTGAATCCAACAGCATATCAAAAAGATAACCCACCGTGATCAAGTGGGTTTCATATCAGGGATGCAGGAATGGTTTAACATATGTAAGTCAATAAATGCGATACACCACATAAACAGAATTAAAAACAAAAATCATATGATTATCTCAATAGACACAGAAAAAGTATTTGACAAAATCAAGTATCCCTTTATGATTAAAACCCTCAGCAAAATTAGCATAGAAGGGATATACCTTAAGGTAATAAAAGCCATCTATGACAAACCCACAGGCAACATACTGAATGAGGAAAAGTCGAAAGCATTCCCCCTGAGAACTGGAACAAGACAAGGACGCTCACTTTCACCCCTTCTATTTAACATAATATTGAAAGTCCTACCCAGAGTACTAAGAAAAGAGACAGAAATCAAGGGCATCCAAATCGGTAAAGAGGAAGTCAAACTGTCGCTGTTGGCTGGTAATATGATTGTATACCTAGAAAACCCAAAGTGTCCTCTGAAAAGCTTTTAGAACTGGTAAATGAATTCAGCAAAGTTTCATGATACAAAATTAATGTACACAAATCAGTAGGTCTGCTATACACCAACAGCAACCAAGCTGATAATCAAATCGAGGACTCAATGCCCTTGACAATAGCTGCAAAAAAAAAAACAAAAAAAAAAAAACTTAGGAACATACCTAACCAAGGACATGAGAGACCTCCACAAGGAAAACTACAAAACACTGCCAAAAGAAATAATAGATGACACAAACAAATGAAAACACATCCCATGCTCTTGGATGGGTAGAATCAATATTGTAAAAATGACCATACTGTCAAAACAATCTACAAATTTGATACAATTCCCATCAAAATACAACCATCATTCTTCACAGAACCAGAAAGAACAATCCCAAAATTCATATGGAACCCAAAAAGAGCCCACATAGCCTAAGCAAGACTAACCAAAAAGAACAAATCTAGAGGCATCACAGTACCTGACTTTAAACTATACTATAAGGTCATAGTCACCAAAACAGCATGGTAGTGGTATAAAAATAGGCACATAGACCAGTGGAACAGAATAGATAACCCAGAAATAAAGCCAAATACTTATAGACAACTAATCTTTGACAAAGCAAACAAAAACATAAAGTGTGGAAAGGATACCCTATTCAACAAATGGTGTTGGGATAATTGGCAAGCCACATATGGAAGAATGAAACTGGATCCTCATCTCTCACCTTATACAAAAATCAACTGAAGATGGATCAAAGACTTAAATCTAAGACCAGAAACCATAAAGAATGTAAAAGATAACATTAGAAAATCCCTTCTAGACATTAGCTTAGGCAAAGACTTCATGACCAAGAACCCAGAAGCAAATACAACAAAAAACAAAGATAAATAGATGGGACTTAAACTAAAAAGCTTCTGCACAGCAAAAGAAATAATGAGCAGGCCAGATGTGGTGGCTCACACCTGTAATCCCAGCACTTTGGGAGGCTGAGATGGTTGGATCACGAGGTCAGGAGTTCAAGGCCAGCCTTGCCGACATGGTGAAATCTCATCTGTACTAAAGATACAAAAAATTAGCTGGGCATGGTGGCACATGCCTGTAATCCCACCTACTCAGGAAGCTGAGGCAGGAGAATCGCTTGAACTTAGGAGGTGGAGGTTGCAGTGAGTGGAGATCGCGCCATTGCACTCCAGCCTGGGTGACAGGGTGAGACTCCATCTCAATAATAATAATAATCATCATCAGCAGCAGCAGCAGCAGCAGCAGAGTTAACAGACAACCCACAGAGTAGAAGAAAATATTCACAATGTATGCATCCGACAGGGGACTAATAGCCAGAATCTACAAAGAACTCAAATCACCAAGAAAAAAACAAACAATCCCATAAAAAAGTGGGCTAAGGACATGAATACACAATTCTCAAAATAAGATACACAAATGATCAACAAGCATATGAAAAAATGTTCAACATCACTAATGATCAGGGAAATGCATACCAAAACTACATGATTTCACTTTACTCCTACAAAAATGGCCATTAACAACAACAAGAAAATAATAGATATAGGCATGGATGTGGTGAAAAGGGATCACTTTTACACTGTTGGCAGGATTGTAAACTAGTACAATCACTATGGAAAACAGTGTGGAGATTCCTTAAAGAAGTAAAAGTAGATCCCGTTATCCTACTAGTAGGTATCTACCAGAGGAGAAGAAGTCATTATATGAAAAAGGCACTTACGAAAAAGACACTTGCACACACGTTTTATAGCAGCACAATTTGCAAGTGCAAAAATATGGAACCAGCCCAAGTGTCCATAAATCAATGAGTGTATAAAGAAAACGAGTGTATAAAGAAAATGTAATATATATATTATATATATAATATACACACACATATATATATATACAATATATATACACACACACACATATATATATATACACACACACATATAAGACCAAGCATCATATATTCCCACTTATGTATGGGAGCTAAGCTATGAGGATGCAAAGGCATAAGAATTATACATTGGACTTTGGGGACTTGGGAGATAGGGTGGGGGCTGGTGAGAGATAAACAACTACACATGTGGTACACTGTATGCTGCTGGGTTGATGGGTGCACCAAAATCTCAGAAATCACCACTGAAGAACTTACTCATGTGACCAAACCCCACCTGTTTCCCAAAACCTATTAAAACATATAAAAAATTTAAAAAACGAAAGAGGGAACTATGGAAACTTAAAAAAAAGTCTCAGTGAAGAAGTGCAGAATTAAAAAACAAATAAAGCTCTCTTGACATTAAATGCCAGATATTGGGCTGTCTAGTCATGTTGCTTGGGCCAAAACACATCTTTTCAGTATTCCCCGCCTTCCGTGCCTTGCTTCTAAAATACTTTATTGTAATTCTCTAGTTTATCTTACAGTAATTTATTTAGTCTTGTACTTTGTTTTAAATGTTGACTATTCTTCCAGATTTTTTGTATAATGGAAATGTAATTAATCATCCATTTCCTTCTTCATCTACATTTATAACATATTAGAAGACATTAAATACTTAGACTCTAATAATTCTTGAGATTATATATGACAGATTTGCAGTTCAATTTTTTGTAAGGCATTTGTATTTTATCCAGAAAGTAAGTAAAAGAGGTAAACACATTAATTGAGAAGGCATGAGGATTCTTATGCTGTTAATTTAATTTGAGATATTTAAATGGATTATGGTGCCATTGCTTTTCCTGGGTAGCTCTGAAAAATGCCTTTGTAGGAACAGTATGTGACTTTATAGGAGGCCACAGTAGGCACTTTGTTGAGCAAAATTAGCCTGGCATGGTGGTGCACACCTGTAATCCCAGCTACGTGAAGAAAATACCTGAGTATAGAATATGAATTCTGTTGTAGGGGAAAAAAGTGGACTTCAGCTGTTTTTCTTTGCAATTTTCCAGAGGCCAAATATGTTCCATATTATCTTTCTCCCCACAAAGTGTACACAGGCTAGTTGGTCAGTCTTTGTAATTATTGTCAGTTGATCTACAAAGTACAACCTGTGGTTTAGAGTCCAGGGTTCCATTCCTGACTTCTCCGTTGCTCACGAGTTGATTAAACAGAGTCTTAATGCTTAAATTTGAGTTGAAAGGATTATGTTCTTCTTTTGAGCCTTTGAAATCTAGGTTGGACTTTGAGTAATATTGCATTTAGTGTAAGATGTGTATTGGAAACATGAATCAACTATCGCATTAGAGTGTCATCACTAAGAAGAATTCAGAATGATAAATATGTGGCCACATTCTCTGAATAGGTAAAGGAAATTGCTCTAGTTTTGGGAATTGCAATGGTTACTCTTTGAACAGCTGTAAAAAATACATTCTCTATTTTCTGTACTTAGGACGGTCACATACTTTAATGAAAACATTATACCCATTTTAATCCCATGTATATCACAGGAAAGAAGTATAGATTAGCATTCTAGTGTTATATTTAGTATTTTGTTCTGTCATCAAATAACAATGAGTCTACATGTTTATTCAATTCCTTCAATTTCACAATTTCCCTAAATTTCAGCTAACAGCAACTCTAAGCTTTACAATAACCTAACAAAATTCTCAAAATATTTCAGAGCAGGGTAATAAAAGGATAGGTGCACAGGACATTCTTCTTTCCCTATTAAATTTAGTACTTTACTTTTCATTATCTATTTACTAAAATGAAGCTGTTTTATCGTGGAACATAATGATATAACTCTAATATGTCAACTTAATGAACACTCTACTAAAATAAATATATTTGGAAAACTGGGTAGTTCATTGTAACTTTTTTTTCTGTAGTAATGGAACAGTTTTTGAAAACACCTAAAAAAAATCACATTTTGGCTGATTGGTGTGGGGTTCAGAGGGAAAAGCACCAGAAGGGACATGGGCTAACATGAAAGTCAGGCTGACAGCAGAACACATGGAACATCTACTCTGCCACAGACTGAGAGAAAATTTGGTTATGATAATTAAAATAGATTTGCAAGGCCCATTAATACTTTACGATTTATGTATTTGTTAGTCTTTCATTGATGATAGCTTTGTGTTCTATATTATTTTTACTTGAGTGGCTTTAAAAGTCAGCATTAGAATAAATTAATGTAAAGGCTTGGTAAAGAGATCTTCTATGTTCCAGAGGCAGTGGCATGGAATAATAGGGGAAAATCAGAGAGCTAGGTCTGAAATACCAATTTAGCAATAGGCAGGCAATGCTGGGAGATATTTGAAATAGTCCAACAGATGTAAGCCAACAGCTAATATTTGAAAATCTATAGGCAAAAGTTTTGTTTTTTCTTTTTAGTATAAGGACTCTGATAAATGCTTCTGATTCTGTACTCGAGAGTGCTTTTTGGAATCTAAGTCTACCTCTGTAATGACATCTACCTTAACCATGTGTTGCACATATGATTTTTGAAAACTGATGAATCTTCTCAAATTTTTAGCTAATAAAATATCCATGGCACACCCAGTCACTTGCCTGAGGTACTGTGGGACTGTCTCTATAGAAAGGAAGTATTCTACCTATTTTGTGCTAAGCCAGCAGAAACATTAGAACTCAGTTAGCCAAGGTCATGTAATGCAATCAGGGTGATTCAGGCGAACTAGAAATCTCAGCTCTTTTTATCTTCTTTCTGTGTGCATTGAAAAAAATATTGATGATGAAAAAAAGGATATTAAAGAAAGTAGTTGTCTTTGGTGAGTTCAATCAAGGGCAATCCTAAAACAGAGCTAACATAGAGAGGTAGCTCCCTCATCTAGGCATTGGACAGCTGTCGCAGTTAGCTTATACAACTTTGACACTGCACTGTGCTTATAATTGAAGTTCATCTTTGTGAGATTTTAGCAGAACCTGGTCAAAGAGGTTGGTCATTAAAGGCAGGAAGCACAGCAACTTTAGTAAATATACTAGAAAGAAATGCAATTTTCTTTAGCAAGGTGTTAAGGGAGCTTTTGAAATTTATCTTAATTTAGCCTAAGAAAGATGTGACCTTGCTCCTACATCTTGCTGTAGAGTTGCTTTTTGATGTACTTCCTTTACATACTAAGGAAGACGACTGTGTTCCCTTAATTGAATTTGTGTTCTATTACTTTCTCAGTAAATTCTATTTTAGTAGCCTTATAAATTGACCATAAAAACCTATGCTAGACTGAAATTCCAGGGACATAGGAGAAAAATATTTCTTTCATTAAAAAAGACATTTATTTATAAAAGATTCAAGGTCATTTAAGAGTTAATTATCTTATTAAATCTTTAAAAGTTTATTAAAGTTTCTTGTTTTTTTCTCCTCAGAAAATAATCTTCTCCAACTTGCAGTAAAGAACACAGATCATTAGTTAGGTAAGCATGGAATATGGTGTAACAATCACAAAAATCTGATTTCAGAAACACTACAGAGCATCAATGCCCTGAGAAGCTGAGTAGTAGAGCAATCTGCCAGGAGCATAGGGACTTTCATGGGGTAGGTACTTTGTGGTAGGCACAATTCTATTTAAGAGTGCTTTTAAGAGGAAATTCTGAAAGTTGCTTAGTTAGGAACTGAAGACGGTATGATGAAAAGTGGAAAGTGTGTCAACCCAGGTGGTTTCCCTTTCTTTAACTCTTTAAAAATCCCTTATAAGCTTTTTTTTTTTTGGCCATTGTCCTAGGGCATGACACTGAGAAGAACATTGCCTCATTATATACATTCCCCAAAGTTCCATGGCTTTCCTAAGTTCAGTCTCATTTCCTCTTTGTAATCTTCTTCTCCTCCTCACCCTTTCCTGAGGTCTACCTGTGGGACATACATACTGGCCAAAGTACATAACTGAATGTTGCTGTGGTCTATAGGAGCAGTGGTGACCAAATGATATGTTAGAATAAAGCACAAGTGCTTCTTCCTGAGGCTCAAATGTCTAGGCAGCTGATCACTGGCTGATCTTAGCTAGGTGTTTGCTGTTCTTATTTCTCTTTCATTCACAAATTCCCCACCTGCCCTCTATTTTTTTCTGAAATCTGACCCTTAGGGTTGTGGTTTTTACAAGCATACTCCAATTGATATTCTTATAAGTACATAACTATAAGTATACTCATAATAGGCACACAAGAGAGAAGGAGAAGGCAATGGAAAGATGGATGCAGACATGACAGTGATATAGCCACAAGACAAGGAAGCCAAGGATTGCAGAAAGCCACCAGAAGTTGGAAAGAGGCAAAGAGGGATTCTCCCTTAGAGCTTCCAGAAGGAGTCTACTTTTACCTATATCTTGATTTTGGACTTTTGGCTGACAGAATTGTAAGAGAATAAAATTCTGTTGTTTTAAGACATCTAATCTGTGATAATTTGTTGTGGCAGCTGTAGGAAACTAGTATAGATTTTGGTAGGGGGAAGTGGAGTGCTGCTGTAACAAATGCCTAAAAACATGGAAGTGGTTTTAGAAATGGATAATAGGTAGAGGCTGGAAGAATTTTGAGGCCAAGATAGAAAAAGCCAAATTATGGTGAGTGCTCAGAAGGAAGTGAGGAACATGCTAGAGAAAGCTTCTCTCATCTTCGATAATACATATAGTGACATGAGCAAAAATGTTTCTGATAAGAGCTCAGAAGGAAACAAGGAGCATGTTATTATAAACTGGAGGAAAGGTAATCCTTGTTAAATTAGTAGAAAAAACTTTGGCCAAATTGTGTCCTATAGTTGTATGGAAAACAGAACTTGTAGGTGATAGCCTTTGATATTTAGCCAAGGAAATTTCCAAGCTAAGTATTAATGGTGTGGCTTTGTTTCTTCATTTTGATTACAATAAAATGAAAAAGATAAATTGAGGAAGGAACCATTGAGGCAAAAAAAGCAGCACTTGTGATTTGGGAAATTTGCAATATATACAGATTGCAAAAGATGCTACTATTAGGAAAGCATGCTCTGGAGAGAAGCCAAGGGTATGGCTGGACCACCTTTTGCTGAGATTAGATGTATGTCTTATGGAATCATACATACACTCAACCTTGTCAGAAGAAGCCAGGAATAGAGAGGAGGTTATCCAGGGAAATCTGTGGAGGACCTTCTTCCCTAATGACACAAGACCAGTTGACATACTTAGGAAATCCACAAGGTTTGTGAAGATTTTATGTCTGCAGACACACTACCAGGCTGGACTGAAAGAGACAGAGGATAAAATGAAAGAAGGCTATTGGACTTCTGGGAGTCTAAAGGCAGGAAATGGGCTGCAAGAACTACTTACCTAGAAACATGTGCTACCTTTCAAGAATAATGATTCCAATGCCAGAGCTATGATCCCAGAGACATATGATCCCAGAGCCACAGGCCCAGATGCCTACTAGGCCAGAGCAGCAGGCCCAATGAGTGGAGCCTAGAGTCACAGAGGATTATTCTTGGGCCTTGAAACCTAATATTTCTTTTGCTGCACGTTAGACTTTCTAGGGATGGGTGACTTCTTTATTCCAATTTCTCCTCTTTGAAATGGGAATATCTATAACTGTTACCCTATTCCATTCTCACCATTTTATCTTAAAAGCAGATAACTTGTTTTATAGTTTCACAGCTCCACAGGTGGAGAGGAATTTGGCTCCAGGATTATTCATACCTAGTTTTGTTACAGTAGGTAGCTAGTCAGACATTAGCAGGTCAGGGGAGGCTTCCTTTACCAACCCAGGAATGTTAGGCAACCATCAGGTGATGGTCAGATGGTTGTTAACTGTCTCTCTAAAATAATAATTGGTCATAGCCAGTACAAGGGAAAGGAAGTCTTCCAATAAATAGAAACACCTGAAACTGGTGATTAGCAGCTTCCCAATAAGGTCTCAGGAGTTGGGCCTGGGCTCAAACATGTGCACTAAATGGCAAAACAGTGGAGTTTAAGTGGTAGATGACCTTCTAGGAACATTTGGTGAGGGAAGAACACCACAAATGAGCATGTGTACAACTCCAGTAAACACACTGTACATATGACCCCTCCCAAGTGCTGGCAGGACACTGCAAATGTGGACAGCCCACCCCAAGGAAAGAGTCAGTAGAGAAGGGACACAACCCCCGGGAAGCATGCTGGCATATAAACTCCAACTCAAAGATCAAACTGTGCACTTAATCTCTCAAGTTGCCTGCTTGGCCATCTTCCAAGCATACTATTTATTTTTTGTCATTCCTGCTCTAAAGCTTTTTAATAAACTTTCACTCCTGCTCTAAAATATGCCTCGGTCTTTCACTCTGCCTTGGTCTTTCACTCTGCCTTATGCCCCTTGGTCAAATTGTTTCTTCTGAGGAGGCAAGGATTGAGGTTGCTGCAGACCCATATGGATTCACTGCTGCTAACAGTTTTACCCATACCTGATTTAGATGAAGAGATTTGGGACTTTTGAGCTCATGACATTCAGATAGGATTTTATACTTACAGTTGACGGCTGTGATAGGCTGATATTTCAGAGGATGTTGGGATGGCCTGAATGTGTTTTGCACATTGGAAAAATATAAATATTTGAGGGCAATAGGGTGGACTATAGTGGTTTGAATTCTGGCTCTCAAAAACATATGTACACATGTAAATCTCTGAAACCAATGAAAACTACCTTATTTGGAAAAAAGGTTTTTGCAGATATAATTAAATAACCTTGAGACATTATCCTGGATTACCCAGGTGGGCCTTAAATTCAATGCCAAGGGTCTTTACAAGAGAGAGAAGAGAGAAAGATACACATGCAGGAGAAGGCAGTGTGGAGACAGGGGCAGAGATTGGTTTCATGTGGCCATAAGCCAAGGAGGTCAAGGAATGCCAGCATCTGCCAGAAGCGGGAAGAGGCAAGGAAGGAGTCTCCTCTTGAGCTTCTGGAGGTAGTGTGGCCCTGCTGACACCCTAATTTTGGACTTTTGTCTCCAGAACTGTAAAAAAATAAATTTCTGTAGTTTTAAGACTCCACATTTGTGGTAATTTGTTATAGCAGCCCTATGAAACAAATAAGGAATATCATGTTCAAGCTCTTTTCTTTAAGGCATTGAGACTTTCTTGGTTATGGTTATAGTTTATTCCTCTATATTATAGTGACAATCAAAATGATTCTGGGCCTCCCCTTCAAATCAACATTTCCTAGTAGTCCCAGAGTAGCTAATTCCCTATAGAATTGTCAGAGGCATTAGAACCAGAGCGACTCCATTTTTAGTGAGGGCAAGGAAAATGAGGCTGAGACTTGCTGGGCTGCATTCTCAGAAAATCAGGCATTCTTAGCCTCTAAATGTTTACAGTTAAGGAAACAGTAATGTTTACTAACACAGACCAAGACTGGGTAGTGTCCAGATATCCCAATATCTGGAGAACAAAGGCATTCTTAATTTTGCTTTAAAGATAATATTAATTCTTGCAAAATATAGTTAATTAAGAAAATTAATCCTTTATCACAAATCCTTGTAGCTGACCACATCTCCCTGTATATACAAGCATTGTACCTAGGGTGGATGTGTTCCTCCTCTTACTTTTGGGATCATCTTACTCTGCCTATGGAGTAGCTGTCCTTTCACCACTTGACTTTCTTCATAAACTTGCTTTTACTTTGCACTGTGGACTCACCCTGAATTCTTTCTTGCATGAGATCCAAGAACCCTCTCTTGGGGTCTGGATCGGGACCCCTTTCCTGAAACAGAATGACTAATTTCCTTCTGCCTCACTATAAAATTCTCTTCTTCCCAGGCTGTTGGAGCATATCCTTGGTAGCTTCTACTTCATTCACTTTTCTTTCTTTTCAAAAAGCACACCAAGTAAGTACAGCACCCATCCAACTCTTTATCCTCTTTCCCATCACCTGGTCACAAAGATCCCCTGCACTTCACTGCCCATTCCTTTCTGTAATGTACCTCTGCTTGAATTCAAATGCACATTTGCATTTTAATGGAAATATAATTGACTTCTAGTGAACATTTAAATAATTAAAACTTCACATTTATATTAAAATCCAGTTCCTTTATAGCCTATCCTCCTAACTTTTGGGGAAGATAGTTTCAACACAGATATGTCCAAATCCAGGTGGTGAGCTTTTAACCAGTTAAGAGTACAATAATTCAAAAACTTCAAGACAAACACAATGTCTTATTACATGTATGAACCTTTTAGATTAGGCAGATAACCAAGCATAAGCAGGAGGGGTAGCCTTGAGAAAAGAAAAGTCTGGAAAGTCTGAGGCTTGAGGGACCACCCCAAATTTACATATTAATAGCATCTCTAATGCTGGAGTGGGTGAGCAGGAAGGAGAGGAGGTACCTAGGCAGAAACACCCTGGAATGCCTCTGAAGATGTCACAATAATCATTCACTCTACAGTTAAAATGTCAGAATGTTGCTAGATACATGATGATAAAGGAGGAAAGAGAGCAAAAGGGGCTGTCCCAAGAGATACACAGGTGCAATAAGTAGAGATTTGACAGCTATACAACCTTTCTGGGGTGGTGGTAATGAGCGACACCGCCATTCATTAAGATTCATATTGATCACTGGCCTGTGCATGTGGATTAACCAATGGTAAAGGAGGGTCCCACAAGCCTGGGTGGGGACAAAGGCAGGGATGTAAGCCAGAAGTGGGAAAACTAGACAAAGGGAAAAGGTGGAAACTTGAGACAGAAGTGGGAATGTGAAGAGGAAGCCTGACATGATAAAACTCACAGTGCAGGACCCTTGGGGCTATTTTCCTGCAAGAGCAGCCCACTCCTCTCTTGGTGTGTGCTTATTTTTTTCTGCAATAAGCTCTTTTTTTTCCTGTTTTCTTTCAGTGAAGCTCTCTGTTATCTTTAAACCACCTCTTGACTGAAATCTTTCTCCCAAGTTGACAAGGACTGGGACTTCTGTGCTTCCTGGTAACAATCCCAGATTGTAGCAGAGTGACATAACTTGGTAGTAAATGAACTATGTTCAGTAGATGTATTTTAGTCCATCATGTTAATCATTACTGATCAAAATAGATGTTTTTTGAAGCAGCTCTGAATTAAAAGTTTAAAAAGTACCAACTTATGCTCCTAAAACATACAATGACATAACTTGGTAGTAAATGAACTATGTTTAGCAGATGTATTTTTGACATACATCATGTGAATCATTACTGCTCAAAATAGATGTCATTTGAAGCAGCTCTCAATTAAAAGGTTAAAAAGTACTCAACTTATGCTCCTAAAACATGAATAATGAGAAAAGAGCCAAAAAATCTGAATCATAAGTGGAAAATGAAATGTTATAATTATGGAGAAGCTTGGTTGAATAGTCAACACTTAGATAGGTACAAATGTGAGTTGTGCATAATTTGAAACTCTCCAAGGATCATTCTTGGCCTTGAATGACCTCAGCTTCCTTAAGAAGACAGCTTATGTTTTGTTTCATTCCAGTTCAAATATCAGCCCAATCCTGTGAGTAGCCAAATCATAACCACTTCCCAATTTATCAGTCTCAACTTCAGAATAGTCTAGGAGGATGTAAGATGGGGCTTCTTGGTGGTGGAGATCTGCAAGATTCAGACTTCCTGTTCCTCCTGGATTTGCTTTCCCAAACCTGCCCTAGCCTGATGATGCAGCATGGTGTGTGTGTGCTGGAGTGGGTTCCTGGAGATATTTACGTATGTGTGGCCAGTGGGTGAGAGGTGCTATTCACTGCCTGTTGGTTACTTATGAACTTGATGTGAAACTGGTCATTGGTTCCCTGAGTGACTGGGGTTTGTGTTCTGACTGTTAGCTGCAGTATAATTATTAATCTTTTGAGGGCTCTGCTCAGCTTTGCTGTGCACAGTTCTGTGGTAAGTTTTCTTCCCACAAAGGTGAAACCTTTTGCTATTGGAGTTTTCATGAACTGTTGGGTATCCATACAACTTCCTCTTCATTGAAGAGAATCTCATACCTCTTAGCAACACCTGCTCTCAGCTTTGCTTACTTTCACCTGCATGGTCCCCCTCTCCTGGCACTCAGCAAATAACTTAGCAAATCGTAAAAAATGCCATCACATTCTACACAGTTGCAGAAAACTGTGCAAGTGCTTCTATTCTGCCCCTCACTGAAGGGGTGAGTTGAATGTGCCCTCTTCCTCCATGGCGAAGGATCCTTGATTGAGGATTAGGAGTAGTTTATATTCTGTACTGCTCCATGAAAAGACGGCTTCCCTTAGGCACTCTAGCTCCCTTATATAAAAAATGGTAGTGTGTAGACTGGTACTTAGAATTTGATGGGATACTTTATTTTAGTAATCCCTGAGACAAGACGGTTAACAACACAGTGAGAGTCTGACAGTTTTTTCCTAGTTGAAATGATTCCTTCAGCAATCCTAGCACATTCTATTTAACTCTTGATCCAAGAGTGCTCTGTTAACAGTTCTAGGCCACAGCTGAACATTAGACTCATCTGGACATATTTAAAAATTGTAACCCTTGGAATTCAACCCAAATCAATAAATCAGAATTTTGGGGGCGTATAATCCTAGCACCAGTATTTTTTTAACCAATAGGCTAGAAGGGAAGCCTAGTGAAGATGAATGAACATCCTGTCAGTTCATTGCAACCATATAATCCATAGGAGGAAAGTATTATACTGAAAACTCTAAAATGAAGAAGCTGATATAGTTGATAAAAGGATTTTAGTTCTTAATTTCAAGTCAGCCAAGACAAAGAGAGAAACAGGTTGTGCAGCTATAGTCTAATTAAAAGATACATTAATAGTTGTTTAGAGTTAAAATATTTTGCCCAGATAGAACGAATTGATTGTATGAGTCTTTATGCATTCAAAGGGATAATGGCTCATGTCTTAGATAACAACTTCATAATACAAAAAATGCCACATATTGCTATTGCTTTTGTTTATCATTCATAAAAGCTGAGAAATATGACAACATGAAGGAAGAATAGGCAGTGTTGTGACGCCATTAACTTGCTCTGATTTTCCTGTCAACACATTGGTTTATAAATGTTAATGATACTGTATGATCATTGTTTGGGCAACCACGTAAATGACCATGTTGGGAAATGCTATGCATAACCCAGATTGACTCAAGCAGTCCTGAGATTGGCATTCTTCCCTGATGGGGTTATGTCAAAAATAAGCCTGATGTGTACATTAGTTGATGAGTTTGGGAACTGAAAAAATTAAGAGAATACCAACTCCGTAATATAATAATTGTGCAATGTTAGGGAAGTTGCTTAATTTCTTTGAGTCCCAATTCCTTATTTTCAAAAAGTAGTAATGATCTCTCTTTAATGAGTTATTGTGAGGATTAAGTGAGAGGTACATACATGTGAAGATCCCAAAACAGGGCCCAGTACACAATAGGTACTCTGTGAATATTGGTGGAGATTCTTGTTACTATTTAAACAGACCCACTGTGAAAGTGTTTCTAGAACCATATGGTGCTGAATATTATATTTTATAGATTTTGACACCAGACCTTTCCAATGAAAGAGATATCAGAATATAGGATAATGACCTTAGGAATGAAATGCTTTTTAATCTTAATCTATTTGCTTTGCTGTTGGTTTTCTTTTTCTTAGATTACATAAGGAGCTTCACTTTCAATAAGAAGAGTGAACTCTGAGCCTCTTTCCCCACCTTCAACACTAAAGCAAAGGCAGGATAAAAATATGTCAAAGATCCTTGTTTAATTTATAATACAGATGGTCATTAGAGTATTAGGAATTCGATGTATTATACCACAATCTCTTTCATTATATGAATTTCTTTGTAAAAAAGAAACATTACTATCTGTTTATGGGTTTTACTACCTTTTCAATCTACCAGCCCTGCCACAAACATCACAATGCTGTAACTTCCAAAATATTGTTCTCTTGCAGCACAATTCATGCTTCTGCAGATTGTGCAGACAGCATCCTTTATCGATTATACTGCTGAGATAGCGCATATGTGGTTAAATTTTGCAAGGCTCCACAATGCTAATACTAATTCTGTTCATGTCTTGGCTGGGTTTTGTGTTCAAGGGATGCAGAAGTGGTTTTTTTTCCTCATATTTTTCAAAAATAGGAATAAGCACAGCCGTTGTCAGTATTTATAAAAATATCCATATAAGCTTAGTTCACCCAGGTCCACAGCTGTCAATCAGCAGGAATCACTCTTATTCTCTCTCTGTTTCTGTCTCTGTCTCTTTAAGATCACACATTTTTATTTGTACACACATTTGTATCTGAATTTCTATTGATAAAATTAGAAAAGTCAGTCATCTTTATTCTTCTCAAGTACTGATAAGAAATTTAGAGGAAGGAATTATAAAACTGGTGAAATTTGATATTAAACATAAAAATATTAGCAAGAAATGTGAAGATGTAAAGTATCTTAAAAATCTGTACATTGAAATAGCTTGTAGGAATAGCAGGTAGCCCAGTACCCATATTATTAGACCATCTATATTGTGTGTTTCCCACCAACATAAGATAAGGGACTATGGGTATAAATCTGATTTTCTAGGAAAAAAATAACTTCCAGAGGAAATATCAATTTTATGTCTTGCTCTCTAAAACTTCACTGTATATAAAGTCATTTATAATTGTCATTGGCGAAGTCATCATAATTTATTTTCCTGGTGCCTGTGGGTTGGCTAAGCCCCTTTTGCTTTTAGATTTTATATTCACCTTTTCCTGTTTCATCTGTAGAGTGAGCAAAAAGAACTTGTAAAAGACATAATATGAGTCATCCTTCAACAATAGATTTCTCCTGAGATGGTATTTCTAAGTGTAAATTGCCTTTTTTCTCTTCTGCTCAAAATAAGGACTGAGGGTTGTTTATTCTCTCTACTGCTTTGGCTGTCGTGCCTGTAATCTCTCTCTCTCCTCCTCTCTTTGTCTCTCTGTTAGTTTAGTGGATGGCAAATTGTTTCTCTAGGTGCCAATTGTAACTGCCATCTTGCTATCACAGTCGTAGGAGGCAATTGTGTATCCTTTTTCTGTTGAGAAGGGTATATATAATCAGTAATTCTATCTATTACAATGGCAAGTGGGTCGTGTCTAGAACAGACTCTCATTTCTCAAAATAAAATAATATATGTATTGGATGTCCAGCTGGTAAGTGAACTAGAAACTTAAGAAAGGGCAAAAATATCAGAAAATTAAATGATATATATACTTATCTTAAAAATTTCTTTGGTTGTTTACCATAAAGAACAATATACGTAATTTATGGTGATATTGTATAGAAAGACAGATGTACATTTAAAGTATGATGAAAAAAATTACAAAGCTATTTCTAGATAAGCAAACCTGATATATGTTGATTTTGAAAAGGATATTTAACATAGAAAATTGATCTTTTCACTTTTTATGGCTTGACAAACATGGCATAATAAAAATTTTTCTTTTTTGTTTTTAAAAATATGGGTCAACTTAACTCAAGTATCTGTAATTTTGAGAGCAAAGTACCACAACAGGGGTACATCATAATATATTTCAGACTTGTTCTATATGTAGTCATTTTTTGGCTACTAGAAATAAGGAATACAGAATAGGA
Source organism: Homo sapiens (assembly GCF_000001405.40). NCBI lineage: Eukaryota > Metazoa > Chordata > Mammalia > Primates > Hominidae > Homo > Homo sapiens. The sequence goes on from NC_000014.9 coordinate 39,978,034, forward strand.
AATTATAAACATTCTGACTGATATGCTGAGCAAATCATTTAACCTCTCTCAGTCTGAGTTTCATAATTTTTACGGGGAAAAGAATATCTGCCTACTAAATCTATTGGGATAATTAAATGGCACCTGCACATAAAGCACTTAGCACAGTTTTTAGAATATAGTCAACACATGCTATCTTATAGCTGTAATAGTGATAATAGTGATGAAATGTGAGAGATGAAAAGGACTATTAAAATGATGACTCCCAATTTCTTTATTTTACAGGACAATCAGAGATGTAAGGAGACATACCCAAGGTCATATAGTTGGATGGCAGGGCCAAAACAAATGCTAGCTAGCAATGCTCACTCTCACTTAGATCACTACTCATGGTGTTTTGCTGTCTCCTATTCTGCAGGATTTTCTGCAAGAAACTCAGAATCCTATATTTTGTCATCATAGACAGGACTAGTATTTCATGATTACCTTATAAATAGTAACAACCATGGTTGCAACATTTTAGTTCATAAACAGTAAGGAAACAAGCAAGAATTTCAAATAGTAGTCTCTGTTGCTCAATGTTGTTCCAGCGAATCTCTGGAATTTCATTCTGGATTGGGTTCAAGCACCTGCCGTAATCAATAGAAACTTTATAGGTTGGGAAATGGGTTCATTACCATTGACACTGGGGAGCATCTCTTTAAGGAATTATAAACTAATATCAATTAAAGTGGGAACAATAATGATAGCTTATAATACCAACCACTTTATATATATTAGGACATTACAGGGATTATTTCAACTTACCCTTATATAAATCTTATGAGGTAATTAGTATAATCTTGATGTTATAGATTAAGAAACTTAGACATAGAAAGCCAAATAGTTTGCAGGTTCAATCAAGATCTGACTGATTTCTCAGCCATGGTGACTCACACCTGTAATCCCAGCACTTTGGGAGTCTGAGGCAGGAGCATTGATTGAGGCCAGGAATTCAAGACCAGTCTCAGCAACACAGTAAGACCCCACTTCTCTACATTAAAAAAATAAAATTTTGTTTTGACAACTTGACTCTAATGAAAAAACAAAAAACAAAACCAAAAAGATCTGTCTGATTTCTTAGCCTGACAACTAGAGGATATTGCCTCTGATGTGAGGCTAGTAAAATGTTTTACTTTTATAAGGCACCTATACATTTTAAAATACAATATAAATAGAGAAATATTTGTTTCCATTTTTAAAAGGAAAATAATTTTATTGACTCACAATTATTAATTTACTACAACTTTGTATCATGATTTTGTCTCCATTGTCATTTAAGTTGAAACATGTCAGTATGGTAATATCAGTATTTTAAAGACAAGTTTTCATCTCTGTTTGATGGTTTTAGTTTGTCTGAATTGTTTCATCATAGTTAATTTAGTTACAGAGGTCTCCTTCATAGTGCTGGATTCTCTCTATTAAATACTGATTGGTTTGATGTACAACTGGCTCTTTCCAAATTATGTCCTACAAGAGTTCACAATGAAGAAATTTGTATTTAGGGTCTATTATTTGGTTAGAATGTTTTCTACTATATATAACAGAAAAGCCCCAACTAAAAAGAGGTTTAATCGTAAGAAATTTGTTTTATCATGTGTGGTAGGGCTGCTCCAAGGTTAGTTAATTAGAGGATACAATGAAGTCATCAGTGATCTGATTCTTTATATCCTGTCTCTCTGACATTTTCATTATCGTGGGTTCCTTTCCTCATGGGTTACAAGATGGTTGTTCTAGTCCTGAAGTCAGTCATGTGGAGATACAATAACATCCAGCAGAAGAAGTGGGACCATCTTTTCCTTGCCTCTTTTTATGACCGCAGAAACTTCTACCAAAAGACTTTGGTAGCTTTCCTGTTCTGTCTCATTGGCCAAAAATCACATCACATGTTCATGCCAAGGGGGACTGGAATTACTGTGACTGGCTAGATTAATCAGGCTCTGCTTCTGGGGCTGGGGCTGGGAACAGTGTTTATGCAGGAGGAAAAAACAGGCAATGGCTGCTGAATAGGTAATCGAGAGTGTCTGACACATAGAAGGAGCTCGACAATAAGTGATGGTAAAACTAGGCAAAAAGAGAAAATGGAAGAAAACTCTGAAAACCATAAATAACATTAATGCTCATCTTTTTAATTTATCTGGAAGAAAAGGAGAAGAAATATAACTTAATTGTGCCATCTAAATGGTTTCTTCTTCTGGTAAATTGTCCTCCTGCTGTTGATGAAGACAATTACTCCATTTGTGTATTAGAGTCCTGCTAGCTTAATAGATCCCTAATGAAATTAGCAGAGAGTTTGTGTTTCATTATACAACTTTTCAACAAAAAATGTGCTTATTAGAGGTACCTATAAGTATCTTCATGCCGTGTACTTACATAGTTTATTTTATTGTTATTAAAGACCATTTTGGCTATGGTTCTTTATCAGAATTCATTCCTTTAAAGAATTGCCAAATAAATTGTAGCCTATGAGGTCTTTCTAGCATTTTCTAGCATTAATTTGATGTTAGTTTCTTGAATTTTTGATTTTTCTTTTTGATGGGGTCATCAAAATAGTTGTGAGAATTTGAATTTAGACTATTAGTGCTTTCAAAGCAGAGTAATTTGGAGAGTTGCTTGTTATTATGAACAATAAAACACAAAATTCTACGAAGTTTAAGACACTGAAGAAGAAGCATAGCCACAGGAGAGTGAGATATAAGCACCCTGGTGAATTCTGGAAGCATATAGGTGAGACGAAGTGATTAGAAGGTTAACTAGTTGCTACATACTCAGTTAAGAGTTACAAAGACTGTGGTCCGTGCAGCGGTTACCAGGATAAGAGGATAACAGATTGGGGCAGAGACTGGTAGAAGGCTAAGAAAGAAGTGATAGTATTTAATCCTGATAATGTGTCCCAGATATGTCTTTGTCATTGAATTAGAACAAAAAAAAATCTAGATAGTTAACTTCTTTCTACATGTTTTTTCCTCTTCAGACTTTCTCCTCACTACTTGCTCATGTTACAGGACTTTTCTTAGATGTCACTTGAAAGCCTTTCTTGATCTCATTTACCATGTACCATATTGCTATGATAAACCTTTGTTGACTTGTCTGTATCCTGCCCTGGATGTTGGGCAGGAGAGGTGTCTTTTCCTTCTGTCTCCAGCATCTAGCTCAGTCCCACACAGGTAGTCTGCACTGAATAATGAGTGAATTCCCACTCCTACCCACAGGTTCTAATTGGAAGAAAATGACCCAAAATATGATATCTCCTTTATGTTAATCCTTCAATCATTTATTGTAAGATATTTTTGACCTACAAGTTACTTTTTACCTTTTAAGGTAGATTGGTAGCATTGATAGCCACAACTAATGGCTTCCTTTTAATCTTGTCCTCTACACTGTGATCTTGCAAACTCCTCCCATCAAGAGATAGAGACTGTTTCACTATCCTTGCATTTGGTCTGCCTTATTAACTTTCTTTAGCCAATAGAAGGGGAAAGAGAGGTGTTGTGCCTGTTTGGATCTTACATCTCAAAATACCTAGCTCTTCTGTTCTTTCCTAGAACCCTTCAACAGGTTGTGAAGAAGTCTGGACCAGTCTGAAGGAGCATGAAATACCACATACAGAGAGAACCCAGTTATTTCAACTGAAGCCATTCTAGAGCAGCCATAACTGGCCACATCCAAAACAGAGAACAGTGTGTGGTACATTTATAATGTTTGATAAATATTAGATATTTTTATTTTGGCTCTGTTGATCTCCACACCTAGGATCTCACTTCTTTGACCTGTATGATGATCATTTTTTTGGTGATGTGTATCCTTTTAATTCTCCTTCTACTCTTGCCTCCTCCATGTGAACATTTATAGGACACTGTTGTCAGCCATCTAGTTTAGTCTACATATACATATTTTTTTGTCAGAAAAATATTTCTACCTTCATGATTTCAATTATGTGCAATGTGCAGATAATGCCATAATTTGTGTGTATATTTATAACACTTTATCTACATATTCAAAGTCTGCTCAACAACTTCCAATCTTGGGTATCCTCTTAGTAGATCTAATTCAATATAGATAACACTTCCTATCCTATGTTTTCTTTTTTGAAGCTAATCATCCTGTATTAGTTTTTGGGGCTCTATTCTCCCTTTCCATTGAGAGGCAGCCGTTCTTCTTTCGTAAGTTTAAAATTTTTCCCTTATTAAAAAATCAATAAGAAGCTTTTATGCATTTGCATTGCCATCTTTCTGTTTGAGAGCAGTTTTTAACCTCCGTGTCCCTGTTTTCATTTCTTATACCTCTAATATATTCTTATGCACCACTGCAGTAATTATACTAAATATCAGGGAGAGGAGAGGAAAAAGGGAGTAACATTCTTTGAAATTCCTACTGGGCTGAGAGACACTGGGCTACCTGCTTTATACACCCAGAAATATGTTTTAGTAGCAGGGGCGGTCATTGTTCTAGTTATTGTAAAATATACATAATTTCTGCCTGCACAGGGCTAATAATTTAGTAGATGAGGGACAGAGGGACAATGTGCACATAAATGAGCTAACCAAAAAGGCTCCAATTAATAGACCAATTATGCAATATTGGTATCGGTACTTGTTCCAAACTCATCTTATACTGAGAGAAATGCTGGTAGCTATATTCTTAGAAAGTTAACTAATGCACAGCCATCTTCAAAATGAGGAAATGAATTCCCCTTGGATTGAAGACTGTGAAGCAGCCCATGTAAAGCAGGTTAGGGGATTAACAGTAATCTAAGGATGACGTCTCTGAAATCTGTTACATGGGAACCAATACGTCCATGTCATGTGGTGAGACAGCAGAGCCCAGGGCACACTCAGGAGAATTCTGCTGTGGAAAATGAACTCATAACCAGAAACCGTTAAATTAGCAATGAAGATCAATGCCAAAAGGTACAATATATGTACCTTCCAGGCTATATATATTATAGCCTGGAAAAAGAAAATTTTGAGCCAAAGAAAAATATACTAAAATTCTTTAAAATAAATATTTCTAAATAATCTTGTTTTATGAGGTGATTCCTACCCTGATGCTAAAAATCATATCAAGATAGTTCCAGAAAATAAAAATATAAGCCTATTTCCTAAATAAAATGTTAATTCCTAAATCAGATAATATCTAACGAAATTCAACAGAGTATTACACATAAAATATTAAGAGCAAGTACAGTTTTTCCCAGTATATAAAGAGTATATCAAAGTAACTTATCACTTAACGAAATAAAGGTTAAAAAATGGTTGTCTCCATATGTAACAAACCTGCACGTTGTGCACATGTACCCTAAAACTTAAAGTATAATAATATTAATAATAAAATGGTGGTTTCAATAGGTACAGATAAAGAATCTGATAAAATTCAGTATCTGTTTATAAAATTCAATAGAAAAATAGGGATTGGGAATAGAAATAAAATTTCATTAGCTAACACATGTAGGAAGAGATGCTTAAACTTATGGAATTGGAAAAATGCAAATAAAGTTGTCAGATATCACTTTATACTTATCAGCAAAAATTAGAAAATAGGATAGATCCAAAATGTCAGTCAGGACATGAAACTGCTGGAACCCTTGTGGAAATGTAGATTGGAGCAGCCATTTTGGAGGGCAATTCTGGAGTACTTATCGAATTATACACCAATATTTCCTGTAACATATTGACTCCTGGGCTTTTTTTTTTTTCCATACAAGCATTTTCATAAGAATATGTGAAAAAAATTGTTGCAGGCTTGGTAGTGGTAGTGGGAGGCTTGAAGCAGCAAATAGATTGAACATAATGGAATAGTATGTAGCACTTGGAAACAATGGCTAATGGACATAGACCAGCATAGACTTAAAAAATATGTACCTGAACAAAAATAGCAGAAATACAATGAAGTCTACAAGCCAATAAAATGTATGTAAATTATGCATATCTGTCTAGGAAATAGCTCTCCATATTTAAGAAGACATAGACAGTTGAAGGATTATGTATCTAAAACATTAGAATGGTTGTCTGGGAATGGGGCAGGGAGTGAAGACGAACTTGGAGATGAAAAGGAACTAAAAAATAAGAGAAGGCCTCAGAAAAAGCAACACATAAAATGCAACGTAAATGGTTAGGATCCTTACAGAGATAAAAGGAAATAATAACTTCCAAGAAATAAGGGATTAGAAAAAGAAAAACTAGAAGTTCTTAATATGAAGATGCCATTTGCCATTGCAAAGTACTATGAAACAAAGAAATCATGCTGTCATGGAATAGAGCAGTGGCAATGTGGGGAAAGGACTCTACTCAGGTGAGTGGTGAAGAGGCTCTTTCTGAGCTGCGGAAGTTTAAAGCCAAGACCCCAAAGGATGAGAAACAGCCAACCATATGAATACCCTTGAGAAAAGCCTCCCAGACATAGAACTTGGCCTGTTATAGGAATTGAAAGAAGGCCAGTGCAGCTGGTGTGTGGCAAACGGCAGGAGAGAGGTCCAAGAGGAGACATAATGAGAGGCTAAGGCATGTAAAGCCTTTAGATTTCATTCCAATTATAATGGGAAACCCTGCAGGGTATTAAGCAGATGTTAACAAGATTTGGTTTACATTTTTAATTTTTGAAAGTTTACTCTGCTGCTTTGGGTATAATGAATTAGCAGAGGGCAACAGAAGGAGCAAGAAACTGATTAGGAGACATTCTGTGAGAAAAACAGTGCTGTTCTGGACTACAGTGGTGGCCATGGAGATGGGGAGCAATAAACAAGATATGATTTTGAAATAGAATTAACAGGAATTACAGATAGACTGATTTGGGAGGTAAGGGAGAGGGAAGAGTAAAGGTTTTTTTTCCTCAGGTTCTTAGCTTACCATTCATTGAGAGAGAAGTAGATGAGAAACATATTTTGAAGTAAAATCAAGAAGTCAATATCAGACTTCTTTTAATAATATTCTCATCTGCAAAGTAATAATATTCTCATCTGTAAGTCTGGCCTCTTGTGAGACATCCAAGTGAATATACCAAATAAGATATTAGATTACAAAGACTAGAACTTGAAGGACAGGTCTAAGCTAGAGATGTAAATTAGGGAGATGGTATCATATGGACCATATGTAAGCCATGGGAAAGGTGAGACCAGCAGATTGGGTGTGTAGAGGGAGAGAATAAGATTTGTGCAAGATCTTGAGGAACTCTGCCATGTAGATATTGGGGATGGGCAGAGGAGCTAGTAAGGAAGATTGAAGAGCAGTGGCCAAAGTGGCAGGAGGAAAAACCGTCTGGCTTTCCCAAAGCTGAGGATGTGGTGTTTCTCAAGGAAAGGAACTGCTAATTCTGTCAAATGTCACTTAAAACAGAATGAGGTCAGAAAGGCGGGTCCATTAATTTGGCAACAAGGAAGCCATGTGTGACCTTAAGAGGAATAATTCCATGTTGTGTAAGGGTCGGAGGCCAGAATGGATTGGGCTGAGGAGTTAACATGAGAAGATGAAATTGAAACACCTGTAGACAACGCTTTGGAAAATGCTAGGAACTTATCCTAATTTCTTCACTCAAGGTAATGACATTCTCATCTGGGGCAATAGGCACAGGTAAGGGATGTTGGTTTAAAGATACTGTTATTTAAGGACCTGTACAAATTGGTTCCAAACTCTAAGTAGTTTCTCTATTCCAGACGTATCTTTTCATGCACTCTCCTAGGATAGGCTGAATGGAGGCATTTAATTTCCTCAGATAGGCTGATTACTAAGCTTCCCAGGGCTGGTTAATAAATAGTACCCCATAAAACCAATATTCTTAAAGTATTTGCTCAATACTATTGGTGGTGGAGTCTGCAACAACAAACATTCTTTTTGTTTATTTCAATTTTCACTCTAGCCAGATATTTTTTTCTTTAGCGGGAATAGGACAAATCTATATGTTATTGAATGACCTGAGTTTCTAGCATCACAGTGATGATTTATTGTGTTATAATTTAGTGTCTTTTGTAGACTGACCCCAGGACAGTTTACTAGCTGGCCTGTCATTTTAGTACAGCTTTCTTTACCTAGTTTCTTCGCTCAAGGTAATAATATTCTCATCTGTAAATTCTCATCTTTCGTGCTCCCTCAAGCCCTTTCCATTTAATTTCTTCCAGGTCTGAGTTTTCTTATCTGACCCAGAATATGTTAATGTCCTTTCCTTTGGACTTGTGATTAACTTTTTGTTTATAACATCTATTTAGCAATTCATTATGTTTGATGTCTGCTTGCAGTTAAATTGTTAATGTGTATCTACCTAAATAAATAAGTACTCATATATACAGTACCTAATAGTGTTTTTGATTGGCTCCTGAGAAATTTGTAGGCTGGTTTACATTTTGGCACTCTCTGTGATGCCTATTTACACATATATATTTCCTCAGGAAGTAAACATAGTATGTACATCAGACATTAAACAGGAAAGGACATTTTATTTCATGCCTTCTTTCCCATTGCCCAATTATACATTAAAAAAATTCAAACTCAATTTACCTATTTTCCTCTCATATCCAAAATGTATTCCAATGATCTCTTAGTAAAAACAAATAACAAAAGTTTAATCTCTTTTTGGAAGTCTGGATTCATGCAGACCTGCTTTAGAACTCCTGTCATTTGCAAGCTTTGCAATTGTTACTTAATCTCTCTGATTTCTGTTTCCTTCTGTCAAGTGGAAACAAAAATTGATTTCTTTGTTATGTTTTAATGAGATAATTGTGAAAAGCACCTAAATAAGTGTGATCATCATGAATTATTAATTACCATAAAATAATAATAAAACTAAGCCAAAAATTATAGTTGCCCAAGTTAAAATTAGGCCCCTCCGGTCTCTCCAGGAACAACTATGTGACTTTGATATAATCTGGGTGATTTATATCAAAGGATCTATTTGACCTATTTTTCAACTTGGTTAGGAATTTTCTCTCATTTACAAACACAGTGCTTTTCACTACGTGTAGAAATTCAATGTTTCTGAATTTCAACTGATCACTTAGCCACCAAATGTGTATAGGTAATCCTGATTTCAGCATCCCTCCCTCCTGCTCTACCCATTTCAAAGATTCTCAATAGGATAGTCAGCAAAAAACCTTGTTTCTATCATGTCCAATTCTAAGTCAGTTCTGTGCTTTGCCTTTCCCTGCTGTACTTTGATCTGACCTAGGCAAAAAAATATGGATTTGTGCTGGATACTTCTCAGAATTCCATTCCTCTCATTTTGCTGTTACCACATTTGGGTCTTAAAGAAATGAATGTGGGAAAGCCTCAGTTCTGTTTTATCATTGCTAATTCTAATTGACTGTTTTCCAAGTCTATATGGCTATTACAGGTTTTACTGAGGGAGTTGATCTAGTAGAGATTACTGTGTAGGAGACACGAAAATAAATATTTAATGAAATGTTGAAATATCATGGTACTCGTGAGCCATGGAAAGAGAATAAAAGGGTTAAATTTATTTCAGATTTCGTGGATGTACCTCAGATTCTTCTGCTTTCAGGACCGTCTCTTCTGCTTTGTTTTTCAAAACTCTGCATGGAGGTCTCCATGCCCCTGTAGCAAATCCCACCCCCTCACATGACTGTCTTGCCATAGGATGCGTTCCTTGCTCCTATGATGGGACATGGACATCTCCCAACAGACTGTGAGGCTGGGCTTTAGCCCTCTAAATCTAGTCCCTTGGAGGATGCTATTTAGTGAGGTATCCATATCCTTCTCCGTTCTTTTTTTGGTGTCCAGTGGATTACTTACACATACACAAATGGCAAAACCAAAATCCATGTTTCAAATACAAACATTTTCTTTACTGTGGTTGTAATCCTGCAGAACTACCCTTTGACAAATAGGGGAAAATGTTTATGTCATTATGCTGAGCACATTTAAAGTTTCTTTGTCTTTCCGACTGTGTTTAGACTTCTCCTCAGTCTTTAAAGTGCATAAAAATCAAGAGTCGTTGCAGCATTGAACACTACAGAACTCCTGGAAGGACAGCATCTCTTGATGATAAAACCTCCACAGTAACTTTGAGTACTTAGGGATTTTTTTCTTTAGTTATATGTCAGGTCACATCTTGGGTTACTGTTAATGAAAGAAGACTATACGAAGAATTATTAATTTTCACCCAAGCAATCTGCAAGAACTGGGAAGGATATTTTAAAGGGAAATAACTTAAAATTTTACCAAATATAGCTTGTAAAGATATTAAGGAAAATGATTAGGACTCATATGAATATGTCCCAATAAGCAAGAAAAAAGTTATTGTGATACAATGCCAGTTATCGCAGGAAATTCAAGAATTCTGTTCTAGATACATAAAGAAAAAAATACATTAATTTCACAGTTAATATATAAAAACCATCATCAACATTTTGGTGACCATTTGGGGCTACCAACCTATTTATAATTTTTCTATTTACTTATCTGAACAAAATTTTGATCAAGTATACACATTGTTTTATAATATAATTATTTAATCCACATATATAACAAATCATGATTTTTATATATTATTACACATTTTTGAGGACTTGATCTTTAATGACTAGTATTCCATAATAAGTATGTGCTATGTTTTAGTCCATCTAATCAATCATCTATTTTTACACAATTAGAAAATTTTCAAAGACAGTTTTACTCCATAAAAGTACATGTTCTCTTTACTTCTAGGAAAAATAGTTGACTTGTCATCCTTTGGGTCACTTCTTGTGAAATAAAAGTATTGTGATCTAAGAGTTTTAAATAATTTTTTTGTTAGTAACAAGGCTCCCAGATGATTAAAAAATCTAAGTTCATAGCTAAATTCATAGATCTATAACAAACATTTGAAAGCAAACTATAGTTCTTAGGAAAATTTATTATTAAGAAAACAACTTTAACTCATGGCAAGTTGTTTCTACTAGTAATTTACCCCTTTGATATACTGAAGGACTTAATATAATCATGAATGATTTTAAGAAAATTGTCATGTATATATGTAGAGAGTGAGGCACCTTTAAATATAAATAGAGTGAGAAAAATGTTGCTTTGATTTCAGGAATAGTAGAACTTCACCTTTAATGTTTCTGTGTGATCCATTTCCTCTTAAGTACCATTTTGGCATTTCCAGCAGATGGCATTGTTACACTAAGAAACCAAACACCACAGCTCAGGCATTCTTTAAGTAAATGTAGATTTTAGAAAGGAAGGGAAGAGGGAAAGGAAATATTTATCGAAATCTATTCATTGCTGGTTCTTTTATATGTATGGTTATATTTAATGCTCACAGTGGCTCTCGTAGGTAGGTGTTAAGAATAAGTAAACTGAGGCTGAAAGAATTTAAGAAACTTAATATTCACGAAGCAAATCAGTGACAGACCCAGGATTGTAATCTAGATCTGGCTGATTCAAAGAGCCTATGTAGCTGCTGTGTTTAAATTAATGGCACTACAGTGAAAATATTTGTTTATAGAAACAATTTCAAATGAATGAACTATGACAGTTTGACTGTACTTCCAAGTGGGTAAACAGAGTTATCATAATTAGATTCAGAAATTTCATTCATTGGTGCATAGCCAAATATTAACTACTGAATTACTGTACATGCATTCTGCAATTCTACTCTTATATATAACACCAAGAAAAATAAAAACATGCCAGTATAAAACCCTGTACACTGATGTTCATAGCAGCATTATTCATAATACTTCAAAGTATAAACTCAAATATCCATCAACTGATGAAAACTAGAATGTAACATATCAATACAGTGGAATATTATTCAGCAATATGAAGAAATAAAATACTGACATTCTGTAGCTTGGATAAACCTTGAAAACATGATGTGAAAGAAGCCAGTAAGAAAACATGTATAATTCCATTGATATTGTAATGCTAAGAAAAGGCAACTCTGTACATCCAGAAAGAAGATCAGTGAATGCCTAGGCTTAGCAAGTAGGAGAAGGGAATGAGAGTAACTATTAGTGGGCGCAGAATTTCTTTTTAGGGTAATGAAGATATTTTAAAGTTAGATTTCATTAATGATTTATAATTCTGTAAATATACTAAAACCCATGGAAGTGTACACTTTAAAAGGGTGAATTTTATGGTATATGGATTATATCTCAATAAAACTGCTTATAAAAATGTATAAAACAAATGCAGTTTTTCTTTTCAAACTGAGATAAAGTGGCCTTACCCTTTGGAGTACATATGAAGAATATATATCTACCTATATTAAGTACCTTCTTTGGGCCAACAACTTTGGTAACACCATCTCATTTAAGACATTATCCTTGTCATTTTATAGATAGGGAAATGTTATGTTAGAGATTACCTAACATAGAATCTCACATCTAGCAAGTGCTAGATCCCAGGTCTCTGTTTTGCGAAGCTTATATGCCTTCCATCCTTCACTTTGTGGTTCAGTGAAAACATGCTTTATTAGAACCAAGTGCTAACTTGTTATACTTCGTGTCTGTTTTTGTGCTAGAAAGGGTAATATGGAGTTACTAACTATCCCAATTGTAGCTTTGATTATTGGCAAAAACAAGTTGAGAAAAATGTTAATTTTCTCTTCTCACAGCACTTCATTAATTGGTGATTTCAAAGCTGGCCAATCTGTGACATTCTTATTTGGTACATTAAATGGAGTTTGGTACTGTGTGGACAAATGCTTCTTATCTGTAAGCTAAAATTTGAATCCAGAATAAGGAAGATGATTATTTGGTGGTGGGGGGTGGATTTTCATTGGTATAAGGATAGGAGATTTTTCTTAAATTTGAGTCAATAATGTAGGTCTTCACTTCCACAATCTTAGTTTTCAAGTATATATGTTAGTTTTGGAGTTAGTGTTGTTATGTTAAAGTTGACTTGTCTTTGAGAAAATTATATATTTATTTGTGTGGAGTTTATTAATCTTTTACAATAATAAAAGCATAGGCTATGGAATTAAGAGGCAAACTATCTTAATACATTGATGATTTTTTTTTTTGTATAGAACATTTTAGGAAAAAAGTACTTATTCTTCCTGGGTCTCATTTTCCAGAAGGAAGCACTGCATTAGCGAGTCCTGAAGATCCTTTCCAGCTCTTTGATTATATGACATTCTGACTAGCACAAAGAGGCACACCTGCAATCCTACTGAGAGTTCCATGGATCATTAATGATTATTCATGGTGAAGGAAGCAGAGGTAATGTAGACTCTGAAAGCTGATACTTCTCATTGTAGAAGTACACTCTTGTGTTACAGTGTTTTTGTACATGAGAAATTCCACCTGCCAGCCCTTGAAGGTCTCTGAGCACAAGGGATTAACTCAGTGCCCTTTAAGTTAAAATACGTCCTGCAAACCCAGCACAGTGTACCTGCAGTGAGGGGACTGTTATGGATGCTCATTTTTATGTCTTTTAGAGCTTATGCTATGCATATCCTGCTTAAGCTTTGTCTCTCTTTTTCCTTAAGTTTTGAAATGCTTTTTATTGTGTAGAAAAGTTAAAATTCTTTAAAACATTAATTAAAAGTAAAAATGATCAAGAGTAAAATGTGACATATATATTTTTCTATTTAAAATACACAATGCATATTTTTTTAAATTCTATGAGCTAGGAGAGTCTAATGTAAGAAGACTCACTGCCAGCATATTCCAGTCTACTTCAGTGCTCTGACTTCAGCCACCTCCCAATAACTAGTTTAGATAACTTTTTGAGCATTTGTACTATGCTGTTTAATATAAGAACGAGCAGTGGTGAATACGTAATTTTCTTTCAACTTTTATTTTACATTCTGGGGTACATGTGCAGGATGTGCAGATTTGTTACACAGGTAAACGTGTGCTATGGTGATTTATTGCACAGATTGTCCCATCACCCAGGTATTAAGCCCAGCATCCATTTTATTCTTCCCTATAGTCTCCCTGCCACCCCACAGGTGGCCAGTGTGTGTTGTTTCCCCCTACGTGTCCATGTGTTCTCATCAATCAGCTCCCACTTATAAGTGAGAACATGTGGTGTTGGTTGTCTGTTCCTGCATTTATTTGCTGAGGATAGCAGCTTCCAGCTCCATCCATGTCCCTGCAAAGGACATAATCTCATTCCTTTTTATGGCCGCATAGTATTTCATGGTGTATATGTACCACATTTTCTTTATCCATTCTATCATTGATGGGCATTTAGGTTGATTCCATGACTTTGCTATTGTAAATAGTACTGCAATAAACATACATGTGCATGCATCTTTTTAAAAGAACGATTTATATTCCTTTGGATATATACTCAGCAATAGGATTGCTCGGTCAAATGGTATTTCTGTCTCCAGGTCTTTGAGGAATTACCACACTGTCTTCCACAACAGTTGAACTAATTTACATTCTCACCAACAGTGTAAAAGCATTCCTTTTTCTCTACGTTCTCACCAGCATCTGTTTCTTGACTTTCTAATAATTGACATTCTGACTGGCATGAGATGGTATCTCATTGTAGTTTCGATTTGCATTTCTCTAATGATCGGTGATGTTGAGCTTTATAAAATATGTTTATTGGCTGCATGTATGTTGTCTTTTGAGAAGTGTCTGTCCATGTCCTTTGCCTACTTTTTAATGGGGTTGTTTGTTTTTTTCTTGTAAGTTTGTTTAAGTTCCATATGGATTCTGCATATTAGACCTTCGTCAGATGGATAGATTGAAAAAATTTTCTCCTATTCTGTAGGTTGACTGTTCACTCTGGTGATTATTTCCTTGCTGTGCAGAAGCTTTATAGTTTAATTAGATCCCATTTGTCAATTTTTGCTTTTGTTGCAATTGCTTTTGGCATTTTCGTCATGAAGTCTTTGCACATATCTATGTCCTGAATGATATTGCCTAGATTTTGTTCTAGAGTTTTTATAGTTTTGGGCTTTACATTTAAGTCTTTAATCTATCTTGAGTTAATTTTTGTAAATGGTGTAAGGAAGGATTCCAGTTTTAATTTTCTGTACATGACTTGCCAGTTCTTCTAGCACCATTTATTAAATAGGGAATCCTGTCCCCATTGCTTGTATTTGTCAGGTTTGTCAAAGATCAGATGGCTGTAGATACGTGGTCTTATTTCTGGGTTCTCTGTTCTGTTCCATTGGTCTATGTGTCTGTTCTTATACTAGTACCATGCTGTTTTGGTTACTGTGGCCTTGTTGTATAGTTTGAAGTTGGGTAGCATGATGCCTCCAGCTTTGTTCTTTTTGCTTAGGATTACCTTGGCTAGTCAGCCTTTTTTTTTTTTTTTTTTGGTTCCATATGTATTTTAAAGTATTTTTTTCTAATTCTGTGAAGAATGTCAATGGTAGTTTAATGGAATAGCATTGAATCTGTAAATTACTTTGGGCAGTATGGCCATGTTCACAACATTGATTTGGCCTATCCATGAGCATGGAATGTTTCTCCATTTGTTTGTATCCTCTGATTTCTCTGAGCAATGGTTTGTAGTTCTCCTTGAAGAGGTCATTCACTTCCCTTGTTAGTTGTATTCCTTAGGTATTTTATTCTTTTTTTTTAGCAATTGTGAATGGCAGTTCATTCATGATTTGTCTCTCTGTTTGCCTGTTGTTGGTGTATAGGAATGCTAGTGATTTCCACGTAATGATTTTATATTCTGAGACTTTGCTGATGTTGCTTATAAGCTTAAAAAGCTTTTAGTCTGAGATGATGGGGTTTTCTAGATATAGGTTCATGTCATCTGCAAACAAAGATAATTTGACTTCCATTCTTCTTATATGAATACCAGTTATTTCTTTCTCTTGCCCAATTGCCCTGGCCAGAACTTCTAATATAATGTTGAGTAAGAGCAGTGAGAGAGGGCATCCTTGTTTTATGTCAGTTTTCAGGGGAATGCTTCCAGTTTTGCCCTTTCAGTATGATATTGGCTGTGGGTTTGTCATATATGGCTCTTATTATTTTGAGATATGTTCCTTCAATATCTAGTTTATTGAGAGTTTTTAATATGAAAGTATGTTGAATTTTATCAAAGGCCTTTTATTTGCATCTATTGAGATGATCAAGTGGTTTTTGTCTTTAGTTCTGTTTATGTGGTGGATCATATTTATTGATTTGTGTATATTGAAACAGCCTTGCCTCTTGGGGATGAAGCCAACTTGCTCATGGCTTAAGCTATTTGACGTGCTGCTAGATTCAGTTTGCCAGTATTTTATTGAGCATTTTTGCATTGATATTCATCAAGGATATTGGCCTGAAGTTTTCTTTTTTTTTTTGTATCTCTGCCAGGTTTTGGTATCAGGATGATTCTGGCCTTATAGAATAAGTTAGGGAGGAGTCCTACCTCTTCAATTTTTTGGAATAGTTTGAGTAGAAGTGGTATAAAGTCTTCTTTGTACTCCAGTAGAATTTGGGTGTGAATCCGTCTGGTCCTGGGCTTTTATTTTTGGCAGCAGGCTATTTATTACTGCCTCAATTTCAGAACACATTATTGGTCTATTCAGGGCTTCAGTTTCTTCCTGGTTCAGTCTTGGGAGGGTGTATTTGTCTAGGAAATTTTTTTTTTCTAGTTTATGTTAATAGAGGTGTTTATTGTATTCTCTGATGGTCATTTGTATTTCTGTGGAGTCAGTAGTGATATCCCCCTTATCATTTCTGATTGTGTTATTTGATTCTTCTCTCTCTTCTTCTTTGTTAGTCTAGCTAGTGGTCTATTTGATTCATGTTTTCAAAAAACCAGCTCCTGGATTCATTGATTTTTCGAAGGGTTTTCCATGTCTCTATTTCCTTCAGCTTGACTCTGATTTTGGTTATTTTTTGTCTTCTGCTAGCTTTGGGGTTTGTTTGCTCTTTTTTCTCTAGTTCCTTTTGTTGAGGTGTTAGGTTGTTAAGTTGAGATCTTTCTAGCTTTTTCTTGTGGGCATTTAGTGATATAGATTTCCCTCTTTACAGTACTTTAGCTGCATCCCAGAGATTCTGGTATGTTGTTCTCTTTTTCTCATTAGTTTCAAAGAACTTCTTTCTTAATTTCATTATTTATCCAAGAGTCATTCAGGAGCAGGTTGTTCAATTTCCATGTAGTTATATGGGTTTGAGAGAAAAATTTCTCAATCTTGAGTTCTAATTTGTTTGTGCTGTGGTCTGAGAGACTGTTATAATTTCAGTTCTTTTGCATATGATGAGGAGTGTTTTACTTCCCATTATGTGATCAATTTTGGAGTAAATGTCATGTGATGATAAAAAGAATGTATATTCTGTTGTTTTTGGCTGAAGGGTTCTGTAGATATCTCTCAGGTCCACTTGATCCAGAGCTGAGTTCACGTCCTGAATATGTTTGTTAATTTTCTGTCTCGATTACCTGTCTAATATTGTCAGTAGGGTGTTAAAGTCTCCCACTATTATTGTGTGGGAGTCTAAATCTTTTCGTAGGTCTCTAAGAACTTGCTTTATGAATCTGGGTGCTCCTGTATTGTGTGCATATGTATTTAGGATAGTTAGCTCTTCTTGATGAATTGAACCCTTTACCACTGAGCTTTGTCACTTACTATAAGATTCATGGCAAATCCAGGACACTTTAAATTCTTTTTTTAGTTTATGGGCTGTGTTTCTTTTAAAGATAGTTTTTTTCCAAGTTCATTAGTGGCTCTAATTTAATGTTTCCTCTCATTAATTAAAACAACCATAAACCAATAGCAATGAACAAAAGAGACAACGTTTTGAACCTTAGAACTCCTTACAATACAAAAACCATTTGTCTCCCTATAATCACATCTTACAAGTTTTTATTATTTTTCTAGTATAAAAATAATATATACTTTATGTTTAAATACGTTGGAAAATACAAAATATACATAGAGAAGAAGAGAAATAGTTCTTGCTAATACTTTTGCATTTTCCATTGTAACTATCATACTTTTGTACTATGTACATCTAGCAGATATTTGTAAATAATTTTAGTTGAAAAAGTAATTTGAGATAATTCTGGGGGAGTTGCATCAAAATGATTTAATATTCTCAGAGAAAAATGTTTAGAATTGATAAAATGTGTGATAGTGCCTGGTTCATCTGTGCTCTGGGTGTTGTTTAATTCAGGCTTCTGGGTTGCTTCCTTGGGAAAATTAGATGCAATTTATGGGTTGTGTCTTGCAAGACAGGCAAATACCCTGGCCTTATTCTATGGGAAACAGAAAATATTACTTAAAAATGAGCAAAGAATAAATATAGGAAAGAATGTCTGTAAGGACAAAAGTTTTAGGCAAATCCTGAGACATTATCCTTTTAGTAACTTAGCAGGACTGTTTTTAAAGGCTGAACTATGTGTCAGATACATCTTATGCACATTTTCAGACTACTGGGGCCTCACATATGCATCATCCTAAGCCTATTGCTCATGTCCTCCACTGTTGAGGGGAACTGCCCTTTATGAAACGATCTCCTGAGACTTATTAACTGTCACGAGAACAGCACGGGAAAAACCCGCCCCATGATTCAGTTACCTCCCAGTGGAACACATTGGGATTATGAGAGCTACAGTTCAAGATGAGATTTGGGTGGGCACACAGCCAAACCATATCAGTATCCAAGGGATCCTAGTGTCTGTTTTTTCCATGGTAAATTATAAAATTATAAGGCTATCAGAAATTATGCATAGAGAGTAAATTATTCTTAGTTTCCGGAAGGATATTTCAGGATGTCTGTTGGCACTTATAGAGGGCCATCTTATATCATTTACTTAAGTTTGAATACTTAGTGATATAAACAACTCTTTTCCATGAAGCTTTTATACTGTCTGTGTTGGTGACGAGAAGCTTTCTCATGTGGCATTCATATCACATGTTCATTCATTCAACATTCAGTGAATATTTATGGAGTGCCCAGCGTATTTAGAAATGGGATACATTAGGGCCGGCAGGCATCTCATGCCTGTAATCCCAGCACTTTGGGAGGCCAAGGCAGGTGGATTACCTGAGGCCAGGAGTTTGAGACCAGTCTAGCCATCATGGTGACACTCCCATCTCTACTAAAAATACAAAAATTAGCTGGGCATGGTGGCATATGCCTGTAATCCCAGCTACTCAGGAGAATGAGGCATGAGAATTGCCTGATTATGGGAGGCTGAAGTTGCACTAAACTGAGATCATACCACTGCATTCCAGTCTGGGTGACAGAGTGAGACTCTGTTTAAAAAAAAGAAAAAAAAGTTTGTGTGTGGGGATACATTAGTGAACTAAAAAGGAGCTAACATTCAAGATAAATAATATATAATATATAAATTTTTAAAAGGCGATAAAATACTGTGGGAAAACTGAAATGGGATAAATAGGATCAGGAGTACAGCGAGGGGAAGAGGCTTGGGGCTTGGCATGTTGCTATATTAAATAGTGAAGGGGCCTTCATTGAGAAGGTGAGGTTGATCAAATATATCTTAAAGAAGTAAGGGAGTTAGCCAAGAGGATACCTGGGGAAAGAGCATTTCAGGCAGAGGAAATTGTACAGCAAATTCTCAAGGTGGGAGCCTGTCCAGCGAGTGTCAGGATCTGGAGGAGACTGCTGTGGATGCTAGCAGAGTAAGCAAAGAAGAGTGAAGTAGGAATTGAGGCCAGGTAGACTATGTTGGACCTTGTCCAGCTCTTATTAGCAGTGAGAAGGAATCAGTTGCATGTTTTATTTTTTATTTTTATTTTTTACTTTTTTTTGAGACAGAGTCTCACTCTGTCACCCAGGCTGGAGTGCAGTGGCTCGATCTTGGCTCACTACAACCTCTGCCTCCCAGTTTCAAGTGAGTCTCCTGCCTCAGCCTCCTGAGTAGCTGGGACTACAAGGGTGTGCCACCAAGCCCGGCTAATTTTTGTAGTTTTAGTAGAAACGGAGTTTCACCGTGTTGGTCAGGCTGGTCTTGAACTCCTGGCCTCAGGTGATCCACCCTCCTCTGCCTCCCAAAGTGCTGGGATTACAGGCGTGAGTCACTGCATCCAGCCCAGTTGCAGATTTTGATCAAAGGAGTGACCTGATCTGACTTGACTTTTAAAAGATGATTCTGGCTGCTGTGTTAATAATAGACTTTGGGGAATGCACAACAGTAGAAGTAGGAGACACAAGCCAAGATGATGATTTAGCCTATCAGCGAAGTGGCAAAAAATGGATGAATTCTGGATGTATTAAGAATGTATTAGGAATATAGAGTCTATAGTTTTTTCTTTGTGATAATGGAATCCTGCAGTTAGCTGTATGAAACATTTGTCAAAGGACCTTCCGAAAAAATATTTTGTAAGATATCTCAATTTAATATTAATATATTACCGTTGGATTCATCTACATTTTAAAGTTTCTGCTTATGTTGCAATTATTGCTGCATCTAAAACACTAGACCCTGCATCTGGTGGGTTTCATGGTATGTACATAATAAAGATAAGTTGTGAGGTGACAAGAACTCTACCTGTACTTTTTGCAATGGTTCTGAATGAAATATGCTCTCAAGTTGCTTCTCCCACACACAAATTTTGGATGTCAAATCCCTGAATAGCCAAATACTAGACTGATATAATCCTCTGGATTATGCTTGTCTAGTTGGTGTGCTTCGTTGGCATGTTATAAACTATAGTTACATTTTAATTTAATGCTTGTAAATTCTGAGACATGTAGTATTATATTATTATTGGCCAAAGCCTTTGTGGGAGACCATTATGAATACAAAATTTGCTTCAGTTAAGAGGCACATTTGAGGACTTCATAAATATTAATTGAAATGCATGCTGTTCAAGAAAATTACAATTTTTGTGGTATGAGCAAACATTGCAGTTCTGCAACAATGTTGATTTTATTCACCAAATTTTTATCCTAAACAGATAGCTTTAGAATGCTCTTTTGTTTAGGTCCAATATGAGCATCATATTTAATTAAAAGATGTCATCTTTTAATGACATCTTTGCTACTGGAGGATGTTGTATTAGATAATACAAGTAGGTATGATAAGCAAAACTTTAACCAAATAATCTTTTCGTTTGATTTTAGTAAAATAAAGAAACCGTAAAAATATAACTTTTGGCTAACACTCTAAATGTTCACGTGCCACCACATGAATTCAGTACACATGCACGTGCACACGTACCCACACATGTGTATGCAACCTCGACCCCCCATAATATTTAGACATATCATCAGCTGGTAGAATTAAGCTCAAGAAAGCTGTTACTTTTATAGCCATTGTATAATATGATTTAGTTAATGATAAATAATAAAATAAATTGGTTTTCTGTAGTTTACTTCTGGCTTAAATCTTGCATTTCACAGAAATATTATGGAAATCTGATTAAAGGCATGACAAACGCACCACTGTTTTAAGGTTAAAAAAAGTAGCAATTTAAGGAAAAGTGAATAGCCAGATTACATTGCTTTTTCTTTTTAAGTCATGGTTTATAATGTTATTATAAATGAATAAATTATTTCAGCTGTTGGCTTAGGTTATACTTACCAAGACAGATATTACAATAGTATGATTGTCAAGGAATTATATTGCACTTTTGAGTTGACTTTTTGTTAACACCTGCATTTTGTTTGATTGACAAAACTCTTTTAGAACAGAGTGGAAAATAGAGCTGTTTACAAGTTACCCTGAAGGTCGCTGCTCTGCCCCAAGGGAGTGGCAAGCTTTTTCTCCTACATAGATGAGCGTTTTTTAACAAACACCTTGAGATACCTCTTTATATTGGGAAGCAAGAGCACTCCAGGGTATGGTTTTGAAGGATACTGATGGCTGGACTGCTCAGCATCAGAAATAAGTGGTTATTTGAAGGTGGGAGTAAACCCAGGAGAGAAAAAGAGAGAGTCAGAAAAACAATACCAAGTGGTGGACAGTAGAGAACTCAAGAGTGGAAACCTAGGAGAGGGATGATGAAAGGATTGTCCATACTCAGTTTTTTGGTGTTTCTTGTCAGGAGCTGTCATCACAGGCATCTTGCTCCACACATACCTTCGGCAGTATCTGTCATATACACAAATTTCTTGATCAAATGGTGTTTGATGAATCAGAGAAAAAGTGTTATAATATCTGAGATTGTGCTGAGCAGAGAGGAGAGAATAAATATTTTGGGTCAAACACAGGTAACAATGAATTTAGCAGGAGAGGAAATCAGAATTAGAGGTAACAGAATACAGGCAAAATTGGCAAATTCGGCAAAATTCTGCCTGAAGGGATTGCCTTTCCCCTAGACATGAGATAGAGGCTAGAGAAAATCATAAAGCAGATGATAGCTTCAGCTCACATCTGGATTATACTTGCTTTTGGCTCTCCACACAAAAGGCATTTCTTTCATATTCAGAAAGCTTACCAGCAATTTTAAATGTAGAAGGCCTTGTTTTAACTGTGCTGATGGAGGCAGCTTGGCATTCCTGGGCTCCTTGAAGTTTGAGAATATAGTAAAGAATCTCTGAGATGTTCCAATTATTTAAAAAGTCTAACAAAAATCTAATATTTATTCATGATAAGGTGACATGAACTCACTCATCTGTCAAATAACTCCTCCATAATAGAATTATATCCACTCAGTTGATAATTCTGTAATGGTATCTCATGCTGATCAGAAGCTCTGATAAGCAGTTAGGCGTCTTTGATGGAAGAAAGGAGAAAATTATTATTAAAAATTGCAGCTTCCGTTTCTGCTCCTTTCTCCTGCACTGAGATGAACTCTCTCATTCTGAAATTGTGTTCCTTGAGCAGCAGATGAAACTGCATAACTACAGTGAACATGGAGGCCTGTCGATTTCTAAAGGAAGTTCCCTCAAAGGCATCCACTTCACTGTGAAATAAGTGGTCATGGCTCAGTTAGCTGTCTTGTAACTATAGACAGTAAAGCCCCGACAGAAACATCTACAAATTTCTGGTGGTCGCTGCAGACACAGGACCCTTGGAGAACTCTCATATCTCCTGGCATGGTTTGAAAAGGAAAGTGTGCGGCCGGGCGCGGTGGCTCATACCTGTAATCCCAGCACTTTGGGAGGCCGAGGCGGGCGCACGGGGTCAGGAGATCGAGACCATCCTGGCTAACACAGTGAAACCCCGTCTCTACTAAAAATACAAAAAGTTAGCCGGGCGAGGTGGCGGGCGCCTGTAGTCCCAGCTACGCGGGATGCTGAGGCAGGAGAATGGCGTGAACCCCGGGGGGCGGAGCCTGCAGTGAGCCGAGATCGGGCCACTGCACTCCAGCCTGGGCGACAGCGAGACTCCGTCTCAAAAAAAAAAAAAAAAAAAAACCAAAACAAAAAAAAAGGAAAGTGTGCTTTTCAGTAGGACCTGGGGTAGCCCGAGGTGTCTCCGGGTCTGTCATTGTCCAGTCACCAGCAAATAAGGCATGTAGCTGAAAGCCAGGATTGAGTCCATCCTGCAGCCCCCAGGAGAAATCTTAAACTAGAGATCTTGCCAAACCTCCTGGAGATTTCTCCCTGGGGGAATTTTGCATTGTGTTAATATATTGTCTTTGTGTCAGCCCCTGTGCCTTTTAAATTAATTTTCATCATTAGGAATTGTAGCCCAGAATCTTCCCTCTTGATTCTTTAAAAAATAAAAATTTTACCTAGCCACTTGAGACACCAAGAAAGAGCTAGAAGGAGTATGATAGGCCTAAGGAAGATATCTGGGCCCAATTTTCATCAACCAACTCTTATCGCACACCTACTATGTGCAGAAATGCGAGCAGGTGCACAGTGGTATTTCTTGAACTACTTTTGTCCTCTAACATGTGACCCTCTTTAGAATAAGCTTTATGAACTTTTTGTCCCCTTGTCTGACATAAAGTGTTCCCTGCAAGTGAAATGGATGAGGGGGTTTCCTTTTCTCTCTAGATATTTAGGGAATTAGACCTTGAAGGAAGAGGGGAGGCAAGTGTTGGATTACAGGATTTAGGGGAAGACATGGCCTATGGCTGGAGCCAACAAGTGAGATATTGAATCCCAGGAGATGCTCTTCGTAGGTGGAAAACTCATCAGCTCAACTGGACGCTTTGTACCAGCTCAGAGAGTTCTTAGCAATGATTGCTGCCAAAATATATATACTCTTAACTGAATCAGAAATACAGTGCTAAGTGAGTCACTTGTGAGGACTCTAATAAATAATTCCATTTCAATACTATTTTTTTTCAGTTTCTATGATAATGTCTTTTGAAATACATTCATGAAGTTCCTGGAATCCATGGTGAAAATTCATAAAAATGGTCCTTGAAATTAGCAAATTTGACTTCATCACTTATTAATTACAAATGTCTGCTCTGACATCACTGGTGTTTTGGGGATCATAATGTATTAAAGTTTTGTTTTAAATCATAAGGTGTTATAGAAATTCAGATCTTGCAGGTTATAAAGCAGTGGTTAAAGACCTGGTCCTTGAAGCCAGATCCTAGATTTGAGTTCTTTTTCTGCCACACATTTTAATTGCACAGCCATGGGGATGCCTCTTGACCTCTCTGAGGCCCAGGATTTCATTGCCTGGCACCTACTAAGTGCTCGACAGATACTATTTTTATTTTTACTATATGGCGTCTGATTTTAAGGCAAATCTATTCCATAAAATCATAAAAAATAACACTCTACTGTCAGTCTTTTTTTGGCAAGCATTAAGGGTAAGTGGTCTTGGGGATGTATTGTCAGGTGAAGAATGGCATAATTTATTATGATTTTTAATCTTAGAAGAAGAGAGCGTCTCCTATATTGGAAAAATGTTACATTTTCTCTAAGGAGTAAAACAAAATTTTATAGTAGTATGTAAACTGTTAAAGAAACAACAAAAAACCCCCAACCACATGCATTAACCTGTTTTTGGTACTTAGTGACCTTAGGAAGGAAAGAGTTTAGAGTAACAACCAAGTTATTATAATTTCCATCAAAAGTAAAATACTGAAGCAAGATAAATCTGACACGTGCTAGCTGTAGTGTCCGGAACAAGCACTATTCCTTATATAGCCAACTGTGGCAAGTAATGGCTGTGGTAAAGACAGTGGTCTGTATGCAGGATAACATTTCAACTACCCAGTTTTATAAAACTGCTGAAGAGCAAAAATGCAGCTGGGTTTGGGGAAAGGTCTTGAATACGTGGAAGGTTGGGGGAGAAGGATCTTGTTTGACCAACAGGACATATTATTGAAGATAATTATTTAGGTTGCCGTAAGAATTTACATCAATGTGTACTAAGAAATAATGTGAGGCAAATTTAGGAATCTTAAAAAGATGTGAAATAATGATGGGCTTATGTTTTATGACTCTTTAGTATGGGAGGCATTAGGGAAAAACTATTAAATTATTAGTCAGCAACTCTCCCAGGTACTGCAGAGTGTTTTTAAGGCACAGTGCCAATTCCTAGTAGATTTGATAAAAGTTTTCTGATTTTTATAAAAGAAAATCTTTCAAATGTTACAGAAGATGAATTTTACTATATTAAAGAATGAAATGATAAAGGTCTAGCCAGTTTGAGAGTGGTGATGGAAGAAAACTCTACATTTGATATTAGGAGATACCATCCTTTTAAAATACAAGTACCTGTTTTGTTTCTTTAGTCTCCCTCATTTCTTCCTCTTTGATCTGCCTCTTAAAGGAGAATTATTCCAACTTTTCTTCTAAGCCTCTCCATCTTCCTCCTTTCCTTCTTTTTTTTTTTTTTTTTTCTCCAATAATTATCTTGGCTTTGAACATTGAGTTTGTGCTATATATATTCAGGTCACCACTGGGTATACCAAATTAATAAGTCATGATCTCTGCCCTAGTTTTGGTGTGTTGGGGAAAGAACGGCAAGAAAACTTGTAAAATGTGATAAAGTCTTTACAGTGATTAGGAATATGTGTTCTAGAAGCACAAAAGAGGTGACATCTGAAGTTTCATGAAGGCTAAGTGAGTTAGTGGGGAGGAGGCGTTTCAGGAAGGAAAAACTGCAAGGACTCAGGCACAGGGCACGGAAATGGATGGTATCTTGGGAGACCTGTTAGTCATTTTGTGTGTTTGGAATGTCGAGTGTATGTTGGAGTGTGCAGCAGCTGAGGTTGGATAAGTGGGGTGCTAATGATTTTATACTTTATCCTGCGGGTAGTGGAGAGTAACAAGAGGTTTTTAAGCACTGAGTGGGCTAACTAATTTCTTTTTATGGCTTTAACCACCATCCTTAAGTTAATTATTCCCAAATCCGTACCTGCAGTTCTGACTTTGTTCCTAAGTATCATAATTGTATTTTAAAGTGCTAACTCCCTACTGAACATATTATCCTGCTGTTACTCAAGCAAGTTGAGTTCAGACAAACTTACTTTGTCCCTTTACATTGTTCTTCCACTTGGGCTCTTTTCTTTGTTTCATAATGGCAACATTTCTCCAAATCAACTGGGCTGAACATCTTAGTGCCATCTTCAGCTTCCTTCTTTATTTGTTTCCTCATAGTATTTTGTTTACCAGAACCCACCACTTTTGCTCCCAAGCACTTCATGGCCATTTCCCTATTTCTTTTTCTACTGCCAGTGCCATATGGCTTAAACTCCTATTCTTTTTCATCTGTACTTTTGCAATGGCCTTTTAATATCCTACTTATTTTCTCTTTTACTTCTAATCCAGTGTGCATAATTGGACCATAATTTTCTTCCTAAAATATGGATTTCCTGACATAATTTCTAATCTTTTCCACTTTTCCTTATTTTTACAATCTCCTTCCTTATAATATTGCTTGTCAGAAATCATCATTCTTTGTAA
The DNA here is from genome assembly GCF_000001405.40 of Homo sapiens. Taxonomy (NCBI): domain Eukaryota; kingdom Metazoa; phylum Chordata; class Mammalia; order Primates; family Hominidae; genus Homo; species Homo sapiens. The sequence goes on from NC_000014.9 coordinate 40,004,687, forward strand.
TACCATAATGCTTTTAAAAAATATCTTGATAACATCACAACTTGCCTTATATTAAAATAAACTTTATTTTTAAAATACTTACACATTTTTAGAAGGCAGAGTATATTAGTTACCTATTACTGTGTAACAAATTACTCCAACATTTAGCAGCTTAAAATAATGCACATTCATTATTTCACAGTGTCATTGAGTCAGAAGTCCAGGGTGCATCTTAACTGTGCTCTCTGGCTTAGGATCCCTCACAAGGCTGCTATCAAGATGTCAGTTGAGGGTATGGTCATGATAAGGTTCAAGTGGGGTAGGATCGGCTTTTCAGCTCACTCAGTGGTCATGGCAAGGTTTAGTTTCTTCCCAGTTATTGGACAGAGGGTGTCAGTTTCTCACTGGCTGTTGGCCAAAGGCTTCCCTCAGTTACCTACCATACATATGTGTTTCTTTGTGGGGCAGCTTACAACATGAGAGCCTGCTTCAAGTGGAGAGTAGTGAGAGACAAAAGTCGCAGTCTTTTATAACCTAATTTTGGAAATGACATTCCATCACTTTGCTATATTCTGTTTGTTAAAAGCATGTCACTATGTCCAGCCCACATTCAAGGAGAGTAAATAATTATACAAGGGAATGAGTAGCAGGCAGCTGACTATCACACAGAGCATCTATAATTTTACTCCCAACCTCTGTGACTAATGCCTTCTGCAACAGGTGTTTAATACTTTTTACTGATCGTATTGAAAGATATTGTTGCTTTTTGTAACTAAGATTTATGCCAGTGTTAATTTTAACATCTACATTTGGTTAAAATTAGTTGACCTCTTTGAATTTTTTTGTGTAATATAAAAAGAGAAAAAAATGAAAAGGTACTAAATAGTCAGTTGGGTCATTTGGGGGTTCAGTACATGAATGCCACTCAATCATTTGGCAAAAATGATGACAACATACTGGAGAGGGAGGAAGAGAGTAATGTGATGGAAATTATCCCCGATACCATTTTTTTTTTCTGAATTTCACTTGACATCAACAACAAAAATATACACTAAAATTCAGTTCTAGGTAATTTCTAAATTTGTTAATAGTTTAGATTTCTTAATTTTCTCCAGTTAGATGCTTATGTAAACACTTTAGAAAGGCAGTTGCCAAGTTTGAAGTGACTTTCTATGTAAAGATATATAAATTTGAAGTAGTGATAGTTTTAAAATTTAGTTGTTTATAAACGTAAAAAACTCAGAAAAATATACTTTTCCTACATTAGTTTTAAGTAGGTTTTTATATCATCTTTATGAGCAAAAGAATATTTTGATAGGCATTAAGGCCTAAGTTTCAGGGACCATTAGTGTGTTATAGCTATTTAATTTTTAAATTCAGAAATATTACACTTTGACTCTAATAAATTATTTTTATATGCCTTTTCAAAGTTATAAACAGATTAAAAGAACATAATGTGAAAAGAGAAAAGTTCTATTAAAAATATTCCTGGTTTAGCTTAAGGTTTTATTCATTACTTGGGTCAAAATAACCTCAGCTTTATCTTTTTTATGTGTGTGTTATCTATTTTTGAGATGTTTGAGATAGAATAAAGCTCAAATTTCCAGGAGCAGCCAAATCATTGTACTTTGAATTTTTAAAATCATTTCTTTTTAGATGACAATAATGAAGCATTTGCATTTGAGCCTGGCAACATGTGCATTTGAAAGTTTGCTAAATGAATATAATTGTGAATTAAACAACAAGAAAAATATTATTCTTTTAAAAACATTATTGAAACCATTACATATGAATTATAAATTTTTTTCAGGCAACACGTTAATTAGTCAACTTTTTTCAGATCCTTATACATTTATTCAGATATTTCCTTTCATAGACTTGTCTCATCTTCAGGTGTGATTTTTAATGAATATTTTCAATTCTGCTAAAGACTACATTATTAAGTTCTATAACCAGGCCTAGTTATATATTTACATTTATACCCTTTTCTCAAGTCAAGCCCATTTGGAATTTAAGAATTTGAAAGGTCATGTAAAAATGAATTTAAAATTTAGTTTAGATAATTGCAATTTTACCACATTTCCAACTGTCATAGTCTCCATAATGAGAGATCAAGCACAATGTCATATATGAACTAAATTTATTGTGTTTTTCAGGAAAGTGAAACCTTTTCTAAATATTAATAATGGTTTATGTGATGGTTAATGAGTGTCAACTTGATTGGATTTAAAGATGTAAAGTATTGTTCCTGGGTTTGTCAGTGAGGGTATTGCCGAAAAAGATTAATATTTGAGTCAGTGGACTGGGAGAGGCAGACCCATTCTCAAACTGGGTGGGCACCATCTAGTCAGCTGCCAGCATGGCTAGGATAAAAGCAGGCAAAGGAACATGGAAAGACTAGACTGTCTATATACATAATACCTTTGACCATATATGGGGAACCAAAAAATATGATTAAGTTGGTTGGTTGTTGCTAAGTTTAGTGGACAAAGTGATGAAAGAAAACAATAAACTCAGGGATTCTAACTCATGGCTCCAGAAGACATACCTTTCACCAAAACTTTGCAAAATAGATTTGTGAGGGCAGCACCCGCATCCTTGAAGAGCTCTGTGATTTCTCTTCTCTGTATGCCACATCTTATAGTGGGACTTGCAGTTACTCAACTACAAAATTTAAATGCAGTGGGAATAATTGAATCCTGAGATGGCAGGGGCCAAGTGGTGGCACTCAACTGCCAATGGCAAGATGGGTATAGTTACTGTAATGGACAGCAGAGGCAAAGCAAGCAGTCAGAATAATCTGACTTGTGTAAGCTCTGGCATTGGCTAATTAATCATGGTGTTCCTAGAAGTGAAATTTATAGGAAGCCTACTGCATTCTTAATTTATATAAGCAGAAAACTTCCAGGTTGAGTGGACAAAATACTAATTAAAATTATGAAAACAGAGAATCACAGTCCCTCAATCAAATTCCAGACTTGAGCCAGTTTACAGACCCAGAACCCCATGAATGAAGGGGGAAGCTGGGAAGGCCTTGAGGAAGGACCCCACTACGCTACACTACAAACAATTTATGTTGTTATTCTTTTGCCCATCCTTTCCCAAGGAGACTGCTGCCCTTTTACCAGGGTAACTGTGTATTGGAGAAAGGGAAATAATCAGACCTTTTATGGACTACTGGACACTGGCTCTGAGCTGACGTCAATTCCTGGGGACCTAAAATGTCATTGTGGTCCTCCAGTTAAAGTATGGGCTTATGGAGGTTAGGTATTAATGGAGTTTTAGCTCAGGCTTAATTTACAGTGGGTCCATTGGGTCCCCGGACTCATCCTGTGGTCATTTCCCCAGTGCCAGAATGCATAATTGGCATAGACTTACTTAATAGCTGGCAGAATCCCCACACTGGTTTCCTGACTGGTAGGGTGAGGGCTATTATGGTGGGAAAGGCTAAATGGAAGCTATTAGAGCTGCCTCTACCTAGAAAAATAGTAAATCAAAAACAGTATTGCATCCCTGGGGGGGGGATTGCAGAGATTAGTGCCACCATTGAGGACTTGAAAGATGCAGGGGTGATGATTCCCACTACATCCCCGTTCAACTCTCCCACTTGGCCTGTGTAGAAGACAGATGGATCTTGGAGAATGACAGTGGATTATCATAAGCTTAACCAAGTGGCCACTCCAGTTGCAGCTGCTGTACCAGATGTGGTTTCATTGCTTGAGCAAATTAACACATCTCTGGATACCTGGTATGCAGCCATAGATTTGGGAAATGTCTTTTTCTCCATTCCTGTCCATAAGGTCCACCAGAAGAAATTTGCCTTCAGCTGGCAAGGCCAGCAATATACCTTTACTGTCCTACCTCAGGGATATATCAACTCTCCAGCTTTGTGTCGTCATTTTGTTCGGAGACATCTTGATCCTTTTCCCTTCCACAAGATATCACAGTGGTCCATTACATTGATGACATTATGCTGGTTGGATCCAGTGAGCAAGAAGCAGCAAACACACTGGTAAGACATTTGTATGTCAGAGGATGGGAAATAAATCTGACTAAAAATCAGGGACCCTTTACCTCAGTAAAATTTCTGGGGGTCCAGTGGTGTGGAGTCTGTCAAGATATTCCATCTAAGGTGAAGGATAAGTTGCTGCATTTGGCCCCTCCTATAACCAAGAAAGAGCCACAATGCCTAGTGGACCTATTTGGATTTTGAAGGCAACACATTCCTCATTTTGGTGTGTTACTCCAGCTCATTTATCGAATGACCAGAAAGGCTGCCATTTTTGAGTGGGGTCCAGAACAGAAGGCTCTGCAACAAGTCCAGGCTGCTGTGCAAGCTGCTCTGCCACTTGGGCCATACGACCCAGCAGATCCAATGAGATTGAGGGGTCAGTGGCAGATAGGGATGTTGTTGGGAGCCTCTGGCAGGCTCCCATAAGTGAATCACAGCAGAGGCCTCTAGGATTTTGGAGCAAGGCCCTCCCATCTTCTTCAGATAACTACTCTTATTCTGTGAAACAGCTCTTGGCCTGTTACTGGGCTTTGGTAGAAACAATGTTTGACTGTGGGTCATCAAGTCACCATGTGACCTGCACCACCTGTCATGAACTGGGTGCTTTCTGTCCCATTTAGCTGTAAAGTGGATTGTGCACAGCAGCATTCGGTCATGAAATGAAAGTGGTATATATGTGATTGGGCTCGAGCAGGTCTTGAAACACAAGTAAGTTACATGAGGAAGTGGCTTAAATGCCCATGGTCCCCATTCCTGCCACCCTGCCTTCTCTCCCCAAGCCTGCACTGATGGCCTCATGGGGAGTTCCCTATGATCAGTTGACAAAGGAAGAGAAGACAAGGACCTGGTTCACAGATGGTTCTGCACAATATGCAGACACCACATGAAAGTGGACAGCTGCAGCACTACAGCCCCTTTCTAGGACATCCCTGAAGGACTGTGGCAAAGGGAAATATTCCCAGTTGGCAGAATTTGAGCAGTGTACCTCATTGTGCACTTTAGTTGGAAGGAAAAATAGCCAGATGCATGATTATATACTGGTTAATGGGCTATAGCCAACGGTTTGGCTAGATGGTCAGGGACTTGGAAGAAGCATAATTGGAAAATTGGTAACAAAGAAATTTGGGGAAGAGGTATGTCGATGGACCTCTCTGAGTGGTAAAAAACTGTGAAGATATTTGTATCTGCTGTGAATTTTCACCAAAGGATGACCTCAGCAGAGGAGGATTTTAATAATTACATGGATAGGATGACTCGTTTTGTGGACACCACTCAGCCTCTTTCCCCAGCCATCCCAGTCATCACCCAATGGGCCCATGAACAAAGTGGCCATGGTGACAGGGCTACAGGTTATGCATGGGCTTAGCAACATGGACTTCCACTCACTAAGGCTGACCTGCCTATGGCCACTGCTGAGTGCCCAATTTGCCAGCCCCAGATATCAATACTGAGTCCTCGATATGGCACTGTTCCTCGGGGTGATCAGCCAGCCACCTGGTGGCAGGTTGATTATATTGGACCTCTTCTATCATAGAAAGGGCAGAAGTTTGTCCTCACAGGACTAGACACTTACTCCAGTTATGGGTTTGCCTATCCTGCATGCAATGCTTCTGCCAAGACTACCATCCGTGCCCTCATGGAATGCCTTACCCACTGTCATGGTATTTCACATAGCATTGCCTCTGACCAAGGCACTCACTTTATAACTATGGAAGTGTGGCACTGGGCTCGTACTCATGATTCTTACCATGTTCTCCATCATCCTGAAGTAGCTAGATTGATGGAACAGTGGAATGGTCTTTTGAAGTCACAATTACAATGTCAATTAGGTGAGAATACTTTGCACGGCTGGGACAAAGTTCTCAGAAGGCTGCGTATGCTCTGAATCAGTGTCCAATATATTGTATGGTTTCCCCCATAGCCAGGATTCACAGGTAGAAGGATCAAGGGGTGGAAGTAGAAGTGGCACGACTCACCATCACCTCTAGTGACCCACTAGCAAAATTTTTGCTTCCTGTTCCTGCAACATTTTTTTGTGCCGGCCTAGAGGTCTTAGTTCCAGTGGTAGAAGTGCTGCCCCAGGAGACACAACAATGATTCCATTAAACTGGAAGTTAGGATTGCCACCTGGTCATTTTGGGCTCCTTCTACCTCTAAGTCAGCAGGCTAAGAAAGGAGTTACAATGTTGTCTGGGTGATTGCCCAGACTATTAAGATGAAATCAGTCTACTGTGCCACAATGGAGGTAAGGAAGAGTATGCGTGGAATACAGGAGATCCCTTAGGGCATCTCTTAGTATTACCGTTCCCTGTTTAAGGTTAATAGGAAACTAAAACAACCCTTCCAGGCAGGACTACAAATTGCCGAGACCCTTCAGGAATTAAGGTTTGGGTCACTCCACCAGGTAAAAAGCCACAACTTGCTGAAGTGCTTGCTGAAGGCAAAGGGAATACAGAATGGGTAGTAGAAGAAGGTAGTCATCAATACCAGCTATGACCACGTGACCAGTTACCAAAACAAGGACTATAACTGTCATGAGTATTTCCTTCTTAGTTTGTTAAGAACATGTTTGTGCATGTATACACTTGTATGAAGAAAATATCTTCATTTTATTTTCTTTTTCCTTTATCATGTGACATAAGATTTTTTGACTTCATATCAGCATTTAAATGTTGTTAACTTCATGTAAACAATTGGGTTGGGATTGGTGTGCTTCTAGTTGTACGAAAGATAGTTGTCTTATGTTAGGTGTAATTATGACCTTATTCTTTTATTTCTCTGAAGATTGTATATGATTTCAGGAAATGTATATGGGTTCGAGTTGACAAGGGGTAGACTTGTGATGATTAATATTGAGTGTCAACTTGATTGGATTTAAAGATGCAAAATATTGTCCTGGGTGTGTCTTTGAGGGTGTTGCCAAAGGAGAATAACATTTGAACGAGTGGATTGGGAGAGGCAGACCAACCCTCAAGTTGGATGGGCACCATCTAGTCAGCTGCCAACATGGCTAGGATTAAAGCAGGCAAAGGAGCATGGAAGGACTACACTGGCTGTGTCCTCCAGCCTACATCTTTCTCATGTGCTGCATGCTTCCTGCCCTTGAACATTGGATTCCAGGTTCTTCAACTTTTGGACTCTTGGACATTAACCAGAGACTGAAGGCTGCATTTTTGGCTTCCCTACTTTTTAGGTTTTGTGACTCAGACTGGCTTCCTTGCTCCTTAGCTTGCAGATGACCTATTGTGGAACTTCATCTTGTGATCGTGTGAGTCAGTGCTTCTTAATAATCTCCCCTTCATATATACATCTATCCTATTAGTTCTGTCCCTCTAGAGAACCCTGACTAATATAGCTTGGTTACTAATTTGTTCAATACTGGCTTTAAGGATACCCTTTTATCATAGACTACATTTTGATGAACAATAGAAAATAATATGATTAAATACCTTTTTCTTACTCCAAAAATGAAGATCAATAAAATTATTAAAAAGAATATCCACAAAAATCCATGTTGATTTTCCCCAACTAAACTGATAGTACAATTTAGTTATTCAACTTGAAGAAATTAGCTAAAATATAGTGAATGAAATGGGCACAAGCTTCTGTAGGCATGATAGATATCATCCATGTGTGGAGAGGAAAATGTCTTAGGGTCCAGTGATATAAGATGCCAAGCTGTTGAAGATAGTCTTAGACATTTCTTTTCCCAGTGGCCTGTACCCCAACATCCCCCTTGAAACAAAGAACTTAGCATGAAGCTGGAACATTCACTGGGCAATTTTTAATGCTTAACAAATAGATGATGTATTAGTCTGTTCTCACACTGCTAATAAATATATATCAGAGACTAGGTAATTTATACAGGAAAAAGATTTAATGACTCACAGTTCTATGTGGCTGCGGATGCCTTACAATCATGGCAGAAGGTGAAGGGGAAGAAAGACACGTCTTACATGGTGGCAGGCAAGAGAGCCTGTTTAGAGGACTCCCATTTATAAAACTATCAGATCTTGTGAGACTTAATCACTACCATGAGAACAATATGGGGGAAACTACCCCCATGATTCAATTATCTCCACCTGGCTCCACCTTTGACACATGGGAATTATTACAGTTCAAGGTGAGATTTGGGTGGGGACACAGCTAAACCATGCCACATGATGTTACTGTTCATTAATGATCAGTACATATGCATGATGCTTTCTCTTATGTTATTCATCCCTTGAATTAAGCATATAAACAGCAGCAGTTTCTTTGGGGAACCTTACTGACCTCATTTTCAGTTTTTCATGACTTGTGTGTGAAACACAGATTCAAAGGTATATATGCAGAAAGTCTTTCTTGTCTTGTTCTCTGATGCCACGCTGGGAACACTAGACATGTACTCAGCCATTACGAATATTGTATTTTGTCTTCTGTTTCAGGATTTTTCTCTTTGTACACAACTCTAAGATTGAGTTGCTCATTCATTGCGATGAGTGGTAAGACACAAACCTTCAATCTCTATACGCCTCAAGTAAGCCTTAAAAGCAAAATATGTTCTGCATAAAGGTGGAAGAATAATGATTTGGAATCTGTGTAGTGCAGAAATAGGATAATGTTGAACCTGCTCCTCTCCTAGGCCTGTGGTACTTTGGGTGCTGGAATTAGGCAGTCACTACCAAAGATTGCTGCAAAAGAAGCAGTGATATTGGGTGAATAAATATTTTGGTATAGAAATGCAAACAATAGGTGGTTCATCTCAAACAAAACCCATAGATCACCTGTCCAACTTTGTTAGCTTGCTAGGAAGTTAGTTATAATTACAAATACAGTCTAAGACATATTTTCTAGTTATTAACATATTCCATACAATCTTGATAGCATTATTCCAAAAACCAAGATCATATCATTAATTTAAACCTATTCCATGCAGTGACTATTGAGAAAAAGTAAATAGTATCTTCTCTTAATGGATAGATATGTTCTTTTGTACCATAGATTATCTTTACAATAGTAACCTGGCACTAATTGAACTTTCAAAATTGAACTGCTGCTGATAAATCTCTTAAAAAGTCTTTTTTATATGTAGTAAAATGTTTAAGAAACACTAAAAAAGTTAGAACAAAAAGATAAAATGAGAAACAGAATATGAAATAAATTAGTATAAGACCTTGGTATTATACCAAGGTTAGGAAGACAGTTCAGTAGAATTCAAATTATTATTTTATTGCTGTTCTTCACTTTGGGAAAGGTGTATGTATATGTAAGAAGTTGCTTATATAGTGCCAAACAAATGTCTTCAAATTTAAGAACAATGCCCATGAAAGGAAAATCAACCTAACAAGAAAGAAATATTAATATTTATAACGCAAGAAACCTTAAAAGGGGTTATGACCTTGTATAAGAGTATATATATAGGTAGATAGATACATATATTATAAATATATTGACATATGAACATACTTAACTACAACGTAGCTGATATTCTAAAAATAAAATATTGAATTGTGATTTTATGTATGTTTCTTTTTAGTAAACAAAGGGGATTAAGGGAAATATAAAAATGCAATGGAAAAAATATATTTGCCTGTGATAGTACTAAAATTTGTTACTTGATATTTCAATTAAACTTAAAAAGACAAAACAAGGAAGCAACAAAGAGATTTGCAGCACAGCAAAAATGGCCATCAAGAGATCACATTTGTCTTCTCTTCAACTGGCTTGGTCTGACGGTACTTCAAAATTGTACTGGGGATTCTGGAACCATTTTTTATAAAGGTGAAAGTTGGGTAACTTGACATCCAAAAGGAAGTTAATATAATAATTGGTTTTACATGTGAATATATCCTCAGTTTCATCATATTTACTAAAGGAGAGAGAAAAACTTGACTTATAAATGTGGCTCCCCTTATTTAAAATTACTTAGCCTATGGAATAAATAAATTGTAGTGGACAGAATCTAAGGTTGCCCTCTTGGTCCCTGACTCCTGGTGTTCCTGTCCTTACATAACTCTCTCCCCTAGAGCATGGGTGGGAAATATGACTTACTTCTAAGCTCTAGCGTATGCAAAGGGGATGAGATATATGTGATTACGTATACATGGTTACACGATTGTGTAACATAAGATGAAGTGCCGTCTTGCTGGAGTCTCTCACCCTCTTGTTGACTATGAAGATGGAAGTTGCCATGTGATGGTCTGCCTATGTTGGGAGACCCGCAGAGGAAAGAACTGAGAGAGCCTACAAGCTGATGGTGGCCTCTGTCCAACAGTCAGCAAGAAACAAAGCCCTCAGTCCTGCAGCTGCCATCTTCGACTCTGCGTTCCATTTAACATGAGTGGAACTGATATTTTTATAAAATAAGAACTGAAATACATGTTTCTGTGTAAATCTCCTCTTATAAATAAAATGAAGTAGTGGAAGGATATTCGAAGGTAGTGGTGCAAAAAAGTGGTGCCAATATGAAAGGACAAATTGTAAGGGAACAGAAATCTCTTTCAGTGGATAAAAGAATAATACAATTATAAATGTGATCAATTAACAGATTAAGCTGATAATGGAATAATATGCAAGAGGGTACTAATAGTAAAATTAGGATTGTACCCCATCATTACATGGACCCAAACTAACTCTATCAATGTGCTTCAGGATGAGAATTCTGCCATCTTCCGTCTGCCTTGCTTATTTAGGAACCAATTTAACTCAGTCTAGTGTTAGGCATTGGAGATTGAGGTTTGGAAATAAGTTGTTGGTGTTCTATAGCCAAGGGCTAAATCTTTTGAAATTTTTTGGATGCCAGCAATGCTATTGCATGGTTGGCTCTTTAAATACTACCTGTGGAGGCCAGTTTGCTTGACTTTATTGGGCCTGGGTCTGTGGAGTAACTGGGGCTTCATAACTCTATTCTGTGTCTCTAACACCTGCTTTTGAAGAGTGCAGAAAAGTGTAGATCTCCCTGTTCTAAACTTCAGTTGGAAAACCAGTGTGCCTGTTTACTTTTCTCTTTATTTTAACCCTTGCTAAGGGTTCCATGGCTGCTGGTCACCCTGATTGATGCCATCCTATAATTGGAATGACTTTTTAATACCTATATAGAATTGGTTTCTAGTACCCCTCCACCACCCTAGTTCTTCCTCAGTTTTATAGTAGCTTCTCCCCAGAAGTCTGCTTTCTCTGTCTTAGATCATGTTCCTTTTTCTTCCATATATCTTGTAGCCAGTGCTGTGTGGTATGTTCTTTCTTCAGCATGGAATTCAGTATGAGGGACACATCTTTTGGATCATCAAAATGCAATGAAGGACTTATAACAAATGTTTTATTTTATGGAGACTTTTTTGCCCCTTGGATTATGAATCCAGTGATTGAAATGTGAAAATCAATGAACCTTGCACTTGAAATAATATATGCTCTAATAACTTTCCCAAATAAATTTAAACTGGTTCCTCTGAAAGTATTCTTATACTATAGTATTTTCCTCTTAAAACCTTTAATAATTACACATAGCCTATTGCTGAAATAGGATGTAAACTTTGTATCTAATGTTTTGCTTCTGTTATTTTCTGGAATGCTCTTTCCCCATTCTTATGGCTCCCCAAAACATACACATATAGACTTTCTCCCTCTCTTCTGTTTCCTGAGGTGCCACCCATTCCTTAAGTCCTGTTTCATTTTCCAATTTCACCATGAAGCCTTTCCTGATTTACTTAAGTACATATTCTATTTTTCTTCCAGCCTTCATATCTTGCTTTATTCCTCTGTTATGGTATTTCTCTTAATCTTTCCTTAAATTTTTTGTGTCTTTTCTTCTTTATTAGATCATAGGTTATCTGAAGGCAGGGGTTGAGCTGTTATGATGTGTTTATGTTACTTAAGATCTAGATCAATAATAGCTAGTTAGTCAATAGATGTGTATGGGGTTAAAACAAATTAACCCCCTTTAGCCATGGATGAGGCCCTCCCAACAATGAGCTAATGTTATCTTAAAAAGGAGATTTCCATTACACTTGCTCGTGAAAGACTCTTCTCTTGTACTGTATGTGACAAAATAAGAAGGTAAAGGTAAAATAGTGACTTTTCTATGATGGTAAATTTATTCAAGTTTACAAAAAGCCTTTTATTTTGTGTTGCTGCTCTTTTGACTTGTTGAAAATTAACATTTCTTCTTTATTGTGGTGGAAAGTGCTTGATTGTTAGAAGAATAAAGCTTTAGAATCTCTATGTTAGTCTCTAATTTTTTACTGGTCTGTGAAATCAGAAGTCTTGGGAACTGCTGATCTAGGGTGTTTGTACATTCAATATAACCAAACAAAAGTGCTAAGGGATTCTGGTGTAACCATGTATGGAGAAAAGAACAATGGACTAAGATGTAGGAAAACTGGTGCCAGCCCTAACAGATCTTACAACTACTTATGTAACATTGGTCTTGGCTTTATGCAATTAAGATGAGTAAAACTGCCTCAGATACCTGTTGAGGTAAATGTGAGACCCAATAAATAATCAGGTTGTGAAATGTTTTTGTTTCTATTATAGTTTAAAAGCAAGGGATTGTGTAGTGCTAGTTATTGGTAGTTTGTGTGTGTGTGTGTGTGTGTGTGTGTGTGTCTTTAGTTTCAACAGTATTTCCTCTAGAGACCTTTATTCATAACCAGAAACAAGTCCATGATTTTCTGTCCTTTGAATTACAAATTATTCTTCACCCTTCTAGTGACATTGATTTGATTATATATTGTAAACTGTCCAGCAGGATTTTTATTGTCAGTTTAAAATGAAATAATAGTTTAAACATCAGAATGCCAGTGGTAGATATTTGTATAAGTGATTCTAGCTGAAATGATACACGGACACCATTTGTATTTTGGGAGGCTCTAGTCATGTAAGAAGTGAACTTTAAGTCTGAAGCATACTTATGCAGATATTCTATACGAAGGGTTATTTCTGCAATGCAAAATTGTCTTTTACTTTGCATGAACAAAACCAAGACAAATGGAACTGATTGCATTAATTCACTAAGTGACTACACATCTGCTGTGCGTAAAGGTATGTTGCCAAAATATTGAATTGCAGGACTATTTGTAAAATCTGAGAGTAGAGTAGGGTTAGACCTAGAAGGGTAAAATTGGCCACTATATTAGTCCAGTTTCATGCTGCTGGTAAAGACATACCTGATACTGGGAAGTAAAAGAGGTTTGATGGACTTAACAGTTCCACATGGCTGGGAGGCCTCACAATCATGGTTGAAGGCAAGGAGGAGGAAGTCACGTCTTACATGGATGCTGACAGGCAAAGAGAGAGAGCTTGTGCAGGGGAACTCCTCTTTATAAACCATCAGATTTCATAGGAGTTACTCACTATCACAAGAACAGCACCAGAAAGACCTGCCCCCATGATTCAATTACCTCCCACCAGGTCCCTCCCATAACAGATGGGAATTCAAGATGAGATTTGGGTGGGGACACAGCCAAACCATATCAGCCACTTATTCCCCTCTTGTGTGTCATTGTCATTAAAAAATGATATTACACAGGCCACACATACTATTTTAAAGTTGAGAAACTTTTGTCTTTTGCCCTGTCTTCCCTTAATGCCTTCATGTAGTTTCCTACAAGCAATAGGTATTTCCATTTTTTTTTACCTCTCAGGCCCAGTGGCCTCTGCTACTCTCTGGCTTTGTACAGACTGCTAATGAGATACCACCACTGTCTTCCCTCCCAGGAAGTTAGTGTTACAGGCTCCTGAGTGAACCTTTTATCTTTTACTTCTTGTCTAACAAAACCATACTTTTTGGGGCTGTTGATCTCAGGTAGATGTTGGGAATATAGCAGTAAAATAAATTCACACTGAGATGCCACTGCTAATAGCTGATAATGAGGTAGGCATCCCAGGTTTTATTTATAAGACCAAAAAATGGGCTGGATAATGTTGGACTCACAAGAAAGGGATTTAGATAGGGATCTTTCCTGAAGCCCTTGAAATTATCCCCTGGAGACCAACTTAATCTCACATATAATGGGACCTCCCTTTCTAAATTAAAATTTCAATGGGTCACTGCATTATATTCAGAGATACTGTTCTGAATCAAAAGTAAATTTTGTCTGTAGAGAAGATTTTTAAACTGGAAGGTGAATGCAAATCCAATCTAATCCATCTGAAAAGGCCAAATGAGAGCTCTACCTGAGATTAAAAATGGTTGGCTCTGGTCCACATCCATTGAAAACAAGTAATAGAAGATCAGTAAATACAACAATGAAATGAAGGACAGGAGAATCCATGGTTTTGGGTGTATGAAGTCCTTAATTATCACTTACCAAACACATACTAAACACAGGGTGCCACTAGGGTTTTATAAATGAAACACATGGTTCCTGAACTAAAGAAGCTCACTCTCTAGGGAGTAGATCAGCAAATAGAACATTATTTTATAAATATGTGATAAATACTCTGTTAGAGGCAAGTCCAAGATATTCTGAGAGCTCAAAGTACCACCTAACATAGACTGGGAATGGAAAGACATAGGGCAATATTTTAGAAAGCTTTTATTAGGTAAATTAATTGAGTTTGGAAGACTGAATAAAGATTACAAAGAGGAATTTAAAAAAGACCACTCTTACTGTCTTGTTTTCTATCTTAATTTGAAAATAATTAACCCTGAATTAACTCATTTGTGTGTTTTTAAAGTATTTTCTAAGCTCACATGTATATTAAAGGATAAAGGTTGAAAAAGCACCTACAGTAAAGGATAAAAAGCTTTTATGTTCCTTTTGAATGCCCAACTGTGTGTGCCTTTTGGTAATTATGGGCTTAGTTACCATGTGTATATTCCTACCAGTCCCACAAATGGTGGTTAAAGGAGAAGAGCACAGTGAATGCAGCCAGAGACTATTTAAAGTGGTTCAGCATTCATTAACTACAAAACCTCTAAATTAAAACAAGTGAGGTAAATTATGATTATGGATTCAAGACACAGGAATGGATGTGCAATACAAATCTATTGGGGGTTTTCATACTATGGTAATTTGCCAGGGAGTTATAGAAACTCTAGGATAAAATAAATGTATCTCTGGATAATCTATTTTACTGAAAAATTTGGGAATATAGTTACTGGTAAAACATAGAGATACACAGCAGTCCATGATGGATTGATGCATATCACACACACACACACACACACACACACACACACACACACACACACCATTCTTTGGTTTATTTGAGTAGAACAGTTTGAAAAAATGTAACAGACTAAAAAGACACAGAAGAAAATAGCAAAACTATCAAATATTTTATAGTCTTTACTGAACTTCATTTTTCTTCATTGTATAAATGTGTTCAAATATGCTATCAGATTCAGAGCACAAATCCTGACTCACAACTCATCTCTCACTCCTTATAATTGCTACACTTTAAAGGTCTTTTAGAAAAGAACATTTAACTAACTCCACTCAACTCTCTTTTGGCTGACATTTGCTTTCATTCCCTCTTTGTCATTTTCAGTCATCACAAAGGCTTCCGGAAAAGGTATGAAAAAAAGAAATACAAAGAAGGACTGTTCAACTGGTGTCAAAGGACTAACTCTTGGCCTAAATTTTTCATTTTTCAGTGAATTACAACATGTAGGACTTTAACAATGACTCTGAATACATCTGGAGCATTTTAAGGAACAAAATAAAAGTGAGGATTGCCACTTTGTAATCCCCGATCCAAGAAGCTACATGTTCTTTTAGGCAGATTGATACAAGCTTTAAGTGAGCAAAGGGCTGAAAGCAGAGTATTTTCAGTCACTGAATTATACATATTAAAAATGTGACTTCTGTTGAATGTGAATTATATCTCAATAAATCTGTTATAAAACAGAATATATAACAAAAAATTATGAAACAATAGAATTACATATTGCTCTACCTCATAAGAAATTACAAGATGTGTTTATATTTCTTTTTTTTTAGTTTACTATTAATCCTCCTAGGGGGCCTATGAGTTTCGATAGTATGTGCTATGGATAAAGAAACATGCACAAAATGGTTTACTTGGTATATTGCAACACTACTTAGTTCTATAGACAAGCACATGTTTTGCAAATCACTAGGCTCCATTTAGAAAACATAATTTCATATTTCATCAATTTCTTTTATTGTTATTCTAATCATAGACTTAAAAAACAGAGCTTCGAGATCTCTTAATTCAATCTTTTTATTTTACTTATAAGGACCCTGAAATCCAGAGGAGTTAAACTCCAACATTTCAGCACATGACTAATGGATCTGGGTCTAGATCCTGGGGATAGCCTCAAGTCCAGCGAATAGGGCACTAGACTGGGAGAAAGAGATCTAAATTTGAGTCTCAGAACTGTGAACTTTCAGAACTTATGAACTTTCCCATTTATAATACTTATGAACGTGTTTAATAGTTAAAGCAAAGTTCAAATGTTGGCTGTCGTTATTGATAAATAACTATTGATAAATAACGAACTTCCAAATTTTTTATGGGGAAATTTAAATTGCCAAAATGATATATGCTTCTCATTGTATTAGTGAAAGATGGATATCAATTTCCCCTAATTTGTTTGAATCCCAGTGCCATCATCTCTTAGCTGAATTTTGTTGTAGGGAATGAAGATTTGTCGTTTTCAATCCCTAGTATACTAGCTCTTTTTTTTAGAATTGTCTTTAAATTATAGAGATGAAGTCATGTTATAGATGAGCCAAGTCATTATGAGGTCACCTACATACATCTAATCTATTTCATAAAGCACAGCTTTATTTTGAATTTAAATGTTATTAAAAACCATTGGTCCAGCCTGCATAAATAAAAGTCTTAGACCTTTACCTTGGAAAGGATAACTTATTGGTCTAAAGCCTCATTGACACAATGACACTTATTCTGCCAGTTTGTGCACTGCATACTACATCAGCATAAGGAGAAAATTATTAACATTTATATTACCATGCCATGAAAGAAAGCAAGCAGCTTAGTTTTCCCTGAAAATAAAATCAGTGTGAATTTTATTTGAAAGATTGGACTGAACTTCACTAATAGAGCTACTTTATGATGAAGATACATCCAAGTCTTAAAAGAAACATCTGTCCATAATCTGTAAACTTACACAGGGTTGTCCTTCAGAAGTATGTGAAAGAAGACTAAGTATATGATGACTTGCAGTGTATTAGATGCTAGCATGTTTCTGGGATGATGTAAGAGGTATGAAGGCTAATCATTTCATTCTGGAGTGTTCCCTTGGAGGGTTAGGAGTGTTAGCAGGGCAGTGTCATTTTCAAGTGGTGTGCATGTGTGTGTATTCTCAAATGCTCAATGAAACGTTTGTGTGTGTGTATGTGTACACAGATATTTCATTGAACATTAAACATGTTAATTAAGCAGTAAAAATGTTAATACTAAACATTCACATTAAACACATGAAAGCACAAAACCTTCTAATAAAATTATAACTATAAGTAGCCTCTTATTTATGCATGTCCTAGTATTTCAGAAACCTTCACAATTTTCATAAATGAATGATAATAGTGGATGTTTACTGAATATACCAAAAAAGTTAGATATCAAACACTTTTAATGGAGGATATTGCCATCAATTGTTTTGACTAGTTTAAAACTTTTTATTTATTTATTTTTTTTATTATACTTTAAGTTTTAGGGTACATGTGCACAACGTGCAGGTTTGTTACATATATATACATGTGCCATGTTGGTGTGCTGCACACATTAACTTGTCATTTAACATTAGGTATATCTCCTAATGCTATCCCTCCCCACTCCCCCCACCCCACAACAGGCCCTGGTGTGTGATGTTCGCCTTCCTGTGTCCATGTGTTCTCATTGTTCAATTCCCACCTATGAGAGAGAACATGCGGTGTTTGGTTTTTTGTCCTTGCGATAGTTTGCTGAGAATGATGGTTTCCAGCTTCATCCATGTCCCTACAAAGGACATGAACTCATCATTTTTTATGGCTGCATAGTATTCCATGGTGTATATGTGCCACATTTTCTTAATCCAGTCTATCATAGTTGGACATTTGGGTTGGTTCCAAGTCTTTGCTATTGTGAATAGTGCCGCAATAAACATACATGTGCATGTGTCTTTATAGCAGCATGATTTCTAATCCTTTGGGTATATACCCAGTAATGGGATGGCTGGGTCAAATGGTATTTCTAGTTCTAGATCCCTGAGGAATCGCCACACTGACTTCCACAATGGTTGAACTAGTTTACAGTCCCACCAACAGTGTAAAAGTGTTCTTATTTCTCCACATCCTCTCCAGCACCTGTTGTTTCCTGACTTTTTAATGATCGCCATTCTAACTGGTGTGAGATGGTATCTCATTTTGGTTTTGATTTGCATTTCTCTGATGGCCAGTGATGATGAGCATTTTTTCATGTGTCTTTTGACTGCATAAATGTCTTCTTTTGAGAAGTGTCTGTTCATATCCTTTGCCCACTTTTTGATGGGGTTGTTTGTTTTTTTCTTGTAAATTTGTTTGAGTTCATTGTAGATTCTGGATATTAGCCCTTTGTCAGATGAGTAGATTGCAAAAATTTTCTCCCATTCTGTAGGTTTCCTGTTCACTCTGATGGTAGTTTCTTTTGCTGTGCAGAAGCTCTTTAGTTTAATTAGATCCCATTTGTCAATTTTGGCTTTTGTTGCCATAGCTTTTAGTGTTTTAGACATGAAGTCCTTGCCCATGCCTATGTACTGAATGGTATTGCCTAGGTTTTCTTCTAGGGTTTTTATGGTTTTAGGTCTAACATTTAAGTCTTTAAACAGCTGCTTGAGTCATTGATTTTGGAATTGATCATATTGGCCAATTTTCTTCATATAGCATTGCTATCAATAAATATTGATAAACTCATGTAGATTTGCTTTAGTCATAATTCATTGCCTCTGTTTTTCTTTAGTTTCAGTTCTTTATTTGTTGCTGTTATTTTATTTTGTTTTCTTGTCTCACCCTTCTTTGTATTGACATTCTAGTATTGTTTACAATGGCTTTCCCTCTTGAAATATTTCACTAACGTGGCTCCTTAGGGCATATTTATTTCTTCTAGTTTCTCTTGTTTCAAACGTCATCTGAGTTGTGTTCAATTAAATCAGTATGGTTAGCTGATTCTCTCAATACTCTTTATTGTCATGAAACTAATGTTTGATTCTAGAGTTTTTAACTTACACTTCTATTTTATTTTCCTCTCACACACACACAGAGAAACAATCTCTTCAATGCTCACGTGTTGAATGAGTATATACTGAGAGAAGGGTTTCCTTGGAAACACTAAATATGGAAAGCCTTCATATCAATTGGTAGATTGACATCTGTTTCCCTGTAGAAGTCATCAGTTTATTTCAGAGCACTATGTACATTGATAATAATACAATGCACAAAAAAATCAGAATTGCTTCACTGAATACAGTAATGAGTAAGAGAAAATGTAACGTTTCTATTCACAGAATAAAGCATTTGTTTTGAAACCTTAAGAATTTTACACTGGAGTTTGAGATTTTCCTTGGTCATTTCATTTCATAAGGGATTTGCATTCATTTAGATAGATTTGATGACATAAAATTAATTCCCATTTTTGTTTCATCATTATTAACTAATATAAAATAATATAATGTTTGCTGATGCTTTAAAAAAATTGGGTTCTCATTGGACCCAAGTACAGTTATAATTCATGCTTATGCAAAGATATATTAAGCTTCTTGAGTGCTTGTGAATATGATAGATTAAAAATCAATGTAAAATTATCCATTTTTATGTACTTCATAGAGGATACATATGATACACATGATATTAGCAAACAAGATAGACTCCCTCATGTTTGTAATAACATTTTCATAGACTTTTCAACTTAATTTCTTGGATTTATCCAATTGTAACTTTTCTCCCTTTTCCATCTTTATTATAAACTATTGCCTAGGTTCCATCTTTTGACTAATTTGATAAAAGAGAGTGTCTCCCTGATACAATAAATGTGTAGATTTAGAAATATTTTAAAATGCCAAACAAGTAAGATGGTTGTCTATACATTGTTAAATAATCAATAAATATATAATTTTAATAAACACCTAACCAATTAATGAACAGAGAACATTATAAAAAAACTGTTATCAATCTAATCTCTATACTCATGTTTCACTGGTTTAAAGTAGAAGATGGCCAGACCAAAAGGGATATCTAGATTTAAAGACTGGTACAAATGATAATGAGGGCTTGGCTCTTGGAATTTAAAAAGTGGAATTTAAATTTAGTGGGTTTGGTCTTTGTGAACCCTTCATTTTGGTAGCTCTTCATTTTACTGGCCTCTATTAAGAACAGTTGCATTAAGTTTAAATTATGGAGACCTTATAAGGGCATTTCTGCTGAGAAGGATAACTTACTTTTCCGATTTATTCCAATATAAATTAATACGAAATATACTTTCTTTATAAGATTCCCCCCTCCAAAAAAAATTGGAGAATATTTTCTTTATTATCCTTCACCAGTTTGATACACTGAAGTACACTGTTGTGTGCCAAACCTAGTCAGAACTAAGTAACATGTGCCTTGGGTCCAAAGTTCTCAGTTGCCTCATTAACTAGCTCTGAAAATGTCCTTTCGTTCTTGGGGTCCTAGGTGATTTGTGAAGCATACTTTCTAGCCTGCCATATATCTTATTGCCTTAACACTCTTTCATAATATCTCTGCAGTTGGAAGTGGAACTACTGACTACTATTGCATCAATGTTGAACAATTTCTGGGCAACAGGAGAGGTGGGGTGGTGTGGCACCGAGAGTCTGGGCCTCATGAGATATGTAGTGGGACAGGGGCCATCTGGCTCACAGGCACATCATAGTACTGCATGTTCTTACTATTAAATGCAAGAGTCCCTAAACTACTGCATATACACCCCAGGCAGGATCTGGGTCATACCCGACATTTCTGTGACTCTGTGATGCTGTGCCTCTCTTCCTCTGTTGTCCCTTGTGGAGTTTACCCAAAGTTAGCAGTACCAGGTGTCTCACAAAACATCAATAAGATGACAATCATTATTACAGACATCATTGAGGTCTCCCCACAAACCTGGAACTTCTCTCTATGTAAAGAGAGTGAAAGAGCACCACCCCTCTCTACTTTGGAGCTGGTAGCTGAATTCCTTCCCTTCTTTTGTCGCTTAGTCAAATGTTTCTGCTGCTTCTTTACTAGGAGAGGGCCTGGGACTCCCTCCTGTAATTGTAGCTTTACTTATGATTCAGTAGAATAGCCAGTAAGATTGGGAAAGAGCCCATCACTTGTGGCAGAAGGATGAGGTGGGGCTTACCAAGCCATCCTGATTCCCTAAGCTCCAATTTGGAGTATCTTTAATTATAGCGTTGCTTAACAATCACATTACCTAATCCACATTAGTTTTGAGTTAACAGTTTGGTCCAAGTGGAGTGGGACGTTACTTGGCACTGTGGCCTAAGGATGACCCTGGGAAGGAGGTGGCCACTCTTGTTGGGAACCTTCACCTAGAGTCCTCCAAGGAGAGAAGGCAGAAAGTGAAAAGGTTAGTAAATCTATGGCCAGAAGGCCTGGCCTCTGGACTTCCAGGACCATGGGCATTTTTATGAATGCCATGACAGCTAAAGAATTAGAGGAAAGACTCAGGCAATATACAAAGTCAGCTCTGCATAGAAACCCTTGTCTCAACCCTTCATAACTTGGGTGTTCTACACCCAAATGTCCCAGAATCTCCACAGAGATGCCCACATCTTAGAAGCTGTCAGCTGATGTGTGGTCCTATAAGACAGGAATTTGGCAGAGCTGGCAAACCTTTTGTCTTAACATTCCACTCCTTAAATTACATGTGTTTTCCAATAAGTTTTCCCTAAAATTCCATGGATCATGTGACCCTGATCCTAGTGGTAGCAGGCTATCTAGGTAGCTTGGTGGTCTCACTCTAACATCAGTCCTTCCTTGTTCTGTACTTACCAGTCCTATCGACTCTTCCAAGAGCTGGCCAGAACAAATCATCTATTTCATGTTTGAGCAATGGTGACAATACATAGGACTTGGCTTATTTTACTTTTAGTTTTGTTTACTCTTGTACTCTCAAAGAGGCAATGGAGAAGGCATACATAAAGTATTCTTTAAGAGCATAAAGCCCTAGTGTCTCCTTTTGCTACTCTTGAAGTCTGCACACCCAAATTTGGTGGTCTCTGAAGCTTGTGCAAAGTGGGACATCTGCCAAGCCACTTGGATTTTCTGCCTTTTTTACTATTTTGGTTCAGAATGGAGTATGTACTATTAGTTTCCACCTATTACCACCTAAGGAAATTTAGGTATATTCTTCCAGGCTGTATTTCTTACTGCATTTTTCAGGCCCAATTTTTAGTGCAGCAGGCCCAGCCATGGCCTACCACATATAACCATCCTGGACCAGTCTCTGGAAACTGAGTTCAATGGAATTGCTTTTAAAAAAAATTAAAGGCAGTCCCTGAAACTGAAGTTAGTCAGCTTCACCTGGGGCACCACACCTGGACTATGCTGGAGATGGATGCATTCTTGATAAAATCAGGAATGGAAGAATGCTGGAAGGCCACCAAGCAAGCACTGAAGAGCTCTGCTTGTGGATGAGGGGTGCTGATGTGTGTGTTTACGTTTTCACTCAGGTTCTGGCCATGACGTTCAGGATGCTTCACTGAATTCTACCCAGACTTCTGGTGCTTACTTTTTTCTCTAGAGTAGGTAGAAAAACAGTGTCCACTCCTTTTAATTCTAAATTTTAGATGTTCTTAATGCCACTAGAGTCACAGAGAAAGGAAATACCTATTCTAATTTTATAAACACACCTTTATTCAGAAGAATGGTTTAGGATGGGTTCCGTGGTCAACATTATTTAAGTTTTACTGGTTAGGCTAGCTTAGTAAAACACCCAATGCATTAGTAATGTCATAATCCTTAAATTTGCTACATTAAAAGCACATTTTTCTCAATGTGTCATTATTTTCAGTCACATACAATAGGTGTTTTCTTGCAATACAATTTTTCAATAATACATTAATTTTACATTTTTGCGACCTACTGAAGAATAAAATTTGATATAAATACATATATACACATATAAATACACTTTCACGCAAAGCCTACTAGGACTAGACTAAAAGAATAATTAAGGCACAGCAATCTTAAAGGCATTACTTCAGCTTGAAGTTTAATATACTGCATTTATTTTCTTACAGTCTGGGCCTAATGGGACTCTACTAATGGAAAACCTTGCGTGTGTTATCTAAGCATATAATTTTGTTTTCTCAACAAATGAAACAGTGGCCATTAGAAGGTGGGAATAACTAGAAAGAAATAAGGATAGCTTTGCAAAAAAGGGAATGGAAAAGATAGGCTTCCTTTTGGCTGAGATAATAAAATATATAGGTGAGAAGTATTTGCAAAGGGTTTTTGCTTTCTTGTTACTTGCCATCCTCCTACTCCTAGCTATATGTGCTTCTAATTTTTCCTACTGTTTTTTTTTTCCAGTTGGAAAATTTTGGTTGCTGGGGTAAAAAGATTTCTATTATTGTATGATGGTATTAAAATGGATTATCATAATCCTTTTCTTTAATATATGCATCTAGGTGGAAGCAAATAGAAATAAAAGGATTTGTCATTTGTAGAAATCAAATACCTAAAATGACTAATAAGTTTTACTGTTTGCAAACTTGAACTAAAGCTGAAACCAATTATTATTATTATTTTTCCCTATCCAACAATTCCTTCTTTGTACTTAAAACTTTTTATATTCTGTTTTTATCGGCTGGATTATTCTAAAGAAATTCTTCATCTCTGAATTGATACTCTTCTTGTGGTTTGCAGTGAAATCAGATTTTCTCTAAGGTGCAGTCATACTCGATGAGCCAATTTAGAGAAGCAAATGCTGAGGCCATGAGGACTGAGCACAGACAGGCTGCATTTGTTGTTTTAACCAACTGAAACTCACTTAGGTTTCTTCAGCTTTTAACAATATGCAGTACTTTCATGCAAAGTAATTAGATATAAATAGTATGTGCTTTAAGAATATAACTCGATTAGCATTACTTTTAAACAACTAAATCATTTTACAATTAATTCTGTTTTTCTGTTATCTGGGTCACTTTATATCTAGGAATAATACTATGTTAAAAATAGTGCCTGATTCACTGTACTGCTAATTGACATCCTCCCTCAATCTCTATCTTTACTTATCTGTGTCTCTCTGGCCTCCTGTTTTTCTAGTCTCATGTCTTTCTGGTTTTTCTTTCCTTTGAGGCTGTGATCTCTTCTTACTAGCATTCTCCAACCTCTTCTCTCTGGTGAAGTTCCTGAGTATTGGTCTAGCTGCTCTCAACACTACACTTGGTATATCAAATAGGTATGAAATATGTCCTGTGAGTGGGCTTAGCACAGTAGAAAAACCAGCTCTGAGGTCAGTTGGCTGTGTTTAGGCAGCCCAAGCGTGCCGGCACAAGTGGTACAATTTGTGGTGAACAAAGCGAAGGCTCAACAAGGTAGTAAAACCTGAGCTAGATTTAGAGACAGAACAGCCAAGCAGTTCAGGCACCATCAAGAGAAGCTGAAATAACACTGAAATGAAACATACTTATTTAAGCCAACTTTCCACACATAACTCCTTACATAACTGGAAAAATGTAAATTGTCTGTGCTCTTGCCAAATTAGACAGTGCCCTTAAATGAAAGGAAAAGAATAAAATAAAAGCCCTTTCACAGTGCTGATACATAGGCTAAACCTTAATTTTTTTTTATTGTGGTAAGAACAGAACTTGAGATCTACCCTTCTAACAGATTTTTTTGTAGTACAATACAGTATTGGTAGCCCTAGGCACCATGTAGGACAGCAGATCTCTAGAACTGATTCATCTCATGTAGTAAATTTTACACACATTGATTAGCAGCTCCTCATTTCTTTCTCTCCCTAGCCCCTGTTAATCAGCATTCTACTCTTTGCTTCTATGAATTTGACTATTTTAGATACCTGATACTAAGTAGAATCATGCATTATTTGTTTTTCTGTGACTTGCTTTTTTCACTTAGCATAATATCTTCAAGGTTCATCCATGTCCCAGGCATTATCACAGTGCACTAAAACCTCAAATTCCTGGCCTCAAGTCCTCCTACCTCCTCAGCTTTCTAGAGGTATTTGGACTACAGGCACAGGGACTACTACAGAAGCACACCACCGCACCTAGCTCCATGTTGTCTCATGCCGAGGAATTTTCTTCTTTAAGGCTGAATATTATTCTATTGTATGTATATAACATCTTTTCCTTATCCATTCATCTGTGGATGGTCATTTAGGTTGTTTTTATGTCTTGGCCATTGTAAATACTGCTGCAATGAACATGTGAGTGCTAATGTATCTTCAAAACCCTAATTTTACATTTTCTGCAACCTACTTGCAATTGTAGGCTGCCAAAATCAGAAGCTATAGTCTGCTTAAACTCTGATCTTGAATAACCCCTGGTCTACTGTCATTTACTTGGAAGGAGTGGTTTTCATAAAATATAATTTAAATCTGAATTTAATTTCCTTAATATGTCTCCCAGGAAGCACTCTGATTTATACAGTTACAAAAGAAAAGTGAAATGTGACAAAAGAATAAGAAATACAGAAAAGTGTCTTTGTAGATTTTTTTATATAACTAGATTCTACTTAACCAGTGGAAAAGGCTTAGGAAGCAAATTTGTTTTTATATAGTATTTTTGTCAACAAAAAAGTCAGCCTCTTTCCACCCCCTAAAAATGGGAAACAGACCTTTAAGAAATATAATTTTAAAATGGTAATATGGTATTAAATTTCCAAGGTGCCTGCATATATTTGTGAAGCTGTGAGTAAAAAAAGCCTAGTTACTGAGAGCTTGGAGGCAAGTGTATATAGCATTGGCATCCCTGAGATCTGTGCATTCTTTGCCAGGGAATGAACATAGGCAGGGAATGAACAAGTATAGCTGCACATTAAGAAAGAAATTATTTTACCCTTTTTCCTATTTTCCATAACTCTCAGATGTTGGAATTTATGAGAGGTATGGGTGCAAGAGAGGTATGTGGTGGTGGCAACAAGACCAAGAAACTATATTTAGAGAAGGAGGTCTGCAAGACCTATATCTGTGTTCCACTGGCCAGCAAAGAAATAAAGAACAAAGATGGACCAGAAATTGCATAAATATTTTTAAGTGTGATGGTACATAAAAACAAGCATATTTTAAATTTTCCAACTTGCAGATATTATTAGTCTATGATGGTAGCTATTTTAAGAGTTGAAATAAAGAAAGCTGTATCAGTCTTGTAGAAGAAGATGAAAAACGAACTGAGGAATGAACAAAAAGTTCAGAGTTGAAATTGTGAAAATAAAAATCTGAGCATACAGTTTTGAGATGTAGGTAGTGTTTCCATGAATTTTAGTTATGCTTTTCAGAATGACAGATATCCCATACCTGTCAGTTCAGAAATATTTAATGGTACTTACTAGGTGCCAGGTACTGTTTTAAGCAGTGAATAATTCAGAATTCCTGCATCCAGGAGGTTACATTGGCCCACATTTTCAGGAGTTGAAAAGTGTTTTTTATGCACACACACAAACACATACACACATATGTAAATATATATGTAAAATAGGACATACAATGGAAGGGGGGCACTTTAGCACAGTGAAGAAAGGTATCTCTGAGAAAATTTGGTTGGAACTTGAGTGATGTGCAAAAATCCTGGAGAATAGCATCCCTAACAGAAAGAACAGCAAGATCAAAGGCCCTGGGGATGCGAACAACATTTGGCTATTAAAGGGACAGAAGTAAGGCCAGTATGGCTAGAGTGTAGTGAACATGGAGAGAGCTTAGATCAGAGAGGTAGGTAAGGGCCAGAATACACACGATCTTAGGAGCCATGGTAGAAGTTTATTCTGGTTGTGATGGTATGCCAGTGGTGTTGAGAAAAGAAGAAAATTGTGATACAAATTCAGAAAAACACTGTAGAGGATGGATCATTGGAGACAGCGAGAGACAGGGATATCTGTTGGGAAGTTAATGTAGTGTTCCAGGTGAGAGGTGATGGTGGTTTGGACTAGGGTTCTAGCAATGGAAAAGGTGAGAAATGACCCAATAGGTGATGTATATTTGAGATAGAGACAGAAAGTAATTGGTAAATTGGTTATTGAGTGTGAGGGGAAAGAAAAGAATACTCAAGTATCAATCCAAGTTGTTAGGTTTGAGAAACCATATGAGTAGTGAGCCATTCAGTGAGTTTTGGTGAATAAGTACACTTTGAGGATAAGTACACTTTACAGGGTAGAAAGTGTGTCCTACTTGGGTTTTATTAAGATGCAGTGGTGATGACAAGTTAAGTAGTTTATTAATCTGCAGCAAAGGTAAATTGACTAGTCTGGACATATGACTAGGAGGACCATTGGCATAGATATTGTTTTAAGCCATTGGTGGGAAGAAAAGTCACCTAAGGGGAGATGGCACTAAGAAAAAGGTTGAGGGGAGTCCTTTAAGGCAATCCAACATTTAAAAGTCTGACAGGGGAGGAGGAGCTAACAAAGACAACTGAGGAAGTGCAAGCAGTGAAGGAGCAGAAAAATCTGATAAGAGCGTTTACCTAGTCATACAGAGAGAGTTTCAACAGAGAAAAAAATCAAACGTGAAAAAATTGTTGAGAAGTAGAAGATAAAGATGGAGAACCATTGGTGACTATTTGCTTCTAAGTGATGATCTTCCCTCGTTGGGCCATTGAACTTCCCCTTGTTGGTGGCGCCCTGACTCATCCTCAGGAAAGCAATCCTAGTTCCTGGTCAGGATACATTCTCAGGGTCTCACTTCACCAAATTAACCTATTGCCTAGTTTTTGGCTTGCTTCTGAATGGCTAGGGTGGCTATATATGCCACTTTCCTCAGGGAAAACTTAGATAATGTTTAAGTGTTTCATTTTATGACCAAAAGTGTTTGATCAATTATATGGTCACTCTACAAACAATCCTATAAATCTGAAGCAACAGGGGCAAGGACTGGTTATAGGGAAAATATATTCTGCATGTAAAATGCAGAAGAGTATTTACTGTTTTTCAGCTGAGTCCTGTGAGGGCCACTGAGATTCGGTGTAGTTCTGCTAGACATGAGTTGACAGACCTGACCAGGTACAGTGAGATTGACTGTTCCAAACTGCATTTCCTTGTATATGGCATTGAAGATTAAGAAAGGGAGTAATCTTGTATTCATATTGCCTATCTGCAGACTCAGGAGATACCTCATTAGGTATTCTCAGTTTGGTTCTGGAGCGGTTTCAGTGTTTCCTAACCTCTTTCATGTCATTGCACATATTGAACATGATAACGTATCTTGCTGCTCAGTGGAGTAAATGTACCAAGGCTATGACTTGCCTGGAGGACAAGACTCAGTACATGAGTAAGCCATCCACAGCACATCAGTGTGTCACAGCACATTACAGGGATGGCTGCATGAGAAAACATGCTCCCTAGGAAGCAGGTGAGATAGTCTTGAAGAAATTTACAAGAGGCAAGGGAAATAGCCAATGTGATATAGGACTGAAAATGCCTGCTCATGAGAAAGTGAACACAGTAGTTTCAGCTGGAGTCCTCATTTAATTCAGTACTGGGGGGAAATATGCTGGTTGAAAAAGAAAGACGTTTCAAATTAGAATTAGTATCGTCTATCAGCATTCTAAATTTTCTATAGGTTGAGAAAATACATTCATGTTTCCAATGTCACTTGTTTAGAGAATAGTTTGTATTGATGGATTTCTACCCCTTCTAAGATAACGTAAACAAAATTAGCACAGTCTAAATTTATAAAAATTTAGCTCTTCCATTTGTGTTTATGTTCACAGCTCTTGGATTTAAAAAAAAAACTGAGGTAAACTGACTCCAACTGCATTCCTAACTACTTCTAATAATACTTCTATGGCCTGGAAATTGGCTTATTTTCTAAATTTGGGGAGTATCAGAACAGAACTGCAGAAATCTTGTTTTACTACACTTTGAATTCTTTAAAGCAAGGCTCAAGAGAAACTTATTGAATAATTCAACAACATAATTCCTAAAGGACTACACACTGATTCCAGTGAAAGAGCCTCATTTGATAAAAGAACCCTAACTATAACAGCTGAGATTGAGGAGAATTAGAAGGTTGGGATGGGAGATAATTATTGAATGTTAATTAATCCACAAAGGTGAGATATTTCGAGTCTGGACTTTGGGATTTTAAATTTCATCCTTAATTTGCCAAAAAAATTATATTCAATTTATCATAGACAATTTTACAATAGATGGGATTTTTATATTCAAATTTGAGACATTTCTAGAATGGTAGTATTTTGTTGTTGGAATCTTGATATTGCCATTTGATCTTACTGCAAAACCCCTGCTAGGCCCTATTGGACAAAGCAGTTGAATGTCATTTAGCATGGGAAATACCACAGGCCATGAAATTTTAGCCCTGAATATGGAAGGGATATATTACAGAGGGTGTCTGATTAACCTTTGCTCTAACATAATTTCTTCAGTGATAAGATAACAGTCTTCCACAACACTTACTCTGCCTGTCTGAATCTTCACATTTTCTCTATACTTGGATCTCTGCTAGCTGACTGTTCTGTTGTTA
This sequence comes from Homo sapiens, assembly GCF_000001405.40. Lineage (NCBI taxonomy): Eukaryota > Metazoa > Chordata > Mammalia > Primates > Hominidae > Homo > Homo sapiens. Next base: position 40,034,289 of record NC_000014.9, read on the forward strand.
CTTGAGGAGACATTCTGATTTTGGATTCAGCATAAAATTCTGACTAATGGCCCTTTTATCCAACTATGTGCAACTCCTGGCATTAGACTTACCTTAATATGGTCATCTCAAAGTACTTATCCAGGTATTTACTCAATTATTTAATTACATGATATAGCTTTTTACTTTCGTATACCTCTGTGCTAAACTTTTCCTTGTCTTCCTTGATATATCCCAATGCCATCCAAGACCTAGTCCTGACACTGATTATTCAGTTGTTCTGCCTGGGCCTGAGCTTTTTAGTGTGACTCAAGTCACAGCTTCATGTTTGTGTTTATATCCAACCTGAACTTCTTGAAGAAGGTAGTTTGACATGGATTATAAAAATAATGTTTGTTATCAGAGTACATGGAATAGAAAGTTGACAATAAAAGTAAGTCCATTATCTCAGCAAAGCAATATTTTGTCCCATTAGTGGTGAGATAGAAAATTTTTAAAATTATGGAATTTTAAGATCAATTTATCTCAACATTTTACATATATAATAGAATAATTGTTCTATATGTAATAGGATACTAGAGCTATCAAAGGTTTCTTCCCTCCTTTTCCTTCTGTCTCTTTTTGCAGAGCTGGGATACAGACTCATTCACCTGGCTCCAGAACCTGAGGCTAAAACTCCTGGGAATCACTACCTCTGACAACATTGTGCTTTAGATCCCATGAGCTGTCTCTTCCTTTCATATATTTTATGAATTTATTTCCAAGGATGGGAGGCTGACTTCCTTGAACCAAATGAAGATAGTAAATACTGTCCAAATAGCAGATGACAGGTGTCATGAAGCTCAACTCTTAAAAACATTGTATTTTTTACTTTGGATCCCACACTAGTTAGATGATACTTCAGATTTACCCATAGACTGGGTAGCTTGAACAAAATACATTTATTTCTCAAAGTTCTGGAGACTGAGAAGTCCAAGATCAAGGTGCTAGCAGATTCAGTTCCTGGTAAGGGCCCTCTTCCTGGCTTGCAGATGGGCACCTTCTCACTGTATCCTCATATGGTGGAGATACACACACACACACACACACACACACGAGAGAGAGAGAGCGAGAGCATGAGCTCTCTGGTCTCGTCTTATAAAGGCACTAATTCCATCATGAGGACCTCACCCCCATGCCCTCATCTAAACCCAATCACCTCCCAAAGGCCCTATCTCTAATGCCATCACATTGAGGGTTAGGGCTTCAATATATGATTTTGGGGGGACACAATTCAGTCCACAGCACTCCCCAATTATCAACATCTTGCAACAGAGTGATATATTTGCTAACAATCAGTGAACCTACATTGACACATCATTATCAAATACGTTTTCAAACAATATAATTAAAAATGTTGAATTTTATCTATTATTTTTTTCCTGCATCTATTAACATGATGGCATAACCTTTCTCCTTTAATTGTCTGATGTGGAGATAGCATTAGTTTATTTTCTAATGTTAAATCAATCTTGCATTTCAGTGATAAGTTGGTTCTGCTATACTATCCATGGTAAAATTTTTTATGTTCGTTTTGAAAAATTTTGTTTAGAACTTTTGTGTGTGTGTGTATATATATATATATATATATATATATATATATATTTGAATTAGAAAGAACTGAACGTTTCTTTTTCAGTTTTGTCCTTTATAGATTCATTATAAAGATTATGCTAGCTTCACACAGTAAAAAGAGCAGCGTTCTGTCATTTTAAAATCTCTGGAGGAGCTTTTGTAAGTTAGAAATTACTTGTTCTTAAATGTTTGACAGGAAAGTTTGGGGGAAGGTTGCCTATGGAGTAATAGAAAGACTGTAGTTTTTTCTTTTCTTTCTTCTTTAAACAGTTTAGTAACTTATATCTTTGTAGAAATGACGGTTTTATCTAAGATTTTAAATACATCGCTTAAGTTATTTATAATATACTTTTATCTCTTTTAACAGTAGCAGCATCTGTAGTTAGCTCATCTTTCTGAATTCCTTATACTGGTTATCTATGTCTTCTCTTTCCATTGGTGATTACTAATTTTCCATTTTAGGACTTTCAAAAAACTGAGTTTTGGCTTTATTTATTCTTTTATTATATGTTTATTTTATTATTTATTTTCTTCTTTTCTGAAGTGTTTAGGGTACTGTTTTTTTCTAAATTCTTGATATAGATACTAAAATCACTGATTTTTAATTTTTCTTATTTTTCGGTTCATGCATGCAATTGTGTCTATAAATTTCCTTCTAAGTAGAGTTTTAACTGTATCTGAAAATTTTCAGTATTGCAGAATTTTGTTGTTATTCAAAATATGTTTTATTTTCAATTATGGTTTCTTTGAGCCATTAGCCATTTAATGGTTTCTTAGTGTTAAATATATTTAGTTTTTCTAGTTTTCTGTTTGCTTTGATTTGAGTTGCATTGAAGCTAGAGGACACACTGTGTTTGACTTCAGTCCTTTGAAATTTATTAAGATTTGTTTTGTGGCCTTACTATATGGACAAATTTTGAATATATACAAAGTTTTATATATATAATATATATTATATACATATCGACAATTGAAGAATACACGTTTTTTCATCTTTATCTAGGAAATATGAATTCAAGGGTTGATTGGAATTTTACTGCAGTGTTTGTGGTTAATAGTGCCTGATAAGGTCCTGTCCATTAAACTTTTATTTTTAGATAAAAGTCAACATTTTTTAATTATATTGTTTGAAAACATATTTGATAATGATGTGTCAATGTAGGTTCATTGATTGTTAGCAAATGTATCACTCTGTTGCAGGATGTTGGTAATCGGGGAGTGCTGGGGACTGAATTGTATAAGAGCAGTCTTACAGTGATGTCATTTCCCTGAAACCAGGTTTCCAGGCTGTAGGTCATTCAGGGGTTCCTGTGGTTTATATTTGTGAGAACTCATTTTGACTTATTGGTGGTAATCTTGAGTATATACATTAAATCTTTGTGATATTAAGCCATATGAATCTGTAAAAGAGCAAAGGTCTGTCAAATTGGAGTTTATATTAAGATGCTTTGTGTTTCCTTTCTGGTAATGCTCTTTTCAAGTGAAGAGAATTAGTTCTGTAAGGTTCTCAGAGAGTAAAATAGAAGATCATCAACATACTCTATAAGAGTGGATTACTGAGACGTGAATGTCTCTAAGTTTATAATTATTTGCAAGGAGTAAGAGAGTACTTCTGTAAATCCTGGGGTATAACTATTCAAGTATATCATTGATTTTCCCAAGCGAATTGCAAATAGATACAGTAAGTCTGGGTATAAGTGTACACTAAAGAGTGCTGAGAATTGAGCTAACACTAGAGAGTAAATAGCTATGTCAGTGGTCGAGGAGAAAATGATATTGGGGTTAGGGAACACAGGAAGCAAGAAGCACAGCTTTTAATGGCCTTTAAAACTTGCACACAACAGAAGTTGCACCTATTTGTCTTTTCAATGAACAGAACAGAGTTAATACTAGGGCTAATACAGAGACTAATGAGTTGTCTCAGAAGGTACCAGATAGAATAGATGGCATTTCTCCCTTAGTGAGTATTGGGCTAATTTTACCATGGACTCAGCCAGATCAATTGAGGCTATTATAGGTTTAGCATCGTTTATGTGCCCTACATCTGAACTGTTTTTAGCCCAGAAGCTTGCGAACAGATTCAGAGCTTAAGGTATCAATAGAGTAGGTATCAGGTAATAATATCTGTGCTATCATCAAACCACAGACTGGGGATTTTATTTAGAAAGTGGCTGTCTGATTCAACCTTAATGGAGGCACCTCATTTTAAAAATAGGTTTTGTACCAGCAGATTCACCAGAGTGAAATTTCTAGGTAGAGAAGCTTAGTGACTAGTGCAGTGTCCCAGAGTGATAGGAAGTAGTTGAGAAAAAGGCAAAGTTTGAAGGGTATTTAAGATTCTTACCTTGGAAAACTTTTTGTGACTCTAAGGAAGGCATAATAAAAAGGTCATAGGGTTAACAGCAAATGGAAGATAGTGTTTTTGCCAGTCACATGGACATTTATTTATTTTTTTGGTGGTAAGGGCAATTTTGGGCAAAATGAAAATATTATGTCCTTGGAGGATGTTATTTTGTTACACAAATTTGTCCTTTCTTTTTTGGTATTCTATCTTTTGAATTAAGGCAGGGCTAATGTTCTTTCAGTGTCCCATTTTCTTATAATTTGAACAGATGTCTTTGTCTAGATTCGGCATGGAGGTGTCCTTTTTGCTTAATCCGATTAAGTATTATTTGGTCTTTAATTTTTCTGTTTCTCAAGTCAAGGTATCTTCAGAGTTGTTTGCCAGCTCTTGTAATTCAGACAGATCATCGTATCATCTGTTTATAGGAGGCAGATAGGAGACTATTTTATCTTCTGCTTCCTAACTAAATCTGCCACCTCAGTTTTAAGAGTGTTAACAAAAAGATGCCTAGGACAGATATAATGTTCTCTGATTGAGGTTGGTATAGTCTCTAAAGGTGGTAATGCCATGGTCTCTAAGATCAGGGATTAATTTTATTTTTTCCTTTTTATAAGACTAAAGATTTTGCCAATTAGTTTGGATTGAAAAGATATCAGGGGTAGTTGCTAAGAGATATTATACTATTTTATATCCATTTTGTTATTCATTTCTGTTCAAACTTTGACACATATTTGATAAAATTTTGTAATCAAGTTACTCTGCTTTTTTTTTCAAAAGAGATTTTGGTAGCTCTGGGTCTCAAAGGGAGATACGTTAACTGGGGAGGGCGAGAGAGTCCTAGACTATACGACCCAAGGACAATTCCCAGTTCTTTACTGAATTCTTATTTTTCAGTGTGAGACAAGAGTAGATCTTATAGTTCTGACCTAGACCAATATTTGAAGCTACATTTCCAGTGGAGCTGGGATGATATTCTTTCCCACTTATCTTGGAAGACATTGTGAGGCATTATGGACCAGTGAGATGGTTATGTTTAAAAAGAATAGGGGAGAGAGGAAAAGGTCCAGGGAAGGTGCAGAAAGAGGAACAGACCAAGTGGGGGGAGGAAACAAATATACAGGTGGACCTGTAGGAGGGAGGAAAACCCTGAGTTGGGTCAAGAGAAAGAGATGAGAGGTAAAGCTTGGATTGCAGATGCTCAAAGTTTTATTAGCCTTTTTTAAAGGCTCCTTAAAAGGAGAAATTTAAACTTTTTCGGTCTTTTAGAAGCTTCTTCATATGGATCTTAAAAATTCTGACAATTGGATATTTGAAGTCTTTGAGCCCTTTGATTCCAAGGCACCGCATAGTGGATTATCATATTCATATTTCAAATTCTCCAGTGTGGTCACTGAAGTTCTACATTGCCTTTGGCAAAATTCTGTCATAGCTTCAAATATTTGGTGGCTTTGGTCTCATGACATGAATACATGATTCAAACTGGACAATGACCCAGAGAGTCACTGACTGACTAGAAACTGCCCGTTTTCAAATGATAAGAATAAACAAGAGACAAACATTCAGTCTCCGAGAATCTCCGCGCTAGTCATTCATCTCATTCATGAGAACTCTGAATAGTGAAACAAATCAAATAAAGGCTTTTATCAAGGACAAATTAAGGATAAAAGATTAGGAGTTATCCATGTTAGAGAGTGAAGCCCATGCAGGAGCAGGGCAGGCTCATATATTCAGTTGTTGGGACTCAGAGGAGCAGAGACATAAATGGAGGCAAACATGTATGTTCAGTATGCATTGTGTCACTGGAGGTTCATTACTTTTTCCAGTACTCGGAACTTTTCTACTATGGATACCCATTAGAATAACCGGAAGCTCTTTAAAAATATCAGTGCCAAGCACCACCCCAATCCTAGGGTGATTAATTTAGAATCAATATATATTTTTTAAAATTTTTTAATTGAGAAATAATAATTGTGTATATTTATGGGGTACATAGTGATATTTTGATACATATAATATATAGTTATCAGATATAATTTATATTGTTTAAAGCTCTCTAAGTGATTATAATATGTATCAGAACCTCTGCAATTCACTAAGCTGCTGCAAGAATTCAAACAATTCTCTTCCTAAATAGGAAAAGCCTGATTTGGGTTTTATATAAAAAAATCTTATCTTGGTTTTCATGTTTTAATATGTCAGTTGCTTGACAAGTGATTTATCTTTGTGTAGTTCACTTAAGGAGTTTGTGAAAACAATGTGTATGACTCTGAGAAAAAGGTAAGAATAAGAGTTTGGTGCTGACTTCTCTTTGAATGTTTGAACCATTCAGTGCTAGAGTAACTTAGCAAGATCATGGAAGCACACATTGTTATTCAACACTTCCCCGTCTTATGTGAAAAATCTATATTCAAGATCAGAATGTGGTTTAATCTGTTCAATTATTTGCTTTGTAACTCTGGGATGGAGTATCTCTAGATATTTATTTCTTCTGCTGATTGTGATTACATCAGGATAGTGTTAGTAGCTTTTTATTAATAAGCTAGTCTGTCAATTACATTATTCTTTGACTTTTTTTGCAAAACACTGTTAAATATTGACGAGTTTTAATTTTCATAACAACCATAGATGCAGAAAAGCAAGAATAATGGAAATAAGTATTTGCATTATTTCTATTTCTTCCCTCCCTTCTTTTCTTTCTTCTATTCTTCCCTTCCTTTCTTCCTCCCTTCCTCTATTGTTCTTTCTTTTCTTTTCTTTCAACTTGTAACTGAATTCTGGCCGATAGGATGTGGACATGGGTTGTATGCCCTGCTGTGATGGTTAGTTTCATGTGTCAATTTAGCTAGGCTAAAGTACTCAATATTAAACAAACACTAATCTAGGTATTGCTGTGAAGATATTTTGTAGATGTGGTTGACATCTGCACACTAGCCTGGGCAACAGAGTTAGACTCTGTCTCAAAAAAAAAAAAAAAAATGCCGGGTGCGGTGGCTCACTCCTGTAATCCCATCACTTTGAGTGGCCGAGGTGGGCAGATCACCAGGTCAAGAGATCGAGACCACCCTGGCCAACATAATGAAACCCCATCTCTACTAAAAATACAAAAATTAGCTGGGCGTGGTGGCATGTGCCTGTAGTCCTAGCTACTCGGGAGACTGAGGCAGAAGAATCGTTTCAACCCAGGAGGCGGAGGTTGCAGTGAGCTGAGATCATGCCACTGCACTCCAGCCTGGTGACAGCGCAACACTCTGTCTCAAAAAAAAAAAAAGTCTTTATTAAAATTATTTTGTTTATTTTATTTAAATTACTGCTCGATTTACAGAGACAGATTATCCCTTTCATTATGGGGATTTGGGCAACTTTTTCCATGTCACAATATTGAGTTATTTTGTAATAGATTTATATACATTTTTAAGGAATAAAAAGATTTTGAGATTTTTGTGACAGAAAATTATGAGTAATGATTTATGAGAAATGTTGACTAGAGAAATAACAAAAATTAAATCCATTATTTGCCTTTTAAAGAAATGTATATAACATATTTTTACTGTTATCTTTTCTATGTTTAGATATGTAAATACTTATACCATTCTGTTACCATTGCCTACAGTATTCAGTAAAATAACACGCTGAATAGGTTTGTAGCCTAGGAGCAAAAGGCTGTGCCATAGAGCATAGGTGTGTACTAGGCTATAGTATCTAGGTTTGCATATATATACTCTTACGATGTTCACACAGGGACAAAATTGCCTAACAATGCATTTCTCAGACCATATTCCTGTCGTTAAGCCATACATGACTCTGTGTAAGCATTCTTCTTCGATGATTATTTCAGTTATTCCTATATTTTTGTTGTTTGTTATTATGGGAAATCTATGAAAATTCTTGAATGTATTCTGGTTCCTCAGTTAAGACATTTTCTCAGGTATATACTAGAGAGAAGGTGTTGCTGGATATAGAATATACGCATATTCACATAGTGTATAAATGTTTTTGTTGATTCTAATCTTTACATCTTTAGTAACACATGGATTTGTCACATTTGTTAGTTTTTGAAAATTTGCTGGTATAAAATGTTATCTTCATTGGTTGTAATTTTCATTTACTGGTTGCAAAGTATGTTGGGAACTTTTAATATAGTTATTGATCATTTATGTTTTATCTCCTATTAATTACCCATTCATGTCTTCTGCCAATTTTTATATTTGGCCATTTATCTTTTTCTTATTGACTTTTAGAAAGCTTCTTTTTATCTTCTACTTAGATTTAGGGATATTTTATTTCCTTACTGTGTCTTTTGGTGAACATTACTTCTGAATTTTGATGCAGTAAAATTTAGTGAGCATATATGTATTAATGTAGTTCATGCCTTATTTTAAAAATATTTTTCTCTTGTGAGTTCGTAGACAAAATTTCTTGACATTATCTAATGAAACTTTTAAAATTTGTCTTTCATATTTAAATATTCAGTCTATCCAGAATCACTTTTGCTATATGATATAATCAATTTTGTCTCTTTCCCTCTATGGTTTACCACTGTCCTAGTATTATTTATTAAAAATAATCACATTTTTCCATAGATCGGGGTTAGAGGTTCAACTGTGTCTCCCCTTCAATTCATATGTTACAGACCTAACCCCCAGCACCTCTGAATGTAACCTTATTTGGAAATAGAATCATTACAGATGAACTTAGTTAAGATGAGGTCATGCTGGCATAGGGGGTAACCTTAATGGAATATGACTGTGTCATTATACTAAAGGAAAGTTGGATACAGATAGACATACTGCGAAAACACCAAGCAGTAGTAAAAACAATACCTCTACAAGCCAAGAAATGCTATATGTTACCACCAGAACCTAGGTAAAAGGCATGGAACAGATTCTGTCTCACAGCCTTCAGAAGTAACCAACCTTGTTCACAAAATTCTAGCTTCCAGAACTGAGACAGTAAATGTCTTTGTTTAAGCCACCTGGTTAGTGGTACTTGGTTACTGCAGCCCTAGAAAACTGATACAATCTGAAATGCCATTTCTGTCATAACAAAGTTCCTATAATTGTAGGAGAGCTTTTTTGTCCTTCTATGTATATTTCCTTGTATCTCAATGGTCAAAGCAACTGTTATGATTAAGCCTGACATCAGTGAGTGGAAAAATATATTCTGCCGAAGAAGGAAGAGTATAGGGAATAAATATTTGCTGGTCAATAGTTCCAATTATCGCAGAGAACTTTTTCATTCTTTCTATAACTGATTTTTTTTAGGATATGCCATAATTTATTCATGGGCATATGGGTTGTTTGCATTCATTTATTAATATAATCACAAGATAATAAATACTCTTGTACATACATCATTTTTCACATATCCAAGCATACCTGTAGGGGGTATTCTTGGATGAGGTGATGGGTGAAAATTGTATGCCTTTGTAATTTTGATACCTATTGCCAAATTATTCTACATTGAAGAGCTAGCAATTGTACTCCCATAAGCAATGAACAGAGAATAGCTATTTCCCCCAAAATCTGTACTATACAACTTTTAAAATTTTGCCTGTCAGTTATTTGAATAATAGAATCTCAGAGCGATTGTTGTTTCTTTCTTCACTTGTGTTTCTGCTTTATTCTTGGCCTCTTTACCTCTCTCCCTTTTAAGACCTTTTCATGATTAAAAATATTAATTTTCTGAAGTTATGTTTGTTTCCATCATATTTCTACACGTGGAATCTTAGTTTATTTTAATAAGTCAAAGCATGAATAAAGTATGTAGTCTAGCTAATAGTAATGCCCAAAGTTGATTCCTTAGTTGTGACAAATGTATTCTAGTAGTGTAAGACGTTAGCAGTAGGAGAAATTGGGTAAGGAATATTTGGGAACTTTGTACTATCTTGGCAACTTTTCTGTTAATCTAAGACTATTCTACAATTAAAACTTTGTTTACATTTTAAAATCAAAGCAAATATGTCTTAAAAGAAGAATTTCATTTAAATACGTTCCAGGGATAAATCTAACAACCAGGCCATGATTCTCAAAAGAACAGATGATGTAATTTCTTCCTATTTAAAAAATAGACAATTTAACTGGTGAACAAAAATCAGAATTTATCTGGTGAACACAAAATCAGAAAAAAGAGCGTTAGATGATATTAAAAATTACAAAATAAAAATTGTTAGATGATATTAAAGGTTTTTCTGAAACCATCTTCTCTCAATAAGTATTTTAGAGATAACCATAATGTTCAACTTTGCCTTCTTTAGCTAAGGTCCTTGGATAACAGATCTCCTTTCTCTATGTTTCCATAGCACACCATCTGCCTTCTGTTCACAAAATCTCTTTCCAGAATAGTTAAGATAAATTGAGCTTCCTGTTAAATCGTTATAATTCTTCCAGTTCTACTTCCCTAAGATTATTTCTTAACCATCGTTTTCAAGTTTGGGTTATTTCCACTTCTTTTTTCCATTTGAAAATCATTCTAATATATACAGATTTGTATACATTGTAACTAATTTTAGCAAAAAAATTTCCTAGATATGGGCAAAAAACTATTCATGTAGGATTTTGAGGCATTTTGTTAGATTACCCTATATAATATTTGCTTCAATATTTGTTATTAAAAGGAGTAGGTAAGAATGCTCATTTTCTGATGTAATTCATTATAATTTTTAATAAATGGTTATTATCTTACTATTTATTATATTTTTAAGATAGCCAAGTTAACATTTATATCTATTAGTCTTTAATATTAATTTGTTGAGGACTTGTGAAGCTAAATATATTTTTATATGTTTGTCATTTTTAGGTGGTAATTTACCCTTTCCTGGTAAATTGCCTGATTTTGTTTTTGCCCAGGCACTTTTGTAAACTTGATTAATTTGTGGACAATTCTCTTATTGCTGAGAAAATCTGTTCTGTGAGCCTGAGGGCCTGGGCAGTGGTGAATTCACCTAGAGAAATATCTCAAGCTCCTGACCTCCCCAGCCAATACATTACTTCTTTAAACTGTGGTCCTTGACATTTGAAATTAGAAGAAAAAATGTTGTATCTTGCCTTTCTACTCTGCTCTACATCCAGGACTTTTCCAGATCTTACCCACCACCTGTTCTCTTTCCAACAACTGCAGAAATTTCTTGTTCTTACAATTAGCCACCTCCCAATCTTATTTTTTTCCTTCAAAATCCATGCCCATAAGCACTGGAAATAAATATGGCCATTTCATTTTAATTGTCAACCTATATGTGCCGAGGCCTCCATCTTCGTTCAACCCCAATTCAAGAAATATGTTATATTTTGGTTCTCACTCTAAAATGTTTCTTTTAAAAGTTTCTGAGAGAATAAGTGATGTTAATTCAAACTGTTTCTAAAGAGCATATGTACTACAGTAAAATTTTATTTTTGTCCTTTAGCTGAAAAACTGAACTATAGTGATGGATATTGCTGATTCTTCTTTTATTCTCAATAAAAATAAAATTCATGCTCAAATATTGTTTCTCAAAGCTGAGGATTTTTTTTTTAGGTCCTTTGTGTTACATATTTACTTGCTTCTCTCATTCCTTTCCCACATGGATTTTGAAGTCTTTTGAAATTCCCCTTGATATTTATTTTTGCCTTCCCTCAACACTCTATGTGTGTGACTAGTAAGAAATAATTCACAGAATCTCAAAAGTTCTTCAGTCACTGTCTTGAAGCAGAACGTTATTTAAATATATTTTAGAAGAGCTATTTGTAAAATGAGAATGGATGTCACACTAGGTTTATGGATGTTCTATATAGAGAGAAGATTTAGTCTTAGAAACTGTAGTGTTATCATTTTCAGATATTGACTAAGCTGTGGCAATTCTTCTCTATCAAAAAGAGATCATGTGAACATAATACAGCAGGTAAAAGTTTCTGAGTTTTGTGCTGAACCTAGACCAAAAGGCCACAATAAAGTAAGATTTAGTGGGCATGTACTTCCCATGTCCTCCTCTCCTTTTACCACAAAGTTTTGATCAACCCCTTCCTGTAATTTCAACCCTAAGCTCTAACCATAAGGATTTTCCAAAAGAGAGAGTACTTACTCTAACACAGTGGAAAAGTGTCCTATAATTTTCACTCATTCTTGTGTATCCTCTCCTGATATGGTTAATTTGTCCATGCCTAATCTTAATACGAGACATAAAAATTTTGATTACTTCCTTAGTTACTGTGATTGACAATTTTATTGACTTAGGGGCTTCAAAAACTTCAATTAAGCGTATTAAAAAGTTTGGATTTCTTGGGACCCTTGGTATCAAGGAATCTATGACTTCATGATTTTCTCCTTTACTTAAAATAATTATTTTTCCTGGGTCTACTTCAAAGCCTTCCCTTGTCTTTCAGAGCTTTTGGCATAACAGTAGAACTTTTATGTCTTTTCCAAAGAATTTTTTTCCCTAGCTTTTATTAGAAAGTTATGTTGGGCCACTTTTTTATAGAATTCTATGTCTTGCTACTTTTAGCTGTTTTAAGCCTAGGAAAGTCTTATTGTGTTAATCTGTTTGCATTGCTATAAAGGAAAACCTGAAACTGGGTAACTTTATAATAGAGATTTATTTTGGCTCATGGTTCTGTAGGCTGTACCTGAAGCATAGTGCTGGCATCTGCCTCCGGTAAGGACCTCAAGAAGCTTCCAGTCATGGCAGAAGGTGAAGGGGAGCCAGCATGTCACGTGGCGAGAGAAGGAGCAAGAGGGGTGGGATTTCCAGGCTCTTTTAAATAACCAGCTTTTGTGTGAACTACCAGAGTGATAACTCACCCATTACCATGGGCGTAACATCAAACCATTCATGAAGTATTGTGTCAGTCCATTCTCACGTTGCTATGAAGAACTGCCTGAGACTGGGTAACTTATAAAGGAAAGAGACTTAATTAACTCGCAGTTCCACATGGCTGGGGAGGCCTCAGGAAACTTACAGTCATGGCAGAAGGGGAAGCAAACACATCCTTCTTCTTGGTGGCAAGAGAGAGAAGTGCAGAGCAAAGGGGGAAAAAGCCCCTTATAAAACTATCAGATTTTGTAAGAACTCACTCACTATCATGAGAACAGCATAGGGGAACCACCCTCATAATCTAACCACCCCCATAAGGTCCCTCCCCCAAGACATGGGGATTACAATTCAGATTACAATTCAAGATGAGGTCTGGTGGGGACACAGAGTCAGATCATATCATTCTGCACCTGGCCCCTCCCAAATCTCATCTTTCACACCTTTCAAAACACAATCATGCCTTCCCAGTGGTTCCCCAAAGTCTTATCTATTTCTACATTAACCCAAAAGTCCAAGTCTATAGTCTCATTTGAGACAAGGCAAGTCCCTTCCACCCATGAACCTGTAAAATCAAAAGCAAGTTAATTACTTCCTAGATACAATGGAGGTACAGGGATTGGGTAAGTACACCCATTCCAAATGGGAAAAATTGGCCAAAACAAAGGGGCTATAGGCTCCATGCAAGTCTGAAATCCAATGAGGCAGTAATGAAACCTTAAAGCTCTGAAATAATCTCCTTTGACTCCATGTCTCACATTCAGGTCACACTGATGCAAGAAGTGGGCAGCCTTGGGCAGCTATATACCCCCATGATCCAAAAATCTCTTGCTAGGCCCCACCTCCAATACTGGGAATCACATTTAAACATGAAATGTGAAGGAGACAAATATCCCAACCCTATCACCTGTCACTAAGTCTTCATGGAGGTACAATTAAAGGGGAATGCAAGCTGTTATCCATGACCAATTTTTGATTTTCTTTATTCTCGTTTGTATTTTTCTGGTGCATATTATATTTTTTTCAGATATTGCAAATACAAACAAGTGAAAAATTAGAAGATAGGAAAGAGGTTGGAAAATGATATCAAGTCTTCCAGTAGCAATAGAGGATCCAAATTGGATCCTTTCAGAAATTATTTACTTATGCTTTTAAAATAAGCCCTCATGGTATCTTCTTCTGGAATTCTTTCTTTACATCTCCTGCTTTTGTGAAGGGCCTTTATAAAACCTTGCACATATTTTTATCATGAATACTCTATTATAATTGTTTGTTTCTGTTTCCTTGATGAAGCTGCATTTATTGAATTTAGGGCTGCATCATATGTTACTGTATTCTAAGCTTCTAGCATAATACTTTTATACAGTAAATACAAACCAAGTGTTATCTATTAAAAGTAATGGTTTTTGAGGGCTTTTCTCATGTTCTAATTGAGTACTACCCAAATGGAATTCTCATTTAATCCTTTTATGAACCTTAGGTGGGAAGTTCTATTATTGTACTCATTTTTGTGATGATGACCTGAAATATAGAGAGGAAAGTCAAACATCTTACCTGTTATGTGATACAGAAGTTTTAGAGCTAGGATTCAAACAAATGAGTCTGTCATCCCTGCGCATTGTTCTACACTGTTCCTCAGCATGAGCGAATGCATGGACAAATGAATGATGCTTCCAGATTAACTTCAACTTAAATCTACAAATGTCTCAAAAATACTATTTTTACTACTGGTTCCAGTTTACAACTGTAGACCTGTTATCAGATTAATAAGGCTGCAGCAATATTGAGATTTCTCTCATTTTTCTTTGTTGGACATGCTGATGGATATTTAAATATCTCAAAGGCAACCAGAAAACCAGAAGAAAGAAATTTAAAAAGAAACATAGTCATCTAATAAACCTAATACTTAGCCCTCAGTATTTGAAATTTTCTGGCCTTCTAGTTAATTCTATATTGATTTGGCATGTTAGTATGGTTTGAATGCCCTCACCAAAACTCATTTTAAAATGTAATTGCCCTTGTAATGGTATCAGGCAGTGAGTCCTTTAAGAGGTGATTAATTCAGGAGGGTTTCATCCTCATAAATAGATGAATACTGTTATTGTGGGAGTTTGTTCCCCTTTCCCTCTCTATCTCAAGCATGTACTACTTTGCCATGTGATGCCTTCCACTATAGGAAAACCCTTGCCAGATGTCAGTGCCATGGTCTTGGATCTTCCAGCCACCTGAAGTGTGACCCAAATAAGCTTCTATTCTTGATTAATTACCTGGCCTCTGGTATCCTGTCATAGCAGCAGACAGAGTAAGACACATGTATACTCAGTTTGCTTATAACCTTCATATCTAGGGCCTTTATTATTCTGTGTTTTAATCTGGTGATGGTCATGCTCATCTTGACCTTTCCTTAGGCTTTTGTTTAAGTGCAGACTGTTTCTGGTGAGAACTTTAAGTGGATACTATTTGGGATTATAGTACCTGCAAAGCCTCTGAAATACATTATAAAGAACAATGGCTCTGATAAAGTATTCACAGCTTTTAAAAAATGTATTCATTTATGACTGCTGAGCATTGCTGAGCAGTAGGTTTATTTAAAGTTAAATTACCATTATATTCCCTTGCCTCTGTTCATTTCGAAGCAGTAGGATATTGTAGCCAGACTTCCCTTGAGCAATCAAAAAATAAGCCTGTATAAAACTCAGATATTTAACTGATTGCTGCAAACAATTGCTTTGAAAATGCAATGGCATTTTTGATGAAAGGCCAACAAGTAAAATTTTCTATCAAATTCATTCTTACAGGAATAACTTTTTCACTTGTTAGTCTAATTGAATGATATGAATGTATTCAGAAAATTCTCAAATGAATTCATTTTGCAGTCTGAAAGCACAAATAGCATATTATAAAATTTATAATAAATGGGGTTAAAAAGGAAGTTAGGACTACAATGCCACATGAGTTTTGCCTAGGTTCCTGATTAACTCTTTCATTGTATAGCGTCCTTTGTGATTGCTCGTAAGATGGCAGAAGACTTTATGACATGCAGCAAGAAGATAACCTATAAGATCCTTTGTACAGTTCTTTAGGCTGCTGCTACTTTAAATTGGACTGCCAGCTGGCATCTGGGAGCTCAGCTCTGCAATATTTTAAGACTGACAGACTGGAGAAACTGACGATTAGAGCTCAGCATTTAAGGTACTTCATATGTAGGGACATTTGTGCAGAAGATTCTTCTTAGTGACTATAAAGAAAGTCACTCTTCCATTATTTGAAGAAATAACCAAAGTATCTGTTATTTCTTTGCTATTAATTTAACTCTAATTTCAAAAATTTTACTCAAGTGTGTTTAAATCCAATTGTGGAGAGGATGGCAATAACAATCCAATTGTAAAACTCTAAACTATTTTAAAAATTGATGCACAAACCTAAACATTTGACCAAATTATATACATTTAAAAATTATATTTCATATTGAAGCAATGGAAAATGCCTATTTTGGGGGTATGTCTACAAAATTGCTGAAACTTTCTTGTTGTAATAAAATCTTATCATCTAATATAAATAGCTCTACAAACAACTTTTGACTTTGTTTCTTATCCTATATACTTGAGAAAGTCAATATCTAGATTAAGATATTTTATATTCCTAAAAGTAATGTTTCCCTATTTTCATATCTGCAAATCAAATAGCATATTTAGGTTATCAGCAAAGGCAATTGAATATACTTCTCCATTAGAGTTCTGTAGTTATGATAAAATTTGAGGGAGACGAATGAAAACTGTCAAATATGATATATCTTTAATCTTGGAGAGAAAAGTATAAAAACTGACTTATATAAACACTGAATACACAAGTAATAGCTAAAGAAAAAAAAACAATTTCCTTCTGTCTGCCTCCAAAGATTAGGACTTTATTCCAAATAGTAAATACTTCTAGCTCGTGTTAAAACAGATATGAACATTATTTATATCATAAGAATGGTTAATAAATCTTAGAACATCTAGCTTGACTGAATAAGGATGTTTCCACCCTAGTTTTAAAAATACATTGAAAATAATATACTAGCATAACATTTAACATCATAAAAATAAAACATTAAAAATATTATTTTATACTTTTGTTAGCATTTTAGATTATTTAACTTTAATTGACCAGGCTGCCATTTAAGCCAATGTTTACTGGGATTGTGAATTTTTCCTCTATTCCTTCTATCATAAGTAAAGAATTGCTGATCAGAGGGTATTTGTGTTGCACTGAATTGCATGTAGGTAGAGGGTGATCCAGGAGAGTAGAGTTGGATTGATCAAAAACTTATTCTTTAACCATGTTTTTCTTAAGATATATGATTTTGAAAATTTGCAGAAGATATTTTTTGTTTTATCATGCGTTTTCCAAACGCATGGTCTATTTCTGTTAAGGAGTTTGTACTTTAACAATGAAACATATTTGTATTTACTACTAATCATGTACACCTGTTTGTGTACATATATATGTATAAATGTGTGTGAGTGTATGTGTGGGTGTGTATGCAGCAGGTCATTGAATAACATTGTTTCCTTTAACATGATGAGGAAAAAATATTAATTCTCAGCCAAGGTCGTGTGTGTGGAGTTTGCATGTTCTTCCTATGTCTGTATAAGTTTTCCCTGGTTACTATTCCAATGTCCTCCCACATCCCAAAGCTATGTATGTCAGTTGAATTGGCCTGCCTATATGGTCCCAGTCTGAATGAGTGTGTGTGAGTGTGACCTGTGTTGGAATGGTGTCCTGTCCGGGGATGATTCCCACCTTACGTTCTGAGTTGCTAGGATAGGCCAAGGTCACTCATGACCCTGAACTGACATAAGTGGGTTGGAAAAATTGAATTAATAAATAAATATAAATTATACTATTATAAAAATTCATAAAGATACAATAATTATGTATTGACAATAAACAATGAGGTATGGAAGTGCTCAGCATGGCTGCCACATTTGATATTGTCTTCGAACTGAATTGTGGTTTTTGCTTTGCAAACATTTATTCCTTGATTTAACACACCACCATTATAACTGCTGTAACTCACTGATTCACCAAAAATTGAGTAAATAATCATCTTACTTGTTTTTATTAATCTTTCTTAAATATATGTATATCTCACATTTATTTCAAGATTTAATATTAAAAGTTTTTGGGGTCTTTATTTAGAAGCTGGTGATGTCTTTGTGACCAGAAATATGCCATAGGATCTTAACTCTTGTTTATATCGATTAGCCTATGGTAAAATTCGTTATATGCTGTTTCTCTTAAAGTCACAGTTTCCAAGAACCTATCCACAAAGATAAGTGAGGTCTTACTATATATGTACAGTGATGTGCTGCATAATGACATTCTGGTGAAAATTGAAACATGTATGTGACAGTGCTCTCATAAGATTATAATACCATATTTTTACCATATCTTTTCTATGTTTACATATGTTGAGATATACAGGTGCTTATAATTGTGTTACAATTGCCTACAGTATTCAGTACAGTAATATGCTATATAGGCTTGTAGCCGAGAAGCAAGAGGCTATACCATATAGCCTAGGTGTGCTGTAGGCTATGCCATCTAAGTATACTCTATCATGTTTACCCTATGATGAAATTGCCTAACGTGCGTTTCTTAGACCATGTCTACATTGTTAAGTGATGCATGATCATATATGAATGTATGAGGTTTTCCATAAGATCCTAAGAAGGAATTTTCAAAAGTAATTATGAAATTAAATTGCTTTTTCTGAAATAACATACTTATACAATAGTTGTAAAGCATTTTGGCTGTCAGTAACTAGTCAGCAATGTGTGATTTAGTTTATATTTTCATTTCTTTGTGTTTTTAGGCAAAGCATTTTCTATTTAAATCAGATAAGCATTTTCTAATGTGCCAAGACTTTACTTAATTGACTGGGCATATGGTGACTTAATTCACCTATCCGTCTCATGCCCCAATTTTAGACATGTTCTATTAGCAAGGATTATTTTCCCCATCTTGTAAACTGAGCATCTTAAGTCTGCATCTCTGCTTTACTTTTTTAACTATGATATAATATCCAAAACTGCTACTGGAAAGGATTAAAATGCTGTTAAGCAGAACAAGGACACCTCTTTTTGTAGAATCTTTGAAATTTAAACAGCTATTGCTAGTGAAAAGGATAATTTCCTTCTGCTTGCCTCCAAAAATTATTGCATATTTCAAATGGTAAAAGAGAAAGACTCTTACTTTGCTGCTTTTGATTAGGAAAAGCAATCATGGGCAGATGAAAGATCAGAAGAACCTCTACAAATATTCTTTATTCAGATGTAATGGAAGTTTGGGCTTTTGAACTAATTAAAGATGCTTTTCACTGCAAGTCACTATTTCTTGGGTGCTGAATATCAATTCAAACCTGGATTGAAAGTCAGATATGTGCACAAATCTCATACTGGCTCAAGCAGGTCCAAAATATTCCAGCAACTCATTTAAGCATTGAGAGCCATGTTTTCATCTCACTCTGAGGTTTTTAAGCTGCCAACAAACTGGAGAGGGATTTTACCCTGAGATGTCATTCATAACACAGATGCCAGAGTCAGCTACTGACATCCCTGGCTAGTTCTGTGGAACTCCAGTCAACAGCTGGTTGCTTGGGCTGCCAAAACAATCCACAATGTTTTGAGCTCCTGCCTTCCTTTTCTCTTTCCAGGCTTTGCAGAGAGATGGGAAACAAATAGTCATTCAATTTCCACGGTTGTAAAGAAAACTAAAATTTGCCAGTTAAGACGGTTTTGCTGCTTGGAGGAAGGAAGATACATTTTTAGTAATGGAATTGTGGACACCATTAGCTTGAGGGTCACATTTGAGCAAATAATTAAAAGGGGCCCTCCTTTTGGAAGATGTAGGTAGGATCTTAGGAGCAAGGCTGGGCCATCAGCTATCATTTGTGTGTGAAAAATATGCTTCATCCTGCAAGTAGAGAGACATAAGCTTGCATACCCTGCTCACCTTATGACCATTGTATGTGGTAAACCTGAATCTCAGAGGCCTTTATGGCACAGTTGAATTTCTTTCATAGGAACAATAGAAGCAACATCTGTACTACCTTTGGGTCTTCTTAACTTAGTCACCCATATCTGTTCTTATTCTAATGACCCCGACATCCACTTTTAAATATCAATAGGAAAAAGCCATTGATGTATGTCATTTTTCCTCCTAACTAATGAGCTAAAATATCAGGTGTGTATAAGTAGGAATCCAACATGATCTGATCTGCATTTTATTATATTATCATATATTTAGCTTTAGTTTAAAAATGTAGTGGGTTATAAGAAATAATAAAAGCATTCCAAAATTAGACTCCAACACTTAAAAATACGTCAACACAACACAATAGCTTGTAAAGCTATTGAGGGTCCTTGTCTTATTTACTGCTGTATCACCAGTGTCTATTCTGTTGCTGTGTGTTTAATAAATATTATTGGCAGAAGGGAGGAAAAGAGAGAGGGAAAGACTTAAAAAGCTTTTTAAAATGTGGTAAATTTAGAAATTAAAATCAACCAGATTTTTTAAAGGTGTAAGATAGTTTTTAATTGCAGAAGATTTAAATAAAATTTTAATCCAAAAGGTAAAGATCATGATCTTTGATCCACCTGTTACTGTTAAAATAAGTATTTTACTGAGAGAAAAGCAAATGCACTAAAAACAAAGTAAAATGTCATCTGGTCATATTGAGTGAGCCTCATATTATGGGATGATAACTAAAAATTCAAAGGCCAGATGGCTTATAACAAGAAAGATAAAACAGTTATTATAGGGAATTAGATGTAAATCAACACCACATTATAGCCAAATGCCATAGAACTGATAGCAGCAACACATAAAAAGAGGAAATAGAATTTTTTTTTAAATGTTGAAAGTTTAGGGTTTGAAAATAGTCTACAATTTATAGTGTCAAATAATCTATTTCATTCACATTTTTACTTTCAGTAAATTATGTTTATTGATTATCTATTAATATATCAAAAATCCTCTTTTAAAGAATGTGATTACAACTATAATTATAGCAGGAGAATCAACCGGAACTCAGAGGTATTGGAGTGAGAGTATAAATTGGTCACTTTGACCCAGAGGAAACACGAATCCAAGCTGCTGCTACTGTTGTGGGATGTCCTGGGATATAATTTAATGCATGAAGAAAATGTACTTTGGAGAGACAATGAAAAGCTTGTCTCCAGAGAGACTTTATCTGTAATTGCGTTTTATGTGCTGGAACTACAAGACAAAGGCAAGGGCATTGATGAAGCGTTGAGTGAGCTAAAGGGGAAATCTGCCTACGACCAGAGTGGCCTTAGGAAACCAAGCCTCAGCAAAACCATGCAGTATGTAATGCTGCAAATTTAATAATCCTTATTCATGATGTACTTGGGAGCGTTTAACACATTTTCAATAGGATAATTAAACTGCAACATGTAAGGTGCCATGAGAAAATAATAATTATGATAGTGGTTACTATTTTTATATTTAAATTAGGAAATTTCTCTATGTTAGTAAGCTGTACGCATAAAGAGAGAGATGATGGCAGCAGTGGGGAAAAGTGTACATGTGGAAAATTTTTTGTATAGTAAGGCTAGCTGGTGACAAGTTTCAACTGAGATGTTTCAACCCAGTAAAAAATTGTTTTCCATAGGGAGAATACGTCTTCCAATGCCATACCCTTGAGAACAAAATTCTTAACTGTCAAGATATTTGGACCCCCAAGTTTAGTATTAGCTACCTGTCTTTGTGGCTGAGATCTTAATACATTAGTATATTAGGTAGACATTTAATAACACTATAAAAATAAAACACTGAGTTCTTCTAGAAAAGATGGACTTATATAGACATCTAGCTTTTCTACCAAAAAAAAAAAAAACCCTTAAAATATCAATTTATGATGGTGGTCTTCAACAGAAGATGATTTGTTTTACTTCTTTTGAGACCTGTCACTTTAGACGAACTTGTCAGCCTACGTTGTGTAGCTGTGTGCATGTCTATGTGAAAGGGGATGAAACATTTTTATTAATCTGTTAAAGAGAAATTCTAAATCCATTTATTATTTCTCTTAAATTTTATGGCAGGCATACACATTTAAATCCAAATAATACTTTTCAATTGATTTCCTTCCCCTACCACATGGCAGAGATGGCCTCTGACAATCACAATACAGGAAGTGCTAGAGACCATAGCAACAGTGAAATGCTACCTATTTTAAATTTATACTATTGAGTATTTTGTATGCCATCTGTATTTTTGAATGAACACTGCACTCTGATACACTGTTAGATTCTGTGAGGACATCAAATAAATATGGGATTATTTTTGTCCCTAAGGCATGAGCAGTTTTGCTTCAGTTTTCTGAAATAAAAATATGATGCAGCCCTGAATTGGTTAACTTTCAGGTGAGAGTAGGATTTATTTTTCCCTAAAGATCTTATAAAAGATTTCAGTTTCAGACAGTTCCACTAGGTAGAAAGATTGAATGGATATGCACATGGATTTAGTGGAATGGGGAAGAATGGAACTTTGAAAAAGAGAAGGTGAGGAAAATACCAGAATCCAAGTACTTCATTAAGAAACATAGAGTGATGCCAGCTAAGAGATTGAAAGTCTGTAAAACTAGCTTATGACAAGATCAAGGGCACATTTGTTTGTCATTTCTATTTCTCAGTTCCATGGCAAAAATAAATTCCTAATGCATTTTTACAGATTGGCTTCCCTATAGATTTTATTGGCTGCCTTTAAACCATTGATTTGAGAATTCAGTCACTTCTTTTTAATCTTTCACAATTTGTTAAGTTTGTCTAAGGCTGAGGATAAAGGTTAGGATGGAGCGTTGACACTCCTTTCATACCCAGGGAGCCACGTTAAATGGAGATTTCTAGAGTAGCCACTGGCACACATCAAGATAAGAATTCTGTGTTTTCCATAATAGGAAAGAACAGATAAGTTACCTGCATATCAACACAGAATGAATTATAAAATGGATTCCGAAACAGAAAGATTGCAAAAACATTGTGTGGATATGTGTATTAACAGCCAGCACCTTGTGAATACATTTAAACATTGGAATAGTTTAACCTGGGGGCATGTAATTGGCATTTATTCCCTAAAAAGTCCCCAATGCTCAACAAGGAGAATAAAGGAATATGAAAGTATGGATGGACAAAATATAGAGAATTTACTAACTTTTAGTATAATTATTACTACTAGAAAGGGGGCAGGAGAAAGGATGAGAGTTGCTAATCAACCAGATATAGATTTTTCAGAGAGGAAAATATATAGTCTATATGAGAGTGTGTAAAACTACAGTGCAGATATAAAGTATGCATACTTTTGGCATTTTCTGATTTTCAAAATTCAGCTATAGCATCTGAATGTAACCTGGGATTTTATTTCTTCTATCACTTACATTGTGAATTTTAAAAGCTGTAGTGATTGAAGCATAACTTGATAAAATGTTTTTTCCAATAGCCAGAAGTTGAGGCCACAAGCTTCTATATTGCCAATAATTTTCCTCTGTATACTTGTAAACATGAATTCTTCATTTGGATTAAGGATGGAGATATTTCTGGGAATAAAGCCCTGCCTATTATGGTCTCCTCCTGATGACTGTAAAGCCAAGTGGACTGTGAAATGATTGTCTCCATAAAAAGGCATGTAAAATGGCATGTTAAAAGGCCAATCATAGGAGAATTTCACTCTAAACCCTAAAAGTTGTTATGTTCATGGATCTGGTATACCGGATTATTTTTAAATTTAGTGTGTGCCTCAAATGACTATGTTGTTGAAACTTTAGACTTGAAGCTGGGTGAGCTTCAAGTCTATGTTTTATACTTGAAAATTAAATGAGTCCCCTGCCTCTTTTGCTACAGAAATTCTTTTAGCTCATATGTATGAATCTGATTTTTCAATATTTTATCATTTCATGCCCAAATCTTTGATTCAGGAAAATGTAATATTATAAGCTTAAGATGTTCATTTATTGGGTGATTTAGTTGAGGACAATTTACAATTATAGCATTTAAAATAGAAAATGATTCCCAGCCTACTTGCTCCCTTAATTAGACTAGAGAAAAAGAGAACTGTAAATTATCCAGATTTCACAGACACATTTTAAACTACTTCATACTACAGATTCTTTATAACATTAGAAAATGTGTTCCAAGAAAGGGCTATTGGAATGGATTTTTGAAAGTCTTAAAGCTAGAACACACACTTAATACTGTCACAATTTATAGTGGAGGGAGCTAATAAATGCTTACAGGTTAGAATTGTACATAAATTTTGAGATTGCTGCTTCTCCCCGGTTTTACAGTGCAAGAAGGAAAAAGGATCTCCTTTTAGGTTAACTGAACAAATGACTAGGTTTGAACTCTTCTTAACTTTTTGATTATTAGAATCATCAGCCTGGATTTACTTATCTTCTCTATTAGTAGCATTTCTTCTCATCAATACTACCCCTTCACCCAGTCCCTCCTCCCAACCAATGGATTCATACAAATTCTTAATTGGACATCACATTAAATTTTTTCATTATGTAATATTCACCCAGTCCTTCACCCAGTCCCTCCTCCCAACCAATGGATTCATACAAATTCTTAATTGGACATCACATTAAATTTTTTCATTATGTAATATTCTATTATCTTGTGAAGAACTTTCATGAGCATAAACTTGGTAAATAGAGGCTCTGATTCTTTTTTTAAAACTATGCATACAGTTCACAGGTGGATTTACTACGAAATTAATAAAACTTAAGCTTCAGATGTTTTTGCTTCCTTTGGGAGAGGTGCCTAGCAATATATTCATGTGATTGAATGTTTTTATAAATATTCAAAAAATAAATGATTTTAACTGCATTTAATTAAGACCTACTGTCAGTTTTTTCCCGGACCAAACTGAAGATCAAGCTGCTGTTTCTCATGGCCCGGTAACAAGATGCAGATGAACTGGGGAGGAAGGGAGTTTTTATTTCTGTGACTAATTACAGGGAGAGGGCCTGGAAATTATCATCAGACCAACTCAAAATTACAAAGTTTCCCAGAGTTTATATTACTTCCAAGCTATTGTCTACATGTAAGTGTGCATTCGTGTGAAGACATAGTGATTCACTTCTTTTAATCTATAACTAAGGTCTGAGTCCTGAAGACTTTCCTCTGGAGTCTCAGTAAATTTACTTAATCTAAATGGGTCCGGGTGATTACCCTTATCTTGTCTCCTGCTAAATCATGGAGGTTTCAGGAGTTCCTTCAGACCTCCAGTAAATTTGTTTGTGGAGGCCTGGGGAGTTTCTTCAGACCCACAATAAAACTTGTTTAATCCTAGATGGGTCCTGTTAAGAATTCCTTCATTACTTTGACATGCTTTAAGGCCCAGGAAAGGCCTAGGCGAAACTCCTGATGGGCTTTTATTACATCCTAGCCTTTGTATATGGTCATTGACTTTTAATATTTTCACACTGACTTTCCCTTCATTACATTTCCTTCTCTCAGGTGGTGGTAGAATAGTATGGTTGGGTTCTGTTTAAGGGGGAAGATAGATTTAGCGAGATATATTTATATTTTACAATCATTTTTGTTTATAGTTAAGTTGTTGACAGCTATCCTGGTGTAGAAATGAGGCCCAGAAATACTCCCACACTCACTGTGCTGACTCATCTGACTTTGTGAGCCTAAGGTTCAGGGCCAGAAGTTTTATTGCAATATGAACATGTCCTATGGCTCTGGGCAATGGATGTGTATGGTTTGTCGAAGAAAAACTATGTTTTAACTGTATGGAGGCAGAGCTAGTTTGTGAAATTATTGGGACAATTGCTAATGATCGATGTCAATTCAAAAAGTATTTAAGATTAGCCACTGCACAAGAAAACTTGAAATGCTGTGAAATCTTAAAGCTCATATATGAAAAAACTTGAGAATTTCTGAAGTTTGACAAAAATCATAAAATTTTAAATTTAAATTTAAGTTGTTAATAAGCTTTTAATCTGAAACATTTCTAAATTATCAATATTAAAAATTAAATTTAAATTGTTAATAAACATTTAATATTATGAAAATAAATTTTGATCCCAACCATTCTGGAGAAGTTTCAGACCTCAAAGGTTAATCCTGCTTTTGATTCTATTTTATATAGAAAAATGAGAGCTAATTATAATAAAAACAGTAAAGTAGGGAGAAAAATTGGTTGAAATTTGGTAGTAAATGATCTCTAATAGAAAAATATCTTAGTCTACTTGGGTTGCCATAATAAAATACCATAGACTCAGTGCCTTAAACAACAGAGATTTATTTCTGATAGTTCCAGAGGTTGGGAAGGTCAAGATCAAGTTGCTGGCAGATTTGATTCCCTGAAGGGCTTTTTCCTGGCTTGTGGACAACTGCCTTCTTGCTTGGTCCTCACATGTTCTTTTCTTGGTGCATGTTAAAAGAGAAATCTCCCTCTCTTTCTGTTTTTATAAGGCCACTAATCCCATCACATGGGCCCCACCCTTGTGACTGAATATGACTCTAATTATGTCCCAAAGGCCCTATCTCCAAATACCATCACATTAGGGGTTGGGGCTTCAACATAATAATTTTGAGGAGGACACAAATATTCCGTCCATGACAGAAAGTACCTTGTGTGTGCTCACAGAAAAATGTCTCAATTTTAAATATGACTTAGAAGTGATTCTCTTCTAGGAGACATTGGATCAAAAAGGTCGTTTTACCAATTTTCATCTCTAAAAGAGGCAGTCATTGATTCTAGTAGCACGATTAAAGAACTTTTGAAAATTAATATGAGCATAAAAGGGACAAAAATGATGAGGTCAAGCAAAACAGTAGAGGGAATATATAAGAAGAGTACAAGAAAAACTGAAGAATAAAGACTCAGGGACATAATTGAGAGTGCATGTATATCTTACTCCAGGAACAAGCCAATCTGAAATGGGGCAGATAGCAAGGTAGACAAAGAGATGAAAGAAAAGAAATAATTTGAGTAACTTTGGAGATTAATGCAGAGTTGGAAAAAGTAAGTTCATACTTTACGCTACAGGATCTCTAAACACTGTGATGTCTTAGTCACTGTGAGATATGTCATATACAACTTATTAATAGCATTTAAAGAATATGATTAATAGACCTATGGATACGTATGTCTTTTGTTATTTTGTATCTTCTTAACTCAGGTAAGAATCTTAGAAATTTGCATGCTGGAAAAAGTCAATGTGTATGTAATTCTAGATATTGATAATTTTCCTTTCATGAGGGTTGCACTGTTTTAAATTCTTACCAGGAATCTTTGCAAATGACAGCTTTGGCTCAGCCATACCAGTAGATTGTAACAATAGGAAATTTCAACCTTAAATAGTACACTTCCATTTTATTACAAATAGTTGGAGAATTTAACAAATGGCAGGCTATAAAATCAATATGCAAGACAGAAACTTATTTTTCCTTTTTAATTATGTTGTCTCTCATCTTTTCTTTTGTCTAATCCACTTGTGGATATCTTCAACACAGTGTTTAAGATTAGTGCAGATATTGAGCAGCCAAATAAGTGCATTTTTTTATTGTTAAGAAATTATCCATCACTATATTGAAGGATTTAACATAAATGTATATTGAATTTTATTGATGTCTTTTATGTATCTATGGAGAGAATTTTGTGATTCTCCTCTCTAACTCTTTTAATAAGATAGACTTTATCAAAAGTTTTGATTGAACCCCTTTTGAATTTCTGAAATAAACCACACTTAGTCATGGTGAATTCTTCTTTTTTTTTAACTTTTATTTTAAGTTCAGAGGTACAAGTCCAGGTTTGTTATATAGATAAACTTGTGTCATGGGGGTTTGTTGTCCAGATTATTTCACATAATGAATTCTTTATGTGCTCTTCTCTTTGCTTACATTTTTTCTTTAATATTTTTGTCTTAATATTTTAATGAGCATTTTTGTAGTCTTGTTTTCAGGTACAATCTTTGTGAGATTTGGAGAACAGTGTTACATTTGCTTTATAAAAGGAAATTTGAATATTTCTCTTTTTTTAATGCTGTAGACTCAAGTAGTATCTGATATGTAAGGATCTCTTAAGAATAAATTACTAAACAACCATATGGCCCTGGTGCTTTTACCTGCAAGAGCTCTTTAAGTACTTTCTATTGTATCTATTGGCATTATTTATTGGCATTGTTCCATTGAAACTTTTTGTCCTTGCAGGAATCAATTTTGACGGGTAGTTTTCTATCAAAGTATCAATTTGTTCTAAGTTCTTGAATTTATTTAAAATAATTATATAAAGTACAAAAAATATTACCATCTTAACCATGTAAAATCTTCCAATCCATGAGCTTGGAATCTTTTCCCATTTACTTGGGTCTATACTTTGAATAATATTTCATATTTTTCAGTGTACATATATCTTGTATTTCTTTAATTAAATTTAACCCTAAGTATTTTTCGATACTATGAGTGAAGTTGTTTTCTTAATTGCATTTTTATTTATTGCTAGAGCATATAAAAATGATTTTGGTACATGAATCTCATGTCCTGCAACTTTGCTGAATTCATTAATTCTGGGATAATTTTTTGTTTATTCTTCAAGATTTTCTATGTACAAGATCATGTTTTTTGTGAATAGAGAGAGTTTTACATCTTCTTTTCCAATTTTGATGCTTTTTTTCTTGCCTGATTGTCCCAGCTAGAATTTCCAGTACAACATTGAATAGAGGTGACGAAAGTGGACATCGTGTGCTAAATCTTAAGAATAAAGAATTTAGGTTTCACTATTTAATGTAATGTTAGCTGTAGGTTTTTCATAGATGCCAATTAGCAGGTTGAAAAAGTTCCCTTCTACTCCCAAGTTTTTGAGTGTTTTTACAATTAAAGTGTTGTATTTTGTCAAATGCTTTTTCTGCTTTATTGAGGACATGTCATTTTTTTTGTCCTTTATTCTACTAGGGTGGTGATCACATTGATTGATATTTACATATTAAACCAATCTTGAAGAATTTAATGATGAATCCTTTTTTTATATGTTGCCAGATTCAGTTTGCTATCATTTTGTTGAGGTTTTATTTTGTGTCTATATTCAGAATCGATTTTGATCTATAGTTTTCTTGTCTAGTTTTAGTATCTTGGTCTAGTTTTGAAGTTAGTCCAACACTAACTTCAAAAAGTAATGAAGTGTTCACTGTTTTTTTTGTTTTGTTTTGTTTTTTGTTTTTGTTTTTGACAACATCTCACTGTGTTGCCCAGGCTGGAGAGTGGTGGCACAATCAATCATGGCTCACTATAGACTCCAACTCAAGTGATCCTTCCACCTCAGCCTCCCAATTAGCTAGAACTACAAACATGTACCACCATGCTTGGCTAATTTTGTTTCTTTTTTTTTTTTGGGGTAGAGATGGGGTTTCACTATGTTGACCAGGCTGGTCTTGAACTCTTGCCTTGAACTCCCAACATTCTGGGATTACAGATGTGAATCATCACTCCTGACCCTGCTCTTCTATTTTTGGAAGACTTTGGGTAGCAATGGTATTTATTCTTCTCTAAATGTTTGGTACAATTCACAAGCGATGGCATTTGGTTATGGAGTTTTATTGTGGGAATTCTTTGTATATAGTTTTTCTTTGCTGTTGTAAGCTTTTAGTGACTTAAAAACCCCACAAATTTATGATGTTACACTTCTAGAGTTAGCAGTCCAGCACAATTCTTCCTGAATTAAAATAGAGGTGTCGGCAGTGCTACATTTTTTGTTTTTTCTGGAGCTTCTGGGGAAGAATCCACTTCCTTGTCTTTTCAGATTTCTAGAGGGCACTTACATGCACTTACATTCCTTGGTCATGGTCCCCTCCCTCCATTTTCAAAGCCAGTGACGTTATATTTCTCCAGCCATTCTTCCATAGCCACATCTTGCTCTGACACCAGCTGGCAACAGCTCTCAGCATTTAAGGACTCAATTATATTAGACCCACTAATTGAGTTAATCTTCCCATCTCATATTCCTCAACTGAATCACATATGCAAAATCTCTATGTAAAGCAACATATTTACAGGCTACAGTGTTTAAAATAGACTTTTTGGTCGAGTCATAATATTGCCCTACCACTTTTAAAATGGTAAAATCTTTTTAATTCTTATATGTCTATTTAGATTTTCTATTTCTTCCTGACTCATTGTAAATAGTTTTTATCTTTTTAGAAATTTGTTCATTTGACCTAGGCTCTCTAATTTGTTGGCATATAGTATTTCACAGTGTTGTCTTATTTTTCTTTTTATATCTTAAGGTTAGTGATGATGTCCCCCTTTCATTGCTGTTTTAATAATTTGCTTATTTGCTTTAATAATTTGTATATTCTCTCTGTTTGTTTCTTGGTCAAACAAAAGCCCTGTTAATTCTGAGCATTGAATTTCTCTACTGCGTTTCTATAACCATTTAACTTGTTTACACTCTAATCTTTATTAGATCCTTCCTTTTGCCTGCTTTGGTTTTAGTTTGCTCTTCTTTTTCTAGTTCTTAAGATGGAAAGTTAGACTAATAATTTAACATCTTTCATGTTTTATAATATAGAGGTTACAACAATAATTTCCCTCTAGTTAATACTTTAGATGAATAACTTACATTTCAGTGTTTGTTTATGAAAGTATTTTCTAATTTCCCTTGTGATTTCTTCTTTGATTCATTGGTTATGTAGAAGTAAGTTGTTTATTTTCAAAATGTTTATGAAGTCTTCAGTTTTGTTTTGGTATTAATTTCTAATTTAATTCTACCCATGGTCAGAAAAGATACTTTGTATGATTTTTAACCCTTTTAAAAATTATTCAGGCATTTTTATGGCATAACATTTGGTAAATCCTAGAGAATGTTTCAAATGCACTTGAAAATAATGTCTATTCTGATGCTTTTAGGTAGAGCGTTCCATGCACTCTTTTAGTTCTACTTGGTTTATAGATCTTCTATTTTCTTATTTCAGTTGTTAATCTTATGAAGGACCCTTTGGTTGTGGTGAGCCGTTTTTCTCTTTCTGCTTTCAAGATTCTCTCTTTTTTCTTGTTTTTACCTCAACATTGTGAAATACACCTTTGTAACAAATCTGCACAGGTACCCTGATTCTAAAGTTAAGGAAAAAAAAAAAAAGGGAAATGCCACAAAGCCCACTGTCACTGTTCTTGCTGCCATTGAGCTTTTTTTTTTTTTTTTTTTGGAATAAGTAGTCCTTGAATTTTTTACAGTCCTTTGTTTAATATCTGAAGTTCTGAAAGTGTTGCTTTTCCTAATTTTTCAAGTGTCCTAATTGTGTATTTTTGGAGGTCCTTTTTGCCATTGTATAAATGTTTCTGGAATACTACCTACTTCCTAATATAACCAATGCTGAAATTAGCTAGAAAATGCTTATTTCGTTATTCCACAACATATAATTTGAAGTAAAATTCTTTTATTTCCAACTAATATTAATTATGCATTCAGTTAATGTATTCTACTTTTCATGTGCTCTTTCCATTCTTTCCAAGTTTTTATAGTTGTTGTGTGTCATAATTATCTAGGACTACTAGTTAAAATTATTTTTCCTGAGAAAAAATTTCTAGGGGTACAAGCACAGATATTTATAATTTTCTAAGCACACCTGGTGACCCATATATAACTAGTTCGTGAACTACTGCTTTAATCTTTCCAGGAGGATTGGTATGTATATTTTTTCTATGAAGAAACTGTTTAAAATAGCACATATGACACCTGTGTCTAGATATCAAGTTAGACTAGATATCAAGTCTAACACAATTTCTTCAGGTTATATGCCAGTTATTTACATATACCCTTTTTACAGGCAACATTATAAGTAATATTTGAAATAAATTGAAGATAAGCATAGAAGTTGTCACATGACTTCATTGATAAAAATACAATTAATTTTTGGTATGGAAATGCAATGAGAAATACAGAATTTGGACTCAAATTGGACTAAGTTCAAGTCTTATTGTGTTCCTTACTATCTTCTTGATTTCAGAAAATTCTCAAATCTTTCTGAACTTCGCAATCTGTTTGTAGAAGGGGCATTACAATACTGACTTAATAGGGTGCTTGTGAGAATATTATGTCAGCAATTAGCAGGATGTACCTGTAAATAACAGCTTTTAGATGTTACTAGCTAAGGAAACCCCTCTGTGTAATAAAAAGGATGGTACAGAAAGGTCTTTGTGTCTGGATTTCCAGAATACTGAGCCCAGTTGGTGATGCTTATTTTAGTATCCATTGGGAGGCATAAGTAGTCTGTTTCTCATATTATGAATTCTTTTGCTTAGTCACTGGCCATGCTCAGCTAGATATTTACCTGCTTCATTCACTCTGAAGGCTTGTAGATTACATGGCTCTGAGAATTTAAAGGTTTCATCAGGCAGAATCTAATTTATTAACTTTTGTTCAGGATTGGCTTTTTTTCTTTATATGCTTCTCTTTTCTCTACGGTTTCTTTCATTCATCAGAACATACTGGCAATTGTAGATGATTCATTGCTATTATACATTCTTAAGCTACTTTATGTGTCTGGCAGATTTTCCTTTTCTCTTTTATTCTTATGTCTGTAATCACATGTATAAGTCCACTCTCGCATTACTATAAAGAAATGTCTGAGACTGGATAATTTATAAAGAAAACAGTTTTAATTGGCTCATGGTTCTGTAGGCTGTACAGGAAGCATGGCTGGGGAAGCCTCAGTCAGCTTACAATCATGGCGGAAGGTGAAGGGGAAGCAGGCACATCTTACATGGCTGAAGCAGGAGGAAGAGAGAGGTGGGGAGGTGCTACACACTTTTAAACAAACAAATCTTGTGATAACTCACTTACTATCATGAGAACAACACCAAAGGGGAAATCCAGCCCTGTGATCCAGTTACCTCCCACCAGGCCCCCCTCCAACACTGGGGGTTACAATTTGACATGAGATTTAGCAGAGACACAGACTCAAACCATGTAATCATTTTACATATATAAACATTGATATGTACATTTGTCATTTTTGATGACAATTTCCCTTTCCTATTTTGAGAAAATTCTCCTTTAAGTGTTATGTTGACCATTGGGAGTTCCTTCTTTTTCATTTTAGAAGTCAAACAGACTGATCCTTTCTCTATAAACTTTTATAAAGTTCATATACACTTGATATGGGCTTGATTTTCAGGACATTTCTCTCTGGGACTGAATTTTCAGCAACTGATGAAAAATCAAAGTGATGGTCAAAATCTGTGGACTCAGCAGCAGTGACAGTGGAAGCATTCTTCTGGATAAGTAATTATTGCTTTCAGCCTTCTAGAACTGCCTTAGTTTCTGTCCACTTTTCAGAATGTCTCTTTTTACTTTATGTAACCACAGTTGCTTTCTATTGAATAGAAATAAGAATCCCATTGGATGAAAAGCTTCTCATACTCTGGTCCTATCCTTCTTAGCATCTTCATCACTTTGCCTGCCATTCTTGCTTAAATACTCTATGCAACAGCCACACTTAATTTCTTACTATTATACAAATAGTAAGCTCACAGTTTACAATAATATCTGTGTTAGTTTTTGATAATGAATGAATTCTTACTCTGAGTTTATGTGAGATCTTTTTGTTTTAAAGAGTGTAGCACCTCCCCCCCTAACTTCTTGCTCCTTCTCTTGCCATGTCATCACCTGCTACCCCTTTGCCTTCCACCATGATTGTAAGCTCCCTGAGGCCCTCAGCAGAAGCAGATGCTGGCACCACGCTTCCTTACAGTTCACAGAACTGTGAGCCAATTAAACCTCTTTACTTTATAAGTTACCCAACCTCAAGTATTGGGGTTGAGAGCAATGCAAATATGAAATAACACACTGCCTTAACAAATTACCACAAATTTAGTGGCTTACCTAACACAAGTTTATTATATTATAGTTATGTAGGTTAGAAGTCTGACTCAGGTATTACTGGGCTAAAATGAAGTGGCAGTAGGTTTCTTCTCCTTTCTGTAGGTTCTGAGGAAGAATCTATATCCTTCTTTATTTAAGTTGCTAGAAGAATTCTGTCCCTTATAGTTGTAGGGCTTGAAGCTGTTTACTTGCTGGGTCTAAGGGCCATTTCCTGCTTTTCCAGGCCACAGAATTCCTTTGATCATGATTTCCTTTCTCTATCTTCAAAGCAGGGAATGGCAGGCTAAGTCCTTGTCGTGTATTATCTTTCTGATTCTTCTTTCATCATCATATCTCTCTTTGACCTCAGCCAGGAAAGATTCCCTACTTTTAAGGACTCATGTGATTTTATATATATATATATATATATTCCATAATAATCACATTATTTCCAGATATATATTTTTAATCATGTCAATAAACATCTCTTTTTCAATAAAAGGCAACATATTTATAAGCTCCAGGCTTTAGGGCATGAACGTCTTGTGGAGGAGATGATAGAACATCATCTGACTCCAAAAGACTTACTACAACCCATCTCAGTGTTCCCTAAAGTCTTAACTCATTAGAAGAAGCAACAGATATTCTAAGATATGATCTGATGCACTGGAATGCATACAAATGTGTGCCAGTCAAATCATGGCACTTCTCTGCTTAATAGCCTCCAACAACTTGTCATCTTACTTCGAATAAAAGCAACGTCATTACTGTGACCTGTAGGGCTCTCCTTGATCTGGCCCCTTTAGATCTTGATCTCATTTTTTCTTATTCTCTCTTGTACTGCTGCAGTCACACTGGCCTCTTTACTCCCTCACATGTGCTAGGCAGGTGTCCACCTAGTAGTTTTAAGCCCTCACAGTTCCTGCTGCTTGAGGTAAAGTTACCTTATGAGGCTTTTCCTTGCTATATTATCTGTTATTTCACCCTTGTCTGCTGCATGGATTCTTCAGATTACTTTTTCTTGCTTAGTTTTAATTTTTATAATTATTGTCTAATGTATTTGCTTTATTATTTATGTTATTTATATATGTATTTTGTTATTTATTACCTATTTTCTGCCAGTAGACAATAAGTTCCACAAGGCAGCTATGTTTGTCTTTTTTGTTCACTGTGTCCCCTTAGTGCCTAGAAAGGTACCTGGCACAATAGGTGCTCAGTAAATATTTATTAATAAATATTCATTCAAAATGAATGAATTCTTGACCTGGGGAATACATAGTCTTCCTTTGTTCATTAACTTGGGATTGATGAGCAAGTCCCTCGAAATAGAATTAATATAATCAATGTGTTACTATAGTATTTTGCAATAACCTACAACGTATAAATCAAATGGTGTTATGCTTAGTTGTTTAACTTTCTTCTTTACTGTCTACGCTACGAGTTCCCTTAGGTTAGGTTCCATGCCATGATCATCTGTATACTGATTGTCTAGCATATTGACTGAAACATAGTAGGCATTTGAATACTATTCATTAAAATAAATTTAAAACCAAGTGAACATATTGACTGAATGCCAATCATAAATTTTATTCTTAAACGCCAAGGTAAAAGTTGTTGTCTCTTCAAGGGAGAACTTTGAGAAAATTAGAGTAGACAGGCCAAATTTTTAATTGGAAAATTCATCTCTGAAAATCTTTGGAGTTCTGCATTTAGCAAGAAAGTGTCATTTTAGTAGTTGCAAAAGTTGGAATCACAAAAGAGTCCGTAATGAATTATTCAATTAAGCCATTTGTTTGAGAATCCTAGAGCATGTAATAAAGACATTTTTGGGCCCAAAGGGTCTTTAAGTATTTCTCAATAACTTGAAATGTTCACTATATCATTTATAGATTATATTCTAGAGCAGCAGCTCACAAAATGTGAAATTATGTTCATGGGATATTAATAAGTTTAAATAAAAATAAGAAGTAAGTAACAGGTGAAATAAACCTAAAATAGTTTCTTTACTGCACAATTTGCCATCGCTTTTAATATGTGTTGTGATTCACCACGAAGTAGATACGGAAACTCATATTCTCCAAAAGCTTTTGTTTACAAACCCTTTTATATTTTTCCTTGGACAACTTTTCTCTGAGACACATTTTAGAGGCATCCCCACAAACAGGAAATCCAGATGTGACATATGGTTTAAGAGAAAAAGATGTCAGCAACAGAAACTCTGGCTGTAGGTACTGTTCTTCGTGGATTGATGCCAAGTGCTATGCGAAGGTACAAGCAAGGACCATCTTCATATCACACACACCTTACCAGTCATTTATAACTAATACTAAAACATATATTTCAGTTGCATATTCAACATTTCTTTCCATTTAGGAAGTTATGTCAGCTGACAGTTCATGGAATCTTCAAGTGCTACCTTAAGATATGTTAGTCTGAGAAATTCCTTTGTTTATACCGGAGTAGTTCACCTATGGATTCTAATAATCTGAAACTACTTAATCATTTTTCCAAACATTTAGATATTTTCAGGCACCATGGTTGGATTAAAATATTTTGCAAATGTAAAACACTTTTCTCCTAACCCTGTTTGATAAGTAGATGTGTTCTCAACACATCATTTGATGGAGGCTGCTTTTTCCAACTGAATATACCCCATATCTAAAATATTTCACAAGACAGTTAAGCAGCTGTGTGAAAAGCTGTTTGATTTCAAAGTGATCTCCAGCCTCATGATTGTCCAAGTTCCAAAATAGAACTGTGTGTGATTATAGCCTACATAAAAGGTTACAGGCTGTTGAAGGACTGACTCCAAATCAAATGCCAAATGTGTCACCATGTATTGTACTTTAGACTTGTCTGAAGCCAAACATTTAGAAAACACTTGATTTAATTCAGTAAGTATTCATTGGGTACCCATTATATGCAAAATAGTTGATTTCATGCTAAAACCTAGAACATAATCTGAAAGTTTTACCAGCAAAGTATTTATTAGACACCCAGGATATTGGTTCCCTTCAATACCATTATAATTCTGCCTAGCAAACACTCATTCAAGTCATATGAGCAACGAGTGAACACAATTTAATGAGTGTGATGGGAAAAAGATCATTAGTGATGGTAACCAAACCAATTCCCTCTTTGATGAATCTATATAAGGTTAGTCAGACATGTTTTTGACAGGGTTGGATTCTGACACAGGAATCTCATAATTTCATCAATTATCTATTAACTTCCAATGAATTGGAAACTAAATGATTAAACGGGATGAAGAGTTCATATAAACCAAAGTTATCAATTCTAAGAGCCGTGACAGAACATAAAAGATAAATCCAATGTCAGCAAAGGGTGTGCTCTGATGAGTCCAGGTGAGGAAGGAGCTAGAACTGTGTCAGATATCATGATGAAATTCAGGAAAAGATCCAGGGCTAAAAACTAAATCAAACCATACATGACATTTAATAAATATCAACCAATGCATAAAGAGGTGAACCAAAGTTAGGACTGGAAATCACATCAGAATTTAGAAAAAACTTTAGAAAAGATAAAAATATGAGCAAAAGTTAATGTGGTGGTTTGAATGATAGAAGGAGGATCTAGAGAAGGGAAAGCATTAAAGTTTACTTATTTGTTTTCACTTAGAGATTAACACAAATAAATGCTTGAAGTCATTCTCAGGAAGTTTCAAGGCTGATATAGTATTCAATACTGATCCATATGACTTTTTCCCTTGAAAATGGGCCCTGAAAAAAGGAATCTCTGTTCTAATTTCATCATCTAAACAGAAAAGGCTGGTGGGATATTTAAACAACTTGAATCTGGGGGTTTGTTCCGTCTACTCTAGTCAATCTGGTAGTATGGAAAAGAGCATTCGGGAGAATTAAAGGCAGAAATTCCTACTCAGCATCTCTTCCTCTCCTGCCTTCTCCCTGCAGTATTCTGGTGCTTTTCTTCACTTGGGCTCTTGACCATTTTCTTTTCTTGCTTTATCTACCATAGTGGAGGGGGACAGTGGTTCCATGGTGAGATAAATGGATGCTTGTGGAAGAATCATAAAGATCATCTCAGGCTTAATTTCAATGGTGTGCCTTAGAGTTAAAATAAAATTACACACAGATCTATTTTTGTGAAAAATCTAAAAGATTGTATTGCCCTACATTTCTACTATTGTAAGTGTTCTAAGGAGCCAAGGTTTTGTATGATCTTTGCTTTCAGATAAGGCTGAAGGGCAAAAACTTTATTGAATGCCCTTAGTATATGATTAAGATATATTGATGCAATTCAAGAAATATTGATTGAAAGTCCTGGAAAGCAAGATGAACATTTTCCTCAGTCATAGAGCTTACACTAGTAACAAGTACCTTAAGTGTTACAAAAGAGGGCTTATTGAGTGATTTGGTGGTAGCTTTCAAGGTGCTTAACCTAGTCTAGAGAGTTAAGGAAATCTTTCTTGAGTAAGTAATACTTATGATGAAACTTAAAAAGCCTGATGCAATGTGATAACAAGCAAGTTGTAATGGAGTGCACTCTCTCCAGCAGAGTAGTAACTTGCCTCTACACAGATAAAAAGAACAAGCTGAGCAAATCAAATTTCCTGGCCCTACCATACTACCAAATGAATAAAACACATACCCAATGAATGCGATCTTATCACTATAGATGAGGCAAGAGCAATAGTAACTATCACTCATAGATAATTATGATGTTTCAGTCTCCTCTTGCCTTAATCTATTTGATCAGAATGATAACCAGAGAAGATGGATACTGTCATCCCCTAGGAAGACTTATGGATTGTCCCAAAGCTGAACATCTACTCAGAAGTAGGGACTGGTTTCAAATATAGGTCTGATTTCAAAGCTTATAAAATGCTTTATTCCAAATTCCTTTACTTGTGCTTTACTTCTCCTTAAATTCAAATATAATTAATATGAGTAGTTTCATGGTTGTAGCAGATGTCTTTTGATCCATACATCACATCCCTGGGCCACCTCTGAATTCTACTGCAGGTGAGTGCCCAGGCCAAGTGTAGACTAACAGTACATTTCAAGCAGTCATACCTTACTGTGTTTTCCGTCTCAGGGCTTTCCCTGAAACCAAGGGAATTTGCTCAGTCTGGTTGAATTCATGGGGATTATAATATCCTCTGAAGTAACTCTTGCACAGTGGAGTAGGAGAGTCTAATGGGTAAAAGCCCAGTCTTCTCTCTTTTGGAGGGTCAGTTCTGAGGCACTTTCTACATGGTTACTCAGAAGGTTCCTGGGGAATTGAGACCTAGCTGTCCACAGAGATAATCAGCTCAATAATGTATACTTATTTTTCTTGCTTCTCCACCTCACTCTCTTCATTTCCTGCCCTTGTTTCTTGAGGCAACTTCCCAGAAAAATCACCTGTATCTGGTCCTTGTGCCAGGTTTTGTTATCAGTAAAGTTCAAACTAAAACAATGCTTTTACTCACGGAATTTTTTAGTAAAAATTTTATACTATGTTTCAGTTGAAAGTCCACTAGATCTCAAGCAAAAATAATATAATATTTCACATGTATTTTATTACCATATGGGAGTCCTCAGATGCTTCAATGTTTAAGAAACAACAAAAGCAAAACATACATGAAACATGGCATAAAATATGAAGGAGGAGACATCAGTAAGATGGCTGACTAGAGATGCCTAACACTTACTTATCCCCTAGCACAAAAAAAATGACCAAGATGGCAAACAACTACATTTTAACCAGAGTGACTAAAGAAAAGCACTGGAGTACCACAAGGAAGTGATGGAAACTCTGTGGAGCATAGAAACTCAGGACGGCTACACAGAGAAGGGAAAGAAACACCTTGTCTCTGCCATCCCATTTTGCCAGTCAGAGTAAGTTCAGAACCAGGAAAGACTTCTCTCTGTGGGGAAAAGTTAACTAGGAGGCCTCCAGAATCCTCCATTACTGCTAAAGACACCTGCAGTCTTTGAATTCATGGGGATACTGAAGAATTCTGCAGTACTCACAGACCCTAGGTCCAGTTTAGGGAACATCCTGGAGTTTGTGTGGCTACACGACTCCAGGGAATGAATCCACACCATGTCTTGCAAGCCTGTGATGCAAGATGTGTGATTGTACTGTAACATTGTGGAATTAGTGTCACTGCTAGAGTACATCTTACCTGTGGCACTGGTAGCCACTACAGCTCTTCGTCCCTGAGGCTCTGTCACAATTCGGCCACACTCTTACACAGTAGTGCACCATTTGCTAGCTGAGTTGCTGTAGCTTCTAAGCCACTGGAAACAAACTTCCTAGGAGGCACTCCATCTCTCCCATCTGGGTAGTCCCCATCTACTTAGAGCCCTAGGCCCAGCAGAACAGCCATGACCCTGATGTCCAATCCCACATGACACCCTGTCTCCCAAGAAACAACCGGTCTAGCTCAGGAGAGAAACTGTGCCTGAGTCAGCAAAGCAGCCATGTCCCCTCAGCATATGAAGCAACCCACTGCCCCACCCCCAGGGAAATGGAGATTTGACTAGGAGAGCAGCCACAGCCACAGTCCTTGAGCCTCTGTGGCATCCAGCATCCCCAAGGAAACATACCTTTGACTGATCTGTATCACCC
Organism: Homo sapiens; assembly: GCF_000001405.40. NCBI lineage: Eukaryota > Metazoa > Chordata > Mammalia > Primates > Hominidae > Homo > Homo sapiens. The sequence continues at coordinate 40,074,476 of NC_000014.9, forward strand.
TGCCCTCTGGGCAGAACAGCTTCAGCACCCTGTCTCTCAAAATTTAGAATAGCCTTCTGGAGTCTTAGCTGCTGAGCGTACCATCTCCATGGGGAGGAAAGCCAACATTGCACTGCTCCCTGCCCCGCCCCCCTCCCCCAGAGCCCAAGCCACAGCTGTGCCTCACCATACCTAGGTCCTTGCTGCCAATGCTCCTGGGCCAGTGCTGTGTCCCACAACTGCTGTGTCTAACAACTTAAGGGGCCAGAGTCTCCCCTATGCAGTACCCTCTCCCTTCAGGAACACACACAAAAAAAAAAAACAAGAAAAAGAAAGGAAACATGATGCCATCAAAGGAACAGAATAAATCTCCAGTAACTGAGCCCCAAAGAAATGGAAATGTATAAATTGCTCATAAAAGAGTTCAAAATAACGATCTTAAAGAAACCAAGCAAGATAGAAGAGAATACAGATAGATTTCTCATGATTACATGTCATGAGAAATAGTGTAAATTAAGAAACATTTGTTTTAAGTAATATTGCTAAGGATTAACATGAAAGTGCTTGATTTTGTTTGTTTTCTTATGTTTTTGTTAATTTTAATCTAATGGAAGTGAATGAGAGGAAGCAGGTGAACTTTGTGAATATTGTCAAGTCTGACATGTGGATTGTGATATTTCTTCTTCAAAATGCCGATAAATGTTCAACAGAATAAATTTACATGAAGTAAGCAGTATACAAAGCAATTATTGTTTAGAAATACCATGTCATGTAGACTACTGTTTCTGCTAAGAGGATGACAAGCTAAAACTAGCAACCCTTAGGAAAATTGCTGGTGATCTTACACCCCAGCCACTTGTTTGAACCTCTCTGTCCTTTGTTTAGAACAAGAGGTGATAAGGGTTATACAAGAGCCCTCTTGGCGGTGATAGGAAAAACATGCCATTCCTTCTTGAACAAATTATATCAGTTATAAATATTGTACTTGCTCAGAGCCATTTTGCTTTTGCAGTAAATAATTTAAAATAATCGTTATTTTAAATGTAATTTCTGACAATATATTATGAGGAGTGTAGTTACAAAAGTATAGAAGAACAGAATGTACCAGTAGAAGTTAACGTAATCTAATTCCTATTATTTTGGGAGTCTTAGAAGCTGGCACATCCACAAATTGTTATTTGGCCTGTATACAAAATGTGTTTCTAAAATGTGTGTTTTAGAAAAATTCACTGTTTAATATGCAGGAATTTTTTAATTCAAAAATATTACTTCTACATGTCTTTGACTACATCTTGGGAAAAAAATGAAATTAAATTCAAATCTGTAGTTGGCTCTACAATCCCTCAAAAAGCTTACAATCTAGTTTTGAAGACAGTGCATATGCATATTAATAAAACAGAGAAACTGAACAAAAGACATGAAACTATGAGAGCAGATTGTGAAATCCACATTCATGAGAAATAGTAGAGATTTTGTAAGCAATGAATTTTCTTTTCAGGGCACGTTTTTTGTCTTCTCATAACTTCTTGGTTTGAAACAGTGATGATCTTATTTTTTTTTGACTAACTTTTTGATATTTCTTAACACAGGAAAGTAGGCTTGTGCTTTACTCAGTTTTAATGGCCTAACCAACTGCATATAAAATGAGAAGAGCTGAGTGTTGTTTAATAAGCAACTTGATATAAACCTCTCCGGTTTAACATCTCTAATGAATGCATTTTTGTTTCCTCCTACCTACCAATATTGTTCCATAATCCTCTTCATTTCATGTGTATGCTTTTGCTTGTTGTTTCTTTTAGCTTAGAATTAAGACCATGCCTCATAAAAAGGAAATATTTGTTGAGTGAGCAAAGCTTTCAGAGGGTTTTACATTTGATATTGCTGATACGCTTCATTGAAAACACTTCAGATTTGAATAGATAGACAGTCTACATTGAACTCTACATAAGATTTGAATATCTGTAGCATTTATTTGCCATTCTGTAGAGTCAAAAGCAGCATTTTTGAGAGAGACAACTTTGTTCTGCTGGTATAATAGTCCGTTTTGTTACTCATAGCCTCCCAGCTGCTGCTTAATGAGATACAAGCATAATTCAGAGAAAAATAGACGAAGAAACCAAGACTATTAGTAGCAAACGATGTAATAAAAATTAGAGAGACAAGAAAATGAGCCACAAAAGGATTTTTTTACCAGGCTACCCTGTGGTACACTCTGATTGCCGGCAGACACAAATCGAGACTCAACACTGCATTCAAGATTTACCAACTGTTAAATTGGCAACTTTATGATGGAAAGAGGAGAGACTTAAATATTCTTGCTGCTCTGGATAGAAGTCATTCTATAGACTGATATTTGTAGCATTTTAACTTCACTAGATAATTGAAAAGATTTTTAATTCATGTACTTTGAATTGTGATAATTGGCAGGAGTATGAAGACTGACAGATAATTTGTAAATAGTGCAATTATTCAAATGTTATAAATTGGTTATTTGTAATATTTTTGAACTATTTAGTATTTAATTACTCATAGGTTAGAGTTAACACTTAGTCCATGTCATATTTTTAAGCTGCATATATAAATTGATAAATAGACAAGCAAATGGAATTCTAGTATACACATAGACTAGTGTCTACTCACCCGAAAGATGCTAGTCTTTCATTTTTTTGAAGAAAGTCTATTCATGATAATCACCCAAAGTATTTAGTGCTCTGAATGACTGCACTTGGAGGAACTCACTGAGCATAAACACAACTAGTAGGCTATCCCTGAATAGGTCCTATGAGGTATTAAAGATGGCAGATCACAGGGAAACTTCTGCCTTCCAAAGTGTGATGTTATTCAATGGAATTATGATAAAAAGGCATGTTAGTGGAAATGAAAAACTAAATACACAATGGAATGAGATCACAAATCTAAAATTATTTGCAAGATATTTTTCAAATGTGTAAAGCAAAAGCATCTAGATACTCACTGGGTTTTTCAGCAGTGGGGCCTGTTCATCCTGTCAAAAAATATAAGTAACTAATGAAAGACAATTTAAATTATTAAAGTAAGAAAAACATGTTATGCATTTAATAAGCAATGTGTATAAGTAAAAACTGTTTTCATTTTACCTGTCATATATAAGATCTAAGTTATCTCTTATTCGATAGTATCAATTTACATTGATTAAAATAAAAATGTTCCATTTCTCATGCCATTCCTATTAATCTCCATATAATAATTAACATTCTTTGTAAGCTTTGGTGAGTTTTAAAAATTCTTCTATATCCTATTTCTTTTGGGCAGAAGAGATTTCACTCTGATATGAAATGTTAGGTGGTTCACTTTTATGCAGGCAAATGAAGTTTTACCTTCAGTTTCCAAAACAGATGATTGTTTTCCTGTTAAAATCCCTGTGATGAAACTGTATGATCTTTTAAAACAGTAATTTTATTAATCACACTTATACAAAGCATATTATATGTATTTATTTCTTTATCTAATATAAAATATCTATCTTCTAGGATAGATAGATATCTATCTATTTTCCTTTAACTCTGAGCTTTGTGGATGCAGAAAACAGAGACTCCTTGAAATTAATTCTCAAGCACTTGCAGACAGTCTGCTTCGCCTCTGGTGTACTGCTTCTGTCATCTTGGCCATTTTTTATGGTGTAGCTCTATGTTGTTTCATTGTTTATTAAATAATTTGTTCAACTGGTATCTCTTGTTCTAAAAAATTGTCCTTAATATAATGACTGCTTTTCCTTAAGAACTGGTTTCCTTATTTGAAGCAAACCAAGGAAAGTTGTCATGCATGGAAGTTAAGGAGGTGTTTGTTTAGAGAGTTAAGTTTATATAATCACATATTATATAATTTTAAATCCTTATTCTGTAACTTCATTTAGAGACATTGTTATGATTAATGAGGTAGCTCATTAAAATTGCTGTACTTGTTACTTAGACTTTGCTGAAATTAGTTCACTAGAGCACTGATGTATACTTCCGGAGGTCTAAGTTTCACATATAACTTCAACACTGAATAAATATGTGACCTTGAGTAAATCTTCTCATCTTTAGTGGACTGCATTTACATATCTTTAATGAAATATTAATAGTGAGACTGTGTGTGTGTCTGTGTATGTGTATGCGTGTGCCCTTGAGGGTGGTTTTACATGTAAATAATTTAGAAATTAATTTTTTTATAACTTCAAATTTAATTATTAAAGTTCTAAACAAAAACCTAGCTCTTAAGCTTTAAGTTTGAAAATATTTTTTATCCTAATTCTAAAAATCAACATACTGTTTTAATCACGGCCAAAGGTGGTTGAATATTTGGTCCCATTAAAAGACTTAGTATTCGTTCTTTAGAATTTTACATAAGTTAAATATCATGTATAAATGTGATATATTTAATTTTCCTTTAAATATTTTAATTTCCTGATGGATAAACACTTTAATAAACTAAATAACTCTTATAAACCTAACATATAAAACTTATAGTAAAATTTATATTCACTTAATATTGTAATAGATAAAATTGGTTCTGTTTCAACTTAAATCACAAATGTGAAGCATTTATTCAAGTATACATTTTAAATTAGCATTATTAAAGTTTACTCTAATTTTCAAAAATTCCTTGAACATTAGAAATGAACAAAATATGTATATATGTTTTAATATATTATTGTTTTAATTCTGTAAATATTTTATACTTAATTATAAATTAATAAATATAAATTAATTTTAATTTATAATTATGTTTTTCTTGGTTGACAGATGCTTAAAAGAAATGGTTACATTATTTTGCCCACATAATTTAGTGTAGCCTTTTAATTTTCTGGAGAAAACGCTAAGATGTCAAGTATGAAAACAGGATTCTTATCGAAGTCATTCTTTAAAGTAGCTTCCACGTGGGGGTGGTCACCTATTTTCATGCAAACTGTAGATTAATTATATAATTTTTGTCTACTCACAGATCATGTCAGTTTTTCACAGGACTTAGGGCCTTTTGTTTCTTTGACTCTCAAAATACGTAAATGTATTTTCCAGCAAACTCTATAGACATTTATACTTGCTGAAATATTTCACATTTTCTTATTTTTAGAACCACACTAATTTTTTAAATTAATAAATGATTAAATTTTGGATACATTTCATTGCTCCAGATGATTATTCAGTTATAAGATCATCCTAATGATGACATAAAAGATCATTTAGCAACATTTTCAGCATTAATATTTCAACTCACTTAAAATTTGATTGTACTTTTACTATGCACAGGAATACTTCCAAGAATTTGAAGGAATAAAAGGTTCATCATAATCTGGTCATTCAGGGAACTAAAAATTAAAGAAGAAATAAGCAAGTCTCTTAAAGTAGAATTCAAATGCAACAAAATATATGGTATTTCTATGGATAGAAGTACAGATGACCCTGAACAACATTGCTTGAAATGTGCAGGTTCCTTTATATGCAGATTGTTTTAAATAAATACATTGGAGAGATTTTGGAGATCTGTGACAATGTGAAAAAAAAACTCCTAGATGAATCTCTACCCCTGAGACAGCAAGACCAAGCCCTCCTCTTTCTCACTCTCCTACTTGGCCTACTCAAGTTGGAGGCCTTTATGATGATCCACTTCCACTTAACAAATAGTAAATATATTTTCTCTTATGACTTTCTGAATAACATTTTCTCTAGCTTTATTGCAAGAATACAGCATATAATACAGATAACATACAAATTATGTGTTAATCAACTGTTTATTTTATTGGTAAGGCTTCTGGTCAACAGCAGGCCATTAGTAGTTAGGTATTTGGGGAACCAAAAGTTATATACGGATTGTAGACTCTGCAGAGGGTTGGTATCCTTAACCCCAACATTGTTCAAGGGTCAACCTTACTATCTGCATTTTTAAAGGGAGAATTTATTATTAACAAGGTAACACTAGATATGCATCTAGAGAAATAAGTTTAGAAGTTTATGGCTTAGTTTAGAAGAACTGATATGAGGGTGAAGGGCAAAAATTAAAAAAGACTTTAACTTAAAAGACTTTAGTAGATATGGTACCAGCTCCTCTTTGTACCTCTGGTAGAATTCAGCAGTAAATCTGAGTAATCCTAGGCTTTTTTGGGGGGTTGGTGGCCTCAATTTTAGAACTAGTTATTGGTCTATTTGGGGATTCAATTTCTTCCTGGTTCAGTCTTGGGAGGGTGTATGCATCCAGGAATTTATCCATTCATTCTTGATTTTATAGTTTATTTGCATATAGGTATTTATAGTATTCTCTGATGGTTGTTTGTATTTCTATGGGTCAGTGGTGATATCACCCTTATCACTTCTGATTGTGTCTATTTGATTCTTCTCTCTTCTGTATTAGTCTGGCTAGTGGTCTATCTATTTTATTAATTTTTCAAAAAACCCCAGCTCCTTGATTCATAGATTCTTTGAAGGTTTTCTTTTTGTTTGTCTCTATCTCCTTCAGTTCTTCTCTGATCTTGGTTATCTCTTGCCTTCTGCTAGCTTTGGGGTTTGCTTGCTCTTGGTTCTCTAGTTCTTTTAGTAGTGATGTTAGATTGTCAATGTAAGATATTTCTAGCTTGTTGATGTGGGCATTTAGTGCTATAAATTTCCCTCTTAACACTGCATTAGCTGTATCCCAGAGATTTTGGTATGTTGTCTCTTTATTCTCATGAGTTTCAGAGGGTCTGCCTTAATTTCATTATTTATCCAGGAGTCAGTTAGGAGCAGGTTGTTCAATTTCCATATAGTTGTGTGGCTTTGGGCGTGTTTCTCAATCTTGAGTTCTAATTTGATTGTGCTGTGATCTGAGAGACTGTTATGATTTCAGTTCTTTTGATTTGCTGAGGAGTGTTTTACTTCCACTTACGTGATCAATTTTAGAATAAGTATCACGTGGTGATGAGAAGAATGTATATTCTGTTGTATCTGGGTGGAGAGTTCTGTAGGAGTCTTTCAGGTCCACTAGATACGGAGCTGAGATCAGATCCTGAATATTTTTGTTAATTTTCTGTCTTGATTACCTGTCTAATATTGTCAGTAGGGTGTTAAAGTCTCCCACTATTATCGTGTGAGACTATAAGTCTCTTTGTAAGTTGCTAAGAACTTTCTTTATTAATCTGGGTGCTCCTGTGTTAAGCACATCTGTATTTAGGAAAGTTAGTTCTTCTTGTTGAATTAAATTCTTTACCATTATGTAAGGCCCTTCTTCTTCTTCTTTTTTTTTTTTTTTGCTTTAATCTCATTGGGTTAAAATCTGTTTTGTCAGAAGCTAGAATTGCAACTGCTGCTTTTATCAAAGAGGAGCTGGTACCATTTCTACTGAAACTATTCTAAACAATGGAAAAGGAGAGACTCCACCCTAACTCATTTTATGAGACCAGCATCATCCTGATACTAAAACCTGGCAGAGATACAACAAAAAAAAGAAAACTTCAGGCCAATGTCCCTGATGAACATCAATGCAAAAATCCTCAATAAAATACTAGCAAACCGAATCCGGCAGCACTTCAAAAAGCTTATCCACCACAATCAAGTCAGCTTCACTCCTGGGATGTAAGGTTGGTTTAATATATGCAAATCAATAAATGTAATTCATCGCATAAACGGAACTAAAGACAAAAACCACATGATTATGTCAATAGACACCAAAAAGGATTTTGATAAAATGCAACATCCATTCATGTTAAAAACTCTCAATAAATTAGGTATTTAAGGAACATACCTCAAAGTAATAAGAGCCAGTGAAGACAAACCCACAGCCAATATACTGAATGAGCGAAAGCTGGAAGCATTGCCTTTGAAAACTGGCACAAGACGAGGATACCCTCTCTCACCACTCCTGTTCAACATAGTATTGGCAGTCCTGGCCCGGGCAATCAGGCAAGAAAAAGAAATAAAGCGTATTCAAATAGGAAGAGAGGAAGTCAAATTGTCTCTGTTTGCAGATGACAGGATTCTATATCTAGAAAACCCCATCATCTCAGCCCAAAAGCTTCTTAAGCTAATATGCAACTTCAGCAAAGTCTCAGGATATGAAATCAATGTGCAAAAATTGCTAACATTCCTATACACCAGCAACAGGTATGCAGAGAGCCAAATCATGAATGAACTCCCATTCACAATTGCTTCAAAGAGAATAAAATGCCTAGGAATACAGCTAACAAGGGAAGTGAATGATTTCTTTAAGGAAAGCTACAAACCACAGCTCAAGAAAATCAGAGAGGACACGAACAAATGGAAACATATTCCATGCTCATGGATAGGGAAGAATCAATATTATGAAAATGGTCATAGTGCCCAAAGTAATTTATAGATTTAATGCTTTTCCTATTAGACCACCACTGACTTTTTTTGTAGAATTAGGAAAAAAAACTATTTTAAAATTCAAATGGAACAAAAAAAGAGGCCATATAGCTAAAACACTTCTAAGCAAAAAGAACAAAGCTGGAGGTGTCATGCTACCCACCTTCAAACTATATTGCAAGGCTGCAGTACCCAAAACAGCATGGTACTGGTCCAATAATAGAAACATAGAACAATGAAACAGAATAGAGAACTCAGAAAGAAGACCACGCACTTGCAACCATCTGATCTTCTGACAAAAACAAGCAATGGGGAACAAATTTCCTCTTTAATGAATGGTGCTGGGAGAGCTGGCTAGCCATATCCAGAAAATAGAAACTGGAGCCCTTCCTTACACCTTATACAAAAATTAACTCAAGATGGATTAAAGACTTAAATGTAGAACTCAAAACTCTAAAAACCCTAGAATACCATCTAGGCAATACCATTCAGGACATAGGCATAGGAAAAGGTTTCCTGACAAAAACACCAAAAGCAGTTGCAACAAAAGCACAAATTGACAAACGGGATCTAATTCAAGAGCTTCTGCAAAGCAAAATAAACTATTATCATCAGAGTGAACAGACAACCTAGAGAATAGGAGGAAATTTTTGCAATCTATCCATCTGACAAAGGTCTAATATCCAGAGTCTACAAGGAACTTAAACAAATTTACAGGAAAAAAACAAAGAGCCCCATTAAAATATGGGCAAAGGATGTGAACAGACACTTCTCAGAAGAAGACATTCATGCAGCCAACAAACATATAAAAAAAGCTCAACCTTACTGATCACTACAGAAATGCAAATAAAAACCAAAATGAGATACCATCTCATGCCAGTCACAATGGCAATTATGAATAAGTCAAGAGACAACAGATATTGGCAATGTTGAGCAGAAAAAGGAACAGTTTTATATGGTTGGCGGGAATGTAAATTAGTTCAACCATTGCGGAAGACAGTGTGGTGATTCCTCAAAGATCTAGAAGAAGAAATATCATTTAACCCAGCAATCCTATTACTGGGTATACACCAAGAAGAATATAAATCATTCTGTTATAAGGATACGTGCACGCATATGTTCATTGCAGCACTATTCTTAATAAAAAAGACATGGAGTCAACCCCAATGCCCATCAATGGTAGACTGGATAAAGAAAATGTGATACATATACACTATGGAATACTAGGCAGCATAGAAAGGAATGAAATCATATCCTTTGCAGGGACATGGATGGAGCTGGAAGCTATTATGCTTAGCAAATTAATGCAGGAATGGAAAATCAAATACCGCATGTTCTCATTTATAAGTGGGAGCTGAACGATGAGAACACATGGACACATGGTGAGGGGACAACACCTACTGGAGCCTTTTTTGTTGGGGAGGGAGAGCATCAGGAAGAATAACTAGTGGATGCTGGGCTTAATACCTAGGTGATGGGTTGATCTGTGCAGCAAATCACCATGGCACACGTTTACTTATGTAACAAACCTACACATCCTGCACATGTACTCATGACTTCAGTAGGGCTACAAAGTTAAATTGCTAGATAGTCTAGGAATGGCAATGTAGAACAAGGATGAGAGTGATGTAAAGTTAATGAAGCATATAGATAACTCTACTGAAAATAATCTTGAATACCAGCTAGAGGGCCTAAACTTCATTTATATGCATAAGAAACATAGATCTGACCGTAATGTATTGGGTAAATTTGAGAGTGCTATCCTGTGCCCTGTGGTGTATTCTATAAATGTCAGTCAGGTTAATTTGCTTAATAGGGTTGTTCAGTTATACCACATCTTTATTTCTTTATCAATTATGAAGAGAGAAGTGTCAAAATCTTCAATTGTAATTCTACTTATTTTTCTCTGTTATGCCTGTCCAGTTTTGCTTCATGTATTTTGAAGCTCTTATATTGGGTGCACGTACATTTAATATTGTCATGTGTTCTTGGTGCATTAACTTTTTAACCATTAATTAATTTGTCTCATTATCTATGGTGATATTCTTTGCTCTGAAATCTATTTTATCTGATAGTAAAACAGCCAGTCTTCTTTTATTTAGTGTTAGTCTTGTACATCTCTTTACAACCTTCTATTTTTTTTTCCTTTTTTGACTTCATAATTTAAGTGAGTTACTTGTATATTTGCATGTGGTTTGGTTTTGCTTTTTTTTTTTTTTTTTGAAATGGAGTCTCGCACTGTTGCCTGGGCTGGTGTGCAGTGGCATGATCTTGGCTCACTGTAACCTCTGCCTCCCAGGTTCAAGCAATACTTCTGCCTCAGCCTCCTGAGTAGCTAGAATTACAGGCACCTGCCACCACACCTGGCTAATTTTTTGCGTTTTGTTTTTGTATTTTTAGTAGAGACGGGGTTTCACTATGTTGGCCAGGCTGGTCTTGAACTCCTAACCTCGTGATCCACCTGTCTGGCCCTCCCAAAGTGCTGGGATTACAGGCGTGAGCCACTGCGCCGGGCCTGGTTGTGTTCTTTATCAAATCTGACAACCTGTCATTTTTGGAAGTGTTTAGATCACTTGCATTTAATGTCATTATTGATATGATTGAGTTTCTTGCCTTCATTTTGACTAATTTAATATTAATGTTACATTTAAACTCTGTTATTAAAAAACATTCTTCAGAATTTGTTCTAGAATTTATGCAATCGATTTTTAACTTATCACAGGCTACCTTGAGATAACACCACTTCTGTGTGTACATATATATATACACACACACATATATATACACAGACATTTATATATACATATATATACACATATGTATATATAAAATACTTTAAGTTCTGGGATATATGTGCAGAATGTGCAAATTTGTTACATAGGTATACATGTGCCATGGTGGTTTGCTGCACACATCAACCCATCACCTACATTAGGTATTTCTATTAATGCTATCCCTCCCCTAGCCCCCTGCCCCCCAACAGACCCCAGTGTGTAATGTTCCCCTCCCTATGTCCATGTGTTCTCATTGTTTAGCTCCCACTTATGAGTGAGAACACGTGGTGTTTGGTTTCCTGTTCCTGTGTTAGTTTGCTGAGAATGATGGTTTCCAGCTTCATCCACGTCCCTGCAAAGGATGTGAGCTCATCCATTTTTATGGCTGCATAGTATTCCATGGTGTGTATGTGCCACATTTTCTTTGTCCAGTCTATCATTGATGGGCATTTGGGTTGGTTCCAAGTCTTTGCTACTTTGAACAGTGCTGCAATGAACATACGTGTGTATGTGTCTTTATAGTTGAATGATTTATAATCCTTAGGGTGTATACCCAGTAGTGGGATTGCTGGGTCAAATGATATTTCTGGTTGTAGATCCTTAAGGAATCGCCGCACTGTCTTCCACGATGGTTGAACTAATTTACATTCCCACCACCAGTGTAAAACGTTCCTATTTCTCTACATCCTCTCCAGCATCTGTTGTTTCCTGACTTTTTAATGATTGCCATTCTAACTGGCATGAGATGGTATCTCATTGTTGTTTTGATTTGCATTTCTCCAATGACCAGTGGTGATGAGTTTTTTTTCATATGTTTGTTGGCTGCATAATTATCTTCTTTTGAGAAGTGTCTCTTGATATACTTCCTCCACTTTCTGATGGGGTTGTTTGTTTTTTTCTTGTAAATTGGTTTAAGTTCTTTGTAGATTCTGGATATTAGCCCTTTGTCAGATGGATAGATTGCAAAATTTTTCTCCCATTCCATAGCTTGCCTGTTTATTCTGATGATAGTTTCTTTTGCTGTGCAGAAGTCTTTAGTTTAATTAGATCCCATTTGTCAATTTTGGCTTTTGTTGCCATTGCTTTCAGTGTTTTAGTCATGAAGTCTTTGCCCATCCCTATGTCCTGAATGTTATTGCCTAGGTTTCTTCTAGGTTTTTTATGGTTTTAAGTCTTACATTTAAGTCTTTAATCCATCTTGAGTTAATTTTTGTATAAGATATAAAGAAGGCATCCAGTTTTAGTTTTCTGCATGTAGCTAGCCAGTTTTCCCAGCACCATTTATTAAATAGGGAATCCTGTCCTCCAGTTGCTTGTTTTTGTCAGGTTTGTTAAAGACCAGATGGTTGTAGATGTGTGGCCTTATTTCTGAGGCCTCTGTTCTGTTTCATTGGTTTACATGTTTGTTTTGGTACTAGTACCATGCTGTTTTGGTTACTGTAGCCTTGTAGTATAGCTTCAAGTCAGGTGGCATGGTGTTTGCAGCTTTGTTCTTTTTGCTTAGGATTGTCTTGGCTATATGGGCTCTCTTTGGTTTCATATGAAATTTAAAGTAGTTTTTTCTAATTCTGTGAAGAAAGTCAATGGTAGCTTGGTGGAGATAGCATTGAATCTATAAATTACTTCGGGCAGTATGGCCATTTTCATGATATTGATTCTTCCTATCCATGAGCATGAAAAGTTGTTCCATTTGTTTGTGTTCTCTCTTATTTCCTCGAGCAGTGGTTTGTAGTTCTCCTTGATGAGGTCCTTCACATCCCTTGTAAGTTGGATTCCTAGGTATTTTATTCTCTTTGTAGCAATTATGAATGGGAGTTCACTCATGATTTGGCTCTCTGTTTCTCTTTTGTTGGTGTATAGGAATGCTGGTGATATTTGCACATTGATTTTGCATTGTGAGACTTTGCTGAAGTAGCTTAGCAGCTTAAGGAGATGTTGGACTGAGACAATGGGGTTTACTAAATATACAATCGTGTCATCTGCAAAGAGAGATAATTTGACTTCCTCTCCTCCTATTTGAATACACTTTATATCTTTTTCTTGCCTAATTGCCCTGGCCAGAACTTCCAATACTATGTTGAATAGGTGATAGAGGGCATCTTTGTCTTGTGCTTGTTTTCAAAGGTAATGCTTTCAGCTTTTGCCCATTCAGTATGATATTGGCTGTGGGTTTGTCATAAATAGCTCTTATTATTTTGAGATATGTTCCATCAATACCTAAGTTATTGAGAGTTTTTAGCATGAAGGGGTGTTGAATTTTATCAAAGGCCTTTTCTGCATCTATTGAGATAACCATGTGGTTTTCATGATTGGTTCTGTTTATGCGATGGATTATGTTTATTGATTTGTGTATTTTGAACCAGCCTTGCATCCCAGGGATGAAGCCAACTTGATCATGGTGGATAAGCTTTTTGATGTGCTGCTGGATTTGGTTTGCCAGTATTTTATTGAGGATTTTCATATCAATGTTCATCAGGGATATTGGCCTGAAATTTTCTTTTTTTGTTGTGTCTCTGCCAGGTTTTGGTATCAGTATGACGCTGGCCTCATAAAATGAGTTAGGGAGGACTCCCTCTTTTTCTTTTGTTTGGAATAGTTTAAAAAGGAATGGTGCCAGGTCCTCTTTGTAACTCTGGCAGAATTTGGCTGTGAATCTGTCTGTCCTGGGCTTTTTTTTTGGTTGGTGGGCTATTAAATATTGCCTCAATTTCAGAACTTATTATTGGTCTATTCAAGGATTCGACTTCTTCCTGGTTTAGTCTTGGGAGGGTGTATGTGTCCAGGAATTTATCCATTTCTTCTAGATTTTCTAGTTTATTTGCATAGAGATGTTTATAGTATTCTCTGATAGTAGTTTATATTTCTGTGGGATCAGTGGTGATACCCCATTTATCATTTTTTATTGTGTCTAATTGACTGAGTTTCTTAATCCTGAGTTCTAATTTGATTGCACTGTGGTCTGAGAGACTGTTATGATTTCCGTTCTTTTGCATTTGCTGAGGAGTGTTTTACTTCTGATTATGTGGTCAATTTTAGAATAAGCGCGATGTGGTGCTGAGAATAATGTATATTCTGTTGAGTTGGGGTGGAGAGTTCTGTAGATGGCTATTAGGTCCACTTGGTCCAGAGCTGAGTTCAAATCCTGAACACCCTTGTTAATTTTCTGTCTCGTTGATCAGTATAATATTGACATTGGGGTGTTTAAGTCTCCCACTATTATTGTGTGAGAGTCTAAGTTTCTTTGTAAGTCTCTAAGAACCTGTTTTATGAATCTGGGTGCTCCTGTATTGGGTGCATATATATTTAGGATAGTTAGCTTTTCTTGTTGCATTGACCCCTTTACCATTACGTAATGCCCTTCTTTGTCTTTTTTTAATCTTTGTTGGTTTAAAACGTAATGCCCTTCTTTGTCTTTTTTTAATCTTTGTTGGTTTAAAACCTGTTTTATCAGAGACTGGGATTGCAACTCCTGCTTTTTTTTTTTTTTTTTTTTTTTTTTTTTTTTTTTTGCTTTCCATTTGCTTGGTAGATCTTCTTCCATCCCTTTATTTTGAGCCGATGTGTGTTTTTGCACATGAGATGGGTCACCTGAATACAGCACACTGATGGGTCTTGACTCTTTATCCAATTTGCCAGTCTGTGTCTTTTAATTGGGGCATTAGCCCATTTACATTTAAGGTTAATATTGTTATGTGTGGCAGACACCTCATACAGGAGAGCTCCGGCTGGCATCTGGTGGGTGCCCCTCTGGGACGAAACTTCCACAAGAAGGAACAGTTGGCAATCTGCTATTTTGCAGCCTCTGCTGGTGATACCCAGGCAAACAGGGTCTGGAGTAGACCTCCTGCAAACTCCAGCAGACCTGCTGCAGAGGGGTCTGACTATTAGAAGGAAAACTAACAAACAGAAAGGAATAGCATCAACATCAACAAAAAGGACATCCACACGGAAACCTCAATCGAAGGTCACCAACATCAAAAACCAAAAGTAGATAAATCCACAAAGATGGGGGAAAACCAGCGCAAAAAGGCTGACAATTCCAAAACCCAGAACACCTCTTCTCTAAAGGATCATAACTCCTCACCAGCCAGGGAACAAAACTAGATGGATAATGAGTTTGATGAATTGACAGAAGTAGGCTTCAGAATGTGAGAAATAACAAACTCCTCTGAGCTAAAGGAGCATGTTCTAACCCAATGCAAGGAAGCTAAGAACCTTGAAAAAAGGTTAGAGGAATTTCTAACTAGAATCACCAGTTTAGAGAACATAAATGACCTGATGAAGCTGAAAAACACAGCAAGAGAACTTCATGAAGCATCCACAAGTATCAATAGTTGAATCGATCAAGCAGAAGAAAGGATATCAGAGACTGAAGGTCAACTTAATGAAATAAAGTGCAAAGCAAGATTACAGAAAAAAGAATGAAAAGCAATGAACAAAGCCTCAAGAAGTATGGGGCTATGTGAAAAGACCAAATCTACATTTGATTGGTTTACCTGAAAGTGACGGGGAGAATGGAACCAAGTTGGAAAACACTCTTCAGGATATTATCCAGGAGAACTTCCCCAACCTAGCAAGATAGGCCAACATTCAAATTCAGGAAATACAGAGAACACCACAAAGACAGTCCTCGAGAAGAACAACCCCAAGCAACATAATCATCAGATTCACTAATGTTGAAATGAAGGAAAAAGCATTAAGGCCAGCCAGACAGAAAGGTCGGGTTACCCACAAAGGGAAGTCCATCAGACTAACAGGGGATCTCTCTGCAGAAACCCTACAAGCCAGAAGAGAGTGGGGGCCAATATTCAACATTCTTAAAGAAAATAATTTTCAACACAGAATTTCATAGCTAGCCGAACTAAGCTTCATAAGCGAAGGAGAAATAAAATCCTTTCCAGACAAGCAGATGCTGAGAGACTTTTTTCATCACAGGGCCTGCCTTACAAGAGCTCCTGAAGGAAGCCCTAAACATGGAAAGGAAAAACCAGTACTGGCCACTGCAAAAACATGCCAAATTGTAAGTCCATTGACACTATGAAGCAACTGCATCAATTAATCTGCAAAATAATCAGCTAGTGTCATAATGACAGGATCAAATTCACTTCTGTGTAGTATAAGAAACTTACAACAGTATTCTATTTATTCCCTTACACTTGCGTTTTGCTGTCATGAATTTTTCTTTTACATAAATTAAAAACTACATAATTCTGTATTATTATTTTTGCTTTAGCTGTAAGTTATATTTTAAGTAAATTTAAAATTAGAATTTCTTAACATTTATTAACATATTTATAATATTTTTTGCTCTCCTTTACAATGAATTTTCACATTGTCATCTAATGTCAATATACTTCTGCTTTGAAAACTTATCTTGGCTGGGCACAGTGGCTCATGTCTCTAATGTCAGCACTTTGGAAGGCCGAGGCAGGAGGATGGCTTGAACCCAGTAATTCAAGGCTGTAGTGAGCTATGGTGGTGCCACTGTGCTCCAGCTTGGGTGACAGAAACCTTGTCTCACTAAATAAATAAATAAATAAATAAATAATTTAAAAACTTCTCTTAACATGAATTCCAATGTGTTCTGAGAATAAATATTATCAGTTTTGTTAATGCCTGAAAAATGTTTCATATTCATTTTTCCAAGATGTTTTCTCTGAATAGAAAATTTTAGGTCAATAATGTTTTACAAAAATTCAGAACATTAAAGATATCATTCATTATCTTAAAGCTTGAGTTGTTTCTGAAAAGAAATCTGTGATCATCCTTATCTTTATTTTGTTCTATGTAATAATTTTTCCGTTTGTTTTTATTTTTTTCCTTGGCTTTGGCTTTTAGCAGTTTGATTATAGGGAGCCTTGTTGTGTTTTATTTTGTATTTATCCTGCTTTGGAATCTGTGGGCTTATAGTTTTTATCAATTTAGAAGTTTTTGCTATTATTTCTTCAAATGTTTTTTGTCTTCCATTCTCCTGTGATTCAAATTGTACTTATACTGCTTAATATTGCCTACTCAGTCTCTGGGTTTTTGTTTAAAGCCTTTTTTCTTCCATGCTTCATTTTGTATCATTTCTATTTCAGTTGCTTCAAGTTTACTGATTTTATTTCCTTCTGTAGTTTCTAATCTGTTGTCAATCCAGCCAATATATTTTTTATTCCAGATATTAGATTTTTTATCTCTAGGTCTTCCATTTGGATCTTTTAAAATATTTTCTATTTTCCTACTCATTATGGTTATTTTTTACTACATTCTTAAACATGTGAGGAATATTTACGATAGTTGTTTTAACATCCTTGCCTGCTCATACCGTTATCTTAGTCATTTGTGGCTCTGTTTTCATCACGACTTGACTTTTCCTCTAATAATTATGGATCATACTTTCTGATATTTTGCATGTTTTGTAACATTTGATGAGATCCAAGGCATTGTGATTTTTACCTTTTATGTGAAGGATTTTATTATGTTTTAATAATAATTTTGCATATGGTTTTTTATACAGTTAAGTTACTTGGATTAATTGTGGTCTGCTTTGAAGTCTTTGCTCTTGGCATTTAGTGTAATTAAACCCTACCATGAAGATGATAGACTTCTGTGAACTTTACTCTATGCCGCATGTCTTATGAGGCCTTACTTGTGTGAGTTTTGGAAATTTTTATGTCTCCCCATTTTGGTAGTTGTTTCCCCAGATTGTATAGTTTCTGCTTTTGGTTGTACACATCACACTCAGACAAAAACTTGAGGAAACTCTGAAGACCTCCATCTCTCTCTGTCTGTACAGCTCCCTATTTTTTGGTACTCTGCAGCATGTATTCTGTCTAGATACTTCGACCTCTCAAAATCTGATATTTGTTTCCTCAGCTCAAAGAGACCACCAGGTTCTGAATGTGAGTTCCTCTACCTTTTTGGGACCTGGTAAGTGGCTTTGGGTAATAAACTGTTAAAATTTGAGGGCTCTTCTTCTTAATTTGCTTTTTTACAGGGCTTACAATCCTTAGCTACTTATTGTCTAATGTCTGAAAATTGTTGTTTCATGTGTCTTGTTTTTTTTTTTTTAAATTTTCTAAGGCAGTGGAGTAAATCTAATTTTTGACCCTTCAACTGGGCTGGAAGCAACTCTTACAAAATTCATTTTAATTGTCCTATTTATACTTTTCTTTAATCCTTCTTTTATCATCCTTTTGCATAAAAAATTCTGTTCTGTATAATTTGCAGTCTGTTCTATCCTTACTAATTGTTCTTATTTCATTAATGCAGTCTTTCTTGCCTTCTGGGATGCCTAGTATTTTTCTTTTCTTCTCTTTTTTCTTTTCTTTTTATTTCTCTCTCTCTCTCTCTCTCTCTTCTCTCTCTCTCTCTCTCTCTCTTTCTCCTTCCCACCTTTAAGAGGTAGTGTCTCTCTCTGTCACCCAGGATGGGTGCAGTGGCATGGTCAGAGTTCACTGAATCCTCAATCCCTGGCCTCAAGTGATCCTCCTGCCTCAGCCTCCCTAGTGGACTACAGGTATACACCACCATGCCTGGCTAATTTCTTCTTATTTTTTCAGAGACAGGATCTCATTATGTTGCCCAGGCTGGTCTTGAACTCCTGCCCTCAAATGATTCTCCTGCCTCAGTCTCCCAAAGTGCTGCAATTACAAGCTTTAGCCACCACATCTGGTCCCAATATTTGTGCAAATTTTTTTTCTGTTATCTGTGCTACATTTTCTGATTCCTGTGGTAATTTTTCTGCTTCTTGAAATATTTTCTATTCAGAAACACTTTTCTTCTGGGTCATTACAATCTTACTCTGTTTGCTTTGTTGTCTCATACATGTTTTGTCACATATTGGGATTTTTCTATTTTAGAGTTTCTTAACTCCTGACATCTTGGACCAGGTATATTTTTGTGGGGTTAGTCCAGTGCATTAAAGCATATTTAACATTTCTGATCTCTACCCACTAATGCCAGTACACTCCTACCCAGTTTTGACAACCAAAAAGATCTCTGCATACTGCCAAATGTTCTGGGGAAGAGGGAAAAATTGTCCTGGGTTGTGAATCAATGTTGCATTTAGTAAATCTAGGGCTGTTTTACACTTAGTTAGTAACTAGGTTGTATTTGATTCACTCTTGATACCATGATCTTGTTGAAAGTTGGATGACACCTTTTCTCAGACCTACCTATACTCAGAAAACATATGTATTTGTGTATCTTAAAACAAATTCCTAATGTCTAATATCTGTTCATTTATTGCATGTCTGCTTATGTGAAATGGGATATTATTCTGAACCCAATGCTGTGACTCTATGAATCACAACCCTTAATATATATTACAATTGGATATTCTTCTTTTCTTTTCCCCAGTGATTTGTTCCATTTCCCATCCATACTTTTCCTACTGAGATTTATGTTTTGCAAAATTAGGAAGATAGGGTGACAGTCAACAGGCTTATTCTGTTTCCGTAAATTTATAGAATGAGTCATCACTTGTGTTTTTAAATCACATTTCTTCAGCTTTATAGTTAAGGGAAATGTCTCATAGATTTTGGATATAGACTCTGACATGAGTTTTAGGGTTGTTTTGAACTTTTGACTCTATCTTCATCCATACTTTACTAATAAGCTGGAAATGGAAGTGTAGATTATGTCATCATGTTACTATATTTAACTTCACCACTGTACAGACTACTTCTGAAGACCTGGAAGAGGAAAGATGAAACTTTAAGTTGAACAAAGTTGACAGAATGATTGTTTCTTTGCTTACTTGTTTTCAGAATAAGAAATGCATGAAAAGTTTTAATAATAAATCTTTTGGGTTTACTTGCATTTCCTCATCAGTGTTCATGCAACCCTACCAAAATATGCAAATATAAGCCCAAGATTGATTAATCCTCTGTGTTGATAAATGAAGTCCTATCAGGTTTCAAATATTGGTTTTACTTTTTTTGTAAATTACTCATGAGGTATACATCCTGCAGATGTTACCACTGTTCTATCACAGACTTTTAGATAGGGCTTTGCAAAATGTAAAATGATATTTTATTAAAAAATCACTAATTGGTAGGTAAAAATACAAAACTTTTATTACTCTCTATACATGATAATGTTTGTGGCTTCTGCTACCATATATTTTACATGTTTATTTCAATATGAATTTCATTAACTAACCCTTGAAACATGATATTTTTCAGTTGATTAGTTTTCAGGAACTTTGATAAGATATTTATTTTGAATTATATAATTAATCAGATATATTCTGTTGATAATTAGTTTTTGGTGGCTTTAAATATACGACAGTTCCAACAACTTGCTTCTTGTCTTAATCACCACGTTGATTTTTTATTGTTGTTTTTTGACATGGGAGAATTGTAAATTTTCAAAAACAGCCAAACTTCTGAATGACTCAAGTCAAAACACCTGTATCAGATTATTATTGGAGACTGTCAAGTACTGGCACCATGATTCTATATAGGTTCTTTCTGAGGTTAAGCACATTCAATACATCAAAGGCTATTATTCCTGACTGAATATGTCTAAAACAAAGACTTTGCTTTCAACATATATTTGTTTTGCTTAGTGCTACGTGCCACTTCTGATGCACAGGATTTACTTCTTTAAAATACTCAAGCATCAATTCACATTATATCAGTGGATCTTATTCTGTCAGTGGATGCATTTCAGGGGCTATTCAAAGCCTTGCAGATTGAAGAAACATTTTGTTTTTATATGGATATATAATGTACATTAGTTCTATACTTTCTGAAGTATAAGGCCTAATGGTACAAAAGAGTTTAAGAGCCACAAAAGAGATTATAACTTACTTTTGTGCATATATTTTTAATCTGAAGGACTCATTAAAAATTATATAAAATTATTCAGTTTATGTTCTCTTTACCTTTTCTTTATTTCACTGAGTGGATATTTTACATTTTATATTTATATATATATATATATTATTTAGAACTTGTAATGGTAACTGTGATTTGTAACTTCTATAACTTGTTAATCTTACTTAAAGATGACAATATTTTTAAACTTCCATTAGGAATTTGATTCTTGCCAGTATTTTAAAGAATGGTTGAAAATAATAACTGGAAAGAAGTAACTGAAAATTGTATTTTTCACTAGAATTCCAGAGCCTCGTAAACAATTTCTGTTACATTTCTGAAATCTCAATATCTGCAGAATATTGTTCACAGGGAGACTAGAAATAAGACTTTTTTCTCTATGACAAACTTTGTGGTTAGTATTGATAATATGGTGGTTATATTTGTTAGTGTGTAGGGCATATCAACTCAAGGTAAATAATAATTTTTAATTGAAAAATGGTTGCAGTAAAAATACTAAATGTATTTTTGACAATGTTTCACAGAATATGTGTGTGTAATAAAAATATCTTTTTTTTATTATACTTTAAGTTCTGGGATAAATGTGCAGAAAGTGCAGATATGTTACATAGGTATATACATGCCATGGTGGTTTGCTGCACCCATCAACCTGTCATCTGCATTAGGTATTTCTCCTAATGCTATCCCTCCCCTAGGCCCCCACCCCCTGACAGGCCCTGGTGTGTAATGTTCCCCTCCCTGACTCCATGTGTTCTCATTGTTCAACTCCCACTTATGAGTGAGAACATGTGGTGTTTGGTTTTCTGTTCCTGTGTTAGTTTGCTGAGAATGATGGTTTCCAGCTTCATCCATGTCCCTGCAAAGGACATGAACTCATCCTTTTTTATGGCTGCATAGTATTCCATGGTGTATATGTGCCACATTTTCTCTATCCAGTCTATCACTGATGGGCATTTGGGTTGGTTCCAAGTCTTTGCTATTGTAAACAGTACTGTAATAAATATACGTGTGCAGCACATAAAACATATGTGTCTTTATAGTAGAATGATTTATAATCCTTTGGGTATATACCCAGTAATGGGATTGCTGGGTCAAATGGTATTTCTGGTTCTAGATAATTGAGGAGTCACCACTCTGTCTTCCACAATGGTTGAACTAATTTTAAAGCTTCTTTTTTCTTCTTGGGCTGAAATGAAGGAATTCGACTTTTTACCATATTGGTAAAATTAAAATGTGGATGTTTAGTATGTTTTGACTTATTTATTGAGACAACTAATTTATACACCATAAAATTCATGCATTTTAATTGTTCAATTTAATGATTTTTAGTAAGTTTATAGAACTATGCAACCATCATCACATGCCAAGTATAGAACACGTCTGTCAACTTCCAAATTCTGTCATCCAGTTTGCAGTTAATGCCTGCTTTCATTCTCAGCCTTAAGTACCCTTAATCTGCTTTTTACTAGATTTGGCTTTTTTTGGACATTTCATAAAGATGAAACCATATAAAATATATTCGTCTGTGTTTAAATTCCTTCCATTAGTATAGTATTTTTGAAGTTCATCCATATGGTAGCATGTATTTATGTTTTGCTGGTTTGCTTCTTTTTATTGCAAAATAATATTCCATTGTGTGGAAATATAATATTTTGTTTATACATTCACCAATTGTTGGACATAAAGTTATTTCTAGTTTTTGGTTAACATGAGTAACTCTGCCATGAACATTTGTATACAATTTTTGCATGGAGATGTTTTAGTTTCCCTTGGGTAGATACCTAGGGGAAGAATTGCTGAGTCATGTGGGAAGGTTTATGTGTAGATTTTTTAGAAATTTCCAAGCTGTTTTCCAAAGTAGCTGTACCATTTTACATTCCTATCAACAATATATAAAGGTTCAAATTTCTTCACTTTCTCATCAACTTTTGTTTGTTTGCTGTTATTTTGTCTTTTTTTTTCTTAATAGCCTTATATTCTGCAAAAAAAAATCCTGTCAGACTGTGTTGAATCAATAGATTGTTTTGGGGGAGAATTGCTATGTAAAAATTGGAGTCCTTCAACACATGACAATGGAATGTCTGTTTAGTTACTTAGGTCTCTACTTTCTCTCTGCAGTGTTTTGTTGCTTGTTTGAATGTTCAAGCCTTGCATTCTTTTTTGTTAAATTTTTTCCTAAATATTTTATTCTTCTTGATATTATTATAGATATAATTGTTTTGTTAATCTCATTTTCTACCTAATCTTTGCTAGTAAGTGGAAAGATGACTGATTTTTGTGTATGGATTTTTCATCCTGAGACATTGCTGAACTCAATTATAATTTTTGGTTGTGAGTGTGTGTCTGTCAGTTCCTTAGGATTTTCTGTGTTAAGAATTATGTTAGCTGCTAATAAAGACAGCTTTATTTCTTCTTTTCTAATCTAGATACCTTCTTTTTCCCTCTCTCACTCCTTCCCCCATTTTCCCTCCCTCCTTCCGTTCCTTCTTTCTGTTCTTCCTTCCCTTCCCTCTCCCTCCTCCCATTCTCCTTTTATTCCTCCCTGTCCTGTGGCCAACTTCCGTCTCTTCTCCTGACATAATTATTAACAGTATTCTCTTTTACTTTCAAAGGTGTCACTGAGGATTACAGCAAGCACTAAGGATGAAAACATGAAAACATTTTTGCAAATCTTTGTGTGGTTTCTTATTCTAGGGCTATCCCAAATTCCTAGAGAAGCAAAAATATATAAAATGCTCTCTTTATTTAAAGTAATTGAGGTAACCATTGCTGGAAAAACCTACTTAAGTCTGATAGTAATGCATGCAGAATAGAATAGTTCTTGAAGTTATTATTAAGGAAAACACTGATTAGTGTGAAAAAGAGTGTTAGCAATATCACAGTTCACCTGTGAAAATAAATGCCATTCATGAGTCATTTTCAATCAATAACAAACAGCAATAATTGATTTCTAGAAAGACGTTCCATAAGTAACAGTTCAGAGCTCCAAAGTTCCTCTGGGTAGGATGTGTTGAAATTAACTAACTGTTAAAGTCATGCATTGGGAAATAAATGCGTATTTTATGTTAAATATTTTGTTAGCATTAGCCTCACTATGTAAAATATTGCTCTTGAAATCAACTTCTTATAAAATTCTATCTCAATTTACTTTAGGACATTAGGATTTACAAGTAAAAGTAATTTGTTTTTCTTTTCACAATAGTTTGTTACGCGCCAGCCTTTAATTTCATGTGAGAACTTATTCTACATTTATCCAAAAATTTTAATTAGTTTGACTATGATGTCATCTTACATAACATTGGGGTCTTACATCAAATAATGTCTGACCAAGTAAAGTGGCTTAATTAAAATGTTTTTGCAGTCAATCAATACCTAAATGAATAAAGCAGAGTGAGAAAAATCTAAATATTAGTTTAAAATATGCCTTTTTCCTCTCTAGGGTGTACTCGAATATACTCCCAATCAACATATAGGTAATAATCCTAGTAGCAGAATATTTTTATCAATTTCCAGAAATATTACATATGTATTCCATAAGGATTTTTTATGAATATAATATTTTAAATAATATCTTTGAAAATATTTTAAGATGCTAAAATATAACTGAATCATATTTAATAACTAAAAGGAATTAT
Organism: Homo sapiens; assembly: GCF_000001405.40. Taxonomy (NCBI): domain Eukaryota; kingdom Metazoa; phylum Chordata; class Mammalia; order Primates; family Hominidae; genus Homo; species Homo sapiens. The sequence continues at coordinate 40,099,003 of NC_000014.9, forward strand.
AGGTAACAAATGTTTATAGAATAGTCATTCTGCTACAGTCAATGGGATTGCATAGATATTTAAGACATTATATCTACTACCCAGGAGCTGATGCTATGGAAAAACATATGTGCTATGCTAATTATTTGGCACACTATTTCATATGAATTTATCTCTTGCTGCATAACCAAACACTCTATATTAGTGGATTAAAATGGGGATCCACAAATTTTAGCTGATGTGCCGTATCTAGTTTATGTCCTGTTTTTGTGTGTCCTGTGAGTTATCTTTTTATTTTAAAAAAATTTTTATTAAAAAAGTAAATAATATGTGACAGAGATTTTATATAGTTTGTAATGATGAAAATATTTATTTTCTAGTCCTTTAAAGAAAAAAATTGTGCTGTCCTCTGGCTTAAATGACACGTTATTATTCAGATTCTGTGGGTTGACTCTGATCAGATGTTAATTCTTGCTTTGGTTCTTTCATTTGGTGTCAGTCAGCTCTTGACTGGGGCTGCATCTGTTGAGCTTTACTGACAGTTCATTTACATGGCTGGCGGTTTATGCTATCAGTTGCCTGGGAACCCAATGGGGACTGTTTACAAGAACACCTGCCCTTGGCCTTTCTATGTGGCTTGCATTTCATATTCTTGCAGCATGGCATCTGGATTTTTAAACTGGGCATCCTAATGGTAAGCATTCTAAGAGATCTACACTGAAGCTGCAAGTTTTTTATATCTAGTCTTGAAAATCATGAAGTGTAATTTCTGCCTTAATCTACTGAAGATACATCAGCTAAGATTCAATGTTGGAGGTGTCCACCACATTGCAAAGTATGTGCCAGGAGGTGTTCATTGGTGGGGCAGGGGATGGGCATCTTTGGAGAGTAATTTCCACAGTACCCCTCTGTGGATTCCAGTGATTTTCTTCCTTCCCATGTACAAAATATACTGAGCCCCTCCTAAGACTCCCAAAATTTCATCTTATTATGTCATTGGAATCAGACTTAAATTTAGAATTTCATTATCTAAATCAGATCCAGATGTGAACGAGACTCCTCAAATAAGATGCTGTAAATTCAGACACAATGTACCTGTTTCCCACATACTCAGCATTGAAAGGTGGGACATGACTAGTGCCATAGACATGTCCACTAAAAATGTAAAATAGAAGGAATATAGGAGTCCTTGTTCCATAGCAATTCTGAAATCCAGCTGGGCTCAGGTGGTAATTCACCCTGCTTTGGGTGAAGGAAATGTATGCTGACTAGGGATCAGTTTTGTTTCTGGGATTTGTTTACATCAGTGCTTGGCTCTATCCACTGGGGTTTTTGCTCCAGACTGAATTATTCTTTTCCACAAGAAATGACAGTGTTCACAGCTAAGCAGCTTTCCGGTCTCTTTCCTTTCCATAGAAATTGGAGGGACCTGAAACATCTTTGTTTTACTCTCAGTTCCTTTAAGTACAAGTTGGTCCACTTATTAATTTTTTTTGTTCTTACGTATCAAATTGTAAATCTGCTACAGTAGAATAGACTCAAACCCACATTTCATTCTGAGACAATCCCTTCTCTACCTCAGTCACCTGTGAGGTTGCTGTGGTAGACCTTTATTCTTAGGCAAGAAAATCTAAGAAGCCCCCTTAAGATATTTAGAAAATATTGTATCTAGCTGAGAGGGTCTAGGAGCCATGCCCTTGTTATTCTTAGAGGTCATTTTTTTTTTTTTTTCTAATTGAGAAGGTCTACAAGGAGCTGCCTTAAATCAACCAACCAACTTTCCTTTTTCCTTTCTTCCCTTCCCTTCCCTTCCCTTCCCTTCCCTTCCCTTCCCCTCCCTTCCCCTCTCCTGCCCTCCCTTCCCCTCTCCTGCCCTCCCTTCCCCTCTCCTCCCCCCTCCCCTCCCTTCCCTTTCCTTTTTTTGAGACAAGTTATCTCTCTGTCACCCAGGCAGGAGTACAGTAGTACAATCATAGCTCACAGCAGTCTCCACCTCCTGGGCTCAAGCAATCCTGCTGTGTCAGCTTTTTGAGAAGCTAGGACCACAGGCACCCATCACCACACCCGGCTAAGATTCTTAATTTTTTATAGAGACAGGGTCTCACTATGTTGCCCAGGCTGGTCTTGACCTCCTGGGCTCAAGCAATCCTCCTACCTCAGCCTTCTGAGTAGCTAGGACCACATGCACACACCACCACACCTGGCTAAGATTTTTAATTTTTTATAGAGGCAGGGTCTCACTATGTTGCACAGGCTGGTTTCGAACTCCTGGATTCAAGCAATCTTCCCACCTCAGCCTTAACAAAGTGTCTTTCTGAGACTTTCTCAATCTGAAATCCATCTTACCAAAGGAGTTCTGAATCTTTGCCCAGATACCATTTCTGAGTTTGAGAACAGTCCACTGTCTGGAAAGACCAGGTATGAGAAACAGTCTGTATTTTAAGCAAGCAAGTTCTTGTTTCTTACATTTCTTTTAAATTTAGATAAATAATTCTATTTTCTGTAGCTCATCTTTCTCTATATGTGTCTTTCCATTTGCAGATAAAATAAACCAGTTGGCACTTTTGGTATTTTGCCTGGGAAAAAAATCTCCTAAGCTGTATCAATAATCTCACTAGGTAAATTTTTGATACTGCAGGTAGTATGCCAAGTTGGGAATTAGTCAGAGCAGTCTATCCAGAGTGCAGGCAATTAGAGGGTGCATTGTCATTCTTTTTTTTTTTTTTTTTTTTTTTGAGACAGAGTTTTGCTCTTTTTCTCAGGATGGAGTGGTGCAGGGGCACGATCTCAGCTCACTGCAACCTCCGCCTTTCAGTTTCAAGCAATTCTCCTGCTTCAGCCTCCCGAGTAGTTGGGATTACAGGTGCCCGCCACCACGCCCGGCTAATTTTTGTATTTTTAGTAGAGACGGGGTTTCACCATATTGGCCAGGCTGGTCTCGAACTCCTGACCTCGTGATCCGCCCACCTCAGCCTCCCAAAGTGCTGGGATTACAGGCATGAGGCTCAGCACCCGTTCGAGAGTGCATTGTCTTTAGATGATTTAAAAATAATACTAAAACTGACTAACAGATGTTCTTCCTTGTAATATCACCATGAAACAACAATTCAAAACAATACCACTGAGAAAATGCTGCTCCCTGCTTGGGCAGACCAGTGTCTCTATTCTCTCCTGTGGATAGGTTGGGATATCACTGTCATGATTATGTTATGTTACATGATAAAAATAATTTTGCAGATGTAATTAAGTTCTCTAATCAGCTGATTTAATCAAAAGGGAGACTATCTTGGGTGAGCCTGACCTAATAGACGGGCTTCTGAATGGGGGTCTAGAAGTTGGAGACAACAGTCAGACAGATAAGATGCTACCAGCATTAAAGAAGCATCCATCTATACTATGAACTGCCTATGAGGGATGTGATTTCAGCTTGATGAGGCCTTCAACAGAGCCCAGCCATGCTGAGCCTGAATTTCTGACCTACAGCTATTGCGTAAATAACTGTTGTTTTAAGCCACCAAATTTGTGGTAATTTGTTACACAGCAACAGAAAACGAACACCTTTAGTTATATTTTGTCATGCTATGGTTTCCTATGGAATAACAGGAAATGAAGAATGACAGTAAGTTACAAAATTCAGTGCACTATCATATTAATAGTTACCACATTAAGTGTTAAATGTTTCCAAAGTAGAAGAAATGTGTTCTTGGAAAGAAATATACTGTTCTTTAGAAATACAGATGAGGAAGCAATTATTTATCCCTGAAGGTTTTGAGGCAAGCTGCATCATGTTGACGTTGCAAGGCCTTGAAGGATGAGCAACAGCTGGCCAGGCTGACAAAGGAAGAAAGAACATTCTATACTGAACAGCATCGGTTGTCTTTCTGAATAAAAGTTAGTGCTTGGGATGATGGAAAAGTAACAGACTGAGCATTAAAATGATATTAATATACAGTTAACTTCACTACCAAGAATGTAATTTTAGATGAGACAATGTTTTGTTTGAGTTGATAAATATAAATCATTTATTTTAAACATGTGGACACCTTTCAGAAGAAGAACATTGGCAAAGATTAAAATCAATATTTTGTGTTTCTGGGCTTTCTAATTGGTTACTATCACCTAAAGTGTGAAGCTGGGACAGGTCAGAGAGTTTGGAAATGTAACAATTGAAAAGGAGGGACTCCTCCCTAACTCATTTTATGAAGCCAGGATCATCCTAATACCAAAACAGGAAAGAGACACAACAAAAAAATAAAACTTCAGGCTAATATCCCTGATGAACATAGATGTGAAAATTCTCAATAAAATACCAGCAAACCGAATCCAGAAGCACATCAGAGAACTTTTATTTTTTATTATTTATTTATTTTTGAGATGGAGTCTCACTCTGTCACCCAGGCTGGAGTGCAGTGGCGCGATCTCGGCTCACTGCAAGCTCCACCTCCCGGGTTCACTCCGTTCTCCTGCCTCAGCCTCCCGAGTGGCTGGGACCACAGGCAACCAACATCAGAGAACTTATCCACCACGATCAAGTCGGCTTCATCCCTGGAATGGAAGGCTCGTTCAATATATGCAAATCAATAAACATAATGCATCACATAAACAGAACCAAAGACAAAAACCACATGATTATTTCAATAGATGCAGAAAAGGCCTTTGATAACATTCAACATCCTTCATATTAAAAAAAACTCTCAATAAACTAGGTATTGATGGAACATACCTCAAAATAATAAGAGCTATTTATGACAAACCCACAGCCAATATCATACTGAATGGGCAAAAACTGGAAGCATTACCTTTGAAAACTGGTACAAGACAAGGATGCCCTCTCTCACCCCTCCTATTCAACATAGTATTGGAAGTTCTGGCAGGGCAGTCAGGCAAGAGAAAGAAATAAAAGGTATTCAAACAGAAAGAGAGGGAGTCAAGTTATATCTATTTGAAGATAACATGATTACATGTTTAGAAAACCCCATCATCTCAGCCCCAAAACTCCTTAAACTGATAAACAACTTTAGCAAAGTCTCAGGATACGAAATCAATGTGCAAAAATCACAAGCATTCCATTACACCAACAATAGACAAGCAGAGAGCCAAATTATTAATGAACTGCCATTCACAATTGCTACAAAGAGAATAAAATACCTAGGAATACAGCTAACAGGGGATGTGAAGGACTTCTTCAAGGAGAACTACAAACCACTGCTCAAGGAATTAAGTGAGGACATAAGCAAATGGAAAAAACATTCCATCCTCATGGATAGGAAGAATCAATATCATGAAAATGTCCATAGTGCCCAAAGTAATTTATAGATTCAATGCTATTGTCATCAAACTACCATTGACATTCTTCACAGAATTAGAAAATCTACTTTAAATTTCATGTAGAACCAAAGAAGATGCCGTATAGCCAAGACAATCGTAAGGAAAAAGAACAAAGGTGGAGGCATAATGCTACCTGACTTCAAACTATGCTACAAGGCAATTGTAATCAAAATAGTATGGTACTGGTACCAAAACAGATACATAGACCAATGGAACAGAGCAGAGACCTCAGAAATAACACCACACATCTACAACCATCTGATCTTCTACAAACCTGACAAAAACAAGCCCTGGGGGAAAAGATCTCCTATTCAATACATGGTACTGGGAAAACTGACTAGCCATATGGAGAAAACCGAAACTAGACCCCTTCCTTATACAGTATACAAAAATTTACTCAAGATGGATTAAAGACTTAAATATAAAACCCAAAATCATAAAAACCCTAGAAGAAAACCTAGGCAATACCGTTGAGGATATAGGCATGTGCAAAGACTTCATGACGAAAATGCCAAAAGCAATGGCAACAAAAGCAAAAATTGACAAATGGAATCTAATTAAACTAAAGAGCTTCTGCACAGTAAAAGAAATAATCATCAGAGTTAACAGGCATCCTACAGAATGGGAGAAAATTTTTGCGATCTGACATTAGATCTGACTTTAGATCTGGACATTAGATCTGACAAAGATCTAATATCCAGAATTTACGAGGAACTGAAACAAATTTACAAGAAAAAAAAACCCTATCAAAAAGTGGGCAAAGGATATGAACAGACACTTCTCTAAAGAAGATATTTATGCAGCCAAAAACATATGAAGAAAGCTCAATATTACTGATCATCAGGGAAATGCAAATCAAAACCACAATGAGATACCATCTCACACCAGGCAGAATGGTGATTATTAAAAACTCAAGAAACAATAGATGCTGGTGAGGCTTTGGAGAAATAGGTATGCTTTTACACTGTTGGTGGGAATGTAGATTAGTTTAACCATCGTGGAAGACATATGGCAATTCCTCAAGGATCTAGAACCAGAAATACCATTTGACCCAGCAATCCCATTACTGGGTATATACCCAAAAGAATATAAATCATTCTACTCTAAAGACCCATGCACATGTATATTTATTGCAGCACTATTCACAATAGCAAAGACATGGAACTAACCCAGATGCCCATCAATGATAGACTGGATAAAGAAAATGTGGTACATATACTACACCGTGGAATACTATGCAGGCATAAAAAGGAATGAGATCATGTCCTTTGCCGGGGCATGGATGAAACTGGAAGCCATCATCCTCAGCAAATTAACACAGGAACAGAAAAGCAAACACTGCATGTTCTCACTCATAAGTGGGAGTTAAACAATGAGAATCCATGAATACAGAAAGGGGAACAATACACACCTGTTGGGGGGTGGGGCCTGTTGGGGGGTGGGGGGCGAGGGGAGGGAACTTAGTGGATGGATCAATAGGTGTGGCAAACCACTATGGCACACGTATACCTATGTAACAAACCTGCACGTTTTGCACATATCCTGTTTTTTTATTTAGAAGAAATAACAAAAATTACAAAAAGAATTTGGAAATAGAGGTAATAAAAATTTACTTAGGTATAACAATAGTCTTAGTACCAATTATATTTATATGTAACTTTAAAGGGCTGCATGCTTTATATAGATATATATGTTGTCCCCAAGTCTTGTAAGAAATTACGATTTTATGATGTATGAGACATTGTAAAATGTTTTCAATACCAAACCATACACACTCTATTTAAACATATTATCACCTCTAATAAAATGATCTCTGTCAATTATAAGGAAATTGGTTAATGATAAGTGTAATAAAGCCTGATAATGGTTTGAATTTGTGTCCCTGCCCAAATCTCCTATCGTATTGGAGGAGGGGCTTGGTGGGAGGTGATTGGATCATGGGGACGAATTTCCCCCCTGCTATTCTCATGTTAGTGAGTTCTCAGGAGATCTGATAGTTTAAAAGTATGTGGCACTTCCCCCTTCGTTCTCTCTCTCTCCTCCCTCCATGTGAAGAAGGTGCTTGCTTTCCCTTCCCCTTCCACCATGACTGTAAGTTTCCTGAGGCCTCCCAGTTATGCTTTCTGTTAAGCCTGTGAAACTGTGAGTCAGTTAAGCCTTTTTTCTTCATAAATTACCCAGTCTCAGGTGGTTCTTTACAGCAGTGTGAAAACAGACTATTACAAAGCCATTTTAGATTAAACAAGAATTTTTTTTAAAAAGTTTACATCCAAAGATTGAAATAGAAATTCTATGTGATATTATGTTATTTTAGGTTATACAATTTCCAAAAGATTGAAATGACTAACTTTACAACTTATGGAGAGAATTAAAGCTAGCTGAAATAGCTTTCTGGAATAATTGGGCATACTTCCAGGAAGGATTGAAGGAATATTTTGCATCTGAACCTGCTTCCTACTTGACTGATTATAACAGTCACGCTATATGTAGACTGGCTCGTGTCCCTTTTCACTTTATCTTAATAGTCAGTTATGAAGCAGTTTAAAGCTACTAGATAGAAAAATATCAGGACTTTGCCCTTATAAATTATCTAGAAAATACAGTAACACTTGTAATGGCATTTTTTAGCAAGAACATTATGACAGTCTTAACAATTGACAGACGTGATTTGCTCCAATCTTGCCATGGTTATTTTGAATGGAGAAAGATGTGCCATTAGGGAAGAGAAGGTCTGCCAGCTAATTAGCACATTAGATGCTCCATCAGCCTTGCTGGCTTCTTGCAAATAGAACAGTTTACTTAATTTTTTGGCATAAAAAATGAAGCTTCCTTTTACATTTGAACTTCTATTGGTAAAAACATGTCATAGTGCAAAAAATGTGAGTAATGTTTAAGATAGATTAATGTTTTGTTATTTTTACTTGTATTTTCTTAACTTTAAGGTATTTCATATTCCTGTTCACACTTCAGAATCCAATATAAGTATGGCACATCTATCAAAAAGTTTAAGTTTAAAAAATAAATGGTACTTTCACTTTAATTACGTATTTTTCCTTTTTTAATAAAGAGAAGGAAACTGTGACTTTAGAAGATAAATGGCGCATATGCACAATATATAATGAGTAGGGCATATAAAACTAATGTTTCTAAATGTTTTACATGGAATAGTTTTGATGGATTTATAGTAAATCAATATTTCAGTTGTTATAAGTATATAATTTTGCTACGTTCTTGTTAGGAAAGAAATTCTAAGGGATAATGAAATAATTCTAAAATCATTTCTACCTCCACTTGTCTAGGTTTTCAGAACTCCATAGAAATAAATCTGAAGCACAATGTCAACTGAATATTCTTATGGGTGTTTAATTTGCCAATTAAGAAAATCTTAATTGGCAATATAGGTCACCTATAGCTATTTAACATGTTGTAAACTTAATAAATGTAGAAAGTTGTGGTCCACCTAGATATACAAAAACCAAAAGTAACAGAAAAAGTCTTCAGTGAGTTGATGCAGCTACTTAGTAGGCCCTTTCCCTTTTGTCTCTTCTTTATTGCTTGCCTTATTCCATAAAGTAGAAATTGTATACATTGTGTATCTCCTGCATCACTTTTCTATGGGTGACTGATTTCCCCTGCTTAGAATTATCCAGAGGTCTCCTTTATCTTCAATGAGGAAACATTTACCTGATTTTGTTTATCACAACCTCTGCACTGAATGAGATTTTATGTTCAATACACATTCAACAGTGTGCACCCATAAGTCTATAAATGTCTTAACAGCCCTGGCTATACAAAATATTTTAAGCAATGTGAAGTCTTGCAGTTGTGTTTTGCATTTCACTCCCCATCTTCACTTTCAGGATTGTTGCTATCCTTTCTTTATATTATACATTGAACCGTTGTAAGTACAATTTTCCTCCACTAATTAAAAAAGTTTCATGTCTGTTGCCATTATAAAGCAAATAACAATTGAAAAAAATTTTTCTTAATTTCTACCTCACCCATATATCTACCCTATCTTCTTCTTTTAAAGTCTACATGTATTTTAATAATTAATCATTTTTATTTTCTGAGAATTTCATTATCTCAGTGTCTCTTACTCCCTCCTCAAGCCATTGCAGTCTGTGTTTTTGGTCCATCACTGCCCTGGGACATCATTCAGTAAGGTCACCAGTGGCCTCTCTGCTGCTTATCCTGCAGGCTATTTACAGTAACATCTCAGTATTCCAGAATCATTTGAATATAATGACCAGTTTCTCCTTCTGAAAACTTCTTTTCTTGGCTTTCCATGTTAAAAATCTTTCTTTCTTTTTTTCTTTTAAAATAATTACCCTTTTTGGTCTCTATCCATACTTTCTCTTCTTCTTTGCATGCTATTTCATTTCAGTCTGAGGGTTTCTCATCCTCCAAGTCTTCACTCACTATTTCCCTGGTGATCTGATTCACATATAGCCACCTACATGGAGCTGACAATTGAACTCATTACCTTCTTTCCCAATACTACTTTTTCCATGGTTACTAATAAAAAAATGGCACCATCCAGTGTGTAAGCCAAAAGCACGAGAGCAATACTAATATCCTCCTCTGTTTCCCTTGCCACTCCTCATCCAGTGTTTTCACAAATTCTGCTAAAAATTTCCAATTAAATATTTAACTTGTTTCTTATTCTACATCTCTACCAAAATCACTACAATTTTTTTTTTTTTTTTTTTTTTTTTGAGACGGAGTCTCCCTGTGTCCCCCAGGCTGGAGTGCAGTGGCACGATCTTGGCTCACTGCAAGCTCCGCCTCCCAGGTTCACGCCATTCTCCTGCCTCAGCCTCCCAAGTAGCTGGGACTACAGGCACCTGCCACCATGCCCGGCTATTTTTTTTTTGTATTTTTAGTAGAGACGAGGTTTCACCGTGTTAGCCAGGATGGTCTCAAACTCCTGACCTCATGATCCTCCCATCTCGGCCTCCCAAAGTGCTGGGATTACAGGCGTGAGCCACCGCGCCCAGCCCAAAATCACTACTATTCTTATACAAGTTATTAAGATCTTTTGCCTGAATAATGCCATAGTATGTTGAATAGTCTGTCATTCGCTTTAGCCTTTCTACAATTAGTTCTCCATATTGCAAGTGCTAATGTGACCATGTTGCCCTGCTTTCCACACTTAAAATTCTTTAATGATTTCATATTTTTCTTTGGACAAAAGCAATCTTTTTGATATGACTTGTAAGACCTCCCCAAAAATGATCTCTAACAACTCCTAATTTTTTTGTTCCAATCACACAGCATGCTTCAGTCCTTTGTATCCAACATACTTTCCATAAGTATCTGTTTATTTAGTTTAGTTATTCTCAAATTTCAGCTCAAGCATTGCTTTCTCAATGTAGCCTTTTTGATCTCCATGATAAAATTAATCACCCCCATGAAATCATTCAGTATCCTCGTAATTCTAGTCTTTTAGCACTTCCCTCAGTAAGAACTTTGCATTTGTACCATGCTTATTACATATCTACTTTGCTCAATTATAAGCTTCCTCAGGAAAGACATTATAACTTTTGTTCCTTATCTTTGAGTCATTAATGTTCAATTAATCATTTATTGTTTGACCCTATGACAATTAACTCTTGTATTCTTTGAATTGAACAAGTCTGTTTCCCCAGCAGGAGTTCAATAAGTATATGATAAATAGGAAAGTGGTATTGTAAGAATAATAAATTGGAGGTTCCATAGCTTTACAGCAAAAATACACTTAGAAACAGGCCTGAGGAAATGACAGCCTGGACAGTTTTTGTGAGTGAAGAGAAGATAAACTGATGCATTCAGTCATTGAATCATACATTCATTCTAAAGGCATATAGCAAATACCTACATGCAAGGCATTGAACAGATAAAATTAAGGTATGTACAAGGTTTAGAAGAGAATGACAGTGTCTGTATCTGTAAATCAAGTACATTGACAGAAATAAAGAACGAAGGCAAACAAGCTGGTTGAAAAGAAAGTCAACAATTCTGTTTTAAGTATGATAAATTGAAGTGTGGATTTATGTAGAATATGTGTTTGGCAATTCAGTACTGGAATTTAGAAGAGGAGTTGTGTCTAGAAATAAATTGAGATTGAGAAATTTGCATGGTGAAGCTAGTTTAAAGTTATGACTGTAAAGGCAGTCAAAACGGGCCATATACTGTGCAATCTCAATGAAAATAAATGTCCAGAATAGGAAAATCTATAGAAATAGAAAGTAGATTTGGGGTTGCTTAGGGTTGGGAGTGAGTGTAGAGTGATAGCTAAGGAGTACAGGATTTCTTTTGGGAGTAATGAAAGTTTTTAAAAAATGATTATGGAATGGATACACAATTCTGTGAATATACTAAAAGCCATTGAATTATATACTTTAAGAGGGCAAACTGTATGGTTTGTAACTTATAAAGCTGTTAAAAATAAAGCCATAACTATAAATGAGTTATCAGAGGGATTAAAAAGTAAAGAGGAAAAATTTATAGAACCAAAGAGACTGACTCTCAAGAATATTTATAATTGAAAGATAGGAAAAAGGAAGTAGGTAAGGAGGCAACCAATACTTTCAAAAATCTCCTTGAGAAAATGCCCTGAATTTGAAAACTTACATATAATTGTGGTATTTGACAGTGCTCATAAGAACATTTGTAGTGTTGAAACTAACAGTTTCAAGAAGGTAAGTCATAAATAAATAGGAAGTAGGTAAACAAAGTAATAGGCACATTTTAAAGACTGTCCTGAGGGTAAAAGGAGAATGGCAACTCTAAATAGCAAGAGGACTTGTCCAACTCCTGGACCTTCAGTAGATTGAGTAAACTGTCTAATCTGCAAGTTCTCATAATAGGCCAAGAGTGTCAGAATGGCATATCCAAGTGTAATCCTTAGACAGATAAGAGTAAAGTATGACAGAGAACAGAAATGCACACCAGGACCAAAGAGTGAAAAGCAAGATCACAAAAGTGGATTAGATTCCAGAGTCATGAACTCTCCAGGAAGCAGTTGGAAACGAATACATAAGGAGATGTTTATGCTTTTTGAATAAATGAATGATTCAATAACTGGATGCATCGGTTTATCTTCTCTCCACTCACAAAAACTGTCCAGGCCTTTATTTCCTCAGGGCTGTTTCTATGTGTATTTTCACTTTGAAGCTATGGAGCCTCCAGTTTATCATTCTTAAAATATTGCTTTCCTATTTAACATATACTTATTGAACTTCTGCTGGGGAAACAGATTTGTGCAATTCAAAGAAGGCAAGATTTAATTGTCATAAGTTCTGGGTCCAAGGCTTAATTTCTTTATTTTACTACATTGTGATTATGGATAGGTTACCTTTTTTTGCTTCAATTTCATCTTTAAACTGGAAGAGGTGAGGTTAGTAATGCCCATTCCAGAGGGGATTGGAAAATTTGAAGTATATAGCGTGATACCTAGTATATTACAGGTACTCAAAAATATTGAATGAAAGAAGACACTCAAGTGTTATCATGTATTTTCAAATACTTTTAAATTTAAGGAGATTAACTTATTAATTAATCCTGTTTCAAACAGCAAGAGAGGAGTGATAAAAGCTCCAAACAATTTTCTAGGAACAAGAAATTTTGTAGCTTGTAGCCTAAATACAAAGATGGATAGTACACTTTAATGACAATTCAGTAGTTTAATTGAAGAAAGACTTCTATGTTTCAAATTTTATCTTTTTCAATATGTTTTGAAAAAAAATTGGCGCATAACTTCTCTCTAAGACCTTCTTTCAGGGCCATGTGAAGCAACAGGACTTAACTCTGGTCTGTGTGGCTGCTGTGGCACCTGTTGAGACCCTGTGGCAGAGGAGTTGCTTCTCCCTGCCAGGGTCAACCAGCATCCTTGGGCATTGCAGACACCAGAATCACTCCCTCTCTGCATGTTTCTTTGCCAGCAGCAGAAAGTGAAGCTCTTAGGGAATAGCGAGAACAATAGTTCTTGGGCTAGGAATCTCCTCCTTTTCCTTGCAAGGTGTGGAAGAGAGCTGTGGATCTGTGCTAATTATGCAAAGAGTCACTCATTTTAAAGGAAAGCAGTTATTCTAGAAATAAGAATTTAGTTTTCCTTCATGTTTCAGGTGCTTGCCATTATTTATATAATCCTCAAAACCACTCTTTCAGATAGATAACAGTTATCCCCATTTTATAGGCAATGAAACTGACGTTCATGAATTATTCAAATGTCACATCCAAGCTCACACAGCCAGGGCTATGTGATATGATAGGGCTGATATTTGGAGCCAGATCTTCTTTAGCATAATACACTGAAGAATCCAAGTCCAGTACCAGGGCAGCCAGCAGGGGTAGGGGGAGAACAACTAATTTTGTTTTCACGGTCATCTGAGTAATTAATAATGACGAGTGGGAGTAGAGGGTAGTCAGCTCTCAAATAGTGAGCAGGATAGGCCAGGTGCCGTGGCTCATGCCTGTAATCCCAGCACTTTGGGAGGCCGAGGCGGGTGGATCACGAGGTCAGGAGATCAAGACCATCCTGGCTAACACAGTGAAACCCTGTCTCTACTAAAAATACAAAAAGAAATTAGTCGGGCGTGGTGGCAGGGGCCTGTAGTCTCAGCTACTCGGGAGGCTGAGGCAGGAGAATGGCGTGAACCTGGGAGGCGGAGCTTGCAGTGAGCTGAGATCGCGCCACTGCACTCCAGCCTGGGCTGCAGAGTGAGACTCCATCTCAAAAAAAAAAAAAAAAAATTGTTAGCAGGATAAAGCCTTCAGTGTTGGCTTTTGGAGAATTTATTTTTAATCGGATTAACAGACTCGCAGTTGCTTAAATTATTAAAATATTCTGTTGGCCCTTTTTAATGAGACTCTGTAATCCGGTCTTGATGTATTTTGTAATAATATGTTTTCCACTTTATCTTATTAACCATGTGATCCAGCAACAACTATTGCCTCAGGGGCCTACAGACAACTTTTTTTCTTGCCTTTTAATTTTTTAAAAACTCTATTACTGCATGCTGGGAATATTTTCTCCCATTGCTGTGAAGACTTCCATGATCATGGAGATCCACAACTGTCTCCCCTTGTCTGACCCTCTGTAGAATTTATAGACAACACTATATCCTTTTGAGACTGACTTGCTTTCTCAATGAGACTATACAATTCTCAATAGTTTTTATACCTGTGTGTTCTCACTAGTGTCTAGTATGTTATACACATAGAATGCAGTCAATACCTATTATTCAATGGATAAAGTGAAATTTTCTGTAGGCTGAGGAAAACAGATACCATCAAGAAAGAAACTGTCTTAGAAGATTAATTTGTGAAAGTTTAGTAAAAACTATAAAACAAGAACTAAATTTTAAAACCAGAGATGGAAAAACACCTAAAAGAACAATGAAACAGTTTATCAGTTAATTGAATTCAGAAATTAATCATTTTTATATGCATGCAGTGTCCCTGTTTCTACTCTAAATTCAAGTATGAATGCCAACACTGAATTCAAATAGAACTTTTGTGAATGAGTAACTAGCTCAAGGTCAGCAATAGATGGAGTATGCTGCTTGTCTGTTTCCCAGGAAGTATCCTGGAAGCTATGGGTGTAACTAAAAGGTCACTACAGTACCCCATATTTTGCATTGTTAAAGCTTCTGGGAATATGACTCTACATCAAGATGCCATCTCTTAAGACTACTGAAGTTTTTAAAGCAATAAGCTTTTGTAACCTTATAAAATATCTTTTCCCAGAACCACCTCCTAAAGCATAGAAGAAAGATGTAATAAAGGCAAAGTCATTGAGCATCTTTGTACAATATTGACAGTTTGAAAACTATATTTAGGTATCAGGAACCTATGCTTAGATATACATGATCATACTTTCATTTATTGGGCATTTCCATTCAAATAAATTAATATTGATTAACTGATTTTGCATCCAATTGTCTTCACCTAGGTAATATCATTGAACTATTGTGTGTGTGTTTGTGTGTGTTAATGATGTTGAGACTCAGAGTCTCTGGTCACTACTGGATTAATATTGTGGATGTTTTAACAAAAGCAGAAATATATGACTCTGGAAACGTCACTTGAGACTTCTCTCTTTTTTTTTTTTTGAGACGGAGTCTCGCTCTGTCGCCCAGGCTGGAGGGCAGTGGCGGGATCTCGGCTCACTGCAAGCTCCGCCTCCCGGGTTCACACCATTCTCCTGCCTCAGCCTCCCAAGTAGCTGGGACTACAGGCGCCCGCCACTACGCCTGGCTAATTTTTTGTATTTTTAGTAGAGACGGGGTTTCACCGTGTTAGCCGGGATGGTCTCGATCTCCTGACCTCGTGATCTGCCCGCCTTGGCCTCCCAAAGTCCTGGGATTACAGGCGTGAGCCACCGCGCCCAGCCAAGACTTCTCTTAACCTGATGACTGAATCCAAGATTCCTTTATTTAAGCAAATGTTCTAAAACACTGATATGGCCACTGCTGGATTTTTAATAGTCATTTTTCACTGAATGCACACACTGGCATTCTAAATCACAAACATTATTATCAATTTAAAAAGCATATAACATTCATCTGTTTTTCTCCCACTTTGATTTTTAGTCCAGGGGTAACTCTGTGAAAGCCAGGTCAAATGTTTTCTGTATACAAATTTCAAAGTTTATCAAAGGTGAGACACAGAGAAAATTATACACACACACACACACACACACACACACACACACACACGATAGACATATATATTTCACATACACCACATTTTCTTTATCCACTCATTTAGGTTGGTTCCATATCTTTGCAATTGTGAATTGTGCTGCAGTAAACATATACATGCTGGAGTCTTTTTGATACAATGATTTTTCCTTTGGGTAGATATCCAGGAGCAGGATTGCTGATAGATAGGTTAGTGCAGCAGTAATTAATTAAAGTAATTTTACTATTAAAGTAATGGCAAAACCCACAATTACTGTTGTACAAACTGAATACTTTTGCTTCTTTAAGAAACCTCTATACTGTTTTCCACAGTGGTTGTGCAAATTTACATTCCCACCAGCAATGTATACGCATTTCCTTTTCACTACATGTATGACAACATCTATTGTTTTTTTACTTTTTAATAATGGCCATTTTTGCAAGGGTAACGTGGTAGCTCATTGTGGTCTTAATTTGAATTTCCTGATGATTAGTGATGTTGAGCATTTTATTTATATGTTCGTTAACCATTTCTGTATCTTCTTTTGAGAAGTATCTATGCCATTTGCCTGCTTTTTGATGGGATTTTTTTTTTCTTGATGATTTGAATTCATTATAGATTCTGGATATTAGTCTTTTTCTCCAACTCTGTGGGTTGTCTGTTTACTCTGCTGATTATTTGTTTTGCTATGAAGAAACTTTTTAGTTTAATTAGGTCCCATTTATTTATTTTTGGTTTTGTGGCATTTGCTTTTGGGGACTTAGTCATAAATTCTTTGCCTAAACTAATATCCAGAAGAGCTTTTCCTTGGTTGTCTTCTAGAGTTTTAATGGTTTAAGTCTTAGATTTAAGTATTTGATCTATCATGAGTTGATTTTTTGTATGAGAGATAGGGATCCAATTTCATTCTTCCACATGTGGCTATCCAGTTTTCTCTGCACCATTTATTAAGTAGGATGTCCTTTTGCCAATTTATGTTTCGTTATCTTTGTTATCTATTTCAAAGATAAAGCAGTAAGGCTGTAAGTATTTGGCTTTATTTCTGGGTTCTCTATTCTGTTCCACTGGTCCAGTGTCTACTTTTATAGCAATACCATGCTGTTTTGGTAACTATAGACTTGTAGTATAATTTGAAGTCAGGTAATGTCATGCCTCTAGATTTGTTCTTTTTGCTTAGGATTGCTTTGGCTATTCAGGCTCTGTTTTGGTTCCATATGAATTTTAGAATTTTTTTTCTAATTCTGTAAAAAATGATCTTAATATTTTATAGGAATTGCATTGAATTGTTAGAATGCTTTGGGCGGTGAGGTCATTTTCATGATATTAATTCTCCCAATCCATGAGTCTGGAATGTATTTTCTCTTGTTTGTGTCATCTGTAATTTATTTCAGCAGTGTTTAATAGCTTTCCATGTATGGATCTTTCACCTCCTTGGTTAAGCATATTCCAAGGTATTTTAATTTTTTTGCAGCTATTGTAAAAGGGATTGAGTTCTTGATTTCATTCTCATCTTGGTCATTGTTGGTATATAGCAGTGCTACTGATGTGTGTACACTGATTTTGTAACCTGAGACTTTACTGAATTCATTTATCAAATCTAGTAGTCCTTTGGAGGAGTCTGGGGTTTTCTAGGTATACAACTAAATCATTGGCGAACAGTGGTAGTTTGACTTTCCTTTTTTACAATTTGGATGCCGTTTATTTCTTTCTCTTGCCTGAATGCTTTGGCTGGGACTTCCAGTACTGTGTTGAATAGAAGTATTTAAAGCGGGTGTCCTTGCCTAGAGTCAGTTCTCAGGGGGAATGCTTTCAACTTTTCCCCATTCAGTATGATGTTGCCTGTGGGTTTATCATATATAGCTTTTATTATTTTGAGATATGTCCTTTTTATGCCTAGTGTGTGGAGGGCTTTTATTATAAAGGGATGCTGGATGTTTTTCAAATGCTTTTTCTTGCATCTATTGAAATGATCATATGGTTTTTGTTTTTAATTATGTTTATGTGGTATATCACATGTATTGACTTGCATATGTTAAACCATCCCTGCATCCCTAAGATGAAATGCACGTGATCATGGTATATTACCTCTCTGATGTGCTGATGTATTCATTTACCTAGCATTTTGTTGAGGATTTTTCCATCTGTGTTCATCAGGTTTATTTTTTCCATCTATGTTCATCAAATATATTGGTCTGTAGTTTTCTCTTTTGGTTATGTCCTTTCCTGGTTTGGGTATCAGGGTGATACTGGCTTCAGTTCATTAGGGAGAATTTCCTCTTTCTCAGTCTTTTGGATTGGTACCAATTCTTCTCAGTACTCCTGCTTATTGTTGGTTTCCATTTCCATAAAATATCTTTTCCAACCCGTTTACCTTGAGTTTTTATGAATCCTTACATGTTAGATGAATCTCTTGAAGATAGTAGATATTTGGTTTGTAATTTTTTATCCATTCTGCTAATCTTTATCTTTTAAGAGGAGCATTTAGGTCATTTATGTTCAATGTTAACATTGAAATGTGAGGTACTTTTCCATTCATCATGTTAATTGTTACCTAGTGATATGGTTAGGCTCTGTGCCTCCACCCAAATCTCATGTTGAATTGTAATTCCCAATGTTGGGGGAGGGACCTGGTGGGAGGCAATTGGATCATGGCGGTGCATTTCCCCTTGCTGTTCTTGTGATAGTGAGTTCTTAGGCAATCTGGTTGTTTAAAAGTGTGTGGCACTTCCCCCTTCATTTTCTCTCCTGCTTCACCATGGTAACACATGCCTGATTCCCCTTCACTTTCTGCCATGATTGTAAATTTCCTGAGGCCTCCCAGCTATGATTCCTGGGGAGCCTGTGGAACTATGAGTAAATTAAACTTCTTTTCTTCATAAATCATCCAGTATCAGGTAGTTCTTTATAGCAGTGTGATAATGGATTAATACACCTAGATACTTTATTTTCTTTGTTGTGTTATTTTTTATAGGTCTTGTGAGTTCCAAGAGTCTTTCAAGAGGTCTATTCTGGTGCATATTAAACTGTTATTTCAAGATTTAGAACTCCTTTTAGCATTTCTTTTAGGGCTGGTCTTGTAGTGACAAATTCTCTCAGTATTTGTTTGTCTGAAAATAAATTTATTTCTCCTTCATTTATGAAACTTAGTTTTGCAGGATACAAAATTCTTGACTGACCATTATTCTGTTTAAGGAGACTAAAGATATGACCCCAATCCCTTCTGGTTTGTAAGGTTTCCACTGAGAAGTCTGCTGTTAGTCTGCTAGATTTTCCTTTATAGATAGGTTTCCTGATGCTTTTGCCTCACTTTTCTTTGAATTTTTTTTTTCATGTTGGCTTCAGGTAGCCTGGTGACTATGTGCCTTAGTGGTGTCCTTTTTGCAATGAATATCCTGGGAGTTCTTTGAGCTGCTTGTATTTGGACATCTAAATTTCTAGCCAGGCCAGGAAAATTTTCTTCAATTATTCCCTCAAATAAGTTTTCCAAACTTTTTTGCTTTCTTTTTTCGCTTAGGAACATAAATTATTCTTAGGCTTGGCCATTTTACATAATCCCATATTTCTTGGAGGCCTTTGCTCATTTCTTTTGATTCTTTATTCTTTATTTTTGTCTCATTGGGTTAATTTGAATGCCTTGTCTTTGAGCTCTGAAATTCCTTCTTCTATTTCGTCTAGTTTCTTAATACTTTACACTGCATTTTGTAATTTCCTAAATGTGTCTTTTATTTCCAGACATTCTGAAGTTTTTCTTTAAAATATCTATCTCTTTAGAAAAATTTTCATTTACATCCTGAATTGTTTTTTTAAATGTCTTTATGTTGGTTTTGTCTTTCCCTGGTATCTCCTTGAGGAGCTTAATAATTCACCTTCTGAATTCTTCATCTCGTATTTAAA
The DNA here is from genome assembly GCF_000001405.40 of Homo sapiens. Lineage (NCBI taxonomy): Eukaryota > Metazoa > Chordata > Mammalia > Primates > Hominidae > Homo > Homo sapiens. The sequence goes on from NC_000014.9 coordinate 40,118,872, forward strand.
ATATTTCATTTTGGTTTGGATCCATTGCTGGAAAGTTAGTATGATTTTTAGGGTTGTTATAGAACTCTGTTTTGTCGTATTACCAGAATTATTTTTCTGGTTTCTTCTAATTTAGATAGGCTATTTGTTCTAATTATTCCTGAACATTTTTTATTTGATTTTTTTATATTTCTTTTTCCCCCCCTCAAGGATGTGACTTTAATATGTGTAGTGTATTATACCCTAATTTGGCTTGTGATGCTTTTAGGAGTGAAGAACATGTACAGGTTCCTTGGTTATAGAGAAACTTTTAATAATGGCTTTCTCAGATACTGGCTGTACTGGCAATATGCTGGTATGTGAGCAGATTATCTCCTATGGGGTTGGAATGGCAGAGGTCTCTTGAAGCTTATCTCATTCCCTCGTGGTTTGCATTTTTAATTTATTTATTTTACCCCAATATTTTATTTACTGGGTTGAATAGTTCGGGCTTCATGCCAATAGGGGACGTGTTCCTGGGTAGAAACCAGTTGTGGCTAAAGCAGGTAAATAAATGCAATAATAAGTTGTTGGCAGATGTCACCACCTTGACAGAGGTGGCTGGAGGAGCGCTCAGAGAAATGCACTGAAGTCTTATCAGAGGGAAATATGAGACCCACCTCAGAGCCCCTGCCAGGACAGCAGGAAAGCAATTCACCTCCCAGACACAGTTCTGACTCAGTGTTCTGGCTCTTCAGATCCAACAGACACTTTTTTAATCTGCAGGAATGTTGATGTCCCAAGTAGAGAGGAGCTGACTCTACCCCTTGTGCAAATCTGAACCTAGAGGGCCTCCTTCTGTGGGGATGTGGTCACCCCGAAATGTTCCAGAAGGGTTGTCTTTAGGTGCACCCACGCTGAGCTCCTGTGGGAGACGTTGGGTTCATAATTTTTGAAATGTAAATATATAGGGAAAAATAGTACTCACATCTTCTTGGCACCTTGGACTTAGCCCAGGGATCTAGTCCAGAGCATTTGGCACTGGTAGTTCAGAGCAATTAACCAGAGAGAGGGCTACAGATCTAACTTTCATGTTATATGAAGAGTAAAAAGATTCTAGAGGAAGTGAAAGCGTACATCCCCTACCTTACATCATATACCTTTCCATGTCTCTGGAGGCTAGGGCTTTTCACAAGCACACTGAGAAATCCAGGGGCATTTAATCTCCCCAGAGCTTCCTACAGGCTAGATTTATTGATAGATGCTTTCCAATATATTATTTGATTGCCACAAGAAGTCTGCATAATAACTATCATTATGCTGAGTTTAAATTTGAGAAAAACAAGGCTTGGCAAGTATAAAACAATCAGCTCCAGACTCTGCAGCTAGAGTAGTTATTGGTTTGGTAAAAAAAATTCTGCCTGGCTCCAAGACTATCCTGTTTTCCTCTGTACCACACTGAAGTGAAGGAGAACATATTCAAGTAATCTCTTGTCCTAGGATATCTTTGACAAATAAAACAAGAAATTACTTTAAAAAATGCTTTCACCATATAGAAAGTTAAAAACCTAAAGGAAAATGAAACCACATTGATACCTGAAGTCTGGGTCAAAATCAGGAGGGAAAAAAAGCCCCCAAACTTGAAGCTTTTCTTGTAATTTTCAAAGGAAAACATAAGTATCTCATATCAGAAAGCAGACCTTTCTAAAAAGCAAAACTATTTCAAAATATGTTATTTTCTGGCATTAATCCTCAGATGGACACATCTCTCTTTATTCAGTGACTTTTGCTCTTTCAGGTTAACCCCCAGAGACCCATTCTGAGAGCTAAGATAAGCACTGCTAAGCAAATGTACAATAACACATCACAGATCTGAGAAAAGTTTTCTACACACCTAAAGCCTAAGGATAAAATTTAAATAATGGAAGACAGCCTAAAGCTTGAGATCCAGATGTTAATACTCTACTAATGGCACTCTTTAAGCCTGAAGTCAAATGCTAGGCAAAAACAATATTTTTCTTTTGTTGAAATAAATAATTTCTATAACCTGAGAAGAGCAGATCAACTAGCAATCTCCTTGTTTCCTTGGTACACATCCCTCCCTCATTCCACAACAAAACAAAGGAAATCAATCAAATTAAAACATAGCAAAACATAGTGGTTTTATATTGGAAAATTTTTTGCCTTCTTATTTATTTATTTGAGACAGAATCTTGCTCTGTCACCCAGGCTGGAGTGAAGTGGTGCAGTCTTGGCTCACGGCAACCTCCACCTCTGGGTTCAAGTGATTCTTCTGCCTCAGCCTCCCAAGTAGCTGGGACTATAGTGATGCACCACCATGCCCGGCTATTTTTTTTTTGTATTTTTAGTAGAGACAGGGTTTTACCATATTGGTCAGGCTGGTCTTAAACTCCTGACCTCGTGGTCCACCCGCCTCTGCTTCCCAAAGTGCTGGGATTACAGGCGTGAGCCTCCACGACTGGCCTTTGCCTTCTTAAGAAGTGATAAAAGGAATGACACTTTCATAAACTAACAACCTTTCCAATTTAGAGTCCTGGAAATATGATAGCAAATAATACACAACATTTTACAATGTGTCCTCAAAATTACAGTTTTGTAGTGTTTTAAGTAATTGCGAATGATAGAACACTTATTTGTAAAACATCAAATGACTAACAGCTGATTCAAGGATTCATTAGAAGAATAAAGGAAAGAGCGATATGATGCACTGTTCAGATTGGAGGTAAGATCTTTTTTTAAAATTTAATATGAAATAATTTGTTGGGGGCGGGAGAGGTGAAACTGTAAGGACATATAAACATTTTCTTGATATCCCCCCAATAAATTAAACATGGTCAGAGAAAACTTAAAAACTAATAAATCTGAGGTTCTAAAAGCATCTGTAAAGAACTTATCAAGATTATTTTATTTTTTTAAAAAGCTACAAACTATAAATAGGGGCTGATAGAATTGTGTAAAAGGGAACATGAGGATTATATATTTTTGTCCTCTAGATATGCTAATGTACTTCGTCACTTTCCAAATTCACTGTATTGTGAAGCTTTCTGTCACACAAGCCTTTTCAGCCTTACCTCTTATGCCTCAGAACCTCTCAGCTACTCAAGGACCTGCCAAGTTTTTATTCTCCAGCATCTCAGGTCCTTGTCGTCTTCAAAGGTTAAGTTTAGCTTATTCATAATTTTCCTATTTGGTCTTTTCATTTAGGTTGAAAGTCCCTTGAAATCATGAGTTTTCTATTACATGCTGTATAGGTCTACACAAAACTCAGTCTGGGACTGGGATGTTATTTGCAGGAAGGAATATTGAAAGAGGTTTTTGGAACTGCAAGACATAAGTCAGCAGCCCTGAATGAAACATGTTTAAGCAATTCACTTAAGTGGGTTGGTTCCCTTAGGAAGATTCTAAAGGAGTGGACACTAAATGGAGGGTGGCTTTCATAAATGTTAAATATATGATGCCCATTTGTCCTTGACTTTGGGAAAAATCAATATCTTTTATTGACAGGTAACCATTTGACTAGCTAGGCATAAAATTAAGCCTTAAAATAATGTTCACATCAATGCACATCAGAAGAATCATTTATAAAATAACATATATTAGAGACCAAGGCAGAAAATATAAAAAGCTTAAAAACCTATAGCAATAGGACTTTATCCAAGTAATTTATTCACTAACTCTACAAAATAATGAAGTTAAAACTGGTCTTTACTATTCCCCAGAGAACAATATCACTACAAAGCACTAAATTACCCCAATTACAACTTGCTTAATTTGGGAATTTAGAGACAAATAGAATGGAGGAGTGTGAGGCAGTATCAGTCCCCCAAAGTGTGAGCTAAAACAGATACAACAGACGCTATGGGACCTCACGTGGGTGCTTTTATAGTAGTTACATAAATTTTTTTATCTCATATCACAAGGTTTAATTCCTTTCTTACATGGAGCTAAGAACACTTCATTTCCTTCTTTGAAATGTGTGATAAAATATCATGCATATGAAACCTCTTAAAGAGCCAATAAGATTAAAAATAGATCAGGATTAAATAGGGTATTAAGATTTCTACTACCAGCATAAAAGTGTAATTCATTGTACTGTAGGCAGTGGGAAAGAGGTTTTATGGTTAGGCTTTCCTTTTTTGATCTACACAAGTCACACTGGACTTAGTGAAGTTTTCACACTACATATAAAGCAGCTGAATTTATATCTTCAGATTCTAAGGTTTTCTACATCCTGGATAATGTTTACCTTTTAGTGTAATATACAGCCACCCCACTTAAGAAACTGGTCTTATTAACCTTTGAAAATCTTTAAGCCTTACCCTGTGTTTAACATATTCATGCTTCACTGAGTAATGTTCTGTGATTCATTCTCATCGTTTCTTTCTTTCTAAAGCTGATTAATTCTTTAAAGCTAGCTCAAGTTCACATTTACCTTCTTAGATTATGCCATGACAGATTTCAGTGCTTCTGATGCCATCTGTTTGGTAGGAAAGACATTTCCTTTGAGAGGCAGGTGAAAGGGCAACAAGAAAGTCAGCTAGTAGATAATCTTTAGTTTAGGGCCTGTACTCTAGTGGTAAAAAGTCATTCTAGAATTTAATGATTACTTTGCTTTTTCTGTGCTTCCTTTCATACTGACCGAGTTGAGCATATAGCTGGGCTAGGCCTGACCAAAAAAGAAAAAAAAAAAACCACTTTGGCACTTTGCAAGAAAGACAAGTTGTCTCTGTTTAAGGCTGCTTTTACCATGGGAAACAATCAGAATAAAAGATATATAGTAGATAAGAATATAAATGAATATAAAATGAATGATGGACCTCTCCTCCCTTCATTGTTTCCTCTTTATCTTCCCTAGTTCTTGACAGAAGTAATGTCATTTCCTAATTAGAAATCTCCTGTAGCCTTTTCCTAATAAGGGCTGGGGAGAGAAGTTAAGTTAAAGGAAGGAAGAAACCAGAGGTTCCATTCCTTTTAAACTTATCAGAGCCCTGTGCCAATTACTCTGGATTCTATTCACTACCATATTAGACAATTAGTTTCTGAGCTAGTTATGTAGCTTTGGTACACTAATGTTACTGATGATATAATGATCCTGCAGAAGATTTGGCAGTGGCCTACCAGAAACATTTAGGGCTGCGGTGTTTTGATGTCCAGAGTGGACTCTTGGCAGGAGTGTCTAAGAATTACAACACATCTGCCTGAATAGAACAACAGGTAGCAAGACCCAGATATACAAGCTTGTCTGTACTTAGTGAATTAAGAGAACAGTAAGGCAAGGCTGCATTTGGCTTAATTGTTAAACATAGCTGTTCTCTTCTTCACTGCTTTGCCTTATCATGTACGTTCATTTCTGTTTTCATTTTATGCCCTTTGGAACATTCTTTGCTTCTTTTGGTTCCAGTCAATTTAACAAATTCCCATCTATTGTTTTGCATTTTGTTTTTCATTTATTTTGTTCTCATAAAAAGAATTTATGTTATTCTTTTAGAATGTTCCTATTTTTAGGTTAGGTTATGAAAAGAGGGCTAGTAATTTGAATTAAGTGTATCTATTTTTTTTTCTTGGTTAAGTTGCACACAACTTAATGCCCTTGGTTGTTGGTGATACCTTACTATATGGAGATTCTCATTCTATTTTAAGTAATGGACTAGCATAGATAAGGATCTTAGTCTCTCTTAATTACTATTTGTAAACCTTTCCCAAAATTAGGTCTTTTAAACTGCTTCTTTTCTAATACGATATTTCTGATCAGAAACTTTGTATAACTTTTTGTATTATTCACTGGATGTAGTCCAAACTCCTTCACTGTCCATTCAAAATCCTTCACAACGTTGTTGTAATTTGAAATTTCAGTTTTGTAAGCTATCTCTTCTCTAAGCAATAAATATTAGATATCCATTAACCATGACTTGATTTACATGCTATTACTGGGAAAATTCTTCCTTTTCCCCTTATCCTGTATAAATCATAAGCATTCTATGAGCATAACTCAAACCACCTACATTACATTTTAACTCCAAATGCTTTCTCTCTCTTCTGAAATTATATGTAATTTATTATCCTTACTATTCATTTTAATGCTTTTCATGAATTCTTTTTTTTTTTTTTTTTGAGACCGACTCTTGCACTGTTGCCCAGGCTGGAGTGCAGTGACGCGATCTCGGCCACTGCAGCCTCCACCTTGAGGGTTTAAGCAATTCTCTTGCCTCAGCCTCCCGAGTAGCTGAGATTACAGGCGCCCTCCACCATGCCCGGCTGATTTTATTATTATTTTTTTTTGTATTTTTAGTAGAGATGGGGTTTCACCATGTTGGTCAGGCTGGTCTCGAACTCCTGACCTCGTGATCTGCCCTCCTCAGTCTCCCAAAGTGCTGGGATTACAGGTGTGAGCCACCGTGCCCGGCCCATGAAGTCTTATTGGTAAATTATCTTCATACATCTACGAGACTGAAAATATTACAAGAAAGGGCCACTCTTTTTTGCTTGTATTACTCTTGTATGGCTTTTCCAATAGTAATTGCTTAGGAAATACTTATTGTTTGTTTATTTATTTATTTATTTATTTATTTATTTATTTGAGACGGAGTCTTGCTCTGTCGCCCAGGCTGGAGTGCAGTGGCGCGATCTTGGCTCACTACAAGCTCTGCCTCCGGGTTCATGCCATTCTCCTTGCCTCAGCCTCCTGAGTAGCTGGGACTACAGGTGCCCGCCACCACGCCCCGCTAATTTTTTGTATTTTTAGTAGAGACAGGGTTTCACCGTGTTAGCTAGGATGGTCTCGATCTCCTGACGTTGTGATCCACCCGCCTTGGCCTCCCAAAGTGCTGGGATTACAGGCGTGAGCCACCGCACCTGGCCTTATTGTTTACTTACTAGATTAATACAACAGATTATTCCTTATCAGGTATAGTGTAGTGTAGAAGATTTCCAGAGTCCTCCTATCAAAGAATAGTTCAGGTAAATGGGTTAATGCAGATGATGCCCATTAAGGCCCCAAAGCTAGGTGAAGTAGGCATGTGAGGAGATGATGCCTTACACTAGATTTTTACGTCCATCATGACACCCATTTACCTTTGTTTTTCGAATAGATGTATTTGATTGTGATTATGGGGTGACTTTTAAAAAGCCGAAGATTAATGTGACAATTGGTGAGTTTGTATTTATCTCATTAGCTAATTTGTCTAAATCTCAAGCCTTTATGAAAAATACACTTTTTTTTTTACCAGTACAGATATATGTCTTATAATACCATTCTTCTCTCAGTATCACATTGCCCAACCTCCGTAATGTAACTTTGTACAACAAATACTGGATTCACTAACAAACATTACGTGAAATTGTGTAATGAAAAGAATGGCTTTACCTTTGTCTTTAGATTTCACTACGATTTTCTTTTTGGCAAGTCTTGTTATCTTATGATCTTCAACATCCATCACTAAATTCTAAAAAGTGAAAAAAATGCCAGCTGAGCTAGATATATTGGTATTAGGCACTTTCTACCACAACTAATAATAATATATCAACAGGTCACATGACAGAAAGTGATGACAATCATTCAAAGACAATATGGCTATTGAACAATATACTTATTGCTGACTGGTAATAGGTCAATACAAAAGGAAGATCAGAAGATTGAGGAAATATAACACTGCACAATTCTGTTGTAGGTACAATTCCAGAACCTTGAGAACATTAAGAGAGCCCAGAATATTGCCCAATTCTGACTGATACCTTCCTAACCTCACTAATTTGAGTTTAAGTTATCCATGGAACGTCTAAGTGGGGATGACCTTTAGGTAATTGAATGTATATATTTGGATCTTGAGTGATGTCAAGTATAGAAGAAATATAGCAATTAACAGTTATTACATGTCTACTATGAATTTGGCAGAACTTTTAGCACTTTACACATATGAAACATTTAATCTTCATAATAAGCCACTTTAATATTATTACTCTCTTAGTTTTAATGCTGAGGAAATTGAGATACAAGCAGAGTAAATCATTCATCCAATATCAAACCTCTAGAAAGCAGTGGAAGTGGATTTTGATTCAGATGTTCTAGTTCTAGGGCATCTGTTCTTACCTATCACTCTTCTTTTCTAATGGAACCTGGGTGGTGATTGAAATAGTGATTGTGAAGGAAGTTTCTCAGTTAAACAGCTGGTTCAAAATAGTAAATGCTGTACACTGGCCATTGCATTACTTAAGATTGTGCTAGTTATAATGACAAAATACCTAAAAATACATGATGACTAAGATAAATGGTGGCCAAAAACACTGAGAAAGTATTTCTTAATCTTGAAAAGTCCAAACACCAATTCGGGGATCCAACCTCCTTCCAGCTTGTGGTTCTGTCAGACTCAAAATGTGGTATCTGAAATTGCTCTGGTCATCTGCATCAAGCCAGCCAGAAAGAAGATCAAGGCCAGGAACGTAAAGGAGGAGATTTTTGTGGTACATGATATGGGTCGGTTCTATGTCCCCATCCAAATCTCATATCAAATTGTAATCCCCAGAATCCCCACACGTTGAGGGTGGGACTTGGTAGGAGGTGATTGGATCAAGGGGGTGGTTTCCCCCATGCTGTTCTCATGATAGTGAGTGAGCTCTCACGAAATCTGATGGTTTCATAAGAGGCTCCTCCCCCTTCACTTGTCTGTGCGCTCTCACTCTCTTTCTCTCTCTTCTCTCTCTCTCTCTCCTGCCACCATGTAAGATGTGCCTCGTACTCTTCCGCCATGATTGTAAGTTTCCTGAGGCCTCCCCAGCCCTGCGGAACTGTGAGTCAATTAAACCAATGTTTTTTATAAATTACCCAGTCTTGGGTATGTCTTTATAGCAGTGTGGCAACAGACTAATACAGTACATTTCAGGAAGTAATATATATCATTTGTTATCACATTTTGTTGGCTAGTGCTTTGTCATATTGTCAGTCTGAAGTCAGCTAACTACAAAGGAGTCTAGTAAAGTTAGTCTAGCTATGGACCCAGAAACAAGAGGGCATAGGTTGGAGAAAGAGTTTTATGTTTCCACAACATCTACTAATGAAAACTGGCTTATTTTATGGGTTTTAAAACTATATAATTCTAGTTTGCATTAGGGACAAATACTGTAAGTAGAAATCCTAAAATTTTGAACAAAAATTTAAGATAGTTTTATGATGGCTTCATGCACTTACCTATTTTATTTTATTATGTTTATTTATTTAGAGACAGAGTCTCACTCTGTCACCCAGGCTGGAGTGCAGTTACACAATGTTGGCTCACTGCAACCTTTGCCTCCCTGGTTCAAGCAGTTCTCCTCCCTCAGCCTCCCAAGTAGCTGGGATTACACATTCCTGCAACCATCCCTGGCTAATTTTTGTATTTTTAGTAGAGATGGGGTTTCACCATGTTGGCCAGGCTGGTCTCAAACTCCTGACCTCAAGTGATCCACTCATCTCGGCCTCCCAAAGTGCCAGGATTATAGCTGTGAGCCACTGCACCCAGCCACACTTCCCTATTTTAAAATAAAAAAGTTTTATGCCACTTGGAATAAAATTAAAATGTCTCTGGCTTTTAAAATTATATATGCAATAACTATTATTTTACATAAGGAATACAGCAAAATAAATCTTTTGGAAACACTTTAATCTTAATCTTTAATTTAGTTTTATATTCAAAGGTTGAGAAATTCACATTTATAAAATGTTGAAGTGCTGTGAATGATGAAACCAAGTAGACATAAAGCATATTGCTATATTCTTAAAATATCTTGTAATACATATTAAAAGAAATTCTTCAATTTACCTACTACAGAATTGAAAAAGAAACATGCTTTGCATAAAGACACACATGAATAACACATTTACATTGATATTTAATACTCTAAATACAGAGAAAAGTTTATTTTAATAGAAGTCTATTTTCCAAAAATAATCCCTAAAATGCTAATTATCAAATAAAGAGACAGGGATATAAGTATCTAATCAGAAACTTGGATTTTCTTCATTAATTAAAGAGAAAATGCTGATCAAAAATATTTTTCATTTTATCTCTTATACTATGCTTTTATTTTGCTCCCCATCCCCCGAATTCCCTATGCACACATGAAAGACAACTAAATAACATGAGTAGTAGAAGAAAATCCCACACATATGCTAGCAAGATTTTTAACTTTTTTTTAACACAGAAACAAACAATATGAACCATAAATGAAACAGCAAAAAGCAGTAAATATCTCCTGCATTCTGTGACACAAGTATGTAATTATTTTCCCTTGAAAGGTATGAGCATTTTTCTGGTAACATTAGGTACACAAAATTACCAATTATTATAGTTATGATTCACCATTAATTCCTACAATTACATAAAATAAGATGTAATCTTCTTTCCTTTTAAAAGCTTGACTCTAAAAATAGTGACACCTGGGGCATCATATTTGAACTCAATAGAAGCTGGGGCATCATACTTGAACTTTGAATATTCAAATTTGATATCCTAATTACATACATTATACAAATGTAAAACTGCTGACTAAAGTATAATGAAGGATCTGTGTGCATTATTCAGGTCTGTGTGTACTCTTATGAGGATTTTAGTGTTACTATCTGTATATATTAAATAAAGAAAAAATTAAAATACTGTTTTAAAATAAAAATTTAAAAAATTAAAATACTGAGATTTAAAATATGTAGATATGTTTGGACATCCCAAAGTAATGTAAACAAAATATCCAACGGTTCTAATCATTGACGACTGTCTTGTATTTATATAATTTCTCTAGTTTTTGTTCTAAAATTACTCATGAAAACTGACGCCTTTTGTGTGCCTCATTCTAAGTGACCACAGTGTACTGTGAAATAATCATGCATATTTTTATACTCTGAATTTCACAATGATCAGTGTGTACTTGGAGGGAGAGAAGAAGAGAAGAAGTGGGGGAGTAATTAAATAATGCAGAAAATTCTGCCTGTTATTGTACTTAAGTTATTTATGATCCAAGGTGAATAGTGGGATTTTTGCTGGGATGGGGTGCGGGGGGTGAGTGTTAGTTTCAGAGGAGCTTTCATAGTGTGAGCATCTTGCAGCCTGATTGTAATTTTAGCATTTGAAGATTCATAATTGAGATACTAATGGCTCCAAGTGCCAGTCAAAACTTCCATCTGTTGCCAGCCGACTAAACATCTGTCTTATCCATTGTTGGAGGAAAAGCTAATTTTTATCCTATAGTATTTAATTGTATACAACAAAGGAATTAAGGACTGACTTTATAACATTTACCCTGTGTAAGATGGAATTCCACTGGAATGGACATTTATAGTTCTATATTATTTTTCTATGATCCACTTGTATGTTTATATAGTTCCTTATATTAAGTAGATTTATTTGCATTCTTCTCTTTATCTTTCCAAAGAAACTCATAATCATTATTTCAGCCTTATTTGCATATCCCATTCCTCATGTTTTTACTTGGTTCACTTATGATATCCAGTAACTAATCTTTGAAAGCATCTCAAGGCAATGAAATGTAAGACTTATAACTAAAAACAGGTTTCTTAAATTAGAAAAGAAAAACATCAAAAATTATCAGCTTCAAATATTCCTAGAGAAGCATCAATAAATGTACAATAAAATTTACGAAATGTTATATTTCCAAAGATGTAGAGAATACTATTATGTATCATCCAGTTTAAGGAAATGTTAAAACATGGAAATAATTTATAAAAATTTGAGCTTCAAGTTGTCTTTTATAGTTGGATAAAAACAGCAAGAGAAACATGGGAAGTGCAATAGGGAGCTGATATGGTTAGGCTTTGTGATCCCACCCAAATCTCATCTTGAATTGTAATCCCCAGGTGTTGAGAGAGACCTGGTGGAAGGTGAGTGGATCACTGGGAGGGTTTTCCCCATGCTGTTCTTATGATGATGAGTGAGTTCCCATGAGATCTGATGGTTTTATAAGTGTTTGGCAAGTTTATCCTTTGATTGCTCTTCTCTATCCTATCATCTTGTGAAGAGGTGCCTGCTTCTTCTTCTGCCATGATTGTAAGTTTCCTAAGGTCTCCCCAGCCATGTAAAACTGTGAATCAATTAAACCTCTTCTCTTAATAAATTACCCAGTCTTAGGTAGTTATCTTTGTAGCATGTGAGAACAGACTAATGCAGAAGCTTTACAATAATAGTGGTCACCAAAGTAAGTGTTACGGCTCTTGCTTGGGCTGACCCATATAGGGCTGGAAGAGTTTAGAACTTCCTATATTTTATATATCATTTAAATATTTTTGAATGTTTAAAAATAAGCTTAATATTTTAATATAATATTATGTAAATTAATACTATATATTGGTATTATTAAAATATTATTTATATTTGGGGTTATCCTAAAATTGTTTCTTATGTTGGTATGTGTTCATTTTGGAGATTGGAAGCTAAATATCAATACTCTGAATAAAAGGAGTGTCTAAAAGAAACCTTATGGAGACATATGGAAATAAATCTTTACTTTTTTTGTAAGCATTTCTCACTGCTTTCAATATGATTTGTATTTTTTCCTGTAGACTAAAACTATATTAAAGTTTCAGGGTTTAATGTTTTAGCAATTTGCTATAATATTAAAAGCTTTACCAGGAGTGGGTTATGATGTATAAATTCTTGCAGAGGCTTAGAGGCTGAAAATGGTGTTGTACATCTTATTAACTTCATAGCATATTCATGTAGGTCACAGACTACAATCACAATTCCACTATACTCGAAGTTTGGACTCCTGTGGTCTTGTAAGTATTATATGACCTGCAGGAATTCGCCCTACATGAGACCTATATCTATAACAGAGAAAAGTAGACAATGGCTTGAAAATGTGGCAATAAGGTGACATAGAATTCATGTTTCTAAACTCCTAAATAAGGGGTTAGCCTTACCGATATTCTACAAGCTGTACTGATCTGAGTATTTGGAATAATGGACAAAGGTAAGTAAAAAGGCCTCTGTTAGTTGCAGTAGATCACATTGTAATGTTAGTCAAACATTTATTATTATTATTACTTATGAGAAATTATTTGTAAGCACTTTGGTTATTTAAAAATTATGTGAGCCTTTCAGCTTCCCAGTAAAATGGGTTTGCGTTTCCACTTTTTAACAATGAAAAAGTAAGGTATCTGGTGAGAGTCACAGAGAAAACTAATGACGAAGTAGGATGAAAACTTTTTCTTCATTTGTATGTCATTTTCACTGAGCCAAAGAGGTAACCAAACTCAAATTTAAAAATTAAAATGCTACTTACAATCTTTTATTTAAAATTTTACTTTTGAAAAATATTTTCTTGTAAGCTGTATTTTTACATACATGTGATTATTTTAATCTATTTTCTTAGTGATATATGATTATTAAAAAATCTAATTTGGTTTTATGGATTATCTGGCTAATGAACAGAGAGCCCCTTTTCATTATATTGTTACAATTCTTTCATATGCATATGAGACTTCAGCTTTCAGCTTATTTTCAGGGTTATTTTATTATTTTTGATGAGCTATAAAAATAGGTATTAATTTTCAATCACAATTTTCATATACAGTATCACGATGCATACTCATACTCACAGCGAGGCAACATATTTATATTTACCGCTTGGTATGCACCTCCTATTCTCAAGGAGCACACCTCATCTTTTATCTTTCCATAAACTCTGCAAAGCAAGGACACCAAGGCTTACAGAGAATATAAATCTTTGAGCTCACAAGTTAAGAAGTGGCAAAGAGGTAATTTACATGGAGGTGGAGAGTATGGGGATGGGTCTGGCTCTAGACCCTTTCCTCTTTCATTACACTATGTGATCTGCCACCCCACCCTCTCAAATAAATAGAATATCTAGTAGAGAAAATTTATTTCTACCTAATTTTGACATTATAACAAATCTACTCAGATGTTTTATGGCCTTTTTAAAAATGCAGGCATAATTCTAGAATTAGTCACTTACTTTGCAATGTGTCTTGGGTTTAATTATTTATTTATTGTTGCTTTATCTTATTACCTTAGACAGTATCTTGTAGGTGAACTTGACCTCCTTGTACACTCTGCTTTTTTTAAAAAAATTCAATTAAAATTATTTATTTATTTTTCCTTCCAATTTTTACTCTAGGTCCAAACAGTAACAAATGGTTTGCTACATGGGTAAATTGCAAGTTGAAGGGCTTTAGTGAATAGATTATTTCATCACCTAGGTAATAAGCATAGTACCTGGTAGATAATTTTTTGATCCTTACCCTCCTCTCTACCTCCACCTTTCAGTAGACCCTTGTGTCTATTGTGCCCTTCTTTGCATCTATGTGTACTCAGTATTTAGCTACTAGTCATAAGTGAAAATATGTGGTATTTTATTTTCTGTTCCCACGTTAATTCACTCAGAATAAAGGCCTCTAGTGTCATTCATGTTGCTGCAAAAGATACGATCTTGTTCTTTTTTTAGCACTGCATAATATTCCATGATGTATATGTACCACATTTTCTTTTTCCAGTCTGCCACTGATAGACATTAGGTTGACTCCGTGTCTTTGCTATTTTGAATAGTGCTGTGATGATCATATTTGTGCATGTGTTTTTATGGTAGAACAATTTATAACCTTTTGAATACATACCAGTAACGGGATCACTGGGTCAAATGGTAGTTCTGAGTTCTTTAAGAAATCTCGAAACTGCTTTCCAGAGTGGCTTAACTAATTTATGTTCCCAACAGCAGTGTATAAGTTTTCCTTTTTCTCTGCAACCTTGCCAGCATTTGTTATTTATTGACTTTTTAGTAATAGCTATTCTGACTGGTGTGAGATGATACCACATTGTGGGTTTGATTTGCATTTCTCTAATGACTAGGGATGTTGAGAATATTTTCATATCCTTGTTGGCCATGTGTATGTCTCCTTTTTTTGATATATTTCCTTTTGGTGGAATTATCAGCCTATTTGAAAAAATAGTTTTGATAAAATTTATTGTAATGTATTGTTTTTCAAGACTATTACATATTTTATGGTTCTATTTTTAATATTTTAGTAGTATTTCATTGCATATGTATATTATATATTACTTTTTTAAAATTTTATTTTATTTCATTTTAAGTTCCAGAACACATTTGCAGGATGTGCAGGTTTGTTACATAGGTAAATGTGTGCCATGGTGGTTTGCTGCACGTATCAACCCATCACCTTAAGTATTAAGCCCCACATACATTAGCTATTTATCCTTTTGAGGGGTGTCTATTCATGTTCTTTGCCAATTTTTAATGGGATTGTTTGTTTTTTGCTTGGTAATTAAGTTTCTTATAGATTCTAGATATTAGACCTTTTTTTGATGCATAGCTTATAAATATTTTCTCCCATTCTGTAGATTGTCTATTTACTCTGTACATTTCTTTTACTGTGCAGAAGCTTATTGGTTTAATTAGGTCCCACTTGTCAATTTTTGCATTGTTGCAATTGCTTTGGAGTCTTCATCATGAAGTCTTTGCCAGAGCCTATGCCCAGAATGGTTTTCTTCTAGGGTTTTTGTAGTATTGGGTTTTACACTTAAATCTTTATTCCATCTTGAGTTGATTTTTGTATATTGTAAGAGGAAGGGGGTCCAATTTTAATCTGTATATGGCTGGCTAGTTATCCTGGCACCATTTATTGATTCCCTCATTGCTTGTTTTGGTGTCCACTTTGTTAAAAATCATGTGGTTGTAGGTACACAACGTTAGTTCTGGGTTCTGTATTCTGCTTCATTGGTCTATGTGCCTGTTTTTGTACCAGTCCCATGCCGTTTTGGTCACTG
Organism: Homo sapiens; assembly: GCF_000001405.40. Classification (NCBI taxonomy): domain Eukaryota; kingdom Metazoa; phylum Chordata; class Mammalia; order Primates; family Hominidae; genus Homo; species Homo sapiens. The sequence goes on from NC_000014.9 coordinate 40,134,633, forward strand.
TGGCCTTGCAGTATAGTTTGAAGTAGGGTAATGTGATGCCTCCAGCTTTGTTCTTTTTGTATATGATTTCTTTGGCTATTCAGCCTCTTTTTTGGTTCTATATGCATTTTAAAATAGATTTTCCCAATTCTTTGAAAAATGTCATTGATAGTTGGATACAAATAGTATTGAATCTTTAAATTGCTTTGGGCAGTATGGTCATTTTAACAATGTTGATTCTTCCAATCCAGGTGCATGGAATGTTTTTCCATTTGTTTGCATTATTTCTGATTTATTTCAGCAAGGATTTGTAATTCACATTGTAGAGAACTTTCACGTCCCTGGTTAGCAGTATTTGTGTGTGTATGTGTGTGTGTGTGTGTGTGTGTGTGTGTGTGTGTGGCTATTGTAAATAGGATTGCATTGTTTATTTGGTTCTCAGCTTGGACATTGTTGGTCTATATAAATTCTAGTGATTTTTCTTTTCTTTCTTTCTTTTTTAATTTTTATTTTATTTTATTTTGAGATGGAGTCTTGCTCTTATCACCCAGGCTGGAGTGCAATGGCATGATCTTGGTTCACTGCAACCTCTGCCTCCTGGGTTCAAGCGATTCTCCTGCCTCAGCCTCCTGAGTAGCTGGGATTACAGGCACCCACCACCATGCCTAGCTAATTTTTTGTGTTTTTAGTAGAGACCAGGTTTCACCGTGTTGCCCAGGCTGGTCTCAAACTCCTGACTTCAGGAGATCCACCTGCCTCGGCCTCCCAAAATGGGATTTTTCTTCATTGATTTTGTATCTCCAAACTCTACTGAAGTTGCTTATCAGATCTAGGAACTTTTCGGAAGAGACTATGGGATTTTTTAGGTATAAAATTATATCATTTGTGAAGAGCAGTGGTTTGAATTCCTATCTACCTATTGGATGCTTTTTATTTCTTGCTCTTGCTGATTGCTCTGACCAAGACTTCCAGTACAATGTTGAATAGGACTGATGAGATTGGGCATATTTGCTTATTCCAGTTCTCAGGGGGAATGCTTCCAGCTTATGCCTCTTCAGTATGATGTTGGATGTGGGTTTGTCATAGATGACTCTTATTATTTTGAGGTAAGTGCCTTCAATCTCTAGTTTGTTGAGAGTTTTTAAGATGATGGGATATTGAGTTTTATCAAAAGCCATTTCAGCATCTATTGAGAGGGTTATTTGGTTTTGCTCTTAGTTCTGTTTCTGATTAATCACTTTTATTGATTTGCTTATGTTGAAACAGACTTGCATCCCAGGAATAAAGCACACTTAATCTTGGTGGATTTGCTTTTTTGTTTGCTGCTGGATTTGGTTTGCTAGGATTTTGTTGAAGATATCTGCATTTATGTTCATTAGGGATACTGTCCTGAAGTGACTTTTTTTTATGTTGTGTCTCCAACAGGTTTTGGTATCAGAATGATGCTGGCTTCATACAATGAGTTAAAGAAGAGTCCTTCCTCCTCATTTTTGTGGAATAGTTTCAGTAGGATTGGTACCAGCTCTTCTTTTTTATGCCTGATAGAATTCAGCTGTAAATCTATCTGGTCCAGGGCTTTTTTTGGTTAGTAGGCTTTTACTTACTGATTCAATTTCAGATCTTGTTATTGGTCTATTCAAGGACTCAGTTTCTTCCTTGTTCAGTCTTGGGAAGTTGTATGTTTCCCAAATTTATACCCATTTCTTCTAGGTTTTCTAGTTTGTGTGCATAAAGGCATTAATAGTCTTTGAGACTTTTTTGTATTTCTGTGGGGTCAATGGTAATGTCTCCTTTGTCATTTCTGGTTGTGTTTATTTGGGTCTTCAGTCTTTTTTTCTTTGCTAGTCTAGCTCGCAGTCTCTCAGTCTTACTTATTCTTTCAAACAACAAAGTTTTGGTTTCGATGATCATTTTGTATGTTTTTTTTGTGTGTGTCTCAGTTTCATTCAGTTTAGCTCGGATTTTTGTTCTTCTGTTAGCTCCAAGCAAACCAACCAGCTTGGGGTTTGTTTGCTCTTGTTTTCCTAGTTTCTCTAGGTGTGATGTTAGATTGTTAATTTGAGATCTTTCTTTTTTATGTGGGTGTTTAGTTCTCTAAACATTCCTCTTAACAGTTCTTTAGCTCTGTTGTGGAGATTCTAATATGTGGTATGTTTGTTTTCTAATAAAAACAAAACATTTCCTAATTTCAGTGAATCTTAAAGAATTCCTTGATTTCTGCCATAATTTCATTGTTGCTTCAAAAGTCATTCAGGAGCAGGTTGTTTAATTTCCATGTAACTGTGTGGTTTTTAGAGATCTTCTTAGTATTGATTCCTATTTTCATCACACTGTGGCCTGTGAGTGTGGATGGTATGATTTCAGTTTTTTAAAATTTTTCCAAATTGTTTTATGGCTAAGCATGTCATTGATTTTAGAGTATGTGCCATGTGAAGATAAGAAAAATGTATATCATGTTGTTGCTGGGTGGAGTATTCTATAGATGTCTGCTAGTTCCATTTCATCAAGTGTTAGTTTATGTCCTAAATATCTTTGTCAGTTTTCTGCCTTGATAATATGTCTAATACTATCAGTGCATATTGAAGTCTCCGATTATTATTGTGTGGTTATCTAAGTCTCTTCATAAGTCTCTAAGAACTTGCTTTATGAATCTAAATGCTCTAGTTGGGGACATATGTGTTTAGGATAGTTAAGTCATCTTGTCAAATTGAACCCTTTATCATTATGTAATACCCTTCTTTGTCTAATTTGATCACTGTTGGTTTCAAGTCTGTTTTGTCTGAAATTAGACTAGCAGCTCCTGCTCTTTTTTATTTTCCATTTGCTTGGTAGATTTTTCTCTATTCTTTTACTTTGAGCCTATTTGTCATTGCATGTGAGTTGAGTCTCTTGAAGACAACATACAGTTGGGTCTTGCTTCTTTATCCAACTTGCCACTCTGTACCTTTTAAGTGGGGGGATTTAGCCTGTTTACATTCAAGGTTAATATTGATATGTGAGGATCCCATTATCATGTTGTTAGCTGGTTGTTAGGCAAAATTAATTGTGTAGTTGCTTTATAGTGTCAATGGTCTATGTACTTATGTGTGTGTTGTAGTGACAAGTAATGGTATTTTGTTTCCATGTTTATGACTCCTTTAAGGACCTCTTGTAAGACAGGTCGAGTGGTATGAATTCTCAGGGTGATATTTTAAAGTCAGAATTTTCAAAAGTACAAGCTGAATCCTTAAAAGAGTGTTTCTCAAAAGATGGTTAACTATATCCTTAGCTGCTCATTAAAAGACAAATTTCTAGATCCAACTGCTGATTAACTGAATGAGAATTTCTGCTGCAGGGTATAGGACTATGTGTTATGACAAGCCCCATCAAGTAATTCTTATTCACTTTAATGTGGGAAAATCACTCTTTAAAAGTGTACAAAGTATTCTGGAAAATGTTATATATTATTTTCATTCATATTTAATTTTCTAAGAAACACATGAAAAAATCTACATATTGTTTTCCTGAATATTTTTTGTTTTGGGAATATTCTATTTCAGATTTATAAAATATCAATGTTTCAAGATATTATATCTTAGTTTTGTAAAATCATATTAGGGTCATATTGAATACATCATAGTTGTTTAATAGTAATGTTTAAAAATCTTGAGGACCAGTGCTCTCAGGAATACACCATGGATATATATGTGTTAATTTAGTAAGAAAGGCAACAACTGACAATTACTATGGATAATATATCTCATGCTTGATCCCCAGTAAGTGCATCATTATAAACTTTTTTCAACTGTAGCATAATGTATAAAATTGTGATACAACTCCTAGTTTGTTGTAACAGCATTTCAATACATGACTGAGCCATATTTTTGTAGAATCAAAGTTTTCTGTACAAGTGAAGGACTTGTAATTAAATGTAATCAAACCAGGCATGCAGAACATGAATGTTTCCTTCATATCAGATAAATGTGTATCAAAAATGTAGAAGAATGAATAGATTATTATTAATATCGCATGAATTTCATTCTTGGCATTTTAATAATCTTTAAGTGTAGGAAAATACTTCTTTATGTCTGCAAATCCAATTATTTGACCCTGATCTCAAAGCATTACTATTCTTATTAAGAATTTGTTTGTGTTTTTTTAGTTGTTTTTAAAGCACATTTTTAAAGGTATTTCTTTAATAGCCAGTATTGTCCTTTAACATTAGGATTAGGCATTCCCAAAACTGCCTACTTATTTAGTAAACAAGGTAATTTTCCCTAGCAAAAGAAGGAAATACATAAACAATACATTTTGAAAAACTAGCACATTTTGAATTCTTACACCTTCTAAGATGTCTGCATGGATGCATCCACAAAATTCCCCTCTCTTAAAACGATTTTTATTTCTTAATACTTTTTATTACAGTCAAACATATAGGTGGAGATGTATGTACTATTCAATCAGTTATCACTACATGGACATTTATGTCATCTCTAGTAGTAAAACATTACTACCATGCAAGGGCTTACTATGTATCCTTTCCCAATTATAAATTCTGATCCCTTCCCCAGAAGAAATCTTTCTTGATGCCTAACACCCTAGTTCAGTTTTATCTTCTTATATAAGTAGAGTCAAACAATATGTATTCTTTTTGTGTGGCTTCCCTGGCTCCACATTATTTTTGTAAAATTAATTACTGTTTTTACTTGCAGTAGCTGTTAATTTTATTGATACAACCATGTTACATGCAGGAATGTGGCACAATTTATTTATCTATGCTATTGTTGATAGACATTGGGATGATGCTGCATGTATTTCTGTTGGCTTCTGCTAGTCAATAACTAAAACACATACAATTAATGATTTACATACAGTTTACTTGTATACAAGAAAAAACCAATGGACTGATTTCTTCTAACAAATACAAAAGCAGAATTTTTATACAAGGAAAAAAGGAAAAATAGAGAGGAAAAACTTCAGTTAAAATGCCACATTTTATTTTTCATAATTTGAATAAGATGCTGATTTTCTGGCAGTGAGTAAAGAGACCAGTCAGGGTTTTCTGTCTTTGGACACTGAAGGTATCTTAAAAGAAACCATTTTCAGTTGTTTGAGGATTTTCCAGAATATCTTTGTTGTTTAACATGGACATGTAAGTAGCAGAATATATTTCTAGTCTGACTGCCAGTGTCTTTTTTTAACTTGTTCAGCCCAGTCATGCAAGGTTTGTATCATTTCCCATACACACTCATAAACTTATTTGTGCATTTGGTTGGATAATATACTTAAGAAGTATAAACAATGTATCATAGGCAATGTGTGTGCTCAACTGCATGCTTCCCAAAATGTTTGTGGAAGTTTAAATACCTGCTAGTAGTTTATAGAGTTCTATTTTTTTATTATCTCCAACACTTTCTAATGACATATTTTGGTGGATGTGGAACAGCACCTCATTGAATTTAAAATTACATTTGCCTTTCCTTTAACCTCAGGGATAATCCAAGGGTTTGACTATTCATTGAATCTTTCTTTCATCATTAAGTCAATGAATTTAGGGTATTGTATGTATAGTTTCCAATATAAATGTTATGTACCAAACTGAGGTACTCGTACCTCATTATAGGGGTTGTTCATTGAGAAATTATTAACACTGACAAGGGAAGTGGAATTGATGAGGTGCAGCTAAGATGGGAAATGGCAGCTAGTCATTTTTCCCTGACAGGGCTGTGGGATAGCAATATATTTAGAAATGAGTGCTTCACAGGTGATCCAAGACCAACTGGTCTTCCCTCTTCACTGTGTTACCTACGATGAGGACAGAGACCATCAGAAAGTTCCATCTGGGAATTATGAGCCTTCAGTATGCCATTATTGTGCAAGTTGTGTTGCTGTTCTGTATGCTTTCTTAAAGTTTTGGTGATGAATGTAGCCTGTTGTATCTCATGAATTTGATTGTACGTCAAAAAGTAAGGTAATTGTTGTTGGTTAAGTGAAGTGGGCTTTTAAATTTACAAATAGAGAATTTCTCATTTAATTTGTGGCCACTTGTTTATACTATTTTAGAAAGTTTCAGAAAGTTGGTATTTGATATATTTGTCAATTTTTCTATTGGGTTCTCTGTATTTTTCATATTAATTTGAAAGAATTGGCTATAATTTTGGATATAAGCTCTTTGTCAGTTATATTTATTCTAAAAACCTTGCCTTAAATTTTTATTGAAGACTTTAATTATAAGTTTTGACATATTCTTTTTTATCAATATTTTTTATTATAGTTAGTGCTTCTTATATTCTGTTTAAAAAATCTTTTACTACTTTAAGCTGTTTTCTCTTTCTCTCTCACTCTCTCTGACTCTCTCCCCTTCTACTACCTCCTTCCCTCCTCCCGTATATATGTGTATATATATCACATTAAAACTCTTACCATCACATCACATCTAACCTTACACTAGCATCTACACAGCACCTTCCCACCTATCATATAACTATCTATGTTTCAGAATAACACTAACCTAACATGAATGCTCCCTTTGATGTACTAGAGCACATTCACACCAGCTTCCACCCAATTTCAAAGCCATTTCCATATTGTTAGGTATCTGTTACATCGGCAACCCCAGTCTCAGTACCAATTTCTGTCTCAGTCTGTTCAGGCTGCTATGACAGAACATCATAGACTGGATGCCTTATAAACAACAGAAATTTATTTCTCACTGTTTTGTAGACTGGGAAGTCCAAGATCAAGGCCTGGTAGATTCAATGTCTGAAGAAGTCCCATTTCCTTGTTTATAAATTGCATTCTCATGATTTTTGCACATTGATTTTGTATCCTGAGACTTTGCTGAAGTTGCTTATCAGCTTAAGGAGATTTTGGGCTGTGACGATGGGGTTTTCTAAATATACAGTCATGTCATCTGCAAACAGGGACAATTTGACTTCCTCTTTTCCTAATTGAATACTCTTTATTTCCTTCTCCTGCCTGACTGTCCTGGCCAGAACTTCCAACACTGTGTTGAATAGGAGTGGTGAGAGAGGGCATCCCTGTGTTGTGCCAGTTTTCAAAGGGAATGCTTCCAGTTTTTGCCCATTCAGTATGATATTGGCTGTGGGTTTGTCATAGATAGCTCTTATTGTTTTGAGATACGTCCCATCAATACCTAATTTATTGAGAGTTTTTAGCATGAAGGGTTGTTGAATTTTGTCAAAGGCCTTTTCTGCATCTATTGAGATAATCATATGGTTTTTGTCTTTGGTTCTGTTTATATGCTGGATTATGTTTATTGATTTGCGTATGTTGAACCAGCCTTGCATCCCAGGGATGAAGCCCCCTTGATCATGGTGGATAAGCTTTTTGATGTGGTGCTGGATTCGGCTTGCCAGTATTTTATTGAGGATTTTTGCATGGATGTTCATCAGGGATATTGGTCTAAAATTCTCTTTTTTTGTTGTGCCTCTGCCAGGCTTTGGTATCAGGATGATGCTGGCCTCATAAAATGAGTTAGGGAGGATTCCCTCTTATTCTATGGATTGGAATAGTTTCAGAAGGAATGGTACCAGCTCCTCCTTGTACCTCTGGTAGAATTCGTCTTTGAATCCGTCTGGTCCTGGACTTTTTTTGGTTGGTAAGCTATTAATTATTGCCTCAATTTCAGAGCCTGTTATTGGTCTATTCAGAGATTCAACTTCCTCCTAGTTTAGTCTTGGGAGGGTGTATGTGTCCAGGAATTTGTCCGTTTCTTCTAGATTTTCTAGTTTATTTGCATAGAGGTGTTTGCAGTATTCTCTGATGGTAGTTTGTATTTCTGTGGGATCAGTGGTGATATCCCCTTTATCATTTTTTATTGCATCTATTTGATTCTTCTCTCTTTTCTTCTTTATTAGTCTTGCTAGTGGTCTATCGATTTTGTCGATCTTTTCAAAAAACCAGCTCCTGGATTCATTGATTTTTTGAAGAGTTTTTTGTGTCTCTATCTCCTTCAGTTCTGCCCTGATCTTAGTTATTCCTTGTCTTCTGCTAGCTTTTGAATGTGTTTGCTCTTGCTTCTCTAGTTCTTTCAATTGTGATGTTAGGGTGTCAATTTTAGATCTTTCCTGCTTTCTTTAGTGGGAATTCAGTGCTATAAATTTCCCTCTACACACTGCTTTAAATGTGTCCCTGAGATTCTGGTATGTTGTGTCTTTGTTCTCAATGGTTTCAAAGAACATCTTTATTTCTGCCTTCATTTCGTTATGTACCCAGTAGTCGTTCAGGAGCAGGTTGTTCAGTTTCCATGTAGTTGAGTGGTTTTGAGTGAGTTTCTTAATCCTGAGTTCTAGTTTGATTTCACTGTGGTCTGAGAGACAGTTTGTTATAATTTCTGTTCTTTTATATTTGCTGAGGAGTGCTTTACTTCCAACTGTGTGGTCAATTTTGGAATACGTGCAGTGTGGTACTGAGAAGAACATATATTCTGTTGAATTGGGGTGGAGAGTTCTGTAGATGTCTATTAGGCCCACTTGGTGCAGAGCAGAGTTCAATTCCTGGGTATCCTTGTTAACTTTCTGTCTCGTTGATCTGTCTAATGTTGACAGTGGGGTGTTAAAGTCTCCCATTATTATTGTGTGGGAGTCTAAGTCTCTTTGTAGGTCTCTAACGACTTGCTTTATGAGTCTGGGTGCTCCTGTATTGGGTGCATATATATTTAGGATAGTTAGCTCTTCTTGTTGAACTGATCACATCAGTTAGAATGGAGATCATTAAAAAGTCAGGAAACAACAGGTGCTGGAGAGGATGTGGAGAAATAGGAACACGTTTACACTGTTGGTGGGACTGTAAACTGGTTCAACCATTGTGGAAGACAGTGTGGCGATTCCCTAAGGGTCTAGAACTAGAAATATCATTTGACCCAGCCATCCCATTACTGGGTATATACCCAAAGGATTATAAATCATGCTGCTCTAAAGACACATGCACACGTATGTTTATTGTGGCACTATTCACAATAGCAAAGACTTGGAACCAACCCAAATGTCCATCAATGATAGACTGGATGAAGAAAATGTGGCACATATACACCATGGAATACTATGCAACCATAAAAAATGATGAGTTCATGTCCTTTGTAGGGACATGGATGAAGCTGGAAACCATCATTCTCAGCAAACTATCACAGGACCCAAACACCACATGTTCTCACTCACAGGTGGGAATTGAACAATGAGAACACTTGGACACAGGAAGGGGAACATCACACACTGGGGCCTGTTGTGGGGCAGGGGGAAGGGGGAGGGATAGCATTAGGAGATATACCTAATGTAAATGATGAGTTAATGGGTGCAGCACACCAACATGGCACATGTATATGTATGTAACAAACCTGCACATTGTGCACATGTGCCCTAGAATTTAAAGTATAAAAAAAAAAGAACAAAAAAAACTGCATTCTCACTCTGTCTTCACTCAAGAGGGAGAATGAGGGAACCACTTTGTGTTTTTTTTTTTTATAAGGGGATAAGCTCCATTCACCAGGGCTCTATTCTTTGGACCTACTTACCTCACAAAGCCCCACCTTCAAATACCATCATATTGGGATATTCTAATAATTCCCCCCTCTAAAAGATAGTACTGAGTAGCTGTTATCAGCATGGACCATACAGCTAGACTGCTTGGGTTGAAATCCCAGCTCTGTCAATATCTGTGTGACCTAGAGCAACTTAGTTATTCCCTTGTGCTCAATTTTTACATCTTTTATAATAAGGATAATAATAACACTTACATCACAGGATTGTGAAGAATAAATGAGTTATTATTTGTAAATGATTTATAAGAGGGCTTTGCAGATTGTTAGCATGATAATAACTTTAATTAAAAAATGTCTTCTGCATCATCAGAATTCACTTTCTACTAGATTATTTTCATAACCATACATAATTTTTATTTTCTCTTTTATTAAAAACACTTCCTCATAACTCCAATTCCCCCTTTAGCTACTGCCTCACTTTTTATTCCCTTTACAGCAGAACTCCTAAGGAGAATTGACTCCATTCTCTGTCTCTACGTCATCTTGTATTATTCCAGGTTTTCATCCATACCACTCCCTAAATCTGTTCTTCTCAAAGTCACAAGTCACTTTGATGCTGCTAAGTCCCATGATCAATTCTCAGTTTTCATTTTTCTTCGATTATTAGCAATACTTCATATATTACACAGTTAATTACACTGTTAATTTCTCCCCTCTTTTAGATATTCTTTGTTCTCTTGGCTTCTAAGACTGCACATGCTCTTAATTTCCCTGCCATCTCATTGGTCACTCCTTTTCAGTCTGCTTTTCCAGTTAGTTTCTTTCTCCCTAACTTCTTAATATTGGCGAATTCCAGGTCTCCATCACTGGTCCTTTTCTGTTTTGTTACTTTCCTCAGTTTCTTGGCAAGCTAATTTCTGCCCATGCCTTTTTTTTTTTTTTTTTTGAGACAGAGTCTTGTTCTGTCACCCAGGCTGGAGTGCTGTGTCACGATCTCTGATTACTGCAACCTCCACCTCCCAGATTCAAGCGATTCTTGTGCCTCAACCTCCTGAGTAGCTGGGATTACAGGTGGGCACCACCACGCCTGTCTAATTTTTGTATTTTTAGAAGAGGCGGGGTTTCACTGTGTTGGCCAGGCTGGTCTCGAACAGGTGATCTGCCCACCTTGGCCTCCTAAAGTGCTGGTCCCAATGACTTTTTTTGTTTTGTTTTTTGAGACTGAGTCTTGCTCTGTTCCCCAGGCTGGAGTGCAGTGGCGCCATCTCGGCTCACTGCAACCTCTGCCTTCTGGGTTCAAGCAACTCTCCTGCTTCAGCCTCCTGAGTAACTGGGACTACAGGTGAGTGCCACCATGCCCGGCTAATTTTTGTATTTTTAGTAGAGACGGGGTTTCACCGTGTTAGCCAGGATGGTCTCGATCTCCTGACCTTGTGATCCGCCCGCCTTGCCCTCCCAAAGTGCTGGGATTACAGGCGTGAGCAACCGCGCCTGGCCCGCCGTGACTTTTAATACCTCCATTACAGTGATTCGTAAATACTATCTCTCACTAAAACCTGTCTCCCAAAGCCTAGACTAATATATACCAATACCCTCTTATAGACTGAATGTTCATGTCCCCTAAAAATTTGTGTGTTGAAATCTAATCCTCAATGTGATATTTGGAGCTGGGCTTTGGGAGGTAAGTAGGTCATAAAGAATGGAGCTCTGGTGAATGGAGTTCATGCCTTTATAAAAGGGAGCTTCCTCATTCTCTCTCTCAAGCGAGGACACAGTGAGAATACAATTTATAAACAAGAAAATGAGCCTTCTTTAGACACTGAATCTACCAGGCCTTGATCTTGGACTTCCCAGCCTTCAAAACAGCGAGAAATAAATTTTTGTTGTTTATCAGCCATCTAGTCTATGGTGTTGTGTTATAGAAGCCTGGACAGACTGAGACAGAATTGGTACTGAGATTGGGAGGTCTGATGTAGCAAATACCTAACAACATGGAAATGGCTTTGGAATCAAGTAGTGGGTAGAGGCTGAAAGAGTTTTGGGGTACATACCAGAAAAAGCCTACATTGCCGTAAATGGGTCATTAAGGACAATTCTTGTAAGGGCTCAGAAAAAAAAAAGGGAAGAGCTTCAGAGAAAGCTTCAATTTTCTCAGAAAATATTTAAGTAGTCAGTCCTGAACGGAATGCTAGTACAAGTATAAATGGTAAAGACAATTCTGATGAGTTCTTAGATAGAAATGAACAATATGTAATTGGACACTAGAAGAAAAGTTATTTTTGTATAAAGTGGCAAAGCACCTGGTTGAATTGTGTTTGTGTTGTAGTGATTTTGGAAGGTAGAACTTGTGAGCAATGAAATTGGACATCTGGCTGAGGAAATCTCTAAGCAAAGTACAGAAACTGTAGCCTGGCTCCTTATAACTGTTTATAGTAGAATTTTAGAAGAGAGAAATACGATTTAAAGATTGAATTGTTAAGCAAAAAGGAGCTAGAAATTAGAGATTTAGGAAATGTTTTACCTACTTATATTAAAAAGAATAAGAATGACTATGTTGGGTGAGAATGCTGAGTGTGGCCACATGACTTATAAGAAGATTAGTATGAATGTGAACCACAGATGTGATCACTGACCACATTAAAAAACCTATTAGTTTGAACTGAAGAGGAAGGAGAAAGAAAGAGATTAAGGAAAGCTGTTGGACTTCTTGGATTTTACAGGATAAGACCATAGAGCTATTTGGCTGCAAATGTACACTATTCTTCAAAGCGAGGAAAGAATGATCCTGAAGGTGACTGAGAAATCACCAGGGCTGCCTCCTAAGTTTCAAAAGGCAGGACTATTGTTTTCCCTTTAACAGATAAGATAGCCTCTGCCCAAAGCCTTAGAAGTGAGGGTTCATCTTTAGTGATCCCTGGGGCAGGAATTCTACTCAGAGGGTCCCGAAGGCAGGATCACAGCCCCAGTTGGCCTGGAAGGCCGATTATTGAACCAAACAGGATTATTCTTGGGTCTTAAGATCACATGAAGCTTGGGACTTGTCACCCATTTCTTCTTTCCTATTTCTCCCTTTTGGAATGAAAATGTATATATTATGCCTTTCCCACAATTTATTTTGGAAGCACATAACATACTTGGTTTTATATGTTCATAGCTGGAAGATAATGTGTCTCAAAATGAATCATACTTTGAATTTCACCCCTATATGATTTAGATGATATTCAGATAAAATGTTGGACTTTAGACTTTAAAGTTGATGCTAGAAGGCATTTAGACTTTAGGGGTTGTTGGGATAAAATTAGTGTATTTTGCATGTGAGAAAATAAACTCTGGGGGCTAGGGATGGAACATTATAGGCTGAATGTTGGTGTCCCCCCCAAATTGAAAGTTGAAATCTTAATATCCAATGTGATGGTATTTGGAGATGGGGTCTGTGTGAGGTGAATGGGATTAATGCCTTTATAAAGAGACTTCCTCATCCCTTCTGCTATGTGAGTACAAAGTGAGAAGACAGCTGTCTATGAATCAGGAAGCAAGCCCTTACCAGACACCAAATTTGCCTGTGCCTTGATATCAGACTTTCTAGCCTCCAGAACTGTGAGAAATAAATTTCTGCTGTTTATTATAAGCCACCCAGGCTATAGTATTCTGTTATATAGTAGCCCAGATGAATTAAGACATGCTCTATGAATCCTTATATTCTGCACTATCATATTGACTCCCTACCCAGCCCTATCACATTTTTTAATGTCCTCCGTTTTTCATTTGCTCACTATACTTCAGCCACATTGGAATCCTTGTCATTTCTTGAGCATTACAAAAAGACTTCCATTGTAGGACTTTCGTACTACAGATTTTGCCTTCCTGCAATGCTCTTCCCTAGATAACCATATCATTACCTCCCTCACGATTTTCAAGTGATTGCTCAGATTCTACCTCCACAATGTGGCCTATTTTTACTATCCTATTTAATTCTGTAACTGTGCTTTTTATGAAGATGCGTTCTTCATTGTCTTTATTCTGCTACTCTCTGTCATGATTTTTTCCATGGCACTTAAATCATGTAATATACTATGAAGTTACTTATTCATTATTTTCATTATTTATTTTCTGTTTTTCCTGCTGGAATATATGCTCAATGAGGGTAAAAATTATCTACATCTTTTTTGTTTATATATATACTAAGGACTTAATTAGATACCTGTCATAAATATTTGTTGAATGGATGAATAAAAACAAAGAGACCAATAGAAGGAGATCTAAAACACTGCCATTTCCTACTGCCCGTGCCAGCACTCTAATAATTTTCTTAGGAAGCTCAATTGAATATTTAAAAGTTTATTAGCTTTGAATTATTGAGAACAAGGGGTATAACAACTTTTTCATTATTCACTGACAAATGCAGGCTGTTTGCCATTTCATATATATGAAGGTTTAGATAATCTCCTATGAAATGGTATTCAAAAAATTTTTGTTTTTAAATCCCTCTATTTAGAAGCACTTACTATATTTTCAAACATTAGTAATTGTGGTTTGAATTATACATGGTTCTTTTTAATTTATTTACTTAATAGTCTAAATGTAGAGTACCAAGAAGCCAATGTGGCACGTGAGAATCAACTTTTGCACAAGATAGAGTGATCTTACAGTTCGGTTAGGGTAGACAGTTCTCTGCTTATCTTCAATAATGCTTGAGTGACTAATACTGACCAATGGCCAAGGTGTTCATAATAAGATATTTGAATTTTGAAAGTGTCCTGCAGGTACCTGGGGCTAGTTTGTTTAGGGATGTATTGATTAATGGTTTGCATCAAGGTTGGCAAGTCACATTGCCTGGCTTTACTAGAAGATTCCACTAAAACAGCTTCCCAATCTCTCTTGAAACCAGGATTTCTCACACATATCTTGGTGGTTCATGATCTGGAAATGAAGCACATCCTGGGCTATGAATTCCAGGGAGCTGTGCCTAGAAGTCTCTTGGGCTCCCAAGTCTTGTCTATGCGCTCTTTTTCCTGAAATACCACATCCTTTACCTTTACTTAAGGACTAATGCATGTGTGTGTAATCTATGGAGTTTTGTGAGTTCTTTCAATTATATTTGTATAATTTACACAGTGTTTATGCTGTTTTTCAAGAAAGACATTATTATGTATTTCAAGTTCTAATTTACACTTATTTCAGTGTGGTTTTCATAAGGTTTAATTAGAAAGAAGTAGCCAATATTTTTATCAGTTATCTGATCTGATCAACTTCCAGCTTCTGATAAATTGTCATATTTTTCTTGTTATTTTGAAACACCAGTATAAAGATCAAAGACCTTTAGTAGGGTAGGCTGCTAATCAGATTTTTCATTATTATAAGATGATTTGACTACTGTTTTGTCACTTCTTAACTTCTGTGTGTTGTATAGACTTTTAAGGCCATGTTGTATTGTTTTTTTGAATATAGTTCTCTTTTTTTATAACAGCATGAAATTATATTTTACTTCTGTAACTCTAATAATTGTCAAATGTATTTTTAAACTGACTTCTTTTAAATGAAGCAAATTACTATTTATCTAACTTACCCGTAAAGTTTAAAAGATATACTTTATAGAAATTTACTCTCTTCATTACTGTGCTGCATTTTTCTGATGATTTTCACACAGTCAGAGAATTCAAAAGATGAACTTTAAGGCAAAGTCATGTCATCGTTGATCTCTTGCACAACAATCCTTGAAGCACTAATGACTCAAAATGGTTACAATATTTCATTACCATGGAAATTGGAAGTGATGACTGTGACCTTGATGTATGAGGTGGTGACCCAAAACATGTAATGGATTCTGAGTCCTGAGGTGCTTGACAGTTATGTTTGTATAACCTTTTGGGATCAAAGTGTTTACTTAAATTTGTTGGTAAGCTACATATTTTAAAACAAAATTGTTATTCTACTATTTTTTGTTCTGTTTGAATATAGCTATACAATTTCTGATAAGTGGCTATATTTGTTGAATAAAAACTATAAAAGTATCTTGAAATATTTGTACAATTTGTATTTATGAATGAAAAAATAGCTTTCCTTTAAAGAAATGTTTGGATAGAAAACTCTAAGACAGAAATAATAATAGTTAGCTAACTGTCATGCTTATTGGTTTATCCATAATGTGTTTTCTTTTCAAACAATGTATTTCAGTTTACCATGACATTGTTTTACTCTGAAGTAACCCATTTATTTATTTATTTTATTCCTTCCTTCCTTCATTCATTCATTCATTTATCTTTTAAATTCAAGGTTTACATGTGTTTATTTCTTTCATGGGTGTATTAGTCCATTTTCACATTGCTAATAAAGACATACCTGAGACTGGGAAGAAAAAGAGGTCTAATGGACTTATAGTTCCATGCGGCTGGGGAGGCTTCACAATTGTGGAAGGCAAAGAGGAGCAAGTCACATCTAATATGGATGACAGCAGGCAAAAAGAGAGCTTATGCAGGGAAACTCCCCTTATAAAACCATCAGATCTTGTGAGACTTATTTACTATCATGAGAATAGCATGGGAAAGACCTGTCACCATGATTCAATTACCACCCACTGGGTCGCTCCACAACACATGGGAATTCAAGATGAGATTTGGGTGGGGGCATAGCCAAATGATATCAGTGGGTATATTGCATGCTGGTGGGAATTGGGCTTTTAGTGTACTCATTACTCAAATGGTAAACATTGTAACCAGTAGGTATTTTTTCATCCCTCACCCCCTCCCACTCTTTCCCCTTTGGACTCTGCAGCATATATTATATTCATCTTTATGTCCATGTGTACCCATTGTCTAGCTCCCCCTTATGAGTAAGAACATTTGGTATTTGGTTTTCTGTTTCTGAGTTAGTTCACATTGGATGCGTTAGCTCCATCCATCCATGTTGCTGCAAAGGACATGATTTCATTCTTTTTTATAGCTGTATAGTATTTCATGGTGTATATATACCATCTTCTTTGCTTTCCAGGCAACTGTTGATGGACACTTAGGTTGGTTTCATGGATTTGGTGCTGTGAATAGTGCTTCAATGAATATATGAGTATAGCTGTCTAAATTTTACAAATTATTTTTGTGGAAAATGCTTGTCATGTGATCACCATCACTATTTTTTGTTCCCAGTTTTCATTGCAAATGTAGGGGAAAAATAACTGCTTTTGGCAAAAGAATGGTGGCAGAAGTGATGCACACCACTTCTAGTCCTAGATCTCCCAGGAGATCTACCACATTCTTTCTGTCCCTTTGATCTCCCAATTGAATGCTGATTATTCAGCATAAAATTGCATAGCCCTAGAGTGAAGGACCCCTGATTATTGAACTACTGTTAGTAGAAGAGCCAGTCAAACAGCAATATCTACATTGTACTTTGCATGAGTGGCACATATACATTTATTTAGTTTAGTTTATCAAAAAGAAATGAGCATATCCTGACTAATACAGCTTCTTTATATTTTTAAAATGTATATCATACCTAAATTGTCACTTAATCATGTGAATTTTGCCATGTCATGACTTCATTGATTAAAATTTTCTAAACTGTCTTGTCGTAAAACACTGGTATACTGACAGCAAAGTAAAAAAGTAAGTTATATTTTGATAAAATAAAAACTTCAGCCGAATTAAATTTAAAGGAGTTTAATTGAGCAATGAATGATTCGTGAATTGGACAGCCTCCTAAATCAGAATAGGCTCTGAAACCAGTGCAGCCACATGGTGGAAGAAGATTTATGGACAGAAAAAGGAAAGTGACATACAGAAAATGGAAGTGAGTAACCTTTAGGCTGAACTTAAAATATGTAAGGAGGCAGCGTTAGCCTAAACCTGATTTAACAATTCTGATAGTAATGCTTTTTTGGGGAGTAAGGAAAGGCAAGTTGGGGTCAAGATAATGAATTTGACTACCTTCTAGATTTAAGATGATAATTTTAATACAAAATATTATATAATTGTTAAAACAAATGAATCCTATTAAATGGCTATCAAGTTTTTATTATTATTGGCTGAAAATCCAGCCAAAAATCTCCTATTTAGATACATGTTCCTAGACTATTCTTTCTTTTACATCATACCTATGTTTTACTTTAATTTTATAAAACACTATAAAGTCCAGTACAATTTCATTCGACATTTAGTCAACACAAATTTATTGAAGACCTAATATCTTCCAGACAAGATGTTAAGTTCTGAGTTATACAACAGTGAAGAAATCAAACATGAATC
Organism: Homo sapiens; assembly: GCF_000001405.40. NCBI lineage: Eukaryota > Metazoa > Chordata > Mammalia > Primates > Hominidae > Homo > Homo sapiens. Next base: position 40,152,327 of record NC_000014.9, read on the forward strand.
GTGTCCTTATACACTTGGGTTCTAATAGGAAAACAGATTTCTAATACTTAATTATACAAATCATTTCATTACAATTATAGTAAACAAATAGATGTAGGGATCTGTGAGAGTATATTGTAAGGAACCTAATCTAATATGGGGAAAAGAGGAATATTTACTGAGAAAAGGACATTTGTATTGGGATATCACAAAAAGAAAGAAAGAAAAAGGGTAAAGGGAAGGAAAGAAAAGAGAAAGGAAAGAAAATAAAAGTCTCAGACCTGGCTAGTTTTGTGAGGAGATATTCCTGTCAGGAATAACATCAGCTGCACAGTTGGAAATAGGAGTATTTTAAAACCAATACAGAAAATTGTGGCAATTCTTTGATATTGCACCAACATTCAACAAATAATATTTTAATAGAGATTAGTTGCAGTGTGGAATCTAAATTCTTAGTGAACATTTCATAATTATGTTAAAACCCATTTGTCTTTCTTGCACTTTGAGTAATTATGTGACATCATGTATTAATCATTGGGAAAATGTTGATTCACCGAGTTATGCAGATCTTAAAAATGTTAGCATGCTTCATTATACAATAATTTAAAGATCAAATTTATTAATATAATGTATAAATATCACCATCAATGTCATCAGGAAAGTCTTTAAGTATGAAAAACTATAAGCTCATGTAGGTAAGATATAGGTTTTTAAAAATTCTAAATTTAACTTGAATGCTCAAATTTTATCATTAGCAACAAATGCTGTCAATTGTTTTCCTTGAAGTGACAGGCTCACTTTGAATATTTTTTGAAAATTTCCATCAAATATCCAAGTTTGAGTTCCTGTGTTTTTTTCCTGTCATTCTTTTAAGTAAATATTGAATTTCTTGGAAAATTGACTAGTTCAGCTTAAAATGCAATCAAGTGCTTTTCCTTGAGACAGTCATTGTGCTTCATTATGTAGCAGAAGTATTTTAAGCCTACTTTCCATTTTCTTATGCAGAAATTAAAAAATTCATGTAACTGAAGAGTTAAAGTTTGATGAAATAGGAGCGTGAGTGAAGCAAGATGACTACCAATCATCCCCTGTAAAGGAACACCAAATTTAACAACTATCTACACAAAAAACACCTACATAAGAGCCAAAAACCAGGTGAGCACTCACAGTACCCAGTTTTAATTTATATCACTGAAAGAGGCACTGAAGAAGGCAGGAAAGAGAGTCTTGAATTGCTGATGCCATGCCTACTGCACACCCAGCAGCAGCTGAGTGGTGTAGAGAGATAATATTTGTGCTTGGGAGAGAGAGAGTACAGTGATAGTGAGACTTTGAATTGAACTCAGTGCTGCCCTGTCACGGGGGAAGACAAAACTGGGCTGAATTTAGCTGATACCCACCCATGGAGGGAGCATAGACTAGCTCTTGATACAGAGTAATCTCCAATCCCAGTGGTCAGAACTTGAGTTCCAGCAAGCCTTCCCACCATGGGCTAAAGTGCACTGAGGTTCTAAATAAAGTTGATAGGCAGTCTAGTCCACAAGAACTGCAACTGCTAGGTAAGTCCTAGTGCTGAGCTGGGCCCAGAGCCAGTGGACATAAAGGGTAGAAGACCTACTGAGATATTAACCAGAGCAGGCAGACTCCAGGCAGCATGGCTTGTGGCTCCAAAAGAGACCCCTTCCCTTTGCTTGAGGAGAGGAGAGGGAACTATAAAGAGGTTGCTGTCTTGCATTTTGGATATCAGCTCAGCCACAGTAAGAAAAGGCAGTGGTCAGAGTCATGAGGCCCCTATTCCAATCACTCAGTCCCATATGACATTTTCAGACACACTGTTGGCCAGCAGGGAAGACACTGACTTTAAGAGAAGGACTGAGTCCTGGCAGGCCCCATAACCTGCTGACTAAAGAGCCCTTGTACCTGAATTACCAGCAGTGATACTCAGGTAGTGTGCTGTGGGCCTTGGGTTAGACTCTGAGATGTACCAGCTTCGGGTGAGATCCAGCACATGCCCAGTTGTGGTGCATAAGGGAGAGACTTCTTTTTCTTGAGAAAAGCAGGGAGAAAAGTAAAAGTGATTTTGTCTTATACCTTGGGTACCACCTCAGCCACAGGGGGATAGAGAATCATACTCTTGGGGTTTGTAATTCCAGGTAATGGCTCTTGGATGGCATTTCTTGACCTTCCCTGGGCCAGAGATAGCGCATTTCCCTGAAAGACAAGTCCCAAGCCTGGCAGCAGTCACCACAAGCTGACTGAAGAGCCCTTGGACCTTAGTGAACATTAGTAGTAGCCTGGCAGTACTCCCCATAGGCCTGTGGTTGTTACCATGGGGTAAGGCTCATTTGCTTGCAGAAAGGGAAGGGAAGAGTGAGAAAGACTGTGTCTCATGGTTTGAATGGCAACTTAGCTGCAATACAATAGAACATGAGGTTGATTTCTAAGATTTTTGATTTCAGTCCCTGGATCCTGGATGTTACCCCTGGCACTGCCCAGGGCCTGGGGGAACTTGCTGCCCTGAAGGGAAGGATGCAAGCTTGGCTGGCATAGCCACCTGTCATTGTAGAGCCCTAGGGCCTTGAGAAAACATAGGTGTTATCTAGGCAGTGGTTACGGTGGGCCTTGGGTGAGACTCAGTGTTGTGCTGGCTTCAGGTCTGTTCCAACACAGTCTCAGAGGTGGCACCTATAGGGTTGCTTATGTCACCCCAGCCCCAGCTACATGTGGCTCAGCACAAAGAGATACTCCATTTGTTTGGGAGAAAGTAAGGGAAGAGAACAAGAGTCTCTTCCTGGCACACCACATAATTCTTTTAAATCTTGTCCAAGACAATAATGGTGGTGCCTCTACAAGTCTTCAAGAACCATAGCATTACTGGGTTTGCGGTGCTACAGAAAGCAGATACAGCTTATATCACAACACACAAGTCCTTTCAAATATCTAGAAAGGCTTCTCCAGAGAGATGGTGTGTTACTCTATTGTCATGCTACTAATAAAGACATACCCGAGACTGGGCAATTTACAAAAGAAAGAACTTTAATGGACTCACTGTTCCATATGGCTGGGGAGGCCGCACAATCATGGTGAAAGGTGAAAAGACTGTCTCACATGGCAGCAGACAAGAGAAGAGAGCTTGTGCAGGGAAACTCCACCTTATAAGACCATCAGATCTCATGAAACTTATTCACTGTCATGAGAACCGCATGGGAAATACCTGCCCTCATGATTCATTTACCTCCCACCAGGTGTCTCCCACAACATGTGAGAATTCAAGATGATATTTGGGTGTGGACACAGCCAAACCATATCATTTCACCCCAGCCCCTCCCAAATTTCATGTCCTCGTATTTCAAAACCAATCATGCTTTCCCAACAGTCCTCCAAAGTCTTAACTTATTTCAGCATTAACCCAAAAAAGTCCACAATCAAATGTCTCATCCAAGGCAAGACAAGTCCTTTATGCCTATGAGCCTGTAAAATCAAAAGCAAGTTAGCTACTTCCTAGATACAATTGGGGTACAGGCGTTGGGTAAGTAGAGCCATTTCAAATGAAAGAAATTGACCAAAACAAAGGGGCTACAGGACCCATGAAAGTCTGAAATCCAGTGGGGTAGTTAAATCTTAAAGCTCCAACATGATCTCTTTTAACTCCATGTCTCACATCCAGGTCACACTGATGCAAGAGGTGGGCTACTTCAGCCTTGGGAAGCTCTCCACCTGTGGCTATGCAGGGTATACACCCCCTCCTAGCTGCGTTTATGGGCTGGCATTGAGTGTCTGTGGCTTTTCAAGGTGCATGGTGAAAGCTGTTGGTGGATCTACCATTCTGGGGTCTGGAGGATGGTGGCCCTCTTTTCACAGCTCCACTATGTCATGCCCCAGTAGGGACTCTGTGTGAGGGCTCTGACCCCACATTTCCCTTCCACACTACCCTAGCAGAGGTTCTCCATGAGGGCTCTGCCCCTGCAGCAAACTTCTGCCGAGACATCAAGATGTTTCCATACATCCTCTGAAATCTAGGCAGAGGTTCCCAAACCTCAATTCTTTTGAGATGGAATCTTACTCGGTCACCCAGTCTAGAGTACAGTGGCACAATCTTGGCTCACTGCAACCTCTGCTGCCCAGGTTCAAGTGATTCCCCTGCCTCAGCCTTCTGAGTAGCTGGGATTACAGGCGCCTGCCACCACACCTGGTGAATTTTTGTAGTTTTAGTAGAGACAGGGTTTCACCATCTTGGCCAGGCTGGTCTTGAACTCCTGACCTTGTGATCCATCCACCTCAGCCTCCCAAAGTGCTGGGATTACAGGTGTGAGCCACTGCGCCCAGCCAAATTTCCATTCTTGACTTCTGTGCACCCACAGGCTCAACACCTTGTGGAAGCTGCCAAGGCTTGGGGCTTGCACCCTCTGAAGCAACAGCCTGAGCTGTGCCTTTTAGTCATGGGTGCAGTGGCTGAGATGCAGGGCACCAATTCTCTAGATTGCACACAGCAGAGGGACCCTGGGCTCAACCCATGGAACCATTTTTTTCTCCTAAACCTCTGGGCCTATGATGGGAGGGGCTGCCACAAATATCTCTGACATGCCCTGGAGACATTTTCCCCATTGTCTTGGTGATGAACATTTGTCTCCTCATTACTCATGCAAATTTCTGCAGCCAGCTTGAATTTCTTCTCAGAAAATGGGATTTTCTTTTCAATCACATTGTCAGGCTGCAACTTTTCCAAACTTTTATGCTCAGCTACCCTTATAAAATTGAATGCCTTTAACAGCAGCCAAGTCACCTCTTGAATGCTTTGCTGTTTAGAAATTTCTTCCACCAGATACCCCAAATCATCTCTCTCAAGTTCAATGTTCCCCAAATCTTCAGGGCAGGGGCAAAATGCATCCAGTCTCTTTGCTAAAACATAACAATAGTCACCTTTGCTCCAGTTCCCAACAAATTCCTCATCTCCATCTGGGACCACCTCAGCCTGGATTTTATTGTCCATATCATTATCAGCATTTTGGTCAAAGCCATTCAACAAGTCTCTAAGAAGTTCCAAACTTTCCCACATTTCCCTGTTCTTCTGAGCCCTCCAAACTGTTCCAACCTCTGCCTGCTACCCAGTTCCCAAGTCACTTCCACATTTTCAGGTATCTTTATAGCAGTGCACCACTACCTTGGTCCCAATGTACTATATTAGTCTATTTTCATGCTGCTGATAAAGACATACTCGAGACTGGGCAATTTACAAAAGAAAAAGGTTTAATGGACTCATAGTTCCACATGGCTGAGGCAGCCTCACAATCATGGTGGAAGGTGAAAGAAATCACTCACATGGAGGCAGACAAGAGAAGAGAGCTTGTGCAGGGAAACTTTCCCTTTTAAAATCATCAGATATCCTGAGACTTATTCACTACCCTGAGAACAGCACAGGAATGACCTGCCCCTGTGATTCAATTACTTCCCACTGGGTCTCTCCCCAACACGTGAGAATTCACAATGAGATTTGGGTGGGGACACAGCCAAACCATATCAGACGGGTACAAACAAGCCCAGACTGTAAATATTATAATAAATACCTAAATTTTCAATGTCCAGACACTGCAAAACATCCAGAAGCATAAAGACCATCCAGGAAATCATTACCTCCCAAACAAACTAGATAAGGCACCACAGACCAATCCTGGAGAAACAGAGGTATGTGACCTCACAGCAAACTCAAATGGAAATTTTGAATTTGAATTCTCTGTCTGTGAATTCAAATTTCTATTTGAATTATCTGTGAGGTTACATACCTCTGTTTTTCCAGAATTGATAGCTCAAATATATTCAAGATAACATAGAGGAAGGAATTTAGATTTCTTTCAGATAAATTTAACAAAGAGATTGAAATAATTAATAATCGAACAGAAATTATGGAGTTGAAAAATGTAATTGACTTACTGAAGAATGCACAGACTGTTTTAATAGCAGAATTTATTAAGAAGAAGAAATAAATAGTGAAATTGAAGATAGATTATTTGAAAATAGAGTCAGAGGAAACAAAAGAAAAAAGAATGAAAAACAAAGAATCACACCTACAAGATCTAAAAAAGAGCCTGAAAAGTTCAAATCTAAGAATGATTGGTCATAGAGGCAAAATAGAGAAAGAGATAGAGGTAGAAGTTTTGTTTAAATTGATGATATAATAACAGAGAACCCCCAAAACATAAAGAGATTAATATCCAAGTCCATGAATATTATAGAACAGCAAGCAGATTTATCCCAAAAAAGACTACCTCTGGGTATTTAATAATCAAATCCCCAAAGATTAAGGATAAGGAAAGGATTCTAAAAGCAGCCAGAGATAAGAAACAAATGACATAAAACGGAGCTCCAATACATCTGGCAGCAGACTTTCAGTGGAAGCCTGACAGGCCAGGAAAGAGTGGCCTAGCATGTCAAAAGTGCTTAAGGAAGACCGGACACAGTGGCTTATGCCTGTAATCCCAGCAGTTTGGGAGGCTGAGGCAGGCAGATTATCTGAGGTCAGGAGTTCAAGACCAGCCTGGCCAACAAGGTGAAACCTGATCTCTACTAAAAATATGAAAATTAGCTGGCTGTGATGGCAGGCATCTGTCATCTCATCTACTTGGAAGGCTGAGGCAGGAGAATTGCTTAAACCCGGGAAGTGGAGGGTGCAGTTAGCCAAGATTGCACCACTGCACTCCAGCCTGGGTAACACAGTGAGACTCTGTCACAAATAAATAAATAAAAGTGTTGAAGGAAAAAAAAAAATACCCTGGAACATTATATCTGGTAAAAATGTCCTTCAAACATGAAGGAGAAATAAAGACTTTTCTAGACAAACAAAAGCTGAGGGATTTCATCAATACCAGACCAGTCCTACAAGAAATGCTGAAGGGAATACTTAAATCAGAAGGAAAAGGACATTAATGAGCAATAAATAATCCTCTGAAGGTACAAAACTTACTGGTAATAGTAAGTACACTAAAAAACACAGATATTATAACACTGTAACTGTGGTATGTAACACACTCTCATCTTAAGTAGACAGACTAAGAGATCTACCAAACAAAGATAGTAACTGAAACTTTTTAAGACATAGACAGTACAATAAGTTATACATGAAAACAATAAAAAGTTAAAAGTTGGGGGGATGAAGTTAAGGTATAGAGTTTATATTGGTTTTCTTTTTGTTTGTTCATGCAAACAGTGTTATCAGCTTAAAATAATTGGTTTTAAGGTAGTATTTACAAGCTTCATAGTAACCTCAAGTCAAAACACAGAATGGAAACACAAAAATGGGAAACAAGAAATTAAATCATACCAACGGATACAATCACCTTTAGTAAAAGAAGACAGGAACAAAGGAAATAAAAAATAGAAGATAATGAAACAACCAGAAAACAAACAGCAAAATGGTAGTAATTAATCCATACTTATGAATGACAACATTGAATGTATATGGACTAAACTCTTCAATCAATAGACATAGAGTGATTGAATAGATAAAAAGCAACCAATGTTCTGTTGCTTATAAGAAACACACTTTTTTTCTATAAAGACACACATAGACTGAAAATAACAAGATGGAAAAAGATATTCTATGCCAATAAAAAACAGAAAATAGCATGAGCAGCTAAAATAATAGATTTCAAGAAAAAACTGTAAGAGACAAAAAGGTCACTATATAATGATAAAGTGGTCAATTCAGCATGAAGATAAAATAATTTTAAATATATATGAACTCAACACTGGAGCACTCAGATAAATAAAACAAATATTATTGGTATTAAAGGGAGAAATGGACCCCAATACAATAATAGCTGGAGAATTTAATACCACAATTTCAGCATTGTACAGATCTTCCAGGCAAAGAATCAACAAAAAACCTCAGACATATGCAGCACTATAAACCAAATTGACCTAGCAGATATTTACAAAACATTCCATGCCAATGCTGCAGAATACACATTGTTATATTAGCACATTGATAATTCTCAAGGAGAGACAATATGTCAGGTCACAAAACAAATTGTAAAACATTCAAAATAATTGAAATAATATCATGCATCTTCTCTGAACACAGTGGAATAAAACTAGAAATCAATAATAAAAGGAGTTATGGAAACTACACAAACACATGGAAATGAAACAATATCCTGAATGAACAGTGGGTCAGTAAAGAAATTTAGAAGAAAATTGTAAACTTCTTAAAACAAGTGAAAATGGAAACACAACATAACAAAGCCTATGGGATATAGCAAAGCAGTACTAATTTGAAAGTTTGTATCTGTAAGTGCCTATATAAAAAAAAGAGAGAGAGAGAAACACTTCAAATAAACTACTTAAAAATACATATGAATGAAATAGAAAAGCAAAAGCAAACCAAACCCAAATTTAGTAGAAGAAAAGGAATAAGGATCAGAGCAGAAATAAATGAATTTGAAATAAAGAAATACCAATGATTAATGAAACAAAAGTTGATTGCTGAAAAGATAAACAAAATGGACAAATCTTTAGCCAGACTAAAAAATGAAAAAAGAAGACCAAAATAAAATCAGAGATGAAAAAGGAGACATTATCACTAATACTGCAGAAATTTAAGGGGACATTAGAGGCTACTACAAGCAACTATTTTCCAATAAATTGGAAAATCTAGAAGTGAATAAATTCTTAGACACATAAAATCTACCAAGATTGAACCATAGAGAAATCCAATAACAAATAACAAGATAACAAGATTCAAGTTGTAATAAAAATCTCCCAGCAAAGAAAAGCCTGGGAACCAATGGGGTCACTTCTGAATTTTACCAGATTTGTAAAGAAGAAATAAAATCAATCCTATTCAAACTCTTCTAAAAAGTAGAAGAGAAGTAATCAGTTCCAACCTCATTATATGAGGCCAGTTACCCTGATACCAACACCAGACAAAGGCACATCAAAAAAGAAAAAAAAACTATAGACCAATATAACTGAAGAATATTGATGCAACAATTGTCAGCAAAATACTAACAAGCTGAATTCTACAACATATTATAAAGATCATTCATCATGACCAAACAGGATTTATCCCAGTGATATGGTCAGGTTGTGTCCCCACTTGAATCTCATCATGAACTGTAGTTCCCATAATCCCATGTGTCATGAAAAAGACTCAGTGGGAGGTAATTAAATCATGGGGGTGGTTACCTGAATGCTGTTCTCATGATAGTGAGTGAGTTCTCATGAGATATGATGGTTTTATAAGGGGCTTTTCCCCTTTTGTTTGGCCCTTCTTCTTGCTGCTGCCAGGTAAAGAAGGACATGTTTGCTTCTCCTACCACCATGATTGTAAGTTTTCTGAGGCCTCCCCAGCCCTGTACAACTGTGAGTCAAACCTTGTTCCTTTATAAATTACCCAGTCTCAGGTATTTCTTCATAGCAGTGTGAGAACGAACTAATACAATAAATTAATACTGCAGAGAGTGGGGTGCTGCTCTAAAGATACCCGAAAATGTGGAAGCAACTTTGGGACAGGGTAACAGGGAGAGGTTGGAACAGTTTGGAGGGCTCATAAGAAGACAGGAAGATCTGGGGAAGTTTGAGCCTTCCTGGAGACTTGCTGAATGGCTTTGACCAAAATGCTGATAGTGATATGGACAATGAAATCTAGGCTGAGATGGTCTCAGATGGAGATGAGGAACTTGGTAGCAATTGGAGTAAAAGTGATTTTTGCTGTGCTTTACCCCTGCCCTAGAGATCTGTGGAACTTTTAACTTAAGAGAGATGATTTAGGGTATCTGGCAGAATAAATTTCTAAGTGGCAAAGGGTTTAAGAGGAACCAGAGCACAAAAGTTTGGGAAAGTGGCAGCCCGACAATGCGATAAAAAAGAAAAACCCATTTTCTGAGGAGAAATTCAAGCCTGCTACAGAAATTTGCATAAGTAACGAGGAGCTTTCCAAGACAATGTGTCTCCAGGGCATGTTGAAGACTTTCACAGCAGCCCCTCACATCACAGGCCCAGAGACCCAAGAGGAAAAAATGGTTTTGTGGGTCAGGCCCAATGGCCCCCCTGCTATGTGCAGCCTAGTGACTTGGTGCCCTGTGTCCCAGCTACTCCAGCCATGGCTAAAGGGGCCAAGTTTCAGCTCGGGTCGTGGCTTCAGAGGGTGCAAGCCCCAAGCCTTGGCAGCTTCCAAGTGTTGTTTAGCCTGCAGTTGCACATAAGTCAAGAATTGAGGTTTTGGAACTTCTGCCTAGATTTCAGAGGTTGTATGGAATTGCCTGGATATCAAGGCAGAAGTTTGCTGCAGGGTTGCAGCCCTCATGGAGAACCTCTGCTGGGGCAGTGTGAAAGGGAACTGTGAGGTTGGAGCCCCCACACAGATTCCCCACTGGGGCACTGCCTAATGGAGGTATGAGAAGAGGGCCACCGTCCTCCAGACCCCAGAATGGTAGAAACACTGATAGCTTGCACTATGTACCTGGAAAAGCCGCAAACACCCAACACCAGCTCATGAAAGAAGCCAGGGGGGTGGGTGTACTCTGCAAACCCACTGGGGCGGAGCTGCCCAAGACCATGGGAACCCATGTCTTGCATCAGCATGACCTGGATGTGAGACATGGAGTCAAAGGAGATTGTTTTTGAACTTTAAGGTTTAATGACTGCTCTGTTGAATTTCGGACTTGCATTGGGCCTATTGCCCTTTTGTTTTGGCCAATTTCTCCCATTTGGAACAGATGTATTGACCCAATGCCTGTACCTCCATTGTTTCTAGGAAGTAACTAATTTGCTTTATATTCTACAGGCTCGTAGGTGGAAGGGACTTATATTGTCTCAGATAAGACTTTGTACTTAGACTTTTGGGTTAATGTTGGAATGAATTAAGACTTTGAGGGACTATTGGGAAGGCATGATTTTGTTTTGAAATGTGAGGACATGAGATTTGGAAGAGGCCAGTGGCAGAATAATATGGTTTGGCTGTGTCTCCACTCAAATCTCATCTTGAATTGTAGTTCCTATAATCCCCATGTGTTGTGGGAGGGACCCAGTGGGAGGTAATTGAGCCATGGGGGTGGTTACTCCCATGCTGCTGTTCCTGAGATAATGAGTGAGTTCTCATGATATCTGATGGTTTTATAAGGAACTTTTCATCTTTTGCTTGGCACGTCTCCTTGTTGCCAATGTTTGGTTCCCCTTCTGCCATGATTGTAAGTTTCCTGAGGCCTCCTCAGCCCTGCAGAACCATGAATCAATAAAACCTCTTTCCTTTATAAATTCCCCAGTCTCAGGTATTTCATCATAGCAGTGTAAGAACAGACTAATATTCCCAGTGTTGCCAGATGGTTTAATATACACAAATCAATCAATGTGGTACATTATATCAACAGAATTAAGGGCAAAAACCATATAATAATTTCAACTGCTGCTGAAAAAGCATTTTATAAGCTTCAACATCCCTTCATAATAAAAACTCAAAATATTGCATATAGAAGAAGCATATCTCAACATGGTAAAAGCCATATATGGCAGACCCATAGCTATTATCATACTGAATGGGGAAAAAATGAAAACTCTTTCCTCTAGGACCTGGAAGAAGATAAGGGTACCCACTTTCACTACTGTTATTCAACATAGTACTGAAAGTCCTAGTTAGAGCAATCAGACAAGAAAATAAAATAAAGGCATCTAAATTGGAAAGAAAGAATGTAGGGGATCAGTCAAAGTGGTGGGAAAAATTATAAAGATAAAGTTATAGGAAATAGACACAAACTTTCTTGGAAGGCTGGGAGGTTTGTGTAGCTTTAGTGAAAGATTTGGCTGAAGGCAGCCTAATCCTCTTACCTTAAGTTAGTAGCTTAGAGTAGGTACAAAGGAATGCAAGGGAGTTATCTAAAGAGCTTGTTTACTCATCTGGTCCCAAGACTGACCTTTGATCATTCGAAGGCAGGACTGATCTCTCGGGGGGGGTGCGGGGGGGTGGCGGGGGGGTGGGTGGGCGACCAGATTGATTAATTACCCTCAGGTGGTTGACTCAAAGCCTTTGGCATTAAATCTGTGCTGAGTAAGTGACCATAGAGCCAACTAGTCAGGGTGTGTGGCTGCCAAAACTCTTTCTGTGAGTGGCCTGGCTCCCTGGCTTGCTCTTTTACTGAATATTGGTGTCTGAGTATGTTATTCATCCATTGTGCATCCTGGGTCTGTAGGTCAGACCCTGGCAGAGGAAGTCAAATTATTCTTGTCTGTAAATGATATGATTTTATATTTGGAAATTCCAAATGCTCCACTAAAAAGCTATTTGATAAATTCAGTAAAGTTGTAAGATACAAAATCAACATACAAAAATTAGTTGAATTTTTATATGCCAACAGCAAACAATCAGAAGAAGAAATCAGGAAAGTAATACCATTTACAATAGCCACAAATGAAATTAAGTACCTAGGAATTAAGTAAACCAAACAAGTGAAAGATCTCTACAATGAAAACTATAAAACATTCATTCAACAATGAAGAGAACTCCAAAAAAGAAAGATATTCTTTTGTCACAGACTAGAAGAATCAATATTGTTAAAATGTCAATACTATTCAAAGAAATATAAAGATTTAATACAATTCCTATCAAAATAAGAATGACATCCTTCACAGAAATAGAAAAAGAAACCCAAAATTTATATGGAACTACAAAAGACCCCACATAGCCAAAGTTATCCTAAGCAAAAAGAACAAAAGTGAAGGAATCACATAATCTTACTTCAAATTATACAACAAAGCTGGAGAAACCACAATGGCATCATACTGGTATAAAAACAGACCCAGACCCATGGAACAGAGTAGAGAGCCCCAATACAAATCCGTATATCTACAGTGAACTAATTTTCAACAAAGATGCCAAGAACATAACATTGGGAAAAGGACAGTCTCTTCAATAAATAGTACTGAAAAAACTGCAACTCTATATGCAGAAGCACAAAACTAGACCTCTATCTATCTCTTGCCATGTACAAAAATCAAATCAAAATAAATTGAAAACTTAAATCTAAGACCTCAAACTATGAAACTACTGAAAGAAAAATTTGGGAAAACTCTCTGGGACATTGGACTGGGCAAAGATTTATTGAGTATACCCCACAAGTTCAGGCAAAAAAAGCAAATATGACTGAATGGGATCACATCTAAAGTTTCTGCACAGCAGAGGAAACAATCAACAAAGTGAAGAGAAAATCCACAGAATAGAATATTTGCACACTACCCATCTAACAAGGGATTAATAAATAGAATATATAAGCAGCTCAAATGACTTGTGAAGATACAATCTAATACTCTGATTTTTAAAATTGGCGAAACATCTGAATAGACATTTCTCAAAAGAAAACATACAAATGGCAAACAAGTATATGCAGAGCTGCTCACTATTACTTATTATCAAAGACATGCAAATTAAAACTACAATGAGATATCATTGCACTGTAGTTATAATGGCTTTTTTCAAATACAAGCAACAATACATGCTGACAAGGATGTGGAGAAAGGGGAATACTGGTACACTGTTAGTGGGAATGTAAATCAGTACAAGCATTATAGAGAACAGTTTGGAAGCTCCTCAAAAAACTAAAAATAGAGCTACTATATAATCTACCAATCTCACTGCTTGGTATATAACCAAAAGAAATCAGTATATCAAAGGCATATCTGCACTCGCATGTTTGTTGCAGCTCTGCTCCCAATAGCCAGGATTTGGAAGCAACCTGTGTCCATCAACAGATGAATGCATAAAGAAAATGTACATATACGCAATGGAGTACTATTCAGCCTTAAAAAAATAACAAGATCTTGTCCTTTGCAAGAACATGGATGGAACTGGAAGTCATTATGTTAAGTGAAATAAGCCAGGTACAGAAAGACAAACTAATCTTACTTATTTGTGGTAGCTAAAATTTAAAACGAGTGAACTAATGGAGAAATAGTTCACTTGTATGCCTGTATCAAAATATCTCCTATAACCCATAAATACATACATACATCTGCTCTGTATCCACAAAATGTAGAAATTAAAAATTAAAAAAATATAGTCTGATAAAATAAATTTCTTCTGCAAATCAAGGACATTCTCAGATAAAATGCATAAAATTGGCTTTTTTTTTTTAAAAAGGCAATTGCATAGCAGTCAATAATACAACAGTATGATAACTGCTAATGCAGTTCAGCACCAATGCCTTGATTTTTGCTAAGGTATTAGCAGTTTTACACACCATTACCTTTGTCCCATCAGTCAACATACTGAAGAAGGCAAATGGTATCTTAGTATCATAATGAAAATAGTTTTGACTTTGTAACACCCCTGAAAGATTATCAGGAGTCATATTGATCCATGTATTATTTCTTTTGGTTTAGGGGTAAGCATGTTACCCAGTTATAACCAATGAGATACAAAGGGTAGTTTACGGAAAGGCCTCTGCAAGAGTTACCTACCTCTTAGGTAGACAGAACAGAAACACATTTCTTTTCTCCCAGAAGATATTTTTTGGACTTTATGCTCAGAATAGCCTCAACCAACCTGAAACTTTGATGTTACTAAGGCCAAAGGAAAAGCTGGCACCAAGGAAATGGCAAAGTTAAAAAAAAAAAAAAAGAATAACAAGAAAAAAAGAAACTGGATTATTAATGATGTTATTGAAATATGTCTGAATGAACTAACCATAAGGCCTGCGAACCACCACCTATTATTATATGAAATAACAAGTAGCCTTATTATTTAAATACATTAGAGTTGGGGTTTCTGTTATATTTAGTAAAAGACATTGTGATGGATAAGCTTCATCTTCAGTTTACCAAAAAATGAGAAAACAATAATTACGTGGCTATGAGAGCAATTCTCCCTGGGTTATTCATTATACAAAGAACTTACTCTCTCAGGAAAATCTCCATGATTAAAAGTGGGAAATTATATCAGATTGCTACTGAAGCAAGGTATACTTGATACTGGAAGACTGCTCAGACTCCTCAACTTACTTAAAACTAGAGCAAGGATTATTTCCATATTACTGGGTGGAACTGAATAGGAACAAGCTAAGACATTTCAACTTGCAAAATTATTAGGTATAAAGGTAGAGAAACACAAAATTTTCACAGAATTACTGGATCAACAAATGTAACCAATGTATTAGATGTTTAGAAACTGGGAGCATTCATTTACCAACTTCTATCTATATCTAAGAGACTGAGATTATGCTAGAACATGCATGTTGTGAACAAAATAAAATGTCTTCTGAACAAATTAGGTAACATCTGTTATGAAATTTCTCTGTGGAACAACATCAATTTTAATTTGAGTAATACACATTTCACTCACTCTAGCCTGGAGGTAAAGTACTTTAATGAAACTTGTCAAATGAATTGATGACCAACATAAGACAAGGAACAAAGCCTAAACCGTGATAAGCCTTTGGTCTGCACAGGGGAAAGTTACTCAAATGCCAGCATTTATAGTAAGTGCTGAAATTATTTTAAAGAAGCACATTATGTACCACTTAAAATGGAAAAAATACGTATGTTTTCTTCCTTAAACCATGTTTTCATTGTAAAAATAACATGCACACATGCACATAATAAAGATAATTATGTAAAAAAAATGTAAAATATCCATAATCAAACTACCAAAACATAATTCTGAAACTTTTCCTATATTCTCATTTGGTATTTTCTTTAGCAGTTTTTTTATATAAAGTCATACCATTGTGTGTAAAATGTATATTTTATCTCTTCCACATTATAGTATTTAACTCAATAAAATAAAGTTCAATTAATGAACTAAAATTCATTCAATGAATGTTGTTTAGGTTATTTAGTCACTCACATCTTGCTAAATATAAAAATTGTTTTCAATTATTTACTGCTGATAATGTCAGGAGGCAGCCAAATGCCTAGGCAGATAGGGGTGGGTCCCTGCTGAAACCCCACCTCCAAGCCTAAGACAGTTTAAAGCCTGAAAGCCAAGCTACAAGTTAAATCCTCAGACTGGATTGAGAACTTTTCTGGTTTGGGCTTTTCTTTGATTGGACCCCACTTATGACCTATTTTACATATGCCTACCGTTTACTAAGTGGTTTTTCAACACTGTCAGGCCCAGCCTTGTGTGGTATATTCGCTTTAAGCTTTTTTGCACACTCACAAACCAATCAGCCTGCATTCCCTACTCTGAGTTCATGAAAGGCCCTGGACCCAGCCACATGGGGGAACTTTCCTGCCTTCTGATAGGGAGACCAATCCAGCATCCCCTATTTGCTGAAAGCTGTTTTCATCACTCAATAAAATTCTTCTCTGCCCTCCTCATCCTTCAATGTTTAGCATATCCTCATTCTTCTTGGTTGTGGTACAAGAGCTCAGGAACTGCTGAACATGGGTACAAGCTATAACAAAGGCGAGCTGGGGCAAGCTGGTGCATGCCAGCACGCCCAAGCGAGGCCCAGGTGGGGC
The DNA here is from genome assembly GCF_000001405.40 of Homo sapiens. Classification (NCBI taxonomy): domain Eukaryota; kingdom Metazoa; phylum Chordata; class Mammalia; order Primates; family Hominidae; genus Homo; species Homo sapiens. The sequence goes on from NC_000014.9 coordinate 40,168,752, forward strand.
GTTGCTGGCCGAAGGTCCCCAGCTTGCAAAGTGAGAAGAAAAATCCTACATCACGATGACACACAATACTGAGATGAAATTCTTTGTCATAGGTTTTATATTTAATAAACATGTAATGTGGCCATTTTATTACATTTTTTCAAAATATGATTAACAGATAAAATACTATGAAAAATATTATAGTTATTTGTATATAAATTAAATGTATTTCAAATATTCTGTACCTATTTACACAGTAAATTTACAGTATGAGTGACCATGTTATTAGTTCCTCCTCACAGTAGCATGATTTTAATATTTCATAATATAAATTAAATAGTTAATAACATAACTTTACCATCTTCTGTAATTTTCATAATAATCTAGACATCCATGTCTAATACAAGAGAATCCTTGGGCTATTCAAGGACCTAACAAATTACAGGATGTCATCTTATTTTATTTTCATGTTATCTAAATTTTAAATAAAGGGTGCAACCTGGTGAGGTAAATGAATTGAGGTATACAAATGTAAGTTTGGATCATTTTTTTAAAAATCTAAAATTTTGGCTTTTTGTTCATGAGACGTCTTTGTATTAATTTTTGTATTTTTAAAGTATCACATTAAATATTATTTAATATTATTACTGAGTTTTTTGGCACTTCCTTAAGTTTTGTATCTAAAGAGAATGCCATGTTTGCCTCATTCTAATTATTATTGCCTAAATACTGGACTGAAAGTATTTTGTATAAATGTTCTCAATTTAAAGAATTTAAACATTTTCTCTCAAATACATTAAACTTAATTTTTAAGCTACTTTATTCCTAAGTGTAATCTTTATTTCATTGTACTTTTTGGCAGGATTGAATAATGCAATACAGCCTCAGTCATTTAGAGAGGCTATAGTCATGTTGGTATAAAGCACTTTATAATTTATGATGTGTAATGGAACACAAAGAGTAGATGCTATTTATAACAATGTGACAAGGCAGACTATCTTAATTTTGAGAAAATTTTTAAAAATAAGCATCAACTAGATCACAAAACTACAAAGAACGTATGTGTAAACTGTGCAGTCTAATAGATCTTTCTGCAATGGCCAAAATGTTCTATATGTATGCTGTTTGATATGGAAACCACTAGCCAATGTGGCTATTGAACACTTGTAATGGGGAACTCAGTTTTACATTTCTTTGTGTTTTTATTAAATTTAAGCTTAAATAGCTCCATATGTCTAGTGACTACTGTAATAGATAGTAGATATAGATCCTGTGCCATGTCTTAAAGGTCCTACTATAATATAAACTGCTTATATACTTTCATTTGATCTCAAATGTTACTTGATCCTACAGATTATTGTCTAAACACATGTCTGCATCTCAGAAATAGAATCATAGATTTTATGTGATAGAATCATATATTTTACTCTTAAAAAGTAGGAAATTGAGAGCATGATGTGCAGTATTTGACAAACAAGTCCCAACAACCTTCTTTTCAACAAATGCTTTATGGCTTCTGAACATATTGCAAGTTGTTTCCGGTCTTGTGCATTTTGGGGCATATTTGCCTCTGTAGGATCCTCCTTAGAAGTGACAGAAAAAGAATTTTCTCTGTGTCAAAATGATAACCCTGAAACAGGCTAGCTGCAAACAAACAAAACAACGCCAGCTCCACACACCACTCCCCGCCCACCCCCACAAAAAAAACCTAGCAGTGTGTAATTTGCATAGAATAAACAGTTCCCTAAAAGCCTGCCTTTGATATTCTGTCTGATAATTTTGTATTATCAGCTCAGTGTAAACTTCATAAGCACCTGAGCTCTCTGTAATCACGGAGTGAAAACTGCTGTGATCACACTAAACACCTTGTTAGTTTTCATCCCAGAATATAATAGAAGAGCCCACAGGTACAAAAATGGAAGAACAGGCCTTAGGGGGAAATGTGGGGATTCTGTTGTCAGGCATATAATTGTATTTAACAGTGTTAACTAATGATATCAGACACTGACAGTTAATTATGTGAAGTGATTTTAAGTAGCTTGGATTGAATAATTAGTTTCCTTAAATGATAAGCAACAACATTCAAAGCTATCTCTTTTGAATGTAATTCAGAAAATTTAACATTCTAGTAACAAGTGCTATATTTACCTTATATAGATTTTTTTCACCTTAAATTGCTGTCATGCTTTTCTATCTAGATTAAAGTTTATGTGGTAAGAAAAATGACATGCTCTAGCCTCAACCCATTATCAATATTACCAAGTCTTCCAACATTTCTCTGAATCTTAAATCATGTATTTTCCTTCTATATTGTTGTATAGCCCACACAATATGGATAGAGAAAAATATTTCTTTAATTTTCTCTTATAAGCCCACATACAACATTATAAAACTTGATATATTCTCACAGGTCAGTAACAAGTGCAAGGATGAAAGAAGAAAATGGATATTTGATTCTCTAAAAGTGCATTTCTATGACCTGTGAAGTTAGAAGATTAAGTTGACATTAACTACCTTTCTAGGTTAGTGTAAAATTATATATAATTTAGTAACAAGAATATTTCAAAAGCTCAGAACACAGTGTAGGCCATGGAGCCCACCTACCAATAATAGGCATTTACAAACTGCTCAAGTTTTTGTTTTATGCCATTTATTTCAGACAAAAGAAACTACCTTAGCTGGTTTAAGAAAAAAATTGATTAAAGGGTATGAATAGTTCAAAGTCATTGGGATGGCTGAAGACTCTAAACTGATCTTCCAGGAACAACTCCATTAATCAGGCCACAGAACTAAAATGTTTCTGCTACTCAGAAAACTCTGAATCAAATAGGTATCAATTGGTGTTGCAGGCTCCAGTAACATCTACCTCTACTTTAATCCAGAATCTACCATAACAGGAAACCACTATTAGAGTGAAAAACCTAACACTACGTTGCCTTTGACACGATTCATATAGGCAAATGGATATCTTGTGTCCTGTCTCCTTCCTCACTCAGATCAGAATATGAGTGTTAACATGGTATATCTAGATAGTAAAAGCTAAGTTATAAGTCTCTGTGTTAAGAGGGAATTTAGACAATGTGATTACATAAGTTCTATGAGATCTTAGGTTCTTCATTAAAGTGGGACCCTTCGATTGGGGTAATGTGAGTTTTCCAAATTTGTTCTTTTTAAATATTCTGACTATACTTGATCTTTTGCCTTTCTATACAAACTAAAGAACCAGTTTTCAAAATATGCAAAATTAGCTGAGACCTTGATAGAAATTGCCCTGACTCTATAGAAAAATTGGGAAGAATTTACAACAATATTGAATCTTCTAATCCATGAACATGGAATATCTCTTCATTCTTTTAAGTTATATTTAATGTTTTTACCAATGTTTTATAGTTTCTTTGAGATACAGCCCGTGCATATTTAGCTATATTTATACCTAAGTATTTTACTTTTATGCTATTGTTCATTCTTGATATGTAAGAAAACAAGTAACTTTTTTTCCAATCCAAAGAATTTATTCATACTCCACTAGTTTTATAGGCACTCACTGTGTGTATATAAAGTTCCAAGCAATTTTATCACATGTGCAGATTTGTGTAAATACTACTGCAATCAAGGTACAGATAGTTCCATCATAATGAAGCTCTCTCTACCCCTTTATTGAAACATCTACCTTTCTCATTCCTATTCCTCAACCTTTAGCCATTCCTTTTTGGGAATGTGCCTATTTTTTGCTATTCAGAGCTCACACTCTTCCTATGCTGGCTAAAGTGAAATTTAGAGCTATGGGAGTGTGTAAAACCATATTCCTAATGGCCATTAGATGAGCAGCTTTTACTGCTATTTAAGGTAAGGTAAAAACTCTAGTTTTTACAAGATGGATCTTTGTTTATGTAGCACAATAAAGTGGTGGTGATTCCTAAATGTAGGCCATGCATTTCCCTATTTTGCCACTAATAGGGAAAGAGGTAATTTCAGTTTTGAAAGGTCTGGCCAATGCTTTAGCTGTAATTTCTAGAAAGGTTTTACCTTCAACTTTTCTACACTCATCCAAAACTTTCCAGATACTTTAGTGTATTGACCTTTTGTATTGTGACTCTGCTATACACACTTATTTTTTAGATTATTTCCAAAAGGTTTTTTTCTGTTGATCCTTAAGGGTTTGCTACATAGGCAACCATGCCATCTGAAAATAAGTATATTTCATTTATTCCTTTTGACCTTATATCGTCTTCTTGTCTTATTGAACTAGGTAGGACTTCCAATAAGATGTTGAATAGAAGTGAGAAAAGGTGTCCTTGCCTTTTTATTGAACTTAGGAAGAAAGCATCTGATCTCTTGCATTAGATATAACTTAGCTCTGGATGTTTTGTAGCTGTTATCAATAAAGTTAACAATGTTTTTGTCATGAATAGATATTGGATTTTTCTAAATAATTTTTCTGTATTAACTCACATGATCATATGATTTTTCTCTCAGTGTATTTAAGTAGTGGATTACATTGAATAATTTTTTTAAAAATGTTGAACCAGCCTTACATATGTAGAATAAGTTTTAGTTTTTTATGGTGTACATTTTTATGCAATTATATACTCAATTTGCTAATATTTTGTTGAGGGTTTTTGTGTTTATGTTACTGAGAAAAATCAATCTGCAGTTTTGTTTTGCTTTTTTCTTGTAGTGTGTATCTGGTTTTGATCTTAGGTTAATGCTGGCCTCATAGAATGAGCTGAGAAGTGTTCACTCTGCTTCTATTTTCTGGAAGAGATTGCAAAGAAGTGGTAAAACTTCTGTAAAATTTCTTGCAGACTTCTTTAATGCAGAGTTGGAGCCTGGTGTTTTCATTTTTGCAAAATTATTAATTGATTCAATTTCTTTAAACTATAAATGACTATTCAGATTTTCTGTTTCTTTTTTTGTGAGTTTGATAGTTTGTGTGTTTTTTTTATTATACTTTAAGTTTTAGGGTACATGTGCACAAAGTACAGGTTTGTTACATATGTATGCATGTGCCATGTTGGTGGGCTGCACCCATTAACTCATCATTTAACATTAGGTATATCTCCTAATGCTATCCCTCTCCCCTCCCCCCACCCCACAACAGGCCCCGGTGTGTGATATTCCTCTTCCTGTGTCCATGTGTTCTCATTGTTCAATTCCCACCTATGAGTGAGAACATGCGGTGTTCGGTTTTTTGTCCTTGCAATAGTTTGCTGAGAATGATGGTTTCCAGCTTCATCCATGTCCCTACAAAGGACATGAACTCATCATTTTATGGCTGCATAGTATTCCATAGTGTATATGTGCCACATTTTCTTAATCCAGTCTATCATTGGACATTTGGGTTGGTTTCAAGTCTTTGCTATTGTGAATAGTGCCACAAAAAACATACGTGTGCATGTGTCTTTATAGCAGCATGATTTCTAATCCTTTGGGTATATACCCAGTAATGGGATGGCTGGGTCAAATGGTATTTCTAGTTCTAGATCCCTGAGGAATCGCCACACTGACTTCCACAATGGTTGAACTAGTTTACAGTCCCACCAACAGTGTAAAAGTGTTCCTATTTCTCCATATCCTCTCCAGCACCTGTTGTTTCCTGACTTTTTAATGATCGCCATTCTAACTGGTGTGAGATGGTGTCTCACTGTGGTTTTGATTTGCATTTCTCTGATGGCCAGTGATGATGAGCATTTTTTCATGTGTCTTTTGGCTGCATAAGTGTCTTCTTTCAAGAAGTATCTGTTCATATCCTTCACCCACTTTTTGATGGGGTTGTTTGTTTTTTTCTTGTAAATTTGTTTGAGTTCATTGTAGATTCTGGATATTAGCCCTTTGTCAGATGAGTAGATTGCAAAAATTTTCTCCCATTCTGTAGGTTTCCTGTTCACTCTGATGGTAGTTTCTTTTGCTGTGCAGAAGCTCTTTAGTTTAATTAGATCCCATTTGTCAATTTTGGCTTTTGTTGCCATTGCTTTTGGTGTTTTAGACATGAAGTCCTTTCCCATGCCTATGTCCTGAATGGTAATGCCTAGGTTTTCTTCTAGGGTTTTTATGGTTTTAGGTCTAACATTTAAGTCTTTAATCCATCTTGAATTAATTTTTGTATAAGGTGTAAGGAAGGGATCCAGTTTCAGCTTTCTACATATGGCTAGCCAGTTTTCCCAGCACCATTTATTAAATAGGGAATCCTTTCCCCATTGCTTGTTTTTGTCAGCTTTCTCAAAGATCAGATAGTTGTAGATATGCAGCATTATTTCTGAGGGCTCTGTTCTGTTCCATTGGTGTATATCTCTGTTTTGGTACCAGTACCATGCTGTTTTGGTTACTGTAGCCTTGTAGTATAGTTTGAAGTCAGGTAGTGTGATGCCTCCAGCTTTGTTCTTTTGGCTTAGGAGTGACTTGGCAATGAGGGCTCTTTTTTGGTTCCATATGAACTTTAAAGTAGTTTTTTCCAATTCTGTGAAGAAAGTCATTGGTAGCTTGATGGGGATGGAAATTGGCCTATTGCATCTAGGCTGTCAATTTTGTGAGCATTGAGTATAGTGTTCTTTTGTTATCCTTTTAAGGTCTACATGATTAGTAGTGCTAACTTCTTTTTTATTTTATTTCTGATGTTGATTATCTTTCTCTCTGTCTGTCTCTCTTTCTTTCTTTTTGTCTTATTAGCTAGGCTATAATTTCATCAATCTTATTCATGTTTTCAAAAGACTACTTATCATTTCATTTGATTTCATTGGTTTTCTCTGTTATTTACTGGTTTTCAATTTCTTTGAGTTCTGTTTTAATTTTTTTCTTTTTCTACTCCTTACTTCTTCTTGCTTTAGGCTTCAACTGCTTTTCTTTCTCTTGTTTCCTAAGGTGGAAACTTAGGTTGTTGATTTTAGAACTTTTTTTCAAATAAAATAATTAAATGCTATAAATCCCCCTTCTAAACACTGCTTAGCTGCATCACACAAATTTTAATATATATATTTTTAGACAGATCCTCACTCTGTCACCCAGACTGGAGTGCAGTGGCATGATCTTGGCTCAGTGCAACCTCCACCTCCTGGATTCAAGCAATCCTCCCACCTCAGCCTGAGTAGCTGGGACTACAGATTTATATGTATATTTGCATATAAATTAAGATGTCCTTATTTTTAAGTTATGTACATGTAAGATTTCCTTCTTTGAAAGTTATTTTGTTAATATATATCTAATATATATAGTGTAATATATATTAGAGATGAGGTTTTGGGAATATATATTATATAATATATATCATATTTAATATATATAGTATTTTATATATCTATTATATATCTATTTTATATATATGTGTATATATATATGTGTGTGTATGTGTATATATATATATATACACATATATATAAAATAACTTCTTTTGTGGTTGGCCTAAATTTACAGAATAAATTTTAAACTTATGTAAGTCTACCTTCAAGTAACATTACAAAACTTCAATTGTAGTGCAACACAACTTATAACCGAGTATTCTTGCTTTCTCCTCTCATCCCTTGTATTACTTCTGGCATTCATTCCCCTTACCTGTATGCTATAATCACACAACATATTGTACTATTGCTGCATTAAACAATTATCTTTTAGATCAATAATATTAAAGATAATAATAAAAGACATTTTAACGTTAATTTATTCCTTATCTTATACTCTTTTTTTTACATAGGTCTAATTTTCTTATCTCTATTATTTTCTTTCTTCCTAACCAACTTCTTTTAACATTTCTTGTCGAGAATCTGTTGGTCATGAATTTCCTCAATTGTTTTTTGTCTGAGAGAGTCTTTACTTCTACATTTTTGAGGAATAATTTTACTGGATATAAAATTTTTAGTATTTTTTCTTCAACACCTCAAATGTTTTGCTCACCTCTCCCATTGCTTGCATGCTTTCTGGTGAGAATACTTCTGTAATTCTTATTCTTGTTCCGTAATAGATAAGGTATTATTTGCCTCGTGTTTTTTCTTATTATTTAAAGATATTCTCCTTGTATTTGATTTTCTGCAGTTTGAACATGGTATGCCTAGGTGTAGTATTTTGGTACATATTGTGATTATTGTTCTCTAAGTTTCCTAGATCTGTGGTTAATTATATTTGACAGTAATCACTTCAAAATTTTATGATAGTTTTAAAATTTCTTTTCCTTATTGTATTTAAGTTATACATGTGCTATACCTTTGATGTTTTTCTATAGTTCTTTACTATTGTTGTTTTTCCTTCTTTTCTCTGCATTTTAATTTAGGAAGGTTATATTGACTTATTTTGAAGCACAGTGATTTTTCCTTAGCTGTATTGAGTCTACTGATGAGCTCATCAAAGGCTTTCATTATTGCTATTAATGTAGGTGTGCATACTTTAAATTTCCACTGTTTCTTTGTATTCTTTCTTAGAATTTCCACAGACTGGCCAAAGTTTACAGATTTCTGCCGCTGAACAAGCAGCAGGTCTGTGGATCACTTTTGCATAGCAGTGATCTAGGATAGGCAATGATCAGTGTCAACAGGAAGAGATAAAACAAATTTGGAAAGTAAATAAAGATCAACAACCCCCAAAGAAAAAAGAACAGATACTGCACAAGGTTATACAGGGAATCAAAATGAGAAAAGTAAATAGAGATAAGAAGAAATTTACAGCTAGAAAACATATAGACAAGTATGCATGTGTCTTTAATTGAACATAATAATTCCTCCATGTAATATATTTATAGGTGCTAGAGTCATGTGTTCTGATGTTAAAGTATTCATGTTTTAATAATTAATAATTAATGCTTAAATAATTAATGATGTGGTCTCTCAACAAATACCACATGATGACTCTTTTGGGTCACAGTTCTATTTTTTTGTGAGGGGTGTGAGGATATCCATTTATTCATTTTTTACTGTGGTAAGAAGACTTAACATAAGATCTACCCACTTAATTTTTCAGTGTACAATTCAGTATTTTTAAACTATAGGTGCAATGTTGTAAAGCAGATCTCTACAAATCAGTCATCTTGCATAACTGAAATTTTATACATGTTGATAAGCAACTCCCCATTTTTCCCTTCCCCCACCTCCTGGCAAGTACCATTGTACTCTCTGCTTCTATGCATTTATGTGTTTTAAACACCTCATATAAATGGAATCATGCAGGATATATGTAACTGGTGCATTTCATTTAGCATAATGTCCTCAAAGTTTCATGTTGTTGTAGATGGTAAGATTTCCTTCTTTTTAAGTTATTGTTTATATATACCAGATTTTCTTTATCCATTTATCTGTCATTGGACACTTAGGATGTTTCCACACTTGCCTATTTTGAAAAATGCTTCAATGAATATTGAAATGCAAATATCTCTTTGAAATCCTGATTTCAATTCTTTTGGATAAATGCACCAAGGTAGGATTGCTGGATCATATGGGATTTCTATTTTAAATTTTGAGGAATCTCCATACTGTTTTCCATAGCAACTACTTCATTTTACATTTCCACCAACAGGGTTTTGCTTTCTCCACATCCTCACCAGTACTTGTTATCTTTTGTTGTTTTGTTTTATTGATCATAGCCAACTTAACAGGTGTGGGATTATAGCTCAGTATGGTTTGATTTTTAGTTTTCTGATGATTAATGATGTTGGGCATCAAATATATATATGGTATATATATAGATATAGATATATAAATGGTATATATAATATATACCATTTTTATGTGTTCTTTCGAGAAATGTCTACTGAAATCCTTTGCCCATTTAAAAAATTAGGTTAGTTGATTTTTTGCTATTAAGTTGAAGAAATTCCTTATATATTTTGGATATTAACTATCAGATACCTGGTTTGCACATGTTTTATTCTATGTTGTAGGTTGCCTTTTTGCTCTGTTCTTGTAGGTTTTAGTTGTTGTCCTTGTTGTTTGCTGTGCAGACACATGTTAGTACCAGTTATCTATTTTTGCTTTTGTTGTCTATGCTTTTGGTGTCATATCCAATAAATTATTGCCAAGACCAATTCCCAAAAGGTTTTCCACCTATGTTTTATTCTAGGATTTTAACTGTTTCAGGTGTTACATTTAATTATTTAATCTATTTTCGGTTAATTTTTGTGTATAGTGTAAGGTAAGGGTCCAATCTCATTTTTTTTTGCATGCAGGTATCTGGTTTTCCCAGAGCCATTTTTTAAAAGACTACCCTTTCTCTATTGTGTATTTTTGGTACCCTTGCTGAAGAACAATTGCCTATATATGCATGGGTTAATTTCCTGGCTCTTAATTCTGTTCCACTGGTCTATGTGTCTGTATCTCTACAAGTAATATACTGTTTTAATTACTGTAGTTTTATAATACATTTTAAAATCAGGACATGTGATGTCTCCAGCTTTGTTCTTTCTTAGGATTGTTTTGGCTATTTGGGCTCCTTTGTGGTTCAATATCAATTTTAGGGTTATTTCTTCTATTTCTGTAAAAAATACCATTGTGATTTTGACTAGAATTAAATTGGAATCTGTAGATCACTTTGAGTGGTATGGACATTTGCACAATATTGATTCTTTCTATCCAAGCACAGAATGCCTTTCTTCTTACTTGTGTGTGCTTTAACTTTTTTCATCTATTTTGTAGTTTTTATTGTACAAGGCTTTCACCTCCTTAGTTAAGTTTATATGAAAGTATTTTTTTTTTCTGATGCTATTGTGAATGGAATTATTTTCTTAATTTTCTTTTTGAATAATGTGTTGTTAATGTGTAGAAATGCTACTGATTTTTGTATGTTAATTTGTGTCCTACAGATTTACATAATTTGTTTATTAGTTCCAACAGTTTTTTGGTTGAGTCTTTAGGATTTTCTATGTATGACATTATGTCATCTGCAAAGAGATAATTTTACTTCTTCCTTTCTGATTTAGACCTCTTATTTTTCATTTCCTTCCCTAATTACTATGGCTGCTACTTCCAGTACAATATTACGTAGAAGTGGCCTGAGTGAGTACCCTTGCCTTGTTCTAAATCGTAGAAGAAAAGCTTGCACTTTGTAGTCATTCCACATGACAATAGCTGTGGGCCTTTCTTATATGGCCTTCATTATGGTGAGGTAAACTCTATAGCCAATTTGTTGAGAGTTTTTATCATGAAAGGGGATTGACTTTCGTCAAATACTATTTTTGCGTCTATTGAAATGATTGTGTGATTTTTATCCATTATCGTCTCAATGTGGTGTATAATATTGATTTATGCATGTAGAACCATCTTTGCATCCTAAGGATAAATCTCACTTGGTCATAGTGTATGATCCTTATAATGTGTTCTTGAATTTGGTTTGCTAGTATTTTGTTGAACGTTTTTGCATTTATGTTCATCAGGGTTATTGGCCTGTAATTCTCTTCTTATTATAGGGTCTTTACCTCTCTTTGGAATCAGGGTAATGCTAGCCTCACATCAGGAGTTTGGAAATGTGTTCCCTCTTTTTCATTTTCCTTGGAAGGGATTGAGAAGAATTGACACTACTTCTTTAAATGTTTAATAGAACTCGCCTGTGAGGCCATAAGCCTTCTTGGGTCCTGTCTCCTCTCATGTCCTTCATGTTCCTGACACAACCCTTTCCCAGAAACATTTACTGATCCTGATGATGTAATATTCTGTGATGTAAAGTTTTTGTGTAAATTTTATTGACATGGTGAAATGCTCACAATATAATTTATTTTTAAAAGTATACAAAACCATATATCCAAAGTATTAACAAATGTAATAGGGGTTGGAATGTTATTATTTTAACTACTGACAGTGATATTCCTCTTGGGAAGAAACTATCCTTGCTTTAGAAAATAACTTGAAATAAGCACTTTAGTTAGAAAGGAAGGCCTGTAGGTGGGAGAGTTGGTAGGAGCCTGAGCAACAGCAGGAAGTGGCTTAACTGCTCCACATGAAGCCCAGAAGCAGGGAAACAGAGTCAGAATGTATTCCCAGGCTGAGGGCAGAAGGGCATATAGTGGCTGGTGGGAATCCACTGGCAGGAGGAATGGCCAAAGATCTATCCATTTTAAAGGCATGGTTCTCTAGAAAATAATATATAAACCATGCAACTAACTGGGTATAAAAGGGAGATGTTTTATAACCTTAATGCTCCCTGCTGTATGTGATAACCTTGTGCATCTAATTTAGAGACCAAAGACTGTGTCTCATGTGCAGAGGAATTAACTATACTCAATGTTCTAGACCTTCCCCTGAGGTATCTGAGCATCTTCAGTGTGTGTATCCTCAAAATTTTAAGTAAAATGCAAGGTATCTTATTTGTGTGAGTCTGTCTTTATCGTTCAATCTCATGTTTAACATAGTTACATTTTAGAAAGTAAAGATAAAAAGCAAATATTCTGGCAGATGAGCATAGGGTGATTATTTTTCTATTTAAAGTTTCTGAGAAGAGGAGTACGTAGGAACTAACAGGTGATACCTTCAATGTGCAGTAAAGAGTCCTGCCATTATATAGCTATGGAAATGATGCTAGTATACTTGAACTTTCAGTACCTTAGAATGTATATCTGATGTCCAAATAAAATAAAATGTGCTATAAATATTAGACCAAGCTTATTAACAAGAGCTATGGAGTTTTCACCTTTTTGTTTAATTTGCTTGATTTTGTATTATAGTTTTTCATTCCCTTTGATAACTTTCATAATTGAATAAAAATCAATAAGCCAAATTAAAAAAAAATGGAAAATATTATATCCGTTGAAATTCTTTCAAACAATTACAAAAGCATGAATATGTTTATTCTTTTCTATTTCTAACTTTGCTAGAAATTATGTTTCTAAACGTCAGATATTGATTTGTTTAGTTTTTCCCACCCCAAAAATAGTGTGTTTGTTTGTTTTGATTTTAGAGACAAGGTCTCACCCTGTTCCCCAGACTGGGGTACAGTGGTACAATCATGGCCCTCTGTAACCTCAAACTTCTGGGTTCAAGGGACCGTTTCACCTCAGCCTCTCCATTAGGTGGACTACAGCCATGTGCTGCCATAACTAGCTAATTTTTTTATTTTTATTTTTTCAGAGATGGGGTCTTGCTTTGTTGCACAGGCTGGTCTAAAACTGTTGGCTTCAAGTGATCTTTCTGCCTCACCCTCCCAAATTACTGGGACTATGGGTGTGAGCCACTGTGCCCGGCCCCTAAAAATAGTTTTAATTTATCAACCCCTTATTTTAATACATTAATTATATTTTATCTTCTTAATACATTCATTATTATTTCCTCAAGTATGCTTTGCTGTTAATTTTCTGAATTCTTGACTGGCAAGTTCTGTTTCTTTTCTTTTGTGTTTTCTTATTTACTTCTGAGTGAGGATTTTGGTGTAATGTTCTAAAAGTTTTGTGTGTAATGTTCTAAAAGTTATTTTCTCTTTAATTATAGTGTTGATTTTCTACGATATTCAAGAGTCTGAGTGTTTTATTAATTACCAAGTGGTTTTCTGTGTTGTACTTGCCTTATACTTTGTCATTATTTTTTTCTATTCTTTAAAATTTTGGTCATTATTTGTAACAAGACAATTTTGTGTCTTGTAATTACTTTGGTTTTTTTTTTTTGGTCCCCAAAATTACCAATAGATTTTGCTAATGATATCTGGAAACATTAAAAGAAAGCACAGTCTCTGTTAATAGACAATAGATCTCTATATGTGAATCTGTGGACTACTGTTAAATGTGTTTCTGTTAGTTTCCTCTTGTATTTCAAACAGATGTCAAACTCATTATTTGCGTGCTACAACATGAGCACTATGGATTAAATCTTAGATCAAGAAAAAAGGCCCCAATTAAAAAGAAGGAGGAACAGGAGGAGGCAGTGGCAGTTGTATGCAAAATGCAAATGGAACAATTTTAGAAGGAAATATAGAATTTTTAAAAATGAATTCAAGATGGGGAAGGATTTCTTAAATAAGCCATAAAAGTGACAAACTTTAAAGAGAACATGATGGATAAATTCTATTGCATTTTGTTAAAAATATTGCATATCAAAAGACACACCACAAACTGAGTAGAAGAATACTTTTCATATGAACATGTAACCCTCAGAGAATTGTTATTTACAATATAGAGAAAACTACAAGTCAATTGAAAGTAAACAAGTCAATAGAAAAATTGGCAAACACAATAATAAGCATTTTACAGAAATAGGAATGGTCAATAAATGAAAGAAATAGTTTTCAACTTAATTAGTAATCAGGCCAATGCTAATCAAAGTCACAGTGATATAACATTTTACATAAATCTAGGATGGCAAAAATTAAATAATGAGTGCTTCTGAACATGTGGATTAAAGAAAACTCATATACAAATGTTAGCATGTAATTGGTACAGCTACTTTGGAAAATGATTTGGAATTATCTTGTGAAGCTGAGCATGGTAATCTGTATGCTTCAGCAATTTAACTATTAAGATTATAATACAGACATATTATTCCAGTCATACCAGGAGATACATGCAAAAATGTTTACAGTTAGTAGTAACTGCATTAGCAAAAGACATGAAAAAGACTCAAATTATTTCAATAGCAGAATGCACATAATGGAATATTGTTATACAAAGTAAAAATTCAATGAACAATTACTTGTAACAATTTGGATATACTTAAAAAATTATGTGGAGTGAATTTTTTTTCTGAAGATGTCACAACATTCATTTTTTATAAACATCATAAAATTTCTAAACAATTTTTTTTGTAATTAATGTATACTCTTAAAAACCATGTAGGAAAATTGTTTTTAAAACTACAAAAATGGTTGTATTTGAGATGTATGCAAAGGTAGAGCCATTGTTGGTAATCTAATATTTTGGTTGGGATTTCAGGTTGTTTATTTATATTTGAAAAATGTCAATACATATTAGTTATATTTTTATATTTTGCAAGCATCATATTAAAAAATTAATAAATTTTTTAAAATTCCATAATTGGATCTAGGGCTATTCAATCTATTGTTTTATCAATAGACTTGTTAAAGGATTTACAGAATAAATAATGCTGTCTGAAAAAAGATTATCTTCCCTTTGTCTTGATTATTTCTGGAGAGAAACTGAATTTCATTTTTAAATTATTAGTGAAAATATGAAGAATTCAAATATGTAAATATGTCAATTTTAAATATTTGTGGATACGTTCATAGATTCATTTTATTTAACCACTTATATTTTGCCCTTTTCAGTGTGTAATTTCAATATTTCTAGAGAAACAGCGGTTTAAACTTCATTATAACTCTATTCATTTTAAAGAAATGGTAAAAAAAAAATCATCTCTGCTACTTTTCTAAGTAAATGATGCAATCTGTGATAACTAAGTTATAAATGTGTGACCCTAATACAGAAATGCAGACAGATGCATTATTTTGTGATAAAATGAGGTAAGTGTTGCATTTTATTTGTTCCTTTTCTTTCATGATTTTGGATGGTTTACATGCTCGGCCAGGTCTGTATTTTTGCCTGCCATCAAGTTGATATTTGCAGAATAGTGATGAGCAAGTAAAATGAAGGATTATCCATGTAAATGAAATATTTTGGTTTAATTATGGTTTAATATTTAAAAATATTTAAAAATTGTAGCCTATTAGTTTATTATGTAAAGATCATTATGAGGTTTTTTTGTTTTGTTTTGTTTTTTGAGACGGAGTCTCGCTTTGTCACCCAGGCTGGAGTGCAGTGGCACAATCTCGGCTCACTGCAACCTCTGCCTCCCAGGTTCACGTGATCCTCCCACTTCAGCCTCCCAAATAGCTGGGACTACAGGTGTGCCACCACACCCAGCTTTTTTGTATTTTTAGTAGGACGGACTTTCACCATGTTCAGAATTCCTGACCTCGTGATCCACCTACCTCAGCCTTCCAAAGTGCTGGGATTACAGGCATGAGTCACCACACCCAGACATACAACTTGATGTTTTGATATATGTATACATTGTGAAATGATTACCTTAATCAAGTAATGAACATATCAATTACTTCAAATAATTACCTTCTTTGTGTTGCAAACACTCAAGATCTACCCTTTTAGCAAATGTCAAATATTCAATACATTATTATTAACAATAGTCACCAAGTTTTACATTAGGTCTCTAGAACTTTTTCATCCTGTAATGGATGTACCCTGTAATGGATGTACAAACCCTGTAAAGTTTGTACCCTTTAATCAACATTTCCCCATTTCCTTACCCCTCATCCCCTGGTTAACCACCCCTCTACTCTCTGCTTCTATGAGTTTGACTTTTTCAGATTCCACATGTAAGTAAGACCGTGCAGTTTCTGTCTTTCTGTGTCTGGCTTACTTCAGTTAGCCTAATGTCTCCCAGGTTCATCCATGATGTCACAAATGACAGGATTTTCTTCCTTTTCTAAAGCTGTATTGTACTTCATTGTTTATATGCACCACATATTCGTTATTCTTTCATCTGTTGATAGACACTAAGCTTGCTTCCATATGTGGGCTATTGTGAATAATGCTACAGTGAACAGGGGAGTGCAGATATCTCTTCAATGCACTGATTTTAAGTCCTTTGAATATATACTTAGAAGTAGGATTGCTGAATCATATAGTAGCTCCAGTTTTAATTTTTTCAGGAACCTCCATACTATTCTCCATAATGGTTGCACAATTTACATCCTCACCGACTGTGTACAAAGATTATTTCTTCTCCACATGCTTGTTAACATTGGTTATCTATTTTTTTTAAATAACAACCATGCTAAAAGGTGTAAGGTGATATATCATTGTGGTTTTGATTTGTGTTTTCATAATTACTGATTTTGACCACCTTTTTATATGCTATGCTTATTGACTATTGTGTGTATTTTTTTGACATATGAAGGAATTTTATTGTATCTTCCATCACCACCACCATCATCATCCTCCCCATTCCCCCCATCATCATCAACATCATCACCACCATCATGATCTTGTAAGAAGGAGAGCATGTCACAAGTTACCAAGCTATAGACCAACACTTAGAATATCTGGGGAGCTTATTTAAAATGTCACATCCTGGCCATAGCCTCAGAGATCCTGATTCAGAAGGTCTCAGTAGCACCCATAAATACTCCGTTCTAACAAGAACCCAGGGTGATTTTTGTTGCAGGAAGTCTGTGCATCACACATTGAGAAACATTGCCTTATAGTTGTAGAACAAACAAAAGGAGATTATACCACACACAGGGTTTATTGATGCTTGTGAAACCCGTAAGCCCATGACAATATGTGTAAGCAGTCCAAGACCTTTCCATATGAGGTCACTGGCTACCCCTCAGCATTCAGGGGGCAGGAGCAGCCTCCCTGAGTTTTCTGGTCATGTTTTATCTAGTTGAAGCCACCTGGGGTGAGCTGGGGTAAAGCATATCTATCTAATACACTCATGTAAACTTGGGTCTTGGGATTGAAACAGCAGCGTACAGACAAATGAAAGTATTTATACTATCACAGTAAAAAGCAATTAATCCTCGCTATTAGCCATAATTAAATTCCTCAAAATGAAGACTTTCAACTTGTGAGCTGGGGCAAATCTCCCTCTGTGGCTTCCTGGGGAGGGCAGGCATCTTCTCCTGCTCCCCTCTGCCCTGCTATCCTGGGCTGGTGCTACTCTATTCCTATTGATTCCAAAGAGTTCCTCAACCTGAGATTGGTGAATTTTCTGTTCTTTTCTTTTCTTTTCTCTTTTCTTTTCGCTTTTCTTTTCTTTCCAGAGGAAGTCTTGCTCTGTAACCACCCAGGCTGGAATGCAGTGGCATGATATTGGCTCACTACCACCTCTGCCTCCCAGGTTCAAACGATTCTCCTGCCTCAGCCTCCCGAGTAGCTGGGACTACAGATGCCCACCACTATACCCAGCTAATATTTTGTATTTTTAGTAGAGATGGGGTTTCGCCATGTTGGCCAGGCTGGTCTAGAACTCGTGACCTCAGGTAATCCACCTGCCTTGGCCTCCCAAAGGGCTGGAATTACATGGACCACACCGGCCATGTCTTCTTTAGATAAATGTCTATTCAGGCTAACTGTCCATATTCTTATTCTGGTCATCTGTGTTTTTACTACTAAGTTGTGGGAGTAGTAGTATCAAAATATCATATATTTTGATATTAACTCCTTATTGGCTATATGGTTTGCAAATATTTCGTCCTATTCTATAGGTTGCCTTTAACCCATTACTTTAAATCTGCATGACTAAATGGGTAAGTTAACCACTTCTCAGAAATGAGTTTTATGAACTGTGTTATAGTTTAGCATGCTTAATAGGTGTTCACAATTTTACTTTTTGGATGATACTAAAATGGCATCAATTAATTAAAAGCTGACTCATGGCCAGGCACAGTGGCCCACGCCTGTAATCCTAGCACTTTGGGAGGCCAAGGCGGATGGTTTGCCTAAGTTCAGGAGTTCGAAACCAGCCTGGGCAACACAGTGAAACCCCATCTCTACTAAAAATACAAAAAAAAAAAAAAAATAGCCCAGCATGGTGGTGTGCACCTGTAGTCCCAGCTACTTGGGAGGCCGAGGCAGGAGAATTGCTTGAACCCAAGAGGCAGAGGTTGCAGTGAGCCGAGATTGCACCACTGCACTCTAGCCTGAACAACAGAGCGAGACTCCGTCTCCAAAACAAAACAAAACAAAAAACTGACTCGTTCTAGAAAGTATTTGAGGGAACTGAAATGAAACACTAACAATGTAAAATCATGACAGAGAATAAAGTGAACAACAACAAAAAAAAGGTAAAACGAAGTCATCAGTGGAACCAATACACAAAAATGTACCATCAGGTTCTGCACAGCTAGTAAAGGTGACTCAAAGCTCAGAACTCGTTTTTTTTGCTGCAAAGCAGAGAGAATATGGCCAATTATAAGAGGTATGATGTTCGCAAGTTAAAACATGGCAGTTAAAAATGGAATTAATCAGTAATATTAGAAGCCCTTATGTCATATCTTCAAGAGGGTATGAAAATTAATCTTTGTTCAATTAATAAAAGAACAGTTTTCACGAACCTAATCACAAGATAAATCGAATCAATTTTTAACTTACATTTTGCTTTTGTAATTGTAGGATCGAGGAAATGGCCGGCTTGTAAATATCTTTCAAAACTGGAATGTCAATTGCTAAACATCTCTGAAACACCATTCAGGTTAACCCCTTGAGAATCCAATTGATGAGTGAACGTCTAAGATTGACCGACCTACATCTATTTTTACACCTTGGGCAAACATGCTAAAAAAAGAAAAGTTTTTATTTCTAAACATTTAGCAGCCAAAATTCCAAAAAAAGGGCATAGGAAAATACTAGCCAGCCTTTCCCCCAGTGACTTCCAGTACCTAAGCTATGGGCTATAAATCTGTTAACTATCCAAGACCGATTGTGAGACACTGGGAAACTGTTATCATGTAGGTTGTTGTTCTGGAGTCCCAGACATCAGCTCTCTGAGCTGGATGTATGATGTGTATATGCCAGGGAGGCCCTAGAGCTGTGCTGTCCAACATGGCAGTTGCTGTCCACGTGTGACTACTGAGCCCTGGAATGTGGCTAGTGTGAACTGAGAAGTTCTGTAAATAGAAAGTAAAAGACTCACTATGAAAATAAGAGAGAGTGAAAATAACTCTTTAAAACTTAAATTACATTATGAGTTTTCTCCTATACGTTAGTATATGTTGAAAAGCAACATTTATGGCAATATAGTATTCCAACCATGAACCATAATTTATTTAAGTATATTTCTATTGTTTGACATTTAAATCATTTGTGTTGATCACTATTATAAATAATTCTGTAATAAATATCTTCTACACATGCATTTGCATAGCTTATGTTTTTCCCTTTGTGTAAATTCCTAACTACTGGATCAAAGAGTAAAACACTGTCAAGACTCTTGACACTTATTGCCAAATTGTTTACCTATCAGCAATATATAAGCATTAGTTTAATTTTACTTATGCTGGTACTGAATAGGATTATTTTAGAATAGCTTCCATTGGATTAGAAAAATTTTAAAGAAAACAATTTAAACAAGTTCTCCTAACTACATATTTTTTCTAGTTGCATTGCTAAAAACATTATTACGATGGGTTTAAATAATTTGACATTTCCGTCCTATACAAAATAGATTTAAAAATTAGGTCATATCCATGTGATAGGAAATTGCGCATCTTCATAGTCTTTGTCCTTCTGTGTTATTTTAGTTTGAGCTAGTTAAATATTTTTTGAGAAAAATATTTGAGAAAAATATTGCATACAATATAATGATCCTTCTAGGCTAAACCAACCAGATTAGTTACAGCTCAGGGGAGAGTTTGCAAAACAATATTGCTATTGTTGCCTTATAGTTTCCTATTTGTTGTTTTTATTTTTATATCAGTGAAAGTACATTGCATGCTAGAGCTTTATAAAAAATAAAAAACATGCCTCCAGCAAAGGCAAATTTTATATACTTTAGCATTAAGAAAATATTCTACCAATAAAATCTGATTTTTTTCAATTGTTAAAAGGTCTTAAAATTCAGAGTATGCATTTAAAAAAATATGACTTCATCCAAATTAAATTGTTCTTTTTCATCTTCACATATTAATATTTACCAAATTAGTGTTTCAAGCTTAAATTAACTTAGTCTGCAAGGCTGGTATGCTGTTCCAGCATTTCCTGTATTTTAAATGCTTACACATTGCATTATTAGATAATCTTAGTCTTGTCTGTTTTATTAATTAAAAATGCAATTAAACCACTGTTATTTAAAATCTATAGTCATATGGCTTAAAAATAACTCAAACTCAAATAATCATAAAAGACTAGTCCAAATATTTTGTCTTTTGACCCAGTAATTTTACTTGATTACTAGCCCAGGAGAGTTTCTTCTTTAAAGCCCCATTTGCAATTTCCAGTTATTACCTGTATGTTATTAAATACTCTATGTTGTTAATATTGATCTCACACAAACCTCATCAGGTAGGCATAATTATCTGCATTTTAGCCCTGAAAATGTTAGGCCAAAGAGATTGAGGAATTTAGCTATGGATTTAAGGCAAGTAAATGGTGAAAGTAATATTTAAAGTCAAAAAAGTCATCATTGGGAAAGAAGAAAGGAAAGTTCACAGTAAAAGGATTTGCCTATTTACTAGTTTTGTGGCCTATTTAATACAAGATATTTACTTACACATTTCACAAGCATTTTACAATAGAAGAAGAAATTAACTTGTAATGTTTTCTTGAAAGTTTAATGTTTGCTACATTTTTTAGAGTTAAATAACATGCCACTTACCTGGCAAATACAGCAGTGGAGGGTTGCCATCTGTAATAGTTTGCTAGGGCTGCCACAACAAAGTACCCCAAGACTAAGTGGCTTAAACAACGAAAATGTGTTTCCTTACAATTCTGGAGGCCAGAAATTTAAGATGAAGGTGTCAGCAGGGTTGGTTTCTTCTATGGACCTCTGTCCTTAGTTTGTAGATTACCATTTTCTCCCTGTGTCTTCACATAGTCGTTCCTGTGAAAGCATCTGAGTCCTAATTTCCCTTTCTTATAAGAACAATAGTCATATTGGATTAAGGCCCATCCTAATACCTCATTTGACTCTAGTTGCCTTTGAATAGCTCTATTTCTAAATATAGTCACAATCTGAGGCACTAGGGGTGAAAACTTCAGTGTATGAATTTGGGTAGTACATAGTACAATTCATTACATCATTGTAGGCTGAATTTCACTTTCTACATTGTATTTGCTCTAGTGTTTGGATTAAGTATTCCAAAAATACATTATATTGCAATGTGAAAAATATTTTAAAATATTAAGTAAAGATATATTTGCATAGCCATATAATATGTCATTAAGTTTATGTTAATACATGTAAACTATGTTCAAAAGAAACCACCTTAATTCTTCACTCATAAGCAATTTACTAACTTTATAAACATATGTAAACATGTTTGGTTACCAGGGCTTCTAGTTTATAGTAAATTACAATCAGAAAAGTATATAAAGAAAGAGGTCTGCCATTCCCATTGGAGAAAGGGAGATGCAGCTGCCTACCTCTCTCCCCTCAAGGATCAGCCACTACTGAGCTGCTTTAGAAAAGAAGTCATCACATCTCCCAACCCCTCACATGCCTCAATCCCTGAGCCACAGCCATCCTTCAAGTGCCTGTACTCCAAACCTGGGCTCTGTGGCCACTCTGCAAGTACCCACATTTCAATCCTGGGCTCTGTGGTTTCATGGTAGTCACCCACATCTCAAGTACTGGAACCATCTCCCTGGTGAGCTAATTTACACTCTGGATCCTGATACCAAGGTCTCTCTGAGTGTGCCATGCTCCAGGCACCAACTAAGCCTCCATAGAGAGCTAGGCCCTGCCCTGACTTCAGAGCCGCTGTAACTCTGTGCATGCCTGTGATCCCATTTAGGGCTCCTTGACTGCTTCATGAACATCTGCACCAGTGCAGCAGCAGAAATATAAGAAAATATGCAACATTACGTATAAGGAAGTTTCAATAAAGCTAGCCCAGATTTCTCAGCAGAAACCTGATAGACTAAGGTAAACTGGGATGATAGATACAAAGTGTTGAAGGTGAAAAACTACCAAAAAAGCACAGTTTACTTGGCAAAGCTGTCCTTGAAAAATGAAAGAAAGAGAAAGACCTTCCCAGATAAACAAAAGCTAAGAGAGCTTATATCGCCAGCAGAATTGTTATACAAAAAATGCTAAAGGATATTCTTCAAGCTGAAAGAAAAAGATGCTAACAAGTAACATGAAAACATATGAAAATATTAAACTCACTGGTAACATTTAGTACACAATCAAATTTAGAATATTCTAACACTGCAATAGTGGTATGTAAACAACTTATATTTTTAGTATAGGGGCTAAAGGGCAAAACTATAAAAATAGTAGTCACAATAATTTTTAAGGGATATACAATATAAAAAATGTAAATTGTGACATGAAAAACATGAATTGTGGGGCAGGGAGTGGAGTAAATGTGTAGAATTATTTTATGTGATCAAGGTTAAGTTGCCATCTTAGAATAGCCTATTATTACTATAAGATATTTTATTTAAGCCTCATGTAACCACAAAACAAATACCTGTAGTAGATACCCAAAAGATAACATGTAAGAAATCAAAGCATGCCACTAAACAAAAATCATGTAATCAAAAACAAAGACAGCAGTAGAGGAGGAAACGGGAAAAGGAACTACAAAAACCCTGGAAACAGTTAACAAAATGACAATAGTAAGTCCTTACCTATCAATAGTTACCTTGAATTTAAGCAGATAAAATTCTTTAATCAAGAGACATAGTGGCTGAATGGATAAAATAATAAGTTCAAACTATATGCTGCCTGTAAGAGATTCACTTCACCTTTAAGGATGCACATAGATTGAAAGTAAAAGAATGGATAAAGACATTCCATTCAAATGGAAAACCAAAGAGAGCAGAAGAAACTATACTTATGTCAGATAAAATAGATTTTTAAGTCAGAAACTATAAAATGAGACAAAGAAGGTCATCATATAATAATAAAAACATCAACTCATCAAGAATTGATTGTTAATATTTGTACTCAACATAAGAATATCTAAATATATATATAAAACAAATATTAATAGATCTGAAAAGAGAGATACACTATAGTACTATAATAGTAGAGGATTTGATATCCCAGTTTCAACAATGGAAAGATCATCCAGACAGAAAATCAATAAAAGACAGTAGACTTAAACTACAAGTTAGACCAAATAGACCTAACAGATATATACAGAAAATTCTATGCAATAGAAGCAGAATGCACATTCTGCTCAAACACACATGGAACATTCTCCAGGGTATATCATATGTTAGGCCACAAAACAAGCTTAAACAATTTAAAAAGCCAGAAATCATATCAAATATCTTTTCTGACCACAATTATATGAAACTAAAAGTCTATAATGGGGAAATTTTAGGAAATTTACATATATGTAGAAATTAAATAACAGGCTTCTTAAAAACTAATGGGTCAAAGAAGAAATTAAAAGAGAAATAAAGGCCAGGTGCGGTGGCTCACGCCTGTGGTCCCAGCACTTTGGGAGGCTGAGGCGGGTGGATCACAAGGTCAGATGTTTGAGATCAGCCTGGCCAACATGGTGAAACCCAGTCTGTACTAGAAATACAGAAATTGGATAGGCATGGAGGCTGAGGCGGGAGTATCACTTGAACCCGGAGGCAGAGGTTGCAGTGAGCCAAGACCATGCCATTGCACTCCAGCCTGGGCAACAGGGTGAGACTCCATCTCAAAAAAAAAAAAAAAAAAGAAAAAATAGATTGAGATAAATGAAAATGAAAACACAACATACCAAAATTTATGGGATATAGCAAAAGCAATTCTAAGAGGGACGTGTATAGCAATAAACACCCAAATAAAAATCCTAAATAAAAAAAACTAATGTTTCATCACAAGGAACTAGGAAAGGAATAGTAAACTATGTCCACTGTTAGTAGAAAAAAAAGGTAATGATAATGATCAGAGAATTAACAAATGAAATAGAAACTACAAAATCAATAAAAAGATAAACAAGACTAAAAGTTGGTTCTTTGAAAAGACAAACAAAATTGACAAAACTTTAGCTAGACTAAGAGAAAAAGAATCAAATAAATAAAACCAGAAATAAAAAGGATACATTGCAACTGATGCCACAGAAATAGAAGGGTTAATAATGAAACCACTATGAAGAACTATATGTCAACAAATTTGGCAAACTGGAAGAAATAGATAAATTCCTAAACGTATACCACATATCAAGACTGAATCATTAGAAAATAGAAGATCTGAATATGCCAATAACTAGCCAAGAGATTGAACCATAGTAAAAAGTTTGCCATGAAAAAAAAGCCTAGGACCTAATACCTTCATGGATGAGTTCTCCCAAACATTTAAATAACTAATACCAATATTTCTGAAACTCTTCCAAAAATTAAAGCAGAGAGAATATGTCCAAACTTATCCTGTGAGACAAATGTTATGCTGAAACCAAGACTATACAGGGGAACTGCAAGAAAAGAAAATTCTGAGCCAATCTCCCTGATGAACATGGATGCAAAAATCCTTAACAAAATACTAGCAAACTGAATTCAACAGCACATCAAAAGGATCATTCACCATGACCAAGTTGATTTATCCCAGGGATGCAAGGATGATTCAACATACACAAATCTACCAATGCAATATACTACATTAACAGAATGAAGGACAAAAACTTTGTGATGATCTCAAATGCAAACAACAACAACAACAAAAGGCTTTCAACAATTCAACATACTTTACTGATAAAAATCTCAAAAAATAGGTATAGAAGGGATCTATCTCAACACAATAAAGGCCATATATTACAAGCTTATAGCTAACATCTTACTCAATAGTGAAAAGTTTAATGCTTTTTCCTAAGATCAGGAATAAGACAAGGATGCCCATTCTCACCACTTTCTATTCAACAGTACTGGAAATTTAATCCACAGAAATTAGAAAAAGAGAAAAACATAAAAGATA
This sequence comes from Homo sapiens, assembly GCF_000001405.40. Taxonomy (NCBI): domain Eukaryota; kingdom Metazoa; phylum Chordata; class Mammalia; order Primates; family Hominidae; genus Homo; species Homo sapiens. The sequence goes on from NC_000014.9 coordinate 40,194,236, forward strand.
CCTAATTAGAAAGGAAAAAGTGAAATTGCTACTATTTGCTGATGACATGATATTATATATGAAAAATTCTAAGGACTCTACCAAAATAATATTAGAACTAATAAACAAATTCAGTAAAGTTGCAAGATGCAAAACCAACATGCAAAGCTCAGTACCATTTATATAAACTAATAACTAAAATATTTTAAAAATCATGTTTGCAATAGCTACAAAAAACTTAGGAATAAATTTCACTAAAGAGGTGACAGATTTGTACACTGAAAACTATAAAGCATTGATCAAAGCAATTAAATGAATAAATGGAAAGATAACCTATGTTCATAAATTGAGAGAATTAGTATTGTTAAAATGTCCATATTACTGAGTGATCCACAGATTCAGTGCAATAGTTCTCAAAATACCATTGACATTTTTCACAGAAATAGAAAAAACAATCCTAAAATTTGTATGTAACTACAAAAGAATAACCAAAGCAATCTTTAGAGAAAAAATCCAGATGTATCACACAAGCTGAATTCCAAATCTACTGTAAAGCCAAGCAAAAGCATGGTATTGGCATAAAAACAGATCAGATATATAGGATGATAAAACAAAATAGAGACTCCAGAAATTTATCTATCTACACATGAACAATTGATTTTCAACAACGATACCAACAACATACAATGGATAAAGGTGCCTCTTCAATAAATTGTGTTCGGAAAACTGATATTTTTATAAAGAATGAAATTAGGCCCTTATGTTATACCACATACAAAAATCAACTTAAAATGGATTGAAGACTTCAACATAAGACCCAAAACTATAAAACTACTGAAACAAAACATAGAGGAAAATCTCCACATTGTTCTGGGCAATGAGGTTTTTGATATGACCCCAAAAGCACAGGAAGCATAATCATAGCTACACAGGTGGGACTACAGCAAACTAAAAAGCTCCTGCACAGGAAAGGAAACAACAGAGTGAAAGACCATCTAGAGACGGGGAGAATATATTTTCAAGCCACACACTGATAAGTGGTTAATATCTAAAATATATAAGGAACTCCTTTACTCAATAGCAAGAAAACAAATAACCCGATTGAAAAATGAGCCAAGAACCTAAATAGACATTTCTCAAAAGAAGACATATAAATGGTCAAGTATATGAAAATAGGCTCAAAATCACTAATCATCAGGAAAATGCAAATTAAAATTATAATGAGATATCACTTCATACCTGTTAAAATGGCTACTACCAAAAAGATGAAAGAAAACAAGTGTTGATGAGGATGTAGAATAAAGAAAACCCTTGTACCTGGTTGGTAAGAAGGTAAATTAGCATAGCCATTATGGAAAACACTATGGAGGTTCCTCAAACAATTAAAAAGAGAATTACCATACGATCCAACAATCCCACTATGGACTATATATTTAACGATATAAAATTTTAAAAAGATATGAAATTAGTATGCTGAAAAGATGTCTGCACTCCTGTGTTTGTTGCAACATTATTTACAATAGCCAAGATATGAGGTCAACCTAAGTTTCAGCAATGGATGAATGGATGAAGAAAATTTGGTATATATACACCATGAAATACTGTTCAGCCTTCAAAAAGAATGAAATCTTGACATTTGTGACAACATTGATGAACCTGACAGACATTATGTTAAAGAAAATAAGCCAGGCACAGAAAGAAAAGCACCACATGATCTAACTTATATATGGCATCTATAAAAGTCATAGAAACAGAGAGTAAAATGGTGGTTATGAGAGGCTGAGAAGGTTGGAGCAATGGTCAAATAATATAAAATTTCAGCTAGGAGGAATAAGTTGAAGAGACCTCTTGTGCATTATGATGACTGTAGTTAATAACAATATTTTGTATACTTGAAAGTTGCTTAAAGTAAATTTGAAGTGTCTCACCACATAAAAATGATAAATACATGAGGTAATGCATACTTAAATAGCTTGATTTAGGAATCCCACAGTGCATAGATGTATCAAATCATCGTGCTGTATCCCATAAATATGTACAATTTTTACTTGATGAAGAGAAGTTGGCTAATGGGTACAAAAATACAATTAGAAGGAATAAGTTCTACTGTTGTATAGATAGTAGGGTGACTATAGTTAACAATAATTTATTGTATGTTTCAATGTCACTAGAAGAAAAGATTTAAAATATTCCCAACACAAATAATAGATGTTTGAGGTGATGGATATCCCAAGTACCCTGATTTGATCATTATACATTGTATGTATGTATCAAAATATCATATGTACCCCAGAAATATATGCAATCATTATATAGCAATAAAAAGCAGGAAGATATTTGCATACTCACATACGCATATATGTACACACAATATAAACTCAAACAAGCATGCATGCACACAAGTTATAGGTCATTTAATATAAAGGTAAACATTGAGACACTTCAAAAGCTTCATCTTATCACTGTATTTTTATAGAGGGTAATATAATTATAATGACAGATAATGACAAATCTGGGACAATAAGTAAAATGTAAAAAAGATTCATTGTTAAATAATGCAATTATTTAATATAAAATAAGACAATTTATTGAGAGAATGTTAATGTGTTTATTAGATCTATAGGTCCTTTTAATGTTAAAACATTTTGTCTTCAAGAGATCTACGTAACTTGATCGTAATACATGCTTTTTTCAAATTGCTATATTCACCTGGTAATATTTTGGGGAATTTTAGCATCTGTGTGCAGAAGTGAACTTGATGTGTATGTTTGCCTTTTGATGCAGTCCTTTTACGACTACATAATCCCATATCTACTCCTCATACAATGATTTGAGGAATGTATCATTTTCTATATGATAGAAAATGATTTGTTCCTTGAATGATTAATAGAACCTGCCTTTAAGATTTCTGAGCTTGAGATTTTCTTTTTCTGAATACTTTAATGTTAATGTTTCTTTCATAAAGGGTAATTTATTCTTCTTGTATCAACTCTTTGTAAGTAATATTATTCCAGACATTTCACCATTCATCTAAACTTTGAAATTTCATGGCATAATTTAAAACATAATTACCTTAGTTAACTGAATTTTTTATCTCTGTAATATAAAAGAAGCACAGAGTACTTTAATGTGCAGGATCCCTTCTTGTCTTTCATGCTATTGCTGCCTAGTATTTTACTTCTGTCATATTTTTAATCAAAATCTACTTTTTTGATATTACTGAGTGACAAACCACACTAAAATGCGCTGGCTTAAAACCAACATTTATTCAGCTTACAATTTGTGGTTATAAAATTAACACTGGACTCATTTGGTAGTTCTGGTCTCAGCCCAAGTTCTCCAGTAGCCTGCCATCAGTTGTGAGTCAGCTAGGTGTGTCTACATCTGGATTTGTCAGGCTATTGGCAGAGGTGCATTGATTCTTCTTTCGGTGGTCTTCCATCTTCCAGCAGGCCAGACTAAGATATGTTCACCTGGAGGTGAGTTCCAACAAAAGAACAAGAGCACACAGGCCTTTTGATGCCTAGGTTTGGAACTGGCACATCACTTATATTTATATATATTTTTACCAATTCTTTTTATTACTATTCTTTCTTTCATCTCATACTATCATCTAGGATAATTGCCTTTAGTTCTCTAAAACATCTGTTACAATTTCATTTAATGAAATTTTTGTTGTTGCTTTTGATGAATTTTGGAAGACTTTTTTAATCTGAAAATTTCTTCATTTTGAAAACATTCTTGAAAGGGAAATTTTCTGGAAATCCCATTCAATATTTTCATCCCATTTCACTTATATCATCTCAGCATTTCTAAGAAAATTTTCAATATTATTTGGATTCCATTATCAAGAAGTCTAATTGTCATTCTTTTGAAAGTCTTTTTTCTAGGGCTGCTTTTAAGTTTCTTCATTGCCTTTGTGTTGGGCACTATCAGTAGAATTATTGTAGAAAAAGTATAAAATTACACAAAATGAATTCAAGAAAACTTAGTAAATACTGAAGTTTTAAAATTTAAAAAGGCACCCTTAGCAAACTGATGCAGGAACAGAAAACCAAATACCACATGTTCTCACTTATACATGAGAAGAAGTGATAAGAACGCATAGACACCTAGAGGGGAACAACACACACTGGGGGCTTTTAGGGAGTAGAGGGTGGGAGGAGGGAGAAGATCAGGAAAAATGGGTTCTAGGCTTAATACCTGGATGACAAAATAATCTGTACAACAAACCCCCATGACACAAGTTTACCTATGTAAGAAATCTGCACATGTACCCCAGATCTTAAAGCAAAAATTATATGTTTTAAAAAGTATGCTACTGATGAGTAGATGACTTATTCTAATATAAATGACATGATGAAAACACCAAAATAAAGCATGAGAATTTCATGTGATAATTGAGAAGGCATTTATAAATATAAAATAAAACCAAAGAGTAATTTATCATTCTCAGTAAACTATCGCAAGAACAAAAAACCAAACACTGCATATTCTCACTCATAGGTGGGAATTGAACAATGAGATCACATGGACACATGAAGGGGAACATCACACTCTGGGGACTGTGGTGGGGTGGGGGGAGGGGGGAGGGATAGCATTGGGAGATATACCTAATGCTCGATGACGAGTTAGTGGGTGCAGCGCACCAGCGTGGCACATGTATACGTATGTAACTAACCTGCACAATGTGCACATGTACCCTAAAACTTAAAGTATAATAATAAAAGAAAAAAAAGTAATTTAGAATAAAAAAATGCACCAAAGATGAGGTATCTTGATAACGTAGAGGAAGGAGAATAAGAAAAGGAAGATTCAAGAAGATCTTCTGTTGGATAAGTAAGAAATAAAGACAGCTTTCAGATTCCAATTAAAATAGGCAACAAGATGTTAGTATTTCCTTTTATTGCCCTAGACCTCCAGCAATGCAGGACATTTCCCAGGGTGGCCTTGGAATGACCCAGTTCTCCCCACTTTCTTGTTTGTAGTTCTTAAGAATAACTGTACAATGTGCTAGGAGTGCAACATCCCTGAGATAAGGAGAGACTGACTGGAACAGCATGGGCTCAGTGCCAGTTCCACCCTAAAAGGAGGATGTTCTTCAATGCTTTAAATCAGCAACTCACATGACCTCAAGATATCAAACATGGGAATGGCGGGCTGCTTTCCATGCTCCCCTCTCTGTGGTTCTGGTGGGAAATACCCAGAGGAGACTTCACCTGCCCTGGGCAGCTTTCCTGAGCCTTGGGCCAGCTCACAGTGAGTCCTAGGCTTCTGTTGTTCCTTGCTGCCTAACTGTAAGTATTAATAATAAAACTCAAATAAGTTGGTAATCAGTGCACAGTGAACCTGCTTCACAGCAATATTTTTTATAATTCCCTCTATATAGAGGAATTGAAAGATTATGAAATCTGATCTAAATAACTTTGTGCTGTTTAAGAAGATAGTTGCTAGTAAAAGGATTATAAACTTGTATTAATCTTAGAAATTTTATAAATTACATTCTGCATGAAAGAGAATAAAAGCAATTATAATTTATCAAATATTCTGTTTCTTCAATATACCTGTAGATGAAATATGTCAGTTTAGTAAATTATAATTGTCATAATAATTTTCTAAATCTGCAATTCCTACAAAGTTGTCTGTTTTAATTTTATTAAAAAATAATATAAGCTAGTAAGCTCTGTCCAACTTTGTTTGTCAAAATTGCTCAGGGCAAAAATTTCCAGTGGAAAGCAAGAAATAAGATGGAAAACATTAATGAGTTAAAACAAAACTTTTTTTTTTTTAAAGAGAACCTATGGAATTTCTTTCATTTCTATTTTAACATGTAAATATATTCCATCAGATGAACTATAGCAGAATTGTAAGGCAGAAAAATGAGATGTTAACTGGAGACTTGGGTGGGAGGCATTAATTTGGGTTTTAACTGGAGTAAAATTTAAATTTTACTGTACTGGAGTAGAATTTAGATTATCATATTGCACGCATTACCCCTGTCTTTCAGTTTGAGGGCATTGCATTCTCTCAGAAGAGGAGTACAACTTGATTTCATGTGCTCTCCCAAGAAGTGAAATTGATTAGTTTCTTACAGCTTTATATTTTTGTCTGTATTTTTTAAGGTTTCCTACAAACCATTTTAAATGTGTCTAATAAATGATGGACATTCTTTCTTGGAGATCATCTGTAAATGCATGCATGCTGGTGGTGGTGGTATGGGTAGTACAGAGGAGTAGAACAAACAAAAATCTTTCAGAAAGAAGGGGATTATCTTATGTTTTATGTAGTTATCATTGTATAATCTCTTATACTTTTTATTTATTTATTTGAAATAGGGTCTTGCTTTGTCACCCAGGCTGGGGTATAGGAGCACAGTCATGGCTCACTGCAGCCTCAACCTCCTGAGCTCAAGTGATCCTCCCACCTTGGTCTCCCAAAATGCTAGCATTACAGGCATGGGCCACTGTGCTCAGCCCCTTTATGTTTTTTAATTGTGATGATATTTCCCTGCGTGGTATTTTTTTTCGTGTACAAATGCCAAAAGTCTAATAAAAGAAGTTGATATTTCTATCTGTACTGAGTCATTTGGTGGGAACAAAGATATGCTAAGAAAAGCAAGGGATCAGGAACAAATGTATAAAGAGGGAGAGAAAGGAATTTTACATCGTATCAAAATAGGGATAACAATATTTTATTTTTAAGAAACATTCTTCGGTTACAACATATATACCAAAAATTCATCTATTTTAAGTGTACAATTTAATATTTATTAGCATTTTTAAGAGTTGTGCAACCACCATCATACTAAAATTTTAAACATTTGTTATCATCCTCAAAGGAATCCTCATATCATTAGCATTCAAGCCTTGTTCCTCTTTCCCCTCAGCTCTAAGTAGCTACTCATCTACTCTCTGTCTCTGAGATTTGTCTATTCTGGAGCTTTTATATAAATTTATTAATGCAATAATATATTATCTTTTGTGACTGGCTTCTTTGACCTAGCATGTTTTTAAGGGCAATCCTTGTTACAGCATTTATCAGCACTTCATTTGTTTCACTGCTGAGTACTATTCCACTGTATGGATATACCACATTTTGATTATTCATTCATCAGTTGATGAATATTTGGAATATTTCCACTTTGTGGCTGTTATTTATAATGCTGCTGTGAACATTAGTGTGCAAGTCTGTATGTGGGCATACGTTTTTATTTCTCTTGGGTAGATACCAAGGAATGGAATTTCTAAGTCTATGCTTAACATTTTCGAGAAATTGTACAACTGTTTTCGAAAATGGTTTTATCAATGTACATTCACACCAGCAAATATTTTAGATTTCCACATTCTTGTCAATATGCATTGTATGTTTCTCTCTTAAGATAACCCTTTAGTGAGTATGAAATGCTACTTCCTTGTGGTTTTGATTTGCATTTTTCTATTGTATATGCTTTTGAGCATAGTTTCATGTGCTTATTGGTCATTTGTATGTCTTTTTTGGAGAAATAGTCATTCAAATCCTTTGACAACAATCCATTTGGAAATTGAATTGTTATCTTTACATCATTGAGTTTATGAATTATTTATATATTCTTTATATATTATGGGTATAAATCCTTTATCAGACTTATGATTAGCAAATATTTTTATCACTCTGTAGATAATATTTTTATTATCTTGATAGTGTTGAAAAGTTAAAAGATTTTAATTTTGATAAAGTTCAATTTATAATTTTATTGCCATGATTTTGATGACTTACCTAATAAATCATTGTCTATCCCAAGGTCATGAATATTTATTGCTATATTTTTTCCAAGGGTTTTATGGTTTTAAACCTTATATTTAGGCCTATAACCCATTTGAGTTAAATTTTGTGTATGGTGTGAGGTAGGGGCCTGATTTTATTCTTTAAGATATGGATATCCAGTTGTTGCAAAAACATGTGTTGCAAAGAGTACTTCATTGCAGCTCAATTACAACTTTCTACCAAAATACCAGTTTACTTTTAGAGGCCCCCATGATTCTTACTGCCATTATAACAAAACAAACACATACATCTTATAAACTTCTATATTTGGGGGGTATATGGAATATCTGGGATATTTACTACTTGAAAATGGGCTTTACTCTTATTCTTTCCACAGAAATATGATACTTTATGTATTCTAGAATAGCTTATGTTATTGTTTGCAAGTAATTGAAATATCTTATAAAATATTAGTAATTGATAGAAGAAGAATGAAACTTGATGCTCAGTTTAGATTTGGGCTACCAGCAGGAGGGAGCATAATGTTTAAAATGTATTTTCCTTCTGCTAACAGAGAACAACAGAGGAGAGAATACTAACATAAATTATTTTAAAAGAAAATTTCAAGGCTTCCACATGTATTTTGTGAAGAATGGAGACTACAAGTAAATTTTTTTTCATTTAAGAACAAAGTTTAATGACTTTTCCTCCTTATAATGTCACAGGGTGTTACTTCACTAGCCAGAAACCTTTGTGGCTGGTGGCATCTTTGCCTGAGTTTTGCTCAGGCCTGCTGGGCTCATTCCATCCACTTAGCCTGGAAAGCTGCACTTGCTGGTGCTACCAGCCTCGCTCTCATGCTTGCCAAGGGCGAGCCAGGTGCAGGGTGCTGAGGGGTGCATGAGTGAGCAAACATGGGGTCCAGCTGTGTTCAGAATTGGTGGGTTCTTGGTCTTGCTGACTTCAAGAATGAAGCCGCAGACCCTCAGGGTGAGTGTTACAGTTCTTAAAGATGGTGTGTCCGCAGTTTGTTCCTTCAGATGTTCGTGGTCTCGCTGACTTCATGAGTGAAGCTGCAGACCTTCGCAGAGTGTTACAGCTCTTAAAGATGGCGCATCTGGAGTTGTTTGTTCCTCCTGGTGGGTTTGTGGTCTTGCTGACTTCAGGAGTGAAGCTGCAGACCTTTGCACTGAGTGTCACAGCTCTTAAAGGTGGTGCGTCTAGAGTTGTTCATTTCTCCTGGTGGGTTCGTGGTCTCGCTGGCTTCAGGAGTGAAGCTGCAGACCTTCATGGTGAGTGTTACAGCTCATAAAGGTAGTGAGCACCAAAAGAGTGAGCAGCAGCAGCAATAATTATTGCAAAGAGCAAAAGAACAAACCTTCCACATCTGGAAGGGGACCCAGTGGGTTGCCACCGCTGGCTCTGGTGACCTGCTTTTATTCCCTTATTTGGCCCCACCCACATCCTGATGATTGGTCCATTTTACAGAGAGCTGATTTGTCCATTTTACAGAGTGCTGATTGGTTCGTTTTGACAGAGTGCTGATTGGTGCGTTTACAAATCTTTAGCTAGACACAGAGCGCTGATCGGTGCTTTTACAATCCTTTAGCTAGACATAAAAGTTCTCCAAGTTCCCTACCCGATTAGCTAGACAGAGAGTGCTGATTGGTGTGTTTACAAACCTTTAGCTACACACAGAGCACTGATTGGTGCGTTTACAATCCTTTAGCTAGACACAGAGTTCTCCAAGTCCCCACCCGACCCAGAAGCCCAGCTGGCTTCACCTCTAACAGCCACTGCAGCCAAGCATGCCAGCTGTAGCAGGGTGGGCAGCTCCAGGTACCGGCACTGGTGCTGGCTCCCTGTGAAGCTGCAGCTGGACCAAGTGTACTGCAAGCAGCTTCCACTGCTGACACCAGGGAATGTGGTGGTGCTTGGAAGCTTGGAGATGCCAGGAAACAGAGAGCCCCAAAGAGGGTGTCACAGTCCTGGCTCGGGGAGCTCCTAGATCTGGGCTCCCCGAAGTGCCACAGCTCTTCTCTCCTTCTCTCTTCGCTTCTTCTTGTTGCCAGCAACATGGTGAGTGAGGGGTATATTTCAGCCCTATTGTGTTACAGCTCTTTTAGTCCTGCCATTTGGTGGGTATCGAGTTCTTGTCCTGCATCCAGGAAGAATGAGTTATGCAGACAACTGGAGGGTAAGGCGATGAGGTGCTTTATTGAGTGAAAGTACAGCTCTCAGGAGACCCAAAGTGAGTAGCTCTTTTCCACAGGCAGGTCATACTGAGTGCAGCTCTCAGCAGAAAGGAGACCCACAGTGGGTAGCTTCTCTCTACAGGCAGGTCATCCTGTGGAGTCTGCAGCCCTCAGCTGACAGGAGACCTGCAGTGGGTAGCACCTATTCACAGGCAGGTCAGCCAGACATCTGCCTGAGTCTAGCTCAGTCCAGGGGGTTTTATGGGCTTCAGAGGGGAGAAAGAACGTGCTGATTTGTCCATAGGCAGTCATGGGTGGGGCTGGAAAAGCACTGTAAGTTCTCACTCTGGTCTGCAGAACTGGCAGCCTAGACCCCAGGCTTCAGGCCATCCCAGGCCCAAACGTGGGGCTCCACTGGGGATCCGCTCCTTCCTACCCAGGAGCCTGTCTGCTTCTCACGGCCATCAGCCTGCTGTCCCCAGCACTCAGTCTGTTTGTGCCGAGCAGTGCCTGCAGGCCCATGCTGAGCCCCACTCAGCCTCCTCGGCCTCCCTCACGTTCTTCTTGATACCCAAAGTCTGGAGGGGGCTGAGGCAGCAGGGGACTGGCTTGTCAGTGCTGCCTTGAGTGCTTGCACACCTGGCTGGGTGGTAACAGGGCCCTGGCTTGGCCTTAACTCTGCTCCAAAATCAGACTGGGTGCTGGGATCAGGGAAAGGCCGGGCAGAGAGAGTAGGCATTTCTGAGCCTGCAGGGGAAGCGGTGCTTCCCAGGCCACGAGAGCATAGGAATGCCTAGATCTGCAGCCATGGCCTAGGAGGGCAGAGGTCCAGCTCCTCCAACTCAGAAGGGGGCGGGGCTTCCACCTGTCCCAGTCTCCTGCAGGCTCTGTGGCATGAAAAGCCCCACTGTGTCTCCCCCACTGCAGCTGGTGTCTTCACAGCAGTGGCTCTAGACAGGTCGCTGCCATCAATAAATAAGTAGGCCCTAAGGCCTAGTTTGGGAACCTAAGCTGCTAAGCAAAAATGTTATAAAATGCTAATTACTCTGTGAGCAGGGGAAATCTTTCGAGATTATGTTGCCTGTAAAAATAAATTTATTTTTTCTTATGAATTTAGACTTTATTCCAGAAACTCTGTGTGTATACGTGTGTGTTTGAATGTGTATGAATGTGTCTTTTTTTCAAGGTTTACACAGTGAAGGCCTGAAAAGGACAGGAGTAGGGAGAAATCTTACTTACTACTCATATTTTTGTGGAGATTTGGAAAGGTACCCAAGGTCCATACTGATCTGATTTGCTGAAGAGCCTTCATAGTGATATTCTAGAGAGAATAATTAGAACTCAAATAAATGTATGGTACATTCAGGGTGGGAGAAAACTGCTTCAAGAAAACTTGTTGATTAGTGGAATTGAAGTTTTACTCAAGAGGGCAGTGGAGGATTGAAAAGGGGGTACAGATTCCAAGGAGGAAAAAAAAGGAACACAGTCCTCAGCATAGAGAAGTTGGACTAGGAAATGGAGAGAACCTTTGAAAACACCTTTGCAAAGGATTTAACATTATTCTGAATTTTTCCCTGGCCTTTGGTAATAGCATATTTACCCTGTAGTTGCAAGAAGACTTTTCTCACTACGTTGTTTTGCTAGCTAGATATCAAACTTCCAGTTTAAAAAAGTGTATGATGTTAAGGAAAATTTAGAAACTATGTAAGTAAGGGGTTAAACTCCTCTCAGACTACTCTGGGCTGTAGGGAATTGGCAATATATTTTCAGTAGGAGCCATACTTTATTCATCTGGAAGCAGTCAACTGTGTGGTCTAAGTATAATTGAAATAATTGAGACTCTTCCCAACCCCAAGTCACCTTCCCTAAACTTTACTTGAAGCAGATCCTCCTGGAAAGGGAGGAATGTACACATTGGTTGCTCATATAATGAAACATTAAGGCTTCTTGACATCAAGTAATTCCCAGCTGATCTGTTTTTAAATATCAGACAATTTATCTGAAATTTCCCTGTTTCCAATGTCACACCCTCTAAATTGTTCTCCTCAGAGATGGGAGAGTATCAACATGATATATTTGAAAATGCATAATTAATAATCTAATGTCCTAGCTTTAAATTTTCTTCATGGCTTATAGTGACCTGCAGGGCAAAATTCAAATTATTTTGTTGAATATCCAAGGCTTTCGAGAATCTTAACTCTTCCCTTTCTCTCATTATTTCTTTATCTTCTCCTTCAGGAAAAATCTCCTTTGGTCCATCACCTCTCCATCTTCTTAGGATACTGTAATTACTAATAGCAGCATCTATATTTTGTTGCCTTTATTTGTTTTTCTCCTCTGCTAGCCTGTGACCTTCAGGAGAGCAAAAATTATATATTCTACCTCTATATTCTCAGTATGTGGCTTGCAAACTAACAGAGTAATTAACAAACAATATTTTATTGAATTAATTGACATGTGATCCTTCCTATGCCCCTCTTTTGTTAGTTATAAAACACCTTCCCCTGTATGATAGCTGTTCAGGTCCAGGTGATTTCATCATTCTCCCTTTTTAGTTAGTTGGGGTGAAGGCACTCTGATCAGTTGGTAGTGAATGGAAGTGTTAGGTTCAATTGTAGTTAGAAATCACATTCCTAAAAGCGGAAACCCTACACTTTCTGTTTCTACTTGCTGCAGATTAGAAAGCAGATAAGGTGCTGGTGACCTGGATTTGACTTTAATGAGGAGTCATCACTCTGGAAAAGGTAAAACAGATAGAAGGAACCTAGGTCCTTGGAAAACTTCATGGACTAATTTCCACTGCTCTTCTTGGATTGCTCACATGCCTCTGGACATAAGGGAGAAATATTTTTTAGTAAAGGTTAGCCTGTCCTCTAACTAGTATATCTGGGAGTGCATTGGATAAAATGCCTGTGTTGCTTCTTTTGTGTGATTGCACAGGAGTTCATTCTATTTGCTGATTTTAATTGTCTACAAGAACCACTCTGCATCTTTCTCATCAAGACAACTTCCCTAGGATTGATCTTCAAAACATACAAGTATTTAATTTTGGAGATAAGGAGAAACATATTTTCTCTGTTTGGAGTTTTTGTCATAGTTGTGTCAGGATTTACAAGTCCAACATAGTGAGTGTGAAAGTGGTGGCCAGAAGGATTTTTCTTTATGTTTGTTACTGAGCCTCTACAGGCTTTATTACCACTACCTGAAATCATCTATTTTCTGGTAATAAAAGTAGGTTTTTTAAATTTACTTTTTTTTTTCAAAATAGTAGTAAGCAAGAGCAATTCTCAGTCTATTGATAATTTTAATACTAAGTAGTTGAATATGGTCTCAGAGATTCTAAACATATAATATACTCAAATATAAAAGTTATTTTTCTGATTCATATAATAAATGTATGATAAATGTCCCATCTGCTTTGTTAACTGAGTTGTATCAAGACAACCTCAATGAGATTATTCATCAGCACTAGTTATTTGTCCATAGAAAATACTTTTGGGTCAATTATAATAATATATAAGAATGTAGTTGTTACTTTGTTTTGGATAATCTTCAAGTAGACACCTTGTCCAAATGAGAATTCTCATAATTGGCCTTGATTCATCCTCCCTCATTAGCTACAACTAAATATTGATTTTACTTCATATTTTTCTGTGCTTAAACTCCATTTTTAAATTTCTGGTGTCTTTACTTCTACCTAATTCAATCCTCTCTCACAATCTTGCAAAGATTATTTTTCCAATAGCTTCCTATTGCTTCCCTTTTCCAGGTATGTCAGCCCATTCCCTGCTTTGTCATCAGGGTAATAAAAATTAATTTATCAGGCTACTGTTACACTAAAAATGTGGGCAGTTCTATAATAATGTTTCAGGCCATGGTTTTAGAGGAAAAAATAATAAACTTAATGGCAATTTTGTAGATATTTAAATTCCCTAAGCTGGTTTTAACACTAATATGTAAAAAGCTTATTACCATGAGAAAAAAAGCTAAACTAACCAAAAATGAACTATTTTTTTTTTTGGGACTCATCAGGGAACTAAGGTCACAAGGCAAACAGTCACCTTGAAATCTGGAAAGACAAGGAAATCCATGGAGTTACAACTGAGGTCTGGTTTTCTGGTTAAAGCAGAAGCCACTGAAGCAATACACAGAAAATGACATTTGAATGTAATTTTGATGAATTGCTGCAGCCTGGGTGTGGACTAGCATGACAAAACTCCTGGGAACCACAGGCTTAGGGAGTCCTAACACTTTTATGGGTTTTAACTCTAGGAACCCCATCAGAGCTTCACTGTGGAGATTTGAGAAAGATCCCCTAGTGGCTCTGGCAAAGGTTGGAGGAAAAGTTACCACGTAAAATATGCCTAGAACATTTCCCATAACAAAGGCTGACTGTCCCTGGGGAAGAAAAAGTAAACCAAAAACCCTTATCAAAGCCTTGTTCCACCTGAGGTAAAGATATTTTCCTGATTTCACCCACCTATCACTTCCCACCTCACCTAAGAGAAGTTAAGAAACATTAGTGAAGGTCACAACCCTGGAACACAGGTCCATTAAAAGACTGATTTTAATTATAAGGCTATAAAGAGCTTCCTCTCTCTCATATCTTACCACTCCACCAACAGGGTTCGAGTATAACATTGGATTGCAGCTGGCAGAGCTGCAGGACATGGACTATATCTAAAAAGGGGCACCCAAAGGCAACGGGGGAGACAAGAAAACTAAATAAATTTAAAGTCTATAACACCTACAACTACAGCAAACATTAAATGTAGCCCAAGTCCCACCCAGATTAAAATAAATCCTCACACTAAAGGCATATTTATGTCAGTTCCTATCGCCAGATAAATCATGTTTATTGTTCAACAGAAAAGTTACAAGCCTTGTTTAAAGAAAAATAAATAAATAAATAAATAAACAAAATCACCTAAAGAGGTGAAGCAAAAATCAGAACCAAAATTAGATATGACACCAGTATTGGAATTATTAGAGAATTTAAGATGACCATAATTAATATGTTTAAGGTTTTGATAAAAAAGTAAACAACATGCAAAAAACAATGGGTAATGTAAGCAGAGAAATAAAATCCTAAGAATGAATAAAAAGAAAATTCTAGAAATAAAAAATATGAAGAGAAATGAATAATGCCTTTGAAGAGCTCATCAGTAAACTGGACATAAATGAAGAAATAATCAATGGGCTTGAAGATAGCCCCATAGAGAGATTCCATGTTAAAAGAGAAATAAGAATTGGAAAAAGTGATCCAGAACATTCAATAGTTGTGGGACAATTTATAAATGTATAACATGTGTATAATTGGATAACCAAAAGTGGAAGAAAAAGAGATCAGAACAGAGTAAATATCTGAAGTAATAATGGCTAAGTTTTCAAAATTAATGACAGACATCTAGCCACAGATCCTAGAGGCTCAGAGAACACCAGGAAGTATAAATACCAAAAATTTACATCTAAACATGTCATATGCAAGCCACAGAAAGCTAACTGTAAAGAGAAAATCTTGAAAAAAAAAAACAGACCTTCTTAGACAAACAAAAACAGGTAATTTATTGCCAATGAACCAGCCCAAAGAAATGTTAAAGAAGTTCTTCAGGGAGAAGAACAATGATACAGGTTAGAAACATTATATGTATAAAGAACAGGGAGAGCATCAGAGAAGAAATAAATGAAGCTAAAACAAAATCTTTTATTTTATTACTCTTAATTGATATAAAAGAGAACTTCATTTACCATAATATTAAAGAAAATATATTTGATGACCATAGCATATAAATAAGTGAAATAAATGAATGAGATCAATGTCACAAATGATAGGAGAGGATTAAGAATACTCTGTTATAAAGTATTACATGTGAAGCAGCATAGTCTTATTTGAGGGTGGACTTAGATTGGTTAAGGTACATTGTAGCCTCTAGGGAAGTCAATAAATTTTTTTTTAAAATATAATTAATATTCTAAAAGAAGATGTAAAATAAAATTATATAAAATACTCATTAAAACCTGAGAAGACGGAAAAAGAGAAAAAAAGAAACAAAGAACAAGTGCAATGAATAACAGTTAAAAACATGGTTGATAATCATGACTTTAAATGCAAATGGTCTAAATACAGAAATTTATAAAAACAGATTGTCAGAATGGATAAATACTACAAGCAAATATTCTGTCTATAGGAAATGACTTCAAATATAAGGCTCAGAAAGGTTAAAAGTAAAGGGATAGGGAAAGATATATCACACTAACAGTAATCATTAGAAAGCTGTAGTAGTTATGTATAAATTTCAGACAAAGCAGGCTAGAGAACAGAACATTCATCAGAAAATTAATCAGATAATGAAGGTCATTATATAATTAGGTCTATTCTCTAAGAAGACATAACAGTACTTAATATGTATGCATCAAAACTTTCTTAGCTTGATTTCTCATGTGTAAAATAGGAAACATAAAACATCCCTCAGAGGATTTTTAATATTAAAAATATGTAAATTGACCATTCATTTAATATATCTTAATTTTTTTGGCATGGTGTACTTGACATTCACAAATGTGTTGTCACTTTCCTTTCTACTCTCAATTAATGCTACTCTTTCCCAAACACGCTTCCTGCAGCCATGTCAAATGCTAATGGTTTTGTGAATAGCCCCACACGTTCATATATGAATTTTTTCACATGTAATTTATTCTGCCACCAGACTCAACCTGTTTATCCTATGAAATCTTTACAATCTTGCAAGAAATTGATATAGAATTAATTCCTAGGCTCTCACTGTTTTCATAGAGATTATAGTTAACTTTAATATAACTTAATTTCATTGCATTGTGTGCCATTCCCTATATCCTTTTTTCCCATTGTAATGAAAGTTCCTGATGTAGAGGTACTGTATGGTATTTTACCTTTTGTCCTTTGCACTTAGCAAAACAACTTGCACAAGACAGTACTTACTAATGAAATAACGCTATATTCTCATGATTTCCTATTGACACAGTGGATTTACATTTGAGGCCTTTAGCATGGATTATTTTTCTTTAAATTTGATCTCTGTTTTCTCTCAAAGGCTTATAAACTCTTACTTACCATTCATGATCTTGCTCACTATAACACTGGTATGCTTTCTTCTAAATGTTTTATAATTTTAGCATCTATATTTAGGTTTATGAGTCATTTCAAATTAACTTTTATGTTGAATGCATCAAGAAGAGATTTATTTTTTCATCTATTCTTTATTCAGTTGTTCCAATACACCAATTGCTGAAAAGATTTTTTTTCTCCATTGAATTACATTGTTGCCTGTCGCATATAATTCAGTTGTATCTATGTAGAGCTATTTATGGGCTCTCCTTTGTTTCATGCATCTATTTGTTTATCTTATGCCCATATCACAGACTTGGTTGGTGTAGCTTTATAATAAGTCTTGAAGTCAGATTTTATAAATCCTCAAATTTTCTTTATTTTTCAATAATGTTTAACTGTTCTATCTAGGTTCGTTATACTTCCATACAAATTTTAGCATTTGTTTTTCAGTAATGGCAGAAAAGCCTCCTCAGATATTGAAATTGCATGCCATCTTTGATTAAGTTGGGGATAATTGATATCTGTACAATATTTATTTAGGTCATCGCTAACTTTTCTCAAGAAAGTCTTCCTGTTTGCAGAGTAGAGGTCTTGCTCAGGTTTTATTATATATGGCTCTAAATGTTATTTTTTTGTGATATAATGAATGATACTGATTTTTAAATTTTATTTTGCAACTGTTTTTGCTAATTTGTAGAAATACAACAGATTTTGTATTGATCCTAAATCCTGAGACCTCACTGAATTCACCTATTACATCTAGAATTTTTAATATATTAATATTTCCTAGATGTAAATAATTTGGTCTGCAGAAAAAAATACTTACTTTTTTCCTCCCTTGTTACTTTTCCCTCTCTTTCTTCTTTGCTCCTTTGCTCACTCCCTTTCTTCCTTATTTTTACTTTAATGCAGTATCTAGGACCTTTGAAAAGTACAATGTTGAATACAAATGGTGAAAAAGTATACTACCTTTCCTTGTCTCCAATCTTAGTGGTGGTGAATGTCTAATATTTCATCCATAAGTGTGATGTCAGTGGAAAGGTATTCACAGATTACTCAAATTTTCAAATAGAGGTAGTTTTATTTCTAGATCCTGAGACTTTTTATCATTAATGAGTGGTAGATTTTGTCTAATGCTTTTTTGCATCTGATAAACAACGTGATTTATCTTTTTTATTCTTGTTAATGTGATACATTACGTTCATTGATTTCTGAATGTTAATATAACCTTGAATTCTCGGCATAAACTTCAGTTAACAATGATATATTTTCTAATTACACATATGCTAAATTGCCTTGTATTTTCCCACTGGTAATTGGCTTTCTGATCAGTTGCTTTTTTTTTCCCCCTCTGTACTTCCTTTAAGATAACACCTATTGACCTGTCTTTAAATTCACAGATTGTTTCTTTTTCAGTTTAATTCTCATGTTAATCCCATTTTGTATTGCAGATGACAGAATTTCTTTATTCTAATAGTTTTATTTTCTCTGTTGAGATTCACCATCTGTTTATCGATACTTTCTGTTTGTCAATTCTTGTACTTATTTAGTTAGTTATTTTAAAGTTCATGTTTGCAAGTTCCAATATGTAGTTTATCGGTGAGTTAGATGCTTTTGATTTTTTTTCCTTCATTGTGAAGTCCAGTTTTTGCTGGTTCACATAGCTTATAATTCTTATACTGCATACCATACATTGTGTGTAGAAGAACTAGGAAGGTCAGAGTACACCGTTGTTTAGTTGTGTTTCCCCAGAGTGTACGAACATTATTTGTGTCTGTTGGTTACAGTGAGAAAGTAATCATTTAATTTTTACCAGTTGTTGAATGACTGAAATCATCTGAGTTAAAAAGCTTTAAGATTAAGCTCATTTCGGCCTGACGCAGTGGCTCATGCCTGTGATCTAGCACTTTGGGAGGCCATGGCGGGTGGATCACCTGAGGTCGGGAGTTTGAGACCAGCCTGACCAACATGGAGAAACCCCGTCTCTACTAAAAATACAAATAAAACTAGCTGGGCATGGTGGTGCATGCCTGTAATCCCAGCTACTCAGGAGGCCGAGGCAGGAGAAGCGCTTGAACCCGGGAGGCAGAGGTTGCAATGAGTCGAGATCGCGCCACTGCATGCCAGCCTGGGCGACAGAGCGAGACTCCGTCTCAAAACAACAACAACAACAACAACAACAACAAAAACCAAAAAAAAAAACAACATCCAAATCACTGAAAAGAAAAAAAAAAGGTTAAGCTCATTTCTGGCTAGGCCAGTCCAAGACATCCGGTTTGGTGGCTGCAGGTTGCTGCTGGGAGCTGCCACTGCTATGGAGCAATTACTCTGTTTTATTGAATGTGGGGTCTAGAGAGGTATTGTCATCACATTTACAGTTCCTGAAACTATTAGAATAAGTGTTAGAGTTTTTCAAATATGTAAGTTATATGTGTTTCAAACTCAACATCATTGCCTTTATTACTTCAGTGAAACTGAAGAGGAGTGAGATCAGGAGAAGTGTTACACCAAAAAAAATTTTGTATTCCTGCCTACTTAACAGTTGTCAATATCTTGTCAGATCTCTTCTGAACTGGGTATAGTTTCTGGATTTTTTGAATGTTTGTCTAGACCTAGACCTAGATCTAGTGTTTGCCCAGAGCTGTTGAAGGAAGCTGATTGCCTGTGAATGCTTCAGTGGAAACCTGTTCATCAAGTCTTTCTTGTATCTGCCACTAATAAATAACCCTATAGACTGATATAATTTTCAAATATTTTCCAGTTTTTTTCTTGGTATTACCATAGAGGTAAAGTTCTTCTTTATTCTTTTACACCAAAACAGGAAGTAGGTCTATGGAATATATACATTTGGTTTGAGTGTTAATTTCTCAAATGTGGCCTCTGAAGAGTCTATAGAGCCTTATTATGCAGGAGTAAATATTCCTTTAGACCCAGTCATATTTTCAAGGTAGATATGTTCAGCATATTTACATTCCATAATTTATGAAGCTTTTCCGCTAAAAGATAATCCAGATAGTCTATTGTGGAAGAGCAAGCTTGGATACACTAACAAATTAAGATGAAGCAAATATAAATTAAAATCGGTTTTCAGCATGGTGTGCAGTTATGTGGAAAGCAGGGGAAGAGAAGAAAAACTAGCTGTGAACTAAGGGAGATAAAAAAAATTGACACTAATATTTCAGTGGCATAACACTACTGTTCAATCCAAGAACCAAGGAAGATTTCTTAAAGATTGGTAGATATATGGAAGTATGCCAGTGTTTTAGTGAGGAAATATATAACTACATGAGTGAGGGCATCTGCACTGTGGTGTAGAGGTCACTGATGTAGATTCCAGATAACCTAAAGGTGTGCAATATTGCTAGGATGTACTTTCAGAATTTAACGTAGAGTAAATATTTTTAAATGTTTTTCAAATTTAAAAAAGTAATACATATTTGTAGTAACAGTTAGTATAAAATAGCACAAAAATAGCACAAGTTTTATTAAGTCAAAAATATTTACCTCTCAGCCTTTGAGCTATTTAGTGTTAACAATTTTGTGGATATCTTTGAACACCTTTCTTCTACCTGCTTACATGTACATAAACAAGTATTTTATATATAAAGAGAGTGTTTAGAGAGAAAAGTTTGAGCTATTTCTTTCAACAAAAGTCTGAACATACTGCATACATTTCCTTGCAACATTAAATCATGGAAGTCTGTAAATTCAGAGATAGCTATAAGTTCTTCATGACTTTTATTATGAACTACTATGCTACTTATTTCCTCATTCTGACCCCCCCACACTGTCTCGAATTCTATTCACATAAACCTCCACTTCAGTACCCTCGTAATTCATATTAACAACTTGGTGGGTATCTGTCTGTACTCTGCCTCATGAAGCTGAACCTTATATGAGCACATACCCTCACAGTATTTTAGATAGTTAGATAGATGTAAGTGTGCCAAGTTTTTTGTTTTTTTATTTTATGTTTCTTTATAGTGTCATAATAACAATTACTCAGACCCTAGAACTTTCTTTGAACTGCACAATGGCCATCTCATTCAACAATACCTCATGGAAAACAACCCAGAACAAATTTTATATTGTAATTTATGTTTTTGATAGTCTCATATTACATAGTGTGACTCTATCATAATTTATTTAGCCATTATCTTACTTAGTATGTGACCATTTTGTTTTTATTTATTTATAACTACAAATAATTCTGTGATAAAAATTTTGGGGTACATGTGTTTAGGTACTAGCACTTTTATTTCTATAGGATAGAAATCTAAAAGTGGGATTGCTAATTATGTATAAATTTATTATAGTGGATGTTGCTAGATTTAGTTTCCAAAGAGCCATAACAATTTATATTTTTCACCCACAATGTGAATTGTCTTAAATCCCAACCAGCAGTAGGTACTATAATTCTTTTTTTAATTTTTGTCATTTTGGTACATATAAAATAAAAGTTCACAGCTAGTTTTTAGTGTGCTTTGCTGACAACTAGGAAGTTTGAGCATTTCTTAACATATGTGTTATTACGTGATGTTTTTTCCTTCTGTAACTTACCATTTCAAAGCATTTTATTCTTTTTCAGCTGTCATATTTTTCTTGTCAATTTTTAGGAGTTCTTTGTATAGCTAGCTAAGAGCTCTTAATTGTAGATAAGATATTGTACATTTTTGTATACCTGAGTTTGTGGCCTATAAAACAACAACAAAAAGAAGCACTACATATATGAATAGGTAGGACATATGAGCATGTCTGGGACTGTCTCAGTTTGCTCCTGTCTACCCAGTTGTATGTCCTGGCTAATGCCCCTTTTTATTCTCAAAAGTTTTCTCGTGTAAGCCATGTGGTTACCTTAGATATAAGTAACATTTTAAGGAGCTAGAGATGTTCAAACAGAAAATAACATTCTTGCTTACATGTATAACATATGTATGTGTTGACATAATAAACATAGACACACATACATATCTTTATATACACACAGGCATATGGACACACACACATATATCTATATACCTATTTTTCTTTTACCATTATAGACACAATTGTGTCCAGAATTGGTGGGTTCTTGGTCTCGCTGACTTCAAGAATGAAGCTGTGGACCCTCACGGTGAGTGTTAGTTCTTAAAGATGGTGCATCCGGAGTTTGTTCCTTCTGATGTTCAGACATGTCTGGAGTTTCTTCCTTCTGGAGGGTTCGTGGTCTCGCTGACTTCAGGAGTGAAGCTGCAGACCTTCGCGGTGAGTGTTATAGCTCATAAAGGCGGCGCGTCCAGAGTTGTTTGTTCTTCCAGGTGAGTTCGTGGTCTCCAGGGCTTCAGGAGCGAAGCTGCAGACCTTCACGGTGAGTGTTACAGCTCATAAAGGCGGTGCGGACCCAAAGAGTGAGCAGCAGCAAGATTTATTGCAAAGAGCGAAAAAAGAAAGCTTCCACAGTGTGGAAGGGGACCCGAGTGGGTTGCGGGTGCTGGCTGGGGCAGCCTGCTTTTATTCGCTTATCTGACCCCACCCACATCCTGCTGATTGGTCCATTTTACAGAGGGCCGATTGGTCCGTTTTGACAGGGTGCTGAGTGGTGCCTTTACAAACCTTTAGCTAGGCACTGAGGGCTGATTGGTGCGTTTACAATCCTTTAGCTAGTCAGAAAAGTTCTCCAAGTCCCCACCCAACCAGAAGCCCAGCCTGCTTCACCTCTCACTAGCACTCTCCAGGGGACTTTGTGGCACCTAGTCTGGGCAGTCCGGCAGCCCAGAGGGAGTCATCCCAGACAACCAAGAGGAAAAGAGGGAAAGGGAGAAAGAGACAAGAGACCCGCCATCGTGGACAATCAGGACCTAGCCACCGATCAAGCCCAGCAGGCTCCACGCGGCACCCACCCGGAAGCCCCACCTGTCCGCCAGGGCCGCTCACAGCCCCGGTTCCCACCCGCGCCTGTCCCTCCACACCTCCTCCGGAGCAGAAGGAGCCGGCTCTGTCCTCGGCCAGCCCCAGAGAGGGCCCCCCACAGCGCAGCGGCGGGCTGAAGGGCTCCTCAAGCGCGGCCAGAGCAGATGCCGAGGCAGAGGAGGCGCCAAGAGTGAGCTAGGGCTGCTGGCAGGTTGTCACCTCTCACAATGAATAGAACTAAGCCACTGTGTAGGAAACAAAGGATGATTCCTTACTCTAAGGAGAAAATACATACAATTCTTTCTTTGGGCCACTTTTTTGGGAGATGACTTCACTGTTTTAGGCCATCAATTTTACATTTATATTTGGCGGGGCTAATGTAATGGAATAAAGTCCCCCAGAAATCTAGGATGACTTTTAAAGTCTACCTTTTATGATTCCACGTGACTGGAATAATAGAAGCAATTTTGAAAATAATTAAAAGACATTTGGATATTCTGTAGAGTAAGTGATGGGCATTACAGGTCTTGGAGTATAACAGGATTCTAATTCTGGCTAGGCTATTTACTTCCTGTGTGGCCTTGAGAACATTACTAGACTTCTCTAAGCCTTGAATTTCTTCTTTTGTAAAATGATAATATAGTGGTTACTCCATATAGTAATTGTAAGCTTTTTGTTGTTGTTGTTGTTTTTGAGACAGGGTCTCACTCTGTTGCCCAGGCTGGAATGCAGTGGCGCAATCTTGGCTGACTGCAGCCTCTGTCTCCCTGGTTCAAGTGATTCTCATGCCTCAGCCTCCCGAGTAGCTGGGACTACAAGCGTGTGCCACCACGCCTGGGTAAGTTTTTTTGTATTTTTAGTAGAGACGGAGTTTTGCCATGTTGGCCAGGCTGGTCTTGAACTCCTATCCTCAGGTTATCCACCTGCCTCGGCCTCCCAAAGTGCTGAGATTACAGGTGTGAGCCACTACACCTGGCTAGTAATTGTAAATTTTAAACAAGATTGTGAACACGAAGTATGTAGTATGCATCTTAATATTTTGTAAACAATATCCATCAGTTTGTTACCAAAACACCAGGGGTTTGGTCTAAGTTCTCCTGCTTTCCACACAGAAAGCCAATTAGGAGACAACGAGAATTCTCGGGGAACAAAGGCTTTATTTAATTGGGTGCCGCGCAGCTGAGGAGATGCAAGATCAGTCTCAAATCCATTTCCCTGATCTACTAAAACTGGGAGTTTATGTAGTGGGGGAGGAATAAAACTATATGTGGGTAAACAGGAATTAGAGAGGGCTAAGGAAGAGGAGTTGGTCAACAGGAAGCAGGTGGTTGGATAGGCAATCACGATGAGTGGGGGGTATGGTGTCTCATTGTCCGGATGCTGTGATCTGGTAAGTTTCACTTCCTTGATACTATGTAGGGGGCATGAGGGTTGGTTTCCTGAGAAAGGAACTCAGACAAGACAAATGTAATATTTTTAATTTTAAGACTGGGAGGGTAAATTTGTATGTTTATTCAAAAGAAACCATAAACTTCAGTTCAATGGGATCATTGAGCCAGTTTCAAATTTACAAGGACTGCTCATATTAATACCCGTAGCTGTGATGTATTAAGAGTACTTAGTAATGTTCTGCACTGGGCAACAGAGCTCTCTGTGGGTCACTGTTGACATTTTGAACTTTGATCTCTTATAGCAGGCTGCTTCTCGTGGGGTCACACAGTAAGGTTAGTTAAAAGAAAGTCAAAAGACTATATTACTTAAAGTTTTCTTAGATATGGAAGCAAATAATTAAATGAAACACCAACAAACTCTCTTGTATAAAAACAACTTGGCTTCAGTGCTTTCATATCCCATGCTAAACTGCGTCTGAGGTCATTCCTGAATAACATGAGCTTAGAGATACCTGTTTTATCAGGTGCTCTTCTCTATTTTAGAAAACAACAACAGTAACAACAACAAAAACTCAAGAAACAGGAATGCAAGCTCTACATTTTGTTAAACTAAGGACATTTCTTACTCGTAACAATCAGATATAAAAAAGTGCTGCCACAGGGGCAAGAATGATGCTCAGAAGGTCTTTAATGGCTACAAATCTTGGATTAAGCTGACTGAGCAGTTCTTACACCGAGAAGCAAAACAACAACCTTTTGTTTCAAGAAACAGGTATGTGTTTCAGGCTGAAAGCTTCATATGATTTTTTTTTCCCATGGGTACCAGGGAAGGAAGAGTAAATGCAGTGGAAATGTGGCGTGGAAGGAGATCCTATATTATATGTAGGACTACAGCTCTAAATCTCTTTTTAATGGGAAGAAATAAAGTTAAGGCATCCTGGACATTCAGACAATCCTATATTATAACCCAGGGAGAATTCTTGCTAGTTTGTAATATTACTTTAGTTCCTGTCTAATAAGAATGTGAAAAATGCTGATACAGAAAGATTTCTTTGCATTCAAAGACAAGTTATTATCAAAAAAGGAGCCAATGCAAATATACTACACGGAGAAAGGAAGGAAAAGGCAAGACTGAAACATATGCAAAAATAAATGGACAAAGAAAACTCATGGAAAAATTTGTCAGTGATCCAGTAAACTGTGATTAAATATACCAGTGTGAATGAGTACAACTCAATGAAACCATCAAAAATTCATGGCAGAGAAACAAAAGCCTAGGGAGATATGGTGCCACCACAGGCATAGAAATAGCATGAGAAACAGGAGCCAGGAAATACTTAGAGGATAAAAATAAAATAATCATAGGAAGTTAACATTGACAGTAACGCAGTGACATATATGAAAAGAAATATTATGGAAATATAATGACAGTCATGAAGGGCAAGATTGAAAAACATGAGTGGAAAGGAATGGAAATGAGCAAATTTTAAAGGGTTTGAAATAAACAAGTATGTATGGAAGACAAATTATCCTATATTAAATATAATTAATGTCCCTGAAGAAATAAACCTAACAATTGGAAGGGAAAATAAACATCTAACAACGTATTTCAAGGAGAAATTTCACAAATAAAAGACTTGAATTCATAGGTTCAAATGATATATTATGTCCTAGGGAAAAAATTCATGCAGAATGATTAACAGACAAGTCTGGTGATGATTTTGTCAAATATTAAGAAAATTATTTTTAGTACCCAGGCAAAGTGAGTGTAACACCAGGGGGGAAATAACAGTGCCAGCTATCGTTTTTAAAATACACATCCCATGTAGGATGTGGAGTAATGTCCCTAAATTTCTCAGCAAAAATGCCTAAAAATGTTATGCACACCTAAATCGCCATTCAAATATGAATGATATATGTATAAAGTTTTTACATGTGCAAGAAATTAAAGGAATGGAATATCCATAGACTCTTTTTGAAGAAAACTGTTCCTTGGCCAAAGAGGAGAAAACTGAATAAACAATGACGAAAGGACTGGTAGCCAGCCTTGAATTCATGTCCTGAAAGGGAGAGATGGAAACAAATATGTGAATTATTCGTATTGTACAGAAGAATTTAAATGTCTTCTATGATGACAATGTAAAAATAATATAACTAATAAAGAAAGTGAGAGAAGGAGGAATTAGAAGAGGTATGATATATGAGTAGATTTTCTCCATTCTTCATAGCCAGGGATTAAAATATATGACTTACAATTGATTCATCAAGTAGCCAAGCTATAAATATGCTTGAAGATACAAAGTAAATACTGGAACAACTAAGAAAGAATAATACAAAATTAAGTAGTGAAAAAGGGAGAAAAGAGGTGGGAAAAAGTGGAAATATGCAAATTTTATTATTGTTCACAATAAAAAGCCAATAAATATGCCAAACCATTCCTGGGCACTCACCCTCATTCTGCCCCTACTTCCTACCTATAATAAAACCCACACCCAGCTTTGCTCCTGCCAGTCAGTCAGACCAGCTTGAACTTGCCTTACTCTTCCCAGAAAGTCCAGTTGTATAAGTAAAAAAATCTTTTCATATTATTTTGGTGTATGCAGCATCATGGGTCCCAATATACTTTGAATATTTTTAAATATTTCTGAACATTGAACATTGCTAACTATAATGATTATACAATTATGCTTTATTTTCCATATTAACTACTTCTTCAAGGGTTCATTCTTCTGTTCTTTTAACTGGATATTTACATTGCATCCATTGGTTTCCTTATATATTGTAGAATCTTCATTGTCTGTCTTTATTAATGAGGACTTAGAATGAATACTATTGACAGCTGAAGTATCATCAGCATAAGTATAATTTCTTCCTACAGTAATGAATTCAGATTATAATCGTAGAAATCTTCATTCTGATTATTGGGAAGGAGAGGGTTGCATGAGATTTTCTAATTGTCAATTTTCTATAGGATGTTGAGGCAGTTTACTTTATTGGTGCAGGCTGTGCATATACCATTGTGTCCAGAATTAATCTGGGCCTCTGCTTGATTTTATCTCCAGCCCAAACAACCTGTTTGGCAAACTTCATGTCCATTTGCCACCTTACTGCCCAAGGGCAAAAGCTATTGGCAGCTATGATGAAATCTGATACAACTGGTTTGCAGTTTTTTCACAGCCACCCTACTGACAAAATCAAATTCTGCTTGTACTTTTGTATCCTGATTACTCTGTTCCTAAAAAGATTATAAGATTTTTGTTTAATAACTCACTATTTAGAAAGTCCTTTTGATCACTGAGTGGATTTAAGTTCCTACGTTTTCATGGGTTTCTTTTAATTCTCTTCTATCTACCTTATATTTCCAGAAATTCTTCTGTGTTATACTTGCTAATGACTTATGTCTCAGCTCTTTTTTAGGGCTATGGATGTGTTTGTACTTTTATTTTCCTTCTGACAGTCCAATGATATTTTTAGGAAAAAGAAGAGATAACTGCCTATCAGATTCCTTGAATTGTAAATTCTGACCTTTGCTCTTGTCTTATTGTTTTATCCCTTAAGTTTGCCTAGGTCTGATCTGTTCCTAGGCTCAACTTTTCTTAACTAGGCTCTATTTTTCCAAGACATATTTCTATTTATTAGCTTTTATGCAACTATGCTTTGGACACTTTTTCCTTTTGCATAATTTTCATAATCTATAAGGATACGATCTATCTGAGTCATGCCATAACATTTGTGTCCAAGTTCTGAATAACTATCTTTCTCCCAGTTGACAAGATGCTTATCATTGAAATAAATTTGATCATAATCTTATGATGTCTAAATATACTCAGTTTTTTGATAATTGACTTGACTTTCAAATTGAAGCAGTGTAGCAGAAGAACAAAGTCATAGCACTGACCATAGTGGATTATGTAACTATAACTTTTCTTCTAAAACTAATTATCAAACACAAAATCTTATTTACTTAACTCTTACACAATAAATATGTCTATTTTAATTCAACATATTTTTCTCCATTTTCACACATCCAAGATCCAGCCTAAAGGATGAAATATGATCTAGGTTCTTATTAGGAAAGGAAGCAGAAGTGAAGGTATAAGTCAAGGTCAATCTCACAAGAAGCTTCTGAGTTAGGGATACTTGAGACAAAACAGGACACAAATTAAGAGAGTAGCTAAAATCAAGAAGCAAAGGGACTGCGGTATCTCAAATATGGACCTCAGAAAGCTCAACACAGATATGAATAGACAGCATGTGGACAGTTGGCAGTGGGATAGCCCTTTTCGTTAGGCATCAAAGACATACTGTTACTTTTATCAGAATAAAGGGACATTATTAAAACAAATAAAAATATATTATCTCTAAATCCCATAGGCTAATTGCATAAATGACACCTGAAAAAATTTCTTAGATCCCTAGAACTTTATTGTGTTTTTATTTTAGGGGACAAGAAAGGAGATGGCAATATAGTGGTCTTGAATCTCCATAGACTAATGGGAGGAAGAAATTAATAGGACTTGTGACTGTTATGATACGCATTTTTTTTCCTGATGCATCTTTGCTCTTTTTAATTCTTCTCACAGATTTGTGCTCTGGAAAATATAAAATGCAAATGTAACATGCTTGTCTCATGGTAAACATGCCCACTAAATGGTGTCCTGACTATGACCTCATTTTGGTGGTGTCGTCACTACTGTTATCCCTCACTTTTTGGCCCTGGTCATTTTGGGAGGATCCTAGGAGATCTTCAAAGGGATGTCCATGGTTTTTAGAAGCACTCATCTAGACACTGACAGTTTTTAAGTTTTTAGGTAACACTTCAGAATAACACGTTTCTTTCTGAATCTGAAAACCTTCACTTCGTTATGAAAGTACAAAATGCAGTATTGCCACTAGAGAAACAGCTTAAAATGACTTTGGTCATAATCATTTCATTTTACTACTAGTTAATGAGATGTAGTGTTGATTGTGTAGAACACTATGCCAGTAGTCAGAAAACCTGCACTCCAAAATATGCCTTACTCATTGCCTTCAAAACATTATCCCCACTTAAATTTCCTCTTCTTTCTCCCTAAAATTATGATTCTGATTTTGCTAAGAGATTATATAGAATTATAATTATTCATTATTTACAAAATAGAAGATGGAGAATGACGGGAAAACAGCAATTATAAAATAAGTAGATATGGGTCCAGTGGAGTTTATCAAGGTTGAAGTAGAAAAATGTAATTTGAAAATGTGATGTTTTAAAAAGGTGTTTTAGTGAAATGTTCATCTCTTAAGCGATTAAATGAAAAAAATCCATTATATTAAACCTTCAAATTATTTTTAATACATTTGGCTTTAGCTACATTTTGGATACAACCGTCACTTTTTATAAGCTGTTTTCCGCTCCTGAAGGCCTCTACTTTGTTGCTTTATTGTAAACTATGATTCTTGGTCAATAAATGAGTGATATGACTGAGTTTATAAATTAACATATTTATTTTGTTGGAAAGCAGGTTTTGATTTTTAAATTTCATAGGTAAAAGTGACAGTGGTGTTTCCACAGAATGATTTCTATTGTCTAAGAACTGTAGTTTCTTTGCTTGGTAATCCTTCATATATAGGTGATTTGAGTATAGAAGAAAATTAAATGAGAAGTTGAGATGAGTAGAAATTAATGACTCTGGTACATATACACCATGGAATACTTTGTAGTCATAAAACAAAAAACAAAACAAAAAAAACATGCTCCTTGCAACAACATGGATGCTTCTGGGGTCCATTATCCTAAGTGAATTAATGCAGAAACAGAAAACCAAATACTGCATGCTCTCACTCATAAATGGGACCTAAATATTGGGTACACATGGACACAAAGGTGGCAACAACCAACACTGGATACTACAAAAAGGGGTGAAGGAGGAAGGAAGATGCGGCCTAAAAAGAACTACCTATTAAGTACTAAAGTCACTTCCTGAGTAACTAGATCAATTGTACCCAAACCTCAGTGTCACACAATATACCAATGTAAAAAACATGCACATGTACTCCCTGAATCTAAAATCAAATTTGAAATTAAAAAAGAAACCACTCTTTGCTTAGATTTAGCTATTTTTGCAAAGATTTTATATAATATTATATATGAGTGATAAAGCTTATTCTTATTTACTTTATTTAATACATACTTATTGCATATTTGAAAAATGTAGATATTATTAAGGAAAAAAAATTATACTTTTATTTAACCAGAAATCACTTTTATTACTATTTTGTGACTCTCCTCCCTTTGTTTTGTTAACTTCGTCTCATTCTGCCTCTGCCTCTTTCTTGTTCTCAGTGTACATTTACATTTATAGCACTGACTTGACACTGAATTAAGATGGCAATTTTAAATAAATATAATTTTAATAATGTGATATCTATTCGTTATATGAATGTACTACAGTTTACCTAGATGCTTTTATTGTTGGACTTTCAGAATGTTTCGTATTTAATCATGAGTTTTTACATCATTGGTACATGTTGCTCTATGTTGAAAGCCTAAGGATCCCACTATGGCGACATGCAAGATTGAACTTTTTTAGGGCTCTTGATGCATGCTGTGAAATTTTACTGTAAACCTTGCACATTAGTTTCTGCTTTCATCAAAAAATTAAGACAGCACACATTTCCCAGAAATTATATCAAGGCAGCATATTTTCTTTTTTTTCTCTCTTTGTAATATGGCTAGGAAAAAAGAACACCCAATGATTTATTTTTTTCAATTTTTTGAATATTAGTGAAAATGACTATTTCCTCATATAGTCAACATTTATTTTTATCATATGTTAAATAATATCAAATATTTCCATTAAAGTAAAAAGTAAAGTTTTGATTATCGTTTTATAGATGCTTGATTTGCATATTGTGACATTTGCCTATTTGTTACTGCACTACTTTAAAAAATCTCTTAAGTTTAACAGTGCAACTGGTAATCCTGTCACTGTATGTGTGCATATATACATATATATATTACATATATGTGTATATGCGTGTATATATACATTATATATTACATATATGTGTATATATACATTATATATACATTATATATACATATATGTAGTATGTAATATATGTATATGTACATTATATGTTATATATTATATATAACATATGTATATACACATATATACATATGTATATATAACATATATGTAATATGCATATGTATATATAACATATGTAATATGCATATATACATATATAACATGCAATATGCATATATACATATATCTATATAATGTATATATTACATATATATGTAATATGTATAGATATACCTATATATGTATATACACATAAACATACATATGTATATATGTGTACATATATTACATATATAATGTATATATACATACATTACATACTACATATGTGTATGTAGTGTATATGTAGTATATATAATTATTAATTATATATGTATATACACTACATACATATGTATATATGTATACATATATTACATATATAATGTATATACATATATATGTAATATGTAATATGCAATATATAACATATGTAATATGTATATTACATATATAATGTATGTATACACACATATGTATATACACATACATATATACACATATGTATGTATGTGTAGATATATAATGTTTGTGTGTTTCTGTTTCCTTCACATTATTGTTTGTACTTAAATTTCTAGATTATTTTAATGGATAGAAATGAGAATTTTTTGGTAGTAAAATTTACATACTTTCTTGAAGATTTTTTGCCTACCTCTAGTTGAGAAAATCTTTCCTCACTGCAAGATTATGTGCATCTACTTTTAATTTGTACATTTGTTTTAATTTTCACATTTCCATTTTTAATCCACCTGAACTTAAATGTTTTAAAAATGCTTTTTCCTATGTGAGTAATGAATTGTCCTTAAATCTTTATATGGATCATTTCTAATGAGTTACAATTTCACTTTTACCAAATACAGTATCTAGAACTTTGTAGATGCTCTAAACCTTAGAACATCTTTTGAATCTAACCCATTTTATTGATATCTCTGTCTAGTACTAAGCCCTATGGAGGAAAGTTCTAGAAAATCACAGCCTTCTAGTGTCTTGGCTTCTCATCTACCTGATGACAACCAAGCTGACCACATCACTGTTCTGCTACAAGAATGCAAAACCGCACTGTGATACTTATTCTGAACATGATCTTCCCTTCTTCCACATTCCCTGGCAGCCTTGGTACCAGTAGCCTTGTATCTATTTTTAACCTCTCTTTCCAGCCAAATAATCACATACATTTTCAGGAGTTCTGGTATTTCCCCATCTACCAAATATTTGAACCCATAACACAGATTTGAACGGATAACCAATAAGTTGTTCTAAGAATACCACTCATTCTAGCATGGGCTTCCAAAATTACTTCATTTGCAACCATTTTGCTCCTGTAGTTATTCTCTTTTTTCTGCTGTTATCTTTCTCTCTTTCCTACTTCATTCTCATAATAGTAGTAACATAACCAGTTGTTTCATAGTTATAAAAGTAACAAGCAAACAACAAAATAACCTATTCAACTCATATTTTATTGAAGCTATTGCTACATATTGGTACTCCATTTTTCTCAAAAAACCAACAAAAAGTCTAAAAGTATGGATTATATTCACTGTTCTTTATAAGTCATCACTTAAAGTCTCTCCTCAGCTAACTCCATCTGGGACTCTGTCCAGCAACTCTCCTGAACTGCTAATCAAGACATATCAGATTGTCATGGTTCTCTTACTATCTTACTTGACTTCCGAGCAACGTTAATTATCATTGACAATTCCTCTTTAAGACACTTTATTTTATTTTTTACTTTTTAAACTTTTTTAATGTTTATGGATACACAGTAGGTGAATATATTTGGGGTAAATGAGATATTTTGATACAGGCATAACGTGTAGTAATCAGATTAGGGTAAATGCGGTATCCATCGTCTCAAGCATTCATCATTTCTTGGTGTTATGAAGATTCCAATTGTACTCCTTCAGTTATTCTAAAAATGTACAACAAATTATTGCTGACTATAGTCAACCTGTTGTACTATCAAATACTGAAACTTATTCATTGTACCTAACTATATTTTTGTACCCATTAATCTTTCTCATTTCCTCCCCGTTCCCACTGCCCCACTGAGGCTCTGGTAACCATCATTCTACTATCTCCATGAGTTTAGTCGTTTGAATGTTTAGCTCCTACAAATGAGTGAGAACATGCAAAGTTTGTCGTTTTGTGCATGGCTTATTTCACTTAACAAAATGTCCTCCAGTTCCACCCATGTTGCAAATGACATGATCTCATTTTTTTTTCTTTTGGCTGAATAGTACTCCATTGTGTTTATATAGATTTAGGGCTACAAGTACAGTTTTGTTACATGGAAATACTGTGTAGTAGTGAAGTCTGAGCTTTTGGTGTAGCCATCACCTGAATAGTGTACATTGTATCCACTAAATAACTTCTTATCCCTCAACCACCTCCCACCCTGCCACTCTCCAGTTTTTTATCCCACATTTTATACACCAGTGTGAATTTCTTCTTGATTTCCTCCTACTCAATGTTCTCTCTCAGTTTCTTCTAATGTCTCCTTTCTATTACTTGATCTCTAAATATGGAAATTCTCCAGCCTCTCTCCTTGGCCTCTTTTCTTCTACTACTCTGGTTATGATTATTTAGTTATATGGTTTTAAGCATGCTCCCAGCTATCCTTCTCTGTATCATGGTTCTGAAATATTTATATCCTGCCATAAATTCCTTGCAGAAATCTGAACACATTTATTCAATAATTGCCTTCCTTGGTTCTCCCTGGAGCTGATTAATAGTTACCTTAAATTTTGCATATTCTAAACAATATTCTGGTCTCTTCCTAACCAAGTTCTCTCTCTCTCTCTTTTTATTTTATTTATTTACTTATTTATTTATTTTTTTGGAGACGGATTCTTACTCTGTCACCCATGCTGGAGTGCAATGGCGCGATCTTGGCTCACTGCAACCTCTGCCTCCCGGGTTCAAGCAATTCTCCTGCCTCAGCCTCCTGAGTAGCTGGGATTACAGGTGCACACCACCACACCTGGCTAAGTTTTGTATTTTTAGTAGAGACGGATTTCACCATGTTGGTCAGTCTGGTCTCAAGCTCCTGACCTTGTGATCAACCCACTTCAGCCTCCCAAAGTGCTGGGATTACAGGCATGAGCCACCACACCTGACCAAGTTCTCTCATTTCTTAATCTGCACTATCTCAGTAAGTGACACTACCCTCCACTTAGTTGCACCAACTGATTCCTTTCTTCTTCTTACAACTTATGAAGAGCCAACCCAGTAGAATTCTTGTTGACCTTACTGAACCATTTTCTACACACGTTCTCTTTTTAAATGTAAATTAGATCTTTTTATTACCCTGGTACAACATTGCAGCTAATACTGAAAAAACTAACTAGGCAAATCTCAATTGTGGAACATTTTACAAATAAAAACAAATTTCTCTTGGAGTAAAGAAGAAAATGAATGGGATAGAATGATTCACTGAACTTGCAAAAACTGTTCACATAGTAATATAGCTTCATTTTACTTTTTGTATCTACCTTTTACTTTTCTATCATCTTGCTTTAGACTTATTTTTATTGCTTTTTTCAGGATATTGATATCAATCTTTCAGTACATTGTGACTAAGAATATTTTTTGAAACAATTGCTAATCATACATTAAGGTTATTTCCTCTTAGTAATCAGGAAACAAACTTTTGATTTATTACAATGTCTGTTTCTGAATTTATTAGTTATAAGTAATATAGAGTCACATAAACCTGCTTAATAATTTATAAGCCAGCTTAATAATTTTCTTATTAGAGAATTATTATAAGAACATGGGAGTAGCTCAGAAAACAGGGTATTTTTGCAGCTTTGCATCAAAGGTAGTTAAGCCTAGACATTAGATTGTACCAAAACCAAATAATTTTTCTTGCTTTCTTGCTATGCTAGGTCTAGGTCTCTCTCTTTCTCTCTCTCTCTCTCTCTCTCTCTCTCTCTCTCTCTCTCTCTCTCCCTCCCTCTCTCCCTCCCTCCCTCTCTCCTCCCTCCCTCTCACACCTCTTGTTTTTGTTCTGAAGATATGTGGATTTGCACCTCTGCTTTGTAATGCACAGTTGCTTTATTTTCCCTCCATCTCTACAGACTGACTTTTCTTGCCTCCTGATGCAAAAGGCAGAAATCAGTGTATAGACAATCTTGACAGCAGTTTCAAGCTATAAAGACCAAACAGACAGTAGCTAGCGTCTTTCAGTTCTGATTTCAATCTGAAGCAGAGGAGAATCTGTTTGGTCCAGTGTGAATCAGCTGTCCAACTCTTGAGTAATCAACCATGTCAAACAAAGTGGGATAACTGGCCTGTTGCCCACTTAGTAAGATCAGGATCTCTGAGATAGAGTTTGGGGCTGGCTAAGAGATAGTAGGCACCTCTAATTTCTCCTAAACAAAATGCAACTGAAATAAAAGTACCTTGCATTTATCTAATAATAAATGGTAATCAAACACACAAATACATTCAACAACATGAGACAATAAACCAATTCAAATAAAAATAATAACAAAAGCAACAATTCCTAATTTCCATTGAGGAAAATTTAGCAATATCTATCAAAATGTAAAACTGCCATCCTTTGATAAATATTTAATTTGTAGGAAATTATCCTACAGATATATTTTTATTTGGACAAGTGCCCATTTTGTACATATTAATTAAAATATTGATGCAAGATAATTGGTGGGAAACAACCTAAATGTCATCAGTAAGCATCTGGTTAAATAACTTACAGTACAACCATAAAATTGTTTATTAAACAATCAGGAAAAATGATGAGGTAGAAGTACATGAATTGATGTGAAAATTTCTCCAAAGTATATATTATTAAGAGAAAAATGGGAAGAAAGCTGTATAAATATTATGGCTCCATTTCTGTAGAAAAAAATTCACTCATGAGAAATGAGTTCCTTGAAAGAGCTAAACAGTAGTGACATAATGACAAAATAGCACCCACCACATTAATGCCTTCAAAAAAGGTATATCAGATCTTTACTTTCCGTCACCTGGGTGAAAATATTTCATGGATGTAAGAGCTTCTGTCATTTTCTGATTGTTGTAAGTACAGTACAAAATAATATTAATACTTCAAACTTAATTTTGATACAAAAACATAAAACTCATGCCCACAGTGCACAAGTGGTCATGGCCAGTGTTTCTCTGTTCATTTTCCCTCCAGGAAGACAACTACAAACATGTTCTTGATTTTCAACCCAAATTGCTTTTCCTTCCGAACCCCAACTTCACAATGTTCATGTTAGCCAAGTTCTTTAAGAACTTTTCTTGGACTCTCTTGACTTGTCCAGGTAAATAAAGGGTAAAGTGATGATGGTGGTACTGTGGCTTTTTTACTCCTGTAGTTCTGTGAGCAGGAGTGTCGCAGCTCTGTTACTCCAGCCACCCACAGCTTGGAGAGCAGGAGCATTATAACTCCTTCACTCTTGCAGTCCAGTGAGTTCCAGTTCTTGTCCTGCAACCAAGAGGAATAACGTACATGAACATCAGAGAGGGGTAAGGCAGAGTAGGATTCATTGAGTGAAAGAGAAGCTCTCAACAGCAAGAAGGGACCTGAAAGTGGGTAGGAGTAGCCATGTGTGAGGCTGAGTCCAGGGTTTTTATGGGCTTAGAATGGAGGAGTGTGTGCTGACTGGTTTATGGGTGAGCTTGGAAAAGGCACTATTCAGTTGGTTGAAAGGTATCATTCAGAAAGAACCAATTGAGAGAGAGTGGATAAGACGGGAATGGAAATTCTCACTGCAGTCTGTGGATTCTATCTGGAACTGGTGGAAAACTGATAGCTTGGTTTTCAGGCTTTAGACTGTAGTTGGATTGAAGGTCGAGTTTTACCAGGGACCCATCCCTGTCTGCCTAGGAATTTGTCGTCTCTTGTTGCTATCAGTGGGGTGGTATGGAGAGATATTCTAATGCCTCTATTTAAATTAATTCTTTCTATTATACTGCCTTTTGACTTCTCCCTAGAACTCATGATATGGCTACTGATTTTTTTTAAATCACAAAATATTTCTTAGCCTCTTAGCATGATCAGCATATAGGGCCTGCTCTATTTTTCTCAGTCTTTAATGCCTGTCTTATATAATAGTTTTAAAAATTACAACAGTAAACATACACCACACAAGCACAAACATTTATATGCTTATATATAGATGAGATATTTCTGGGGGGATGATAAGGAAATTAGAATTCGTGTTTATCATAGAAAGGTGTGTGAAACTGGAGTATTCTTTATGTATTATTTTGATCTTTAAAAGCTTTCCCAAGCATGATGGTGCACACCTATAATTTCAGCCCCTCGGAAGCCTGAGGTAAATCACTTTACTCCAGTTGTTCAAGACCAGCCTGGGCAACGTAGCAAGATACCATTTCAAGAAAAAAAGAAAATAAAGCTAATATTAACATACCCTTCTCAATTACAAATTAAATTAAATTGTACTAAATTATAGTTCAGTGTCCCAAACACTACAGTTGAATTAGTTTTCATACTCATCAATATAACCAGTTTGTGATTAAAAAAATACCTTTAAAAGTACAATGTAAATCTATAATTGCCAAAACATAAGCTATATGGTCCTTTACACACACACACACAAACACACGCACACACACACATGCACGGAATTCTGTTTGAGTTCTTTTACTTAACAAAAGTTAAATAGGGGTCTTTTACTTAAATAAGGGTCTGATTGTTCTAGCTAGCTAGGACTTCCAGTACTATGATGAATAACAGTGCTGAAAGTGGGCATCCTTGTCACGTTCCAGATCTTAAGACAAAAGGCTTTCCATTTTTCCCCATTCAGTGTGATGAGATCAGTCATATATAGTTAGCTATGGGTCAGTCACATATAGTTTTTTTATTATGCTGACGTATGTTCCTTCTGTACCCAGTTTTCTGAGGGTTTTTATCATGAAGTGATATTGAAGGTAATCAAATGCTGTTTCAGCATCCATTAATATGGTCATATGGTTTTGTCCTTTGTTATGTAGATATGACATATCACATTGATTGATTTGCAAAGGCTGAACCATGGTTGCATCCAAGGGATAAATTCCACTTGGTAATAATGAGTGATCTTTTTAACGTATTGTCAAATTTGGTTTGCTGGTATTTTGTTGGGAATTTTTACATCAATATTCATCAGAAATATTTGCCTGTAGTTTTCTTTTTTAAATGTGTCTCTATCTTGTTTTGGTATCAGGGTAATACTGGCATCATAGAATGAGTTTGGAAGTATTTCCTCCTGTATTTCTCTGAACAGGCTGAGTAGGATTGTTATTAGTTCTTAATGTTTAGTAAAATTTAGCAGTGAAGCCATATGGTTGGGGCTTTTCTTTGCTGGTAGACTGTTTACTATGGCTTGGATCTTATTACTTGTTACTGGTCTGTGCAGGTTTTGGATTTCAACATGGTTCAAACTTGGTAGGTTGTATGTGTCTAGGAACTAATCCATTTATGCTAGATTTTCCAATATATTGGCAGATGATTGTTCATAGTACCCACTAATGATCCTTTTAATTTCTGTCATATCAGTTGTAATGTCTCCTTTTTCATTTCTCAGTTTGTTTTTTGGGTCTTCTTTCTCTTCTTATTTTAGCTAATCTGGCTAAAGTTTTGCTCATTTTGTTTCTATTCAAAAACTCAACCTTTTGTTTCATAGTTGTTTTCTACTGTTTTCTTCATTTCAAATTCATTTGTTTCTGCTCTGATCCTTTTCATTTCTTTTCTTCTAACTTTGGGTTTGGTTTGCTCTTGCTTTTTCTCATTCTTTAAGATACCTCATTCGTTTATGTGTTTCAAATTTTGCTTCTTTTTTTCTTTATTATTATTATTATTATTATACTTTAAGTTTTAGGGTACATGTGCACAACGTGCATGTTTGTTACATATGTATACTTTTTTGATGTAGGCCCTGATAGCTATAACTTTCTGTCTTAGTACTTCTTTCCCTGTATCCCATAGATTTTGATATGTTGTGTTTCCATTATCATTTGTTTCAAGAAGTTTTTAAATTTCCTTCTGACTTTCTTCATTGACCCACTGATCATTCAGGAGCATATTGTTTAGTATCCATGTGTTTGTATAGTTTCCAAAATTCCTCTTGTTATGAATTTCTAGTTTTATTTATGATCAAAGAAGATGTTTGATATTATTTCAATTGTTTTGAATGTTGTAAGACTTGTTTTTTGACCTAACATATGTTCTATCCTTGAGAATAATTTATGTGTTGAGGGGAAGAATGTGTATTCTGCAGCCATTGGATAAAATGTTCTGAATGTATCTATTAGGTCCATTTGTTACATAGTGCAGAT
This sequence comes from Homo sapiens, assembly GCF_000001405.40. Taxonomy (NCBI): domain Eukaryota; kingdom Metazoa; phylum Chordata; class Mammalia; order Primates; family Hominidae; genus Homo; species Homo sapiens. The sequence continues at coordinate 40,233,942 of NC_000014.9, forward strand.
TAAGTTGTATGTTTCTTTGCTGATTTTCTGTTGGGGAGATGTGTCCAGTGCTGCAAGTGGGATGTTGAACTGTGTAACTTTTATTGTATTTGAGTCTATCTCTCTCTTAGCTTTGATAATATTTGCTTTATATATCTAAGTGTTCTAGTGTTAGGTGCATATACATTTGCAGTCAATATATCCTCCTGCTGAATTGACCCCTTTATCATTATATAATGATATTCTTTGTCCTCTTTTACAATTTTTTCTCTTGAAATCTATTTTGTCTGTTAAAAATATAGCTACTCTGGCTCTTTTTTTGGTTTCCATTGGCATGGAATATCTGTTTCCATGCCTTTATTTTCACTTTATTTTCAGTCAATGTGTTTCTTTACAGGTAAAATGTGTGTCTTGTAGGCAACAGATTATTGTATCTTGTCTTTTCATCCATTCAGCTACTCTATGTCTTTTGATGGAAAAGTCTAGTCCATTTACATTCAATGTTATTATTGCTTGGTTGGGACTTACTCCCTCCATTTTGTTATTTATTTTCTGGCTGTTTTGTGGTCTTATCTTTCTTTTTTCTTTCCTTTGTGTCTTCCTTTTAGTAAAGGTGATTTTCTATGGTGGCATGCTTTAATTTCTTGCTTTCTATTTTATGTGTATACTTTGTATGTTTTTTTGATTTGAGCTTACCATAAGACTTATGAATACTATCTTATAGCCCATTATTTTAAACTGATGACAACTTAACATTGATGGAATAAACAAGCAAACAAACACACAAAAATAAAACTAATAAAAACTCTAACTTCATTCTCCCACGGTTTCACATTTTGTTGTTTCGCTTTATATCTTGTTGTACTGTCTATGTCTTGAAAAGTTGCTGTAGCTATTATTTTTGATTCCTTCATCATTTATTCTTTCTACTTAAGACAAGAGTAGTTTACGCACCACCATTATATGTGCTAGTATCCTGTATTTTCTGTATGCTTCCTCTTCCCAGTGTGTTTTGTACCTTCAGATGATTTCTTATTGCGCACTTACATTCTTTACTTTCATTTGCAATAATTCCCTAGCGTTTCTTGTAGGACAGGGCTGGTTTTGATGAAATTTCTCAGCTTTTGTTTTTCTGGGAAGATCATTATTTCTTTTTCATAATTTAAGGATATTTTTACCAGATATACTACTATAGGGTAAAAGGTTTTTTCTTTCTTCACTTTAAATATGTCATGACATATGTCATGAAATATGTCATGACACTATCTCCTGGCCTTTTCCACTGAAAAGTCTGTGGTCAATTTTATGGAGCTCCATTGTATGTTATTTGTTTCTTTTCAGTTGCTGCTTTTAGGATCCTTACTAGATCTGTGACCTTTGAGAATTTGATTATTAAATGACATGAGGTAGTCTTTGAGTTTAATCTGCTTGGTGTTCTACAACCTTGTACTTGAATTCTGATATCTTTCTCTAGGTTTGGGGAGTTCTCAGATATTATCCATTTGTTAAACTTTCTACCCTTATCTCTTTCTCTGCCTCCTCTTTAAGGCTAATAACTCTTAGATTTGCCCTTTTGAGGCTATTTTCTATATCTTGTAGTTGTGCCTCATTGTTTTTTATTCATTTTCTTTTGGTCTTCTCTGACCATGTATTGTCATATAGCCTGTCTTCAAGCTGACTAATTTTTTCTTTTGCTTGATCAATTCTGCTATTAAGGGACTCGTATTCTTAAGCATCTCAGTTGCATTTTTCAACTCTAGATTTTATGCTTGATTCTATTTAATTATTTAAATCTCTTCGTTAAATTTATCTGATAGAATTCTGTGTTATCTTGAATTTCTTTGAATTTTCTCAATACAGCTATTTTGAATTCTCACATATCTCTGTTTCTCCAGGACTGGTCCCTGGTGCTTTATTTAGCTTATTTGCTGAGGGCATGTTTTCCTAGATGGGGTTGATGCTTGTAGATGTTTGTTGGTGCTAGGGCATTGAACAGTTAGGTATTTATTGTAGTATTTACAGTCTGGGCTTCTTTGTGCCTATCCTTGTTGAGAAGGCTTTCCATGTATTTGAATGGACTTGTGCCCCAAGCTCAACAACACTGGATTTGCAGACTCTTAGAGGTACTGACTTGGTGGGAAGAAATCTATGGGTTATCTGGAATAAACTCTTGCTTTCATCTTACTGTCTCTCAAACAAATGGAGTGTTTCTTTCTATGCTGAGCCACCTGGAACTAGGAGGGTGCCCTATTTTACTGTGGCTGGGCTGATATCCAATATGTAAGACAAAGTCCTCTTCACTCTTCACTCTAGTCTCCTTAAGCAGAAGGAAGTGGATGCATTTGTTGTGGAGGGAATCACTGCCTGGGGTTGGGGGAAAGATGGTGCAAGCACTCTGTTAGCCATGCCCGCTGGTGTCTCCCTAGGTCACATGCCACCCTAGTCTACTGGCTCTAAGTGCACCCTAGCACTGAGAGTTGCAGTTCTTGTGTCCAAGGCATGCCTTTACAGTTTATCTAGGACCCTGAAGCACTTTGGACCATGGTGGCAAGGCCTACTGAGAAACTCAAATTCTGACTGCTGGGTAGCTGATTCTCTTCTGGCTATGACTGGTCCAACTGCTCCCTCCATGCACAGGCACTGGCTGAGCCTAGCATGGCTTTATTCTCCTCTATGACAGGGCAGCACTAAGTCCAATGTAAAGCCCCCCAGTCACTACATGATATGGTTCCCTTATATGGTTTGGCTGTGTCATCTTGAATTCCTGCATGTTGTGGGAGGAACCCACTGGGA